>NC_000008.11:64677265-65302265 GCF_000001405.40 Homo sapiens
ATCAAAAATCCTACGGAAAAAAAACCCTAAACCTTTTAAAGCCAACCAAAATGATGTGCTGGAATAGAAGTTGTCATAGAGGTACTAGTAACATTTAAATAACAGCTAATAAGAGCTAAAAGTTCTTACAGGAAAAGCCCAGAAATGAGATAAACGGCACATATTTAGGAGCCAAAAAAAAAAAAAAAAAAAAAAAAAATGATTTCCTGGTGATTATATTAGCTAATTTCCAGAGAAATGACAATTACATACAAGTACAGGACTAACAGCTTACCAGAACATTCTCAAGCAACTGAGGAGGACAGGCCATAAAAGCTCTATCGCCATCACATTAAAAATCTAATCTAAAATCACTGCATGTCAGAAAATTAAGGATTCATCAAAATATTCCCAAAGGTAATGTGATGGAAGGAATGCATAAGAAGGAACCACACTCCTTGGTTTTTTTTTTTTTTTTTTTTTTTTTTACATAGAAATGTATCTTAAGATCTATGTTTTAAAATTAAATATAAAATCTGGTCTGCTAAATGAGATCATTGTCATGTAGTTAGCATACTTTCTGGCACATAATAAGTGTTTGATAACATTAGGTGTTCTCATTGTTGTTATTATTACTGAGGAGTCAGATTCAGCTCATTGCTGTTCATGGTTTCCTCCCAAGGCTTAAAGGAACCCAAGACAGATTTCTCGTGGTTAAGCCATGATTCCAGCAAATGCTGTTTCTACCTGTCTTTCTGGATACTCTGGTTTGATTCTCTAGTTGCAAACTCTTGCCTTATACTTAAATTCTCCCGCTCTGCCTAAACGGGCTGTCCTAAGCTCTGACCTGTACATCTTGCTTTTATTGTCCATTTCACCCCAACTTGTCTTCTGTATCACTCTCAGTATAGGGACTATGGGTGAAACCTACCACACATGTAGCCTATAGTCAATGCTCAAATTCCTGCTTGTTGAGAAGGAGATCCTGGGTATGTTATAAACATGGGTATCATTTCATCAGGCCTGCTGTCTGCATACAAGGTTGAGAGTCTACTGATTGCCTTGCTGGGAGTCCCTAAAACAGCCAGATATTGATCCATACTTAGAGAGGCATATAGGGTTCTTGTGATCACTAGGCTAGCTGGATTTATTTAGCATCAATTCTTTAATCCTAGAAAAATCATTGAAAGAAAAGAAAGCACCTAGTCTGATAAAAAACCTCCTACTGTGACAACAAAATCAACTTACTAGTTACAAATAAAATGCTGGCTCATCTGTCATTTCCCAGGATATTTTGAACAAGCAAAGAGGTGGGATATATGTGGTGATATTCAGAGCAAAGCAAAACAGAGTCTACAATCAGTATTTGGTAACATACTGCTGCTACGGGTGCTCCTTGCCTGCTGGTCACATACTGCTGCTGCTGGGGATGATCCTTCTATCTGTAGAAAATAAAGAGGAAAACGCTGCTTTGAGGTAGAGAATATCCAGTGAGAACCATGCCTGTAGGCACAGGTAGCTGATGTTTCAGATGGGATCCTATCCACATGGGATGAGAACTGTACAGGCCCTTCTTATCCCAAGAAATTGGAACTCTTGTGGAATTTGAGGGAATTGCTTTTGTTAAACATCAATGCTGTGTGTGTGTGTGTGTGTGTGTGTGTGTATAGAGAGATAAGCAAATAAATTGTGGTGCCAGATTCTGAAAAGCAAGACAGCATAATGGCAACTGGGCTTAAGAATATATTTGATTGCATATATATTGCATATATATGACAGTCCTTGTACGTTTTGAGTTTCTAGGGGGCAGGAAAGGTAGAGTTGGCGATTCATAAACCTGTGAAACTTTCATAATCTTTTTGTTAAAATTCCACTTCATCAAGATGGTCAGACAGCATGCTAGCTTGATAATCAAACTATTTTTCCACATTTCATATATTCATTCATTCATTCATTCATTCAATAGCTTGGAGAATAAAGAGCTGACCAAATACAGTCTCTACTTTGAGACTTCCCTATATAACTTATTTGTAGAAATCAATAGACAGGCATTTCTATCATCACTACTTTATATGCCAGTGACAGGGGCTGATAGAGAAGAATAGGGAAGGAAAGTTCTTTGTAAGATTTGTGCTGTATAGATAGATAGAAATAACCTTTAAAAACATTTTCTTCCCTTTGAAAATATTTTTTATTGCTCTAAGTTAAATATGATTGTTTAAAAAAATTGGGCAAAAGGCTCAAGTCAGTAAATCCTATCAGAGACAGTTCCATATTTTTTAAACAAATTATTATGTGTTTTCC
Source organism: Homo sapiens (assembly GCF_000001405.40). Taxonomy (NCBI): domain Eukaryota; kingdom Metazoa; phylum Chordata; class Mammalia; order Primates; family Hominidae; genus Homo; species Homo sapiens. The sequence goes on from NC_000008.11 coordinate 64,679,549, forward strand.
AACATTTTTTTCTTGCTTTCTAACTTCTATTTCTATTTCTAAAAGTTTTATGTGAAAGGGAACAGAAAAACCTTTCCCCTTGAATTTGTCCCCATTATAGCAGATTTTATTCTCATTAGGAAAACCAGCCTATCTTTTCCTAGCCCTCCTGTGACTGCTTTTAAACTGCTTTATTGAAATATGATTGACATATAAATAGCTGTATATATTTAATGTATAGAACTTGGTGTGTTTGAAGATAAGTATCTACTTCTGAAACCATCATAACAATTAATGCAATAAATTTATCCAGTATCTCCAAAAGTTTCCTTCTGCCTCCTTTTATTGCTTGCTTTGTTTTCTGTTGTTTTTCCTTTTCTGGTAAAAGCACTTAACATAAAACTTATCCTCTTGGCAAAATTATAAATATATGATACAGTACTGTTAACCACAGGCCCTATGTTGCAGGGTATATCTTTAAAACTTACCTTGCATAATTGAAACTTTGTACCCTTTGATCAACATCTCCCCATTTCCCCCTCCCTCCATTCCCTGAAAACAACCATTATACTCTGCTTGTATGAGTCTGACTATTGTAGATTCTACCTACAAGTGAGATCATGTGATATTTTTTCTTTCTTTGTCTTATTTTATTGTTTTTTTTCCTCCTGTGACTTTCTCCTTTAAACTTCTTTCATCGCACCTTCATTTTTCTCCCCAGTGTTGCACATGCTTACTTTAGTCTATCTAACCAATTGAGCTTTCCTTTCAAGAACACTCTCATATTTCTAATATGTTCCTAATATATTACTAATATGTTCCTATATCATCCAGGTGATGAGCTCCACCAATCCCTCATCCTCTCACTGGAGGAAAACGCAACAGTCCCTACCCAAACCAGGTCTGTGCCTGAAGGACAGCAGTCCCAAATTTCTACTTGATTTAGATGAAAAACATGAAATCAGACCTTCTGTGTCCTGTGGCACTGAGGCATTGTTTCATTTAGAAAATAAAAGTGTCTACAACTTCTAAGAATTCACAAAAAAAAACCACTGCATGGGCCCTTCGAAAATTAAACACAGAAAATAAAGGTGGTGACAGCTGCCAGTGATACAAATTCCAGATACTTGAGGCAGAAATATGGTTTCAATGAAGCACATCAGAGGGCAATAAAAGGATTCAGCTGATCCTGATGATTATATGCTTTCACTTCTTCTGACTTTTAAAATTAAAATTAAAATTTGAAACAACATTTAACAATGTTATGTTATATTTGTGAGAAAGTAAGGTTTTCCTTAGCATCTTTCCATTTCCATTTTCCATGGAAACTCTGGGCCCAGTGAGCTCATGCCATCTTCACTTCAAGTATGCTGCACCAAATACCACCCAGGTCCACTCTATCTGTAAATGCTTCTTTCCAAAATTACTTTCCTTGTTTACTCATACATTGCTCAACATCCACTCCACCTGCCCCTCACCAGAATTTTCAATTTTCTCACTGGAAATTATTTCAAACGTTTAGAGAACAGCAATGTGATTGGTTCAATCTGTGCCTTAAGTACAAGTTTTAAAATGTTTGTGGATGCAAATGAGTAGACAATAAAACAGAAATAAAAGCATTTCTAATTATCTATGAAAAGATAATTAGATCTTTCTCCCCCCTTTTGCACATTATTTTTTGGTGGAAAATAGGATCAGAATGTCAACACTACTTCCCATTCTCTGGGCCTGTTTCTTTGTTCAGCCAGTTAATAATTCCCCAGTCGTCACGGAGTGTGTCTTCCACCAACTATTCACTATAAGTAGTGGTGGGGGGAGGAAGTTGAAAAGACAGGTGTGCTCCTTTTGCAGCAGCCAGCCAAAGGACCCCTGAGATGGCCCCTACAGAGCTTCACCTCCTGATATTCACACCCTGTGCAGTTTTCTTCCATGTTGAACAAGGATGGATTTGTGTGACAACTATTGTAAGGCAGAAGTGATGGTATGTCACTTCCAAGGTTAGTTTATAAAAAAATTGTGGTTTCAGTATTGGAGTCTTTCTCTCAGATCACTTGCTCTGATGAAGCAAGCTACTATGTTGAGAAGAGCCCTGTAAAAAGGCCTGCACAGTGAGCAGCAAGTCTCTGGCCCATGACCAGCAAGGAACAGAGGCCTGCTAGCAATCATGTGTGTGAGCTTGGAAGCAGATTCTTCAGCCCAAATTGAGTTTTGAGATGGCTGCAGCCCAGCCAACATTGTGATAGCAACCTCACGAGAAACCAGTCAGAACCACCCAGCTCAGCCTTTCCCAGATTCTCGGACCTCAGAAACTATGAGATAATAAATGTTTGTTGTTTCAAGATGCTAAATTTGGGGGGCAGTTTGTTACACAGCAATAGATAGCTAATACACATTTGGCATGGATGGTCCAGGATATAAATATGGTGCACTGAGTTGTAGCCAATGTAGAAGCATAACTGAGCAAGTTGTTAAGGTATTAAGAGAAAAACCCAGTAGATTTATTATTGGAGTGGCAGGGGAAAGCTTTCCATGGAAGGTAACATCTGAGCTGTGAGTTTAAAGATGGGCAACCGTTCATTAGAAAATGAGAGGAGGAAATGATAGGCCAGACAGATGGGATGGCAGTAGTGAATGCACAGCTATGCAAACTGATAACTAGAAATGAGGAAGTAGCTCAACACTGCCAGAGTAATAGGGTGCAGTTTGGCTGGGATGGGAGTCGTGGATTGTGAAAGACGAAGCTGGAAAGAGGTGGGATGAAGCCAGGTTGTGAAGCATGTGGAACACAAGGCTGAGCAGCTAAGACTCATCCTACAGACAAAAGTGAGCAAGTGTGCATTTTTTAAAGTAGGAAAGTGCCTAACCAAAAGGCGCTAACCTTTTTTACTGCAAGGGATACATAGGAATAGAAATGCCCATTTCTGATCAGATATTTCCTCCATTCCTCATTTCAACCACTGACAGTCTCCTGGGACTTAGGCCTGAGACAAGCTTATTCCTTGGTGACCTTTCTTCAAACACTCTTTCTGTGTGGCTCCCTCATTTAGCTTCTACATCATTGGCTGATGCTTCTCAGTTCCTCTGTCTGTGTTCCCCACCTTTCCAGTATCTCTGAACACTGAAAAGCCTCAGAACTCAGTTTTCAAACATCTGCTCCTCTCTGCACGTGCTCTAGAGCGTGCTGTCCAGGCTAGTTGCAACAGCTCTTGATACCACGGAATACTGGAGACACGTCAGCTCGTATCTCCAGCCTGGCCCTCTCCTCTGAAATCCAGACTCCTAATCCTGCTGCCTATCCATCATCTCCACTGGGAGGTCTATTAACATCTTAAACTTCACCTATCCAAAATGAATGCTTCATTTTTCTATCAAGAATGCTTCTTTCAGTGTTCTACAACTCAACAAATGGCAGTCCACTACACCCAGTAGCTCAGGCCAAAAACCTTGATTGAACCTTGACTTCTTTCTCTCACAACCCACGTATAACATCAGCAAATCACTTTGTTCTACCTTCAAAATATTTTCCAAATCCAAGTAGTGTTTCCTCTCCATCCAGATCACCATTATCCCTTTGCTGCATGATCACAGCAGCCTTTCTCTGGTCTAACGCTTCCCCCATTAACAGTGTATTTTTCACAATAGCTAAGACTTGGAAGCAACCTGAGTGCCCATCAATAGATGAATGAATATAGAATATGTGGTACATATACCCAATGGAGTACTATCTAGCCATTAAAAAGAATGAGATCCTGTCATTTGCAACAACATGGATGGAACTGGAGGACATTATGTTAAGTGAAATAAGCCAGGCACAGAAAGACAAACTTCACATATTCTTACTTATTTGTGGGATCTAAAAATCAGAATAATTGAACTCCTGGGCACAGAGAGTAGAGGGATGGTTACTAGAGGCTGCAAGGGTAGTGGGAGTTGTGGGGGAAGATGGTTAATGGGTACAAAAAAATAGAAAGAATGAATAAGACCTACTGTTTGATGGCACAATAGGGATACTATAGTTAGTAATAACTTAATTGTATATTTTAAAATAACTAAAAAGAGTGTAATTGGATTGCTTGTAACTCAAAGGATAAATAATTAAAGTGATGCTTGAGGAGATGGATACCCCATTTTCCATGATGGGCTTATTAAACATTGCGTGTCTGCATCAAAGCATCCTGTGTACCCTATAAATATATACACCTACTATGTACCCACAAAAATAAAAATAAACAGTGTATTCTCCAGATTGATGTTCTAGTGAGCCTTTAAAAATACTTTTTTTTTTCCCTGTTCCTACACCTTGCCAGTCACGCTGTAATCTTGGGGCATTTGCACCCGCAGGTTCTTGGGCCCGGAATGTTGTTCTTCTAGATACCCTCGTGGCTCACTTCATTCCTGTTGCTGTTCGAATGGCACCTGTTTAGAAAAGCTTCCCCTGACTCCCTGTCTGCACACTCCTTTCATTACCCCATCACACTCTCTCCCTTACCTTCATTCCTTTTCTTTATATCACCTCACAGATAACTGGTCTTTCTGCTTACAGGGTATGATCTGTCTCGTCCATTAGAAGGTAAACCCCATGAGGGCACAGGCTCTGACCACGAAAGTGGGTAAGGGTAGGCATTCAGCAAATAATTGTTAAATGAATGCATGGTTGGGTTTACACACTCCTCATCCCAAATACTATGTATGAGTAAGATGACATAGCATAAGAGGGGCAGCAGAGTGTGGTAGTATAAATCAGGTGGTCCTGAACCATACTGCCTCACTAGCTGTGTGGTGCTGAGCAAGTTGTTTCATCTCTTTTTGCCTCAGCTGCTTCATCTATAAACTGAGAGCGATAACAATATCGACTATTGGTTATTACCAGAATTAAATGAATTGATATTTTTAAAGTGCTTAAACAATACCTAGAATGCCTAGTATATGATAAACCCTGTATCACGCTTTGTTAAAATAATTAAATAAGTTAATAGATTTGCTAAGCAGCGGAATAATGCTAAAGTATAATTTATTTATATAAGTCTATATTAAATAGATTTATTTAAAAAATGTATAAGGTCACAATCAGCATTTCAACATTTCTTCCCAGTTCAAAGATGATGTCACTCAAATGAACCTACAAATGGCACCTTACCAAGCAACTGCCAGCAGGTGCTCAACAAATATTTGGTGACAGATCCAATTAATGCCTGCCTTCATTTTTCTCTTCTATATAATATAGAAATGCACAATGATATGAAATGAAATTACTCCTAGACATTTCTCCAAAGAAGATATACAAAATAGATACATGAAAAGGCGCTTGACATCATTAGACATTTGGGAAAGGCAATGCAAAACCACAATGAGATACCACTTCACATCCACAAGGATGGCTCTTATCAATAACCCAGACAATGACAAGTTTTCACCAGGATATGGAGAAATCAGAGCCTTCACACACTGAATGTAAAATGGAGCAGGCATTGTGTAAAACAGTCTGCCAGATCCTCAAAAAGTTAAACACAATAATACCAAATGACCCAGCAATTTCACTACTAGGTATATACCCAAGAGAAAAATTACATGTCCATTCAAAAACTTGCAAACAAATGTTAATATTAACATTAGGCAGTCTTTGCCGCCCCGCCGGCGAGCGCCGCCCGGGAGGCAGCGGCTGGAGGAGCGGACGGGCCCCGCGGGGCCCGAGGGCAAGGAGCAGCCGCCTGCCTTGGCCTCCCAAAGTGCCGAGATTGCAGCCTCTGCCCGGCTGCCACCCCGTCTGGGAAGTGAGGAGTGTCTCTGCCTGGCCGCCCATCGTCTGGGATGTGAGGAGCCCCTCTGCCTGGCTGCCCAGTCTGGAAAGTGAGGAGCGTCTCCGCCCGGCCGCCATCCCATCTAGGAAGTGAGGAGCGCCTCTTCCCAGCCGCCATCACATCTAGGAAGTGAGGAGCGTCTCTGCCCGGCCGCCCATCGTCTGAGATGTGGGGAGCGCCTCTGCCCCGCCGCCCCATCTGGGATGTGAGGAGCGCCTCTGCCCGGCCGAGACCCCGTCTGGGAGGTGAGGAGCGTCTCTGCCCGGCCGCCCCGTCTGAGAAGTGAGGAGACCCTCTGCCTGGCAACCACCCCGTCTGAGAAGTGAGGAGCCCCTCCGCCCCGCAGCTGCCCCGTCTGAGAAGTGAGGAGCCTCTCCGCCCGGCAGCCACCCCATCTGGGAAGTGAGGAGCGTCTCCGCCCGGCAGCCACCCCATCCGGGAGGGAGGTGGGGGGGGGTCAGCCCCCCCGCCCGGCCAGCCGTGCCATCCGGGAGGGAGGTGGGGGGTCAGCTCCCCCGCCCGGCCAGCCGTGCCATCCGGGAGGGAGGTGGGGGGGTCAGCCCCCCGCCTGGCCAGCCGTGCCGTCCGGGAGGGAGGTGGGGGGGTCAGCCCCCCGCCCGGCCAGCCGCCCCTTCCGGGAGGTGAGGGGCGCCTCTGCCCGGCCGCCCCTACTGGGAAGTGAGGAGCCCCTCAGCCCGGCCAGCCACCCCGTCCGGGAGGGAGATGGGGGGGGTCAGCCCCCCCACCCGGCCAGCCGCCCCGTCCGGGAGGGAGGTGGGGGGGTCAGCCCTCCGCCCGGCCAGCCGCCCCGTCTGGGAGGTGAGGGGCGCCTCTGCCCAGCCGCCCCTACTGGGAAGTGAGGAGCCCCTCTGCCCGGCCAGCCGCCCCGTCCGGGAGGGAGGTGGGGGGGTCGGCCCCCCGCCCGGCCAGCCGCCCCGTCCGGGAGGGAGGTGGGGGGGTCGGCCCCCCACCCGGCCAGCCGCCCCGTCCGGGAGGTGAGGGGCGCCTCTGCCCGGCCGCCCCTACTGGGAAGTGAGGAGCCCCTCTGCCCGGCCAGCCGCCCCGTCCGGGAGGGAGGTGGGGGGGTCAGCCCCCCGCCTGGCCAGCCGCCCCGTCCGGGAGGGAGGTTGGGGGGTCAGCCCCCCGCCCGGCCAGCCGCCCCGTCCGGGAGGGAGGTGGGGGGGGTCAGCCCCCCTGCCCGGCCAGCCACCCCGTCCGGGAGGTGAGGGGCGCCTCTGCCCGGCCGCCCCTACTGGGAAGTGAGGAGCCCCTCTGCCCGGCCACCACCCCGTCTGGGAGGTGTGCCCAACAGCTCATTGAGAACGGGCCAGGATGACAATGGCGGCTTTGTGGAATAGAAAGGCGGGAAAGGTGGGGAAAAGATTGAGAAATCGGATGGTTGCCCTGTCTGTGTAGAAAGAAGTAGACATGGGAGACTTTTCATTTTGTTCTGCACTAAGAAAAATTCCTCTGCCTTGGGATCCTGTTGATCTGTGACCTTACCCCCAACCCTGTGTTCTCTGAAACATGTGCTGTGTCCACTCAGGGTTAAATGGATTAAGGGCGGTGCAAGATGTGCTTTGTTAAACAGATGCTTGAAGGCAGCATGCTCGTTAAGAGTCATCACCAATCCCTAATCTCAAGTAATCAGGGACACAAACACTGCGGAAGGCCGCAGGGTCCTCTGCCTAGGAAAACCAGAGACCTTTGTTCACTTGTTTATCTGCTGACCTTCCCTCCACTATTGTCCCATGACCCTGCCAAATCCCCCTCTGTGAGAAACACCCAAGAATTATCAATAAAAAAATAAATTTAAAAAAAAAACATTAGGCATAGTAGCCAAATGTGGAAGGAATCAAAATGTACATAAACTGATGAATGGATAAAGAAGATGTGGTATATCTGCACAATGGAATATTATTCAGTCATAAAAAGGAAAGAGCTATTAATTCACGTGACAACTTGAAAACATTATGCTAAAGGAAGAAGTTAGTTACAAAAGACCACACATTGTATCATTCCATTTATACGAAATGTCCAGAATAGGCAAATGCACGGAGAAAGTAAATTAGTGGTAACCTAGGGATGAGGGGAGGAAGGAATGAGGAGTGGCTGCCAACAGAGTTTTTTCTGGGGTGATGAAAATGTTCTAAAATGAAAATGTTCTAAAAAAAACCTGATGAATTGTACACTTGGAAATAGTGGATTTTATGATGTGTGGATTTTATGATGTGTGAATTATATCTCAATTAAGAAAAATTTAAAATGCCCCAAACAAAGCAAAGCAAAACAAAATGTGATAACACCTAAAAGTATGTAGCATATAACAGGTGCTCAAGAAACATAAATTTTTCTCTTAAAAATTATGTAAACCTCAAAAATACACAATAAAATTTACTTTAAAAATCACTCCTTGGATAATTCAGAGTTTCTCCGAGTATTTTTCAAGTATGTGTTACTCCATATAGCTGGGAAAACAGCTCCACCTCCTTTCAATAGTGTGAAAAGTGTAATAATAAAAGCCTCGCTCGTTACTTATAGGTCTTTTCTCTAGATATTATATTTCTCACACTTCAGTGAATCTACCTAAGGTTGTCTGCAAGATTCTCTTCAGTATGAGGCAGTGGCTAACTAAACTTGGTAGCTCTTCCCAGCCATCTCCTGGGTTTGTAGAGTTCTCTTATTCTATAGCATAATACATACAAATACATTTAGTACCAAATAAACCCTCAACCATTGCTCCCTCTGCTTTTATCCCTAAACACATATGTTTCAGCATAAAACACTTTCTTGGACTCAATGAGAGCACTGCTGATAATACAGATGTCTGCACATAAAACCTGATATTCAGGCTGGGTCACTACATCTGTGAAGGTCCTGCAGCAATGCCCAGAAGCCCACTTCTACTCTTCTATCTCCATCTTCTCTCTGAGCAAAGCTTTAGAGACTTGGGTGGTGGCCATAGTGACTACAGTTAATATATAAAAACCTTTTAAAACTAGCTTTTGAAGTTTTTTCCATTTCTCCTTTCTTCCTTCTTTCCTTCCTTCCTCCCTCCCTCCCACCCTCCTTCCCTTCTTTTCTTTATTCACTTATCTATTTAGCAATAAACATTTATTTAATATAGACTACATGCCAGGTACAACACTAGAAGCTGAAGATACACTGAATGGAAAAAGAAATGCCTACAAGGAGGTAATGCTTTGCTTTAAAATGCACACATCCCCTATAAGCTTTCAGAAGTCCAACTCTGGCTGAAGTGCAAGTTATTTGGGTTCTGGTTTTCTAGGTGCTGGTGATAAAAATTGTTGATTTAGGGCCAGGTGCAGTGGCTCATGCCTATGATCCCAGCACTTTGGGAGGCTGAGGCGGGTGGATCACTTGAGCCCAGGAGTTCAAAACTGGCCTGGACAACATAGGGAGACCCTGTCTCTAAAAAAAAAATACAAAAATTGGCCAAGCACACTGGTGTGCACCTGTAGTCTCAGCTACTCAGGAGACTGAGGTGGGAGGATTGCTCAACCTGGGAGATGGAGGCTGCAATGAGTTATGATTGTGCCACTGCACTCCAGCCTGGGTGATGGAGCGAGACCCCATCTCAAAAATATAAATAAATAAAAAACAAAAATAAAAAATGTTAATTTAAAAATAAATTCTGAGGCGTCTGCCATTAAGTTTAAATATCCTTCCATTTCTTTCCTAGTGTTTAAATTAGCTGTATGAAATAGATGTGTCTTTCTTTACTTTTAAAATTATTATTTATTTCCAAATACATAGCATACATTTTGAGATCAATTCCTAAAATCTGTATAAATATCAAACTATAAAATCATGTTTATAATGTCCTATGCAAGTTCACTGTTTAAAGGAATAATGAAGTAAATGTTTATGTAAATTCAGAAAATACTCATAAGTGAGTTATAATTTCAATTTTATTTCTGGGGTTTACTTAAAGAGGGAAGGGTCATATTAACAACTGAATTTCCTCACAAATACATTCACACACATAGATCCTACTTCAATGGCAGGCACCATAAGTGCCTATCTTACATACTGACACTTGCAGGCATGTATGAGAAATATTATCCCCAAAATCATGAAAATCACGAATCAAAGCACAACACATTCCTTCTTCTGTGCTGTTATTTATGAATGAAATTGGTCCATGTTGAAATATCCATTGTTTTTATAGGTTATATGCAACTTTTAACTGGCTAATAGACCACCAAAACAATTATTTGATTCCAGTTTTTTTTTTTGGACAGGGTCTCACTCTGTCACCCAGACTGGAGTGAAGTGGCACAATCTCAGCTCACTGCAACCTTCACCTCACAGGCTCCAAGTGATTCTCCTGCCTCAGCCTCCTGAGTAGCTGGAATTACAGGTGTGCGCCACTACTGCCCGGCAAATTTTTGTATTTTTAGTAGAGATGGGGTTTCACCATGTGGGCCAGGCTGCTCTCGAACTCCTAACCTCAAATGATCCACCCGCCTCATCCTCCCAAAGTGCTGGGATTACAGGCATGAGCGACCACGCCCGGCCTGCTTCTGTTTCTAATTGCATTTCCACTCTTTGGAAAACGCTTCAAATAAATTACAGCTATGTAATTACTATATTAAAATATGTGTTCTCCTTTTAAATAAGGAGAAATATGTCTTGATGTAATACTCTTTTCCTAATTTTAAAAGAATATTCCAATGCTAGATAGTCTTTAAAATAAATCAATTATTTTATGCCATCATTTCCCCATGTTTATGATCAAACATCCTATTTAAAAAGTAATGATCGGGGGCCAAGCACGGTGGCTCACGCCTGAAATCCCAGCACTTTGGGAGGCCAAGGCAGGTGCATCGCTTGAGCCCAAAGGTAGAGACCAACCCGGGCAACATAGCAAAATCCCATCTCTACAAAAATAAAAATTACAAAAATTAATCTGGCATGGTGATGCATGCCTGTGGTTCTAGCTACTCAGGAGGATGAAGTAGGAGGATCGATTGACCCTGGGAGGTTGAGGCTGCAGAAAGCTGTGATCGCACCACTGCACTCCAGCTTGGGCGATACAGTGAGACCCTGTCTCCACAAACAAACAAACAAAAAGTAATGAGCAAACCCAGATGTTGTGTATTTTTTTTGGAGGAAGGGGTGGATAGAGATACTCTTATTTACAGCCTTCTTTGAAGCCAAGAAACTATGAGGCCATAAAAATTTCTAATTTCTTTTTTATGGACCTGCTAAGAAAATGCTGGTTAAAACAAACATCAACAACAAAAACTTATGTATTATTCTTTTTCAAATTTGATGGAATAACCAGCATTTTCAGTAGTATATATATGTTGAGCCACGGTTAAAGAAATATGTGAGAATTGTTCTATTCAAAAAATATATATAAAATAGATTGTGAAACGAGAAAGCATTTTCCAAGGCAGGCTTATGCTTCTCCTTTAGCTGGAACTACTTCTCCTGTTCACTCTGCTGTGGGATGTGGATACAAACATCCCCAGGCATTCACTTTCTGCCAGGACATTTTTGTGGCTTAAACATGCACATAAGCAATCAGTTTTATGCCTTCCAGTAAGAAATGGAACCAAATATTTATGGCACGAAGGGACTGCACATGTGTAACTGTGCAAAATTCACCACTCCATTCCTCCTCCTGGTTTGATGAGCAATTCTGTTCTATAACGCTCTGGGATGAAACAACTCCCGAGGTAGGCTTCCCAGGGCTCGGGGAGGAGGTGGTTTAACAATGACAGTGAGGGGAGTCCTACCAATGGCTAAGGTATTACTTCAACATTATACAACATCCAGAGCTTCTACAAAGTTTCAAAAAGTCTCAATAGACATGGGCACTTATCAAAGTTGTATACTTTACCAAAACGTTTAAATTTTCTTATTTATCAACAGAAATTCAACCATTAAATAGGTAGTACAGTTTAGGGACGTTAAGCAGGCTTAGTGATCACTTATCAGCTCTTCCAAAAGCTCTAAAATAAAAGACAGGAGAAACCAAATGGCTACCTACCTTCTCCTCTCTTAACTCTTGTCCACTGTCACAGAATACAGGTTGCCAGAAAAGCACAGCTCCCACTGGCACACACAGCCAGCATATGTACATATAAACAGGCACCAACATGAACGTATGGTTGCGATGGCAACTGGGGGGGGGGGGTGGTGGTTAAAGCTGGAATGTGGATGGCCTCCAAAGTCCTTTTCAACTGTAAATGCAATAGGCTTGTTTCTACTCATTGTTGCATCCAAGTGCCTGAGACATAGTAGGTACATGAAACAACATTTTCAATGCAATGACAATGGCATAAAAAATACCTCCACTTTAGTGTAGCCTGAGGAACTCACAAGTCCACCACTAGCACCAGCTCAACAGTCATGGATCATCTGAGCACTGAGGCTGGACAGGCCCTTACTGCTCATCCAGTCCAACCTCCCCCATCTGCAGTGGAGTTAAGTGACTGCCACAGTAGGGGGCAGAGCCAGAGCAAGCCTCCTGCCTCCTAGTTCTTAGGTCAGAGCACCTTCCCCAGTACAGACGATGCTTATCACACAGTTACTGTGAACACCCAAAGGGCCACCTTTCTGACATACCTCAAACATGTTTTTTCTGGAAGTTGCAGAGTATAGATATCCAAATCTTGTCTCAAAGGATTGCAGTCAGTCAGCATCAACTGAATGTCCTCTGTGGCCAAAACATTATTAGAAAAAAAACTCACAGATGAAGTGGAAAGGATCACAGAAATGAATACGCATATGCTAACAATAGGTACCTACCCCAAAGAGCCACAATACTATCCACTGTCGATTGCTCTGATTCTATTCTCATGAAGCAGCCTCTGGAAGACCAACGTAACATCAATGTTACCTCCATGTCAATAAGGGGATACCCTGACTAGCCCATTTAAGCATTTATGTCTCTGAAAGGGTTCACTCCTAACTGCAAATTAACAAATGGATATTATCACTTACTCATGTCTTTTTTGAGACTATGTGTACATCAGTTTATGAGAGGGTGGTTAATCTGTATTCACTGACAAATTCAGACTCCAAGCTGTTGAAGCAGACCCCGGTGCACAGAGATGGAGCCCGGTCTGAGAGTGCTTCCCTTGACATGCCTAGGTCAGCTATCTATCTAAGAGCAACAGAAAATGGTCATGGACATTTCTCAGTGTGTCTTAGAGAAGTGGAGAGAGAACAGAATCTAGATCACAGTGGGCTGAGAGGATCACAGGTATAATTACGTAAAGGTCAGAATAAACTCAGGCTTGGATTCCACAGCTTCATCTGACTTTATCACATTGAGTACACCTTCAAAGACAGCAGAAGAGGGAAAAGTCTCCTGGAGTCATTTCCACACCTGTATTATAATTATCCATATTTTTTATGAGAGCAGATACTCAGATTATTTTTTCTTGCTACTGTCTACCCAGTACCAGGCACTGGACCTGGTACATTATAGATGCTCTATAAATGTTTGAATGTATGTATGAATGAATGAGGTTCTGTAATTCTTCCAAACTGTTCTCGAGCCACATGTAACTCTTCCAGCCACATGTTCCAGTTTACTAGGGTGAAAAATGCTTTTCCATTTTCTATTTCCAGAATTTCATATTTGGAGTCAAATCATTCAAAGCTGTCTCCTCATGGACTGAAGAGGCTGGTCAGGACTAGGCTTTGCCAAGTGTCCCAGCATTAAGACATCCTGCTTCTTTGCTCTCAGGGCAATGACCTTGTGGTCTCATTTGCAATCACTGTTCTCCAAAGGAAGTCCCATTATCTTCACTTGCAGAGCCTAGCCAGAGTATGTCGTTCAGACATGATCTGCATGACAGAGTACTGTCATGCAGAAATTGTGCAGGTCTGGCCATGGCTATTGGGAGACAACTGAGTGTCAAGCACTTGGGATGTGTGTGCACATTTGTGTAAGTGTGCATGTGTGCATGCACATGTATACATTTCTATATGTGTGCGTCCGTGTGTGTGTGCGGGTATGTATATGTGTGCACATATGTGCATACAGGCATGTGTCTTTGTGTGTGTTTTGGCAAGGAGGCAGCAATGGGGCTTGACACTGAGCCTTCAGAGGCCAGGCTCCCTCTTATCCAGACAGCATAGCTCAGTACCATACCTCTGCTTCACAACACTGCGCAAGTGAGATGAAACCTTGTAGATTATACTTAAATGATCCTTTCCTCTAACATTTCTAATAATAAACTGTATTGTGTATATTTAAGTTTATCTTTTACCTTTCAAAAGAAGTACAAAAATAACCATGTGCTTAAAGTTATGGGTGGACTAGGCATAGGGTGAGAAAGGACCATAAAATGGAATGGATTAACAATGAACTTAGAAGGTATATATTTCAAGAGCATTCAAGAGAAATACATGATTAAATAAATGGAGAACCATGCAATATATACACATACACATATATACGTGTGTGTGTGTAACTTGTTTGCTGGTCTCCAAAGCCCACTGACTAGTTAACTTGATCTTCCTAGCAACCAAGCCTGTGAGGGAATTAGAGAGGTAACAGTCTTCCCATTTTAAGAAGAGAAAACTGAAGTCTAAAGTGATTTGCTGAAGGCCATCTGGCTAGTAAGTAGTGACAAGATGATAACCAGGTCTCTTGATTCCCAGACCAGTGTGTTTAGCTAATCTGTCCTCAATACGCGTTGAGGCTTGGAAGACAAAATTACCATCAGCTCTATTTCAAAGGGCAACTGAAAAGAAAGAAAAATAAGGCAGTGTGTTCAGCCTATTATTTTACTAAGCTCTCCAGATTCTCTACCTACTGAATATTTCATGAACATGAAGACCCCCTTTAATTGCTTCATTCCTGCCCCAAATTCATAAGAAAAGAAATAATTTAATATTGAATCTCTTGTAGAGTGAGGTGATTAGAAAATATCATCTGCAATAAACTTTTAATTACATGCTCAGGGTCAAACATTTGAAACCTTATTTTCATTAAACCAACACTGCCACCAACTCTGCTTTGTAATTTTAAATATGGCTTTTTCTGTTTACCTCCACTCTATGTTCAGTACTGAAGCAAAACCTTCCAAGTCTGGCCTTGCTCTAGATAAGGAAGAACAGGGGAATTCTGCTAAAGTTGGAGCTCTGCATGAGTCTGAAAGGTGCAGAGGTAGGGTGGTAAATGAGAGTGCTATGAGGCCAGTGCAAGTCAGAATGCTGGCCTCGGGACTGCCTGTGCTGGTCCACAGTGAGAGACAGAAAGGAGAGGAAGAGCATAGAAACTCTTACAGCAATTTCACAGAATAATTTTGTCTGTTGAAGATAATAATAGAAAATTAGTTAATATTTCAAGTGTTTTTTATTTCTAGTCATTTATTTTTACTGTATTTTGTGGAAGTATTGATCCAAAAAAATTGGAAGGAAATAAAGGAAGTGGTCTGTCTCTGCGTGTAGTTTGAGAAGCACTATGCTAGGCCACTCTGAGGCAGGTTTTATCTGGGAGGAATGTAATGGTTTCCCAGATTATCAAAGCTACCTGTATCAAAATGTAGGAACAAAAGTTATACATAAATACATATCTGTAATAACAAACTGCAGTTTTGATTGCCCGTTCTGTCCTGACTTCTGAGTACATGGGTAACGAGAAGTGGGCAATCCAGAAATGAACTGAATCTGACGTCAATAATGCATAAGATAAGACATTTAAGCAAAACTCAAGGGTCCTGTTGAAAATCTGAAATTCAAAACAATTCGAACCCTTCAATTATATGCTGCTGACTAAAAATCAGCCATGCTGAGAAAGGAATGGCTGTCCCTGCCCTCCCTCTGCTTTTGGTAGCTGAGGTGAAACGAGCAGGTGGTTTCAGCTCAGTTCCTCATTTATAAACCGGCTCTGTGAAAAATACACACGCAAAGCCACTTGTTTGGCAGTCTCAGAAGAGGTCTGAGGACTGACCGGACATGAGCCACAATTACCCTCTCACCCTGGAAGGAAGTCCCTGCAGGTTAGGGGCGATGTACATCAGTAGGTTAGGATGCAAAAACCCTGCACAGCTGCTGCCTACATTGGGCGGCGGGCTGAGGGAGAAGGAGGACATGTTCATTTCCAGATTACAAAACCAGCCCTAAAATGGAAGTGATCAGATTATCACTAATTTATGTTATTTAATCCCCCATGTTCTTCAGACTGCTAAATCTCTGTTATTTTAAGGAAGCATTGTAAGTTTTTGTCACCTTTTAAAAGTTGTGCACTTTTTAAAAAGAACAAAATAAAACATGTTATCAAATTCCTTTTTTTTTTTTTTTTTTTTTTTTTTAAGGAAAATAATGAACCCAGTGACAGTTAATGTGATTACTATGGCAATTTGTATGCATATGATATCGTGGACAGACAATGGATGTGTCATCAGCACCCGAAAACAGCCTGTTTCATGTTCTCTTGGGCTTGGCATTCCTGACAATGCAGACTCCCTCTAGTGGTCAAAGTAATATATGTAAATTCTCAGGTTGGTTAACAAAAAAAGGGCTATTTTGTAATCTGGCTGCTTTTAAAAGAAAAGAAAAATTTTTTGATGTGCAAAATGTTTTCAAGTACTTCAAATGATGTAATTAGATATAAATTTAAAAATGCAAAATGTAGATTCTATTCTTAAATTATCTAAATGTATATGATAAATAGAACAGTTATAATTCTTATAATTTATTGGACATTAATTCATTCCTCTGAGTTTGTAATGCTAAATGTCCAGAACAAAGAAGACCCAACAACAGATTTATTAACAGGGTCATGACTATTCTTTACCAATACAAGCACTTATCATTTAGGGGACTGGATTTCCACAGTTAGATAATTTCCAAAGCAGGTATGAGGTTATCATACAGGGTCATTATTATCTGATGCCTGCACTGAAGGCCTTATTTTTAAATGCTGACCAAGACAGACAAGATGGTACTCACTTAGACCAGATGTTTTTACATATTGAACTTATTGATTATGACAATACTTTTGGAAATCAAACATTTAGCCTTTATAATGAAACTACAGATTCCTAAAATATTGAAACAAAGTTCTGGTTAAAGGGGATAATATATGTGGAAACTATAAACTGCAAAGCAAAAAATCAGATATAAATTATTATTTTTACCACCTAATCCTCAGACCATCTTTTGCAGATGAAAAATGAAACCCTGAGAACCAGGAAGCTCAAATGACTTGTTCATGGTCACTAAACTAGTCAGCAGGAAAGGAAATGAGAAGCCAGCTACTCTGAGCCCCAGTCTTTTTGGAATATGTATGGCTAAGGAGACATAGTGCTAGCTTTGTCAGTCTTCATCTTAGCATTGATTTGTGACTGTAAAGTATTTAGCCTGATTTCCATACGAAATAGTCCCATTCTTTGTGTCATATTGCTTACTTTTTTTTTCTTATATTTCATCAATTATTTAAGCACTTTCTGAAGCACTGGTTAACTGACAGAACAAGTTCCTAGGTAATTCTTTTATGAGATGAACATGAGATGTTAAAAACTAATAATTGTAAAAATACATGCAAATTTCTGGTCTGAATGCTCTCTCAGTCACTGTGGACTTAACAGCTCAATTCTGGGTTTCTTGTACATTTCTGGAATTTTGTGAAAAATAAATGATGACAAAGCAGTAAAAGTGCTGTGAAATTGTGGCAAATGCTACAAACACAAGTTCTTGTTTTAGTTAGCCAAAGTTAAATCACACAGGGGAAAAAAAGGGTTTTATCTACTGCTTTAGTTTCCTGGAGGGTGAAGGAAAATAGAAACTGCCAATCTGTTTGGAGAATGAATGAAAATGGAAGAAAATCACAAATTCTCTCCACAACGTGTATTGCCTGGCAGGTTCTGTGTTAGGTGCTGGAGAATGCATTATCATTTTTCCCCTGAGAGTTTTGGCATTTGATTTGGACTAGAACTAAAATTGTGTTACAATCATAGCTGTGAACTCTTATAATTATACTCACATATAAATACAGTAATGGGTTGCCACTTCTTGGGGAAGGCCAAACACATTCTGACTCATTCAGTTTTTTATGACATGAAAATGTGTAAGCCCCCCTCCCGCTGTGTCAATCCAGACTGTAAACTCTGAGAGAACAGGACGTGTGTCTGTCTTGTCCATTTCTGTATAACCAACACCTAGGATAGTGCCAGGCACAGAGTCAGCATTCGTTTTGTGCTGGCTGAATTTGAACTCCAGGTTGGACATAATAAGAACTCACCTGGAGGGAGGAGGGCTGAAGGAATGAAGGAAGAACTAATAGCGCATGGGGCTGTTTTTGTGCCTTATCTAGGAGATACGCCACTGCTGCCAGGGAGAACAGGCTGTTGGGCTTCGTTTCACGAAAAGGCTGACCATGTTCACCAATATGTACCCAGAGACTATGTAGCATCCCCAAACTGTGCTCTACATTCCACACTATGGATGAAAAATACATGAGATCTCAACCACTGATAGAAATGTCAGAAAAGCAGACAAGAGCTATCACCACGGACTCTTCAGAGTCAATACAAACCAAACAAACCAAAAACAAAACCAGTTTGTGCTCTTCAGTTTTCATTTTTTAAATCCTGACCAAGAGAGACAAGACAGGGCTCACATAGACCAGATATTTTCACAGACTGGACTTACTGATTACGACAATACTTTTTGAAATCAAGAGTAGAATCACCTTAGTCCATGGCCTTGTATCAAATAAAATGTTCAACGTATACAAGAGTGAAAAACATAAAATTCCACCAGTTTTCCAATGTCTCATGCTTTCGAATTTATTTTTTAAAGTCCTAACACATGATGGGTGATAGAAGCTTCTTTTTACTGTCAGAGAGATCAAAGAGAGGTTGAGAAAGAATCCATAAGCAGATGCTGCCCAGTGACAAACCTGAAAGAAGCAGACAGTGGGGCCAGATGTTGGAGTGACCTTTGGTCTGCAGATCACGTTGGCATGGTGTTGATTTAGATAGTTGTTGGCAGAAGCTTTAGCTCCAGCAGCAGGGGGGGGAAAAAAACTAAACTACGGAATTCTTTCCTACTCTTTCCCCTCACTAGAAAACCCAAAACCACTGGTCAGTAGTGCTGATGGCTGTCAAAGAAGTTGAATTCACCACGCGACCCTGCCAGTAGGTATCACATCAAAAGGGAGTTAGCTGAGTGAGTAAGAACATCTTCAGGCTGTGCCATTTTGCATCCCACTCAACTTTTAACAGCTGTTTCTTGAGTGAATACAGACACAAAATAATTATATGAAAAGGACAACATATTCAATATGCGAGATGATATTTACAGTTATTACTTAGTCATTGATAGAAGAGTCAACCAGGAAAAATGCTGGCACATCTGAAACCTGAATGACCTGTTATAATTAGCACCCAGTGAAAGTTCCCTTAAGTTGAACTCTGAACTGTACACTCTGAAGACAGCACAGGAAGTAGGTTTTCATTAAAAAGAATGACCCAAATTAGTACTGAAGAAACAAAAAAATATATAATGGTGTGTTATAGTTTTAAAGACTCCTATCACATTATGTGATTATCCTGATCATTCACTCATTAGAAATTTAAAGGATTTTTTTCTAGTGACCCTAAGGTTCTTAATATTGCAAACACTTGTAAATAAGCCAGATGCCCTCTAATCATAGGTTCTGACAGAATTTTAAATTTCAGCCATCATACAATGCTGCAACACAGTACTTAAATGGAAGCTTGCTTTATAGTATTAGAGATGATTGCAGGCCACATAGTTCTTCTGACACTTTTAGACATTTTGTCACTTTACCTGGAGAAATATACACTGCTTATTCTAAATTGCTGCTGATGTCCAGCACTTGTCAAAACCTCTATCTGTCAAGGCCTTCACAAAGAGTTGAAAAATGACAGATCAGGATGTCTGAGTTGATGGAGCCCCAGGAAAAATGGAACAGATAGAAAATTCATGACTCTAAACTACATCAAAGTGACTTCTGTCAACATCATGTCAAAAGAACTGTTCATTTTTAGAGGTTTTTTTAAAATTATATAAACACTTTTTTGAGTATGAGCTAAGTGTAATGAAAAAATTTTCTTGGTGTACAGTATGATCATCCAAATGTTCCAAAAATACACTTTAGATCATCCAGGAATAAGGAAAATTCTAATAGTAGATACTGTCTGCCAGTTAAAACCAATGACATTCAAGAGAGATGTATGAAGTTACTATCAGCTTAAAATAGGACAAACCATCTGGCTATAAAGGAACAAAAGTATATTTTTTGCATATTTTTGAACACATCAAATTTCTACAACTGGATTAATTTTTTATTCTTCTACAATCAGTTTTGTTCCATTTTTTGCTTAGTGTGACAACTGCAAAGCACTAATTCAGTGTTATTTTCCTAAACAGGTTTCCTAAAATAGCTAGCATTATTTTAATTTTAAAAAAAATTACTGGAAAACCCTCATAATGCATAATTCCCTTAAATTATTGCTTTCAGAAGGAAGTAAAAAAATAAATGGCTTATGTTATGCAGTACTGCATACACAGAACCACTCCATAATCACATTCAAGGAGTCATTCACTGAATGAAATATGAGTTGCATCAATCTGGAAATGACCACTCTCCCATTTTAATTCCCAACACCTTTTCAGGGAGGATGGCTGGCACCTGGTGCTAGAACCCAGACAACTTGAGTCCCACTGCTCATATGTCACTGAGATAAATAGGATAAGTGACCTTGTGAGGACAAAACTGTAGAATGTGCTGTGTGCATATATACTGAGCAGACAGTGGGGACGACGCATAGAATTCACCATGCACACACATCAAGCACACATGTGCAGAGTCACACACACTTAAAAGAGCAATCAAACATGAGCAACTTCCACAGTCACCATAACCGGCCCTAACACAGCAACACTGTCAATCATTTATACCATCCATTTGGCAATTTTGACATCAGTCCTTTCTAACAACCACCAGGACAGGGACCATCTATGATCCTAGTAACGGTGGCCACTAATTCACTGCACTTGTCCAGTGGCACAAAAGGTCCATTATCTGTGACCAGAAAAGTTTGCTTATGTCCAGAATGATGTCAGATCTCAAAAATAACAAGCACTTCCAGTTTTGAGAGAAGCTTGCTTCCCATAGCATTGTGTCAAACTATGTATGGGAAGTACCATCTATTAGGACAAAAAAGTAGGACAAGATCACTATCTCTTATTATAGGCAGAACTCAATATATCTTTTGTTCTACTTACAAAAAAGATGTTTATTACCTGTAAGTGTACAGAGGTGTGGACTTCATGGGAGTCGTGATTGGTAATAAGCCTCTTTTTCTCATTTACATTGATAGCAAGCATTAGTGAAGATATATGCATTTCATTTCATGGTTCAGAAAGAACAAAGTATATGTATATGTGATAGCAGTGGGTGGTTAATGAAATGGTCTGACAAACATAAGCTAATACATAATCATACCAGAATGTGACTGGAACACCTGTTCCTGCTTCACACACTTCCAATTCTTAAGGAAAAGTTACCATTCTGAAGAACTGAAGCCACCACTATTTAGACATCAATATGCTCCAAGGAAATTTTAGTCACTTTTTGTTGTTGTTGTTGTTGTTGTTGCAATCACTAAAAGGTGGCTATTTTAATGATATCAAATCTTTTTTGCTTGTGTCCTAAGAGTAATGAAAACTTCACACATGCATGAAGCTCCAGTAATTATTTTAAACTGCCTTCTGTTGTCCCCCTGAGGAACACGGTGGTATTTGTTTGATGCAGTTTAATTAGTGTCAGGGTAATTAATGCTATGCTATCTACATGAGATCAAAACCCTTTCTTTGTAACACTCTGGTAACTAAGAACTAAGAAAAGGAAGCATTTTGAAAACGTCGAGGCATGGTGTTAACCTGGGTTCACCAGTGAACCCAGTTCTCATCTCTTCCTCCACACTTCACCCAAATGGCAATTTCAGTCTCTCCCAGGATAAGATCATGCCCGTAATGCATTGGAACCACACTGCCAGGTATAAGACCCACTGGCTGCTATGGAATTAAACTCTTTCTTTATGGGCATAATCAAATTAACTAAAACATTCATGGTCACCAGGCAGCTTTTGCTGTAGTTTAATCCTTTAATAATGAAATAGTAAACTTTTGCACTGACAGAGAACTAGAGGCCCTTGTAAGCAGGGTGTGATATTACCATGTGCTGATATATTTTTTCAAATAAAAGAATCATTTGGTTTAATGAATGAATGTGATTCTGCTTAAATGCCTGAATAAAATTTGCATTTAATTGTAGGTATAGATAGTCTCTCTATTTGACGATAATGTTAAGAGAGGAAAAAACAGAGATAGGCAAGGAGAGAAGTTAAATACACAAAAATTCCAGACACACACATAACGGGCACTACCATAAATCCTTTTTAACTGTTTCTTTGGTAATAAGCAACGGCAGTATAAACCTCCCAACACACAAACTCAAGCTGATCACAGGCTTAAGGAAATAACTCCAGTTATCTTGACTAGATAAATTATTATATCACAGAGGTTATTCCAGTTTCTAATAAAGCACTGTAGCTAACAAACAAAAATAAAAAGACCAACCATTCTCTTTATTTTATAACAGATGAAATTACAGGCTGCATGGGATCGACACAATGGCATTGAATTTATTTTTACTCTAAAAAATGCACCATGCAATGTTCATTTTGGAACACGACCGGTGCTTTAACACAATGAGGAGAACCAGCATTAGACTGATAATATTTTTTATGGGAAGGGGAGGCTTTAATGGCACATATCTAACAAATAAACATGACTGGTTTTAAGTCAAACCAAATGGACTTAGCCCATTATAGAACTATACTAAGCATGAAAATAACCTCTGCACTGCACAAGAAATGAACAAAGAAAAACACTTCTAGAGGGTAAAAACATTAACTCTATAGTAGTTATGAAATTGTGTCAGTATCCATCAGCAGCTGAAATTAAGGTTAATGTTATAAAATGAGATTTCACTAGCTTAGGCTGGCAGCGTATCACAACCTGAAAGGGTCTGTGCTGAATGCATCTTCTTGAGGTCATTCATTACTGAAAACCTACTGGGATCAGCTGACTAGCAAAATATGTTTTTTCACATCTTCAGTTCTGCTTCCTGTGACTTCGTTGTTTATCAATTAAAGTGATAAATACAAGTGACTTTGATAACACCAGAAACACATTATGTAGTAAAGTAACCTCCAGGAACCCTGCAATAAGAACTGTGTGCAAAGTTCAACAACTGTGAAGGAACTATTGAAGAGGACACACAAACAAGTGACCTTGACTGACAAGCGCGCTTCATTCCAGCAATAAACAGCGGTGGTGCTGATAACTGTTCATTGGCGCAGAGAGTAATTACCTATCTGTCAGCGTTGCTGGTGTGTGCGAAATAGTATAAATGAAACATACATAATGTACGGCAATAATATCGGGCATGCAGAACCTAATGTATTATCATCATTCTCAGGACCCAGGTTTATGTGGTTGCCACCACTGAGTAAATGCCTTCTAGCCATGATAATTTCATTCTAATCTCTGTTCCATATTATAATTTTCATAGCTAAAAGATACTAAGGAGCAATACGTTTCAATCAAGGGCTAAATAGAACACAACCTATAACTGGGTATTTTATACATCTATATTTTTTTTCTTTCAAAAAATTTAGTCAATTTATGAAGAGACTGGAATAAGCTGTAAATTTATGAGTGACAAACCCTGTCTGTACCAATGTCACCATGCCTAGAGATGGGGTGAAAGGGCCTTATGAACGGGTTGTCAGCTTTGTCTCACATTTCTTTCAACAATACGAAATTCTATCTTTTTAAATGCTTCTATTCTGTTCCAAAACAGAAGGTAAGGATGCATTTTTAAACAAAATAAAAGACAGCTCCTATTCAAAAGGAGAAAAATAATCATCTAGTTGCTAAGATAAATTATCTTGATTTGCTTGAATTGCTTAATTATACATAAAACGGAAGCACAGCATAACCCCTTACACCATGATATTCTACTCTTCTTATAAAACTGTCTGGCTCTTACATGCTTGGTTTTTTCCTTTAATGAAAATACAATTTGAAGAAACCTCTAAATCATATTTAATACCATACAAAAGAAGCCAGGAAAATATAGGTAGCAGCTAGGCCATCAGGACCAGTTCCTTGTCTGAAGGATGAAACATTAGAAATCCTCACATTAATAGGGTAAACAAACGAAAGAAGCATATCCCAAACTACATAATAGAAACAGCTGTTGGTCAACGGCTCTGTCATTCAGAAAGGGAGGAGAATATATGAATATTTAGAAAACAAACTGACACGTGATTGTTTTAATCTGGTTCTCTCTTTACAACAAGACAAAATATTTTGGAAACTTTTAGATAGCATGAAATAATAATCAATACAACAGTCTATCTTTTAAAAAAGAGCATTTAAATTGATTGTCCAATGTCACATTTTGAAGATCACAGACATGAGCGATTTGAACTATAGAAGGACTTCATCTTCATCCTTTGGCTTTTTCTTTGCTGGTTTCTCAAAGTTGTTTTCTCAAGTGAATATTGTGGGTAATAAATGATGTCCTGACAGGAGATTAGACAAAGCAGAGAAACAGCTCAAGTTTTTCTTCAGGGTTATCCTTTTGTTTGCTGCACTTTTCTTTCTATATGCCTAGTCAGGACAGAAAGCAATAAAAAACTAACCCATGATAAGTTGTTAGAAGTATGATGTGTTAACTCTCAAAGAAGCATTTCTATTTTTAAAAAGAGGAAAGGCAGAGATAATCCATGGCAGGAAGAAATAAAAACTCTTTTTTTAACTTCCTCAGATCATGACATTAAATAGCTTGTCTATTTTACCCATGTGTCAGCTGACTTCATTGTATGGCTAGCCCAGTACAGAAAAGATTTTTACCCAATTTCAAGTCATTCAATCAAACCTGGCATTCCAGGATACTCTTTCTAAAGAGGCAATATCTGGTAGATGAATAATGTCTATAAATTCCACAGATATATCTTAATCATCTCAGTGGGTTCCCCATTTAATTCATATAATATGACTTTCCTAAGTAACATCTCAATGTGTAGCATTATATGTGTTTTGCATGCAGGTTTAAAAATATAATATGTATCAGAACATAGAAAATTGTCAGGAAAAGGTATAACCTTATTTCATTGATTCTAAGAACAGTAGCACATTTGTTTTTTACATCTTTGCCTCTTTGAAATAGCTTCTTATAGTCTCTGAAAGCCAGGTGGTAAGATCAAGACTGCTCTAACATCAAAGCAGAAAAGTCTTAGACATACCTCTTGACTTTTGCATTCAGGGATATATAACATTTCATGCTGTTCTGGCTTTGAGAAATATCTGTTACACATTTATCTTAAAATGGTCTTGATCACAACTATCACATCTTAAAAAATATCCAACAAAATAATATATTTATTTTATGCTGACATCTAGAGTATGTCTGTGTGGCATGAAAATATCTACTTAATCAATTAAATCAACAACCAGTTGACTTATTGGGGGAAAAAATCAACTACACTTACTTAGTTCCACTGACTCTATTAGGATCATAAGGACCTTGCGTTAGATGTGTTTAGACATTATCTCTGTGGCCTACTCAGTAATTACCTATGATCCCATTTACTGATAATTCTCAACCTAGGAATGGGCAGACAGCCAAGGAACTCTTTCAGTCATTCCCAGCTCTGGCAAAGGGATAAGTCACCTCCTCCTTTTATCTGAGAAGCACTTCCTCGGGGCCAAGTGTATCAGGTGGGTTGTATCTTATCACTCTGATATGTTAGGGCGGTAAAAAGCAAGAACCAGTGGAGAATATAATCTGCATAATTCAAAAAGGTGGGGGGGGGAATCACCACCTTTTCATAATTTTCTCAAATATCCCCAAGGATATTTATCTACAGCCGTGATTAGAATTTAAGTTGTTTATTGTCTCATAATATGTCAGAAAATTGCTATTGCATTTCAGTCATTATTCTCATTGTCTAAAACATCACTTTTTTCAACATAGATGTGTTAAATAAATGAATGAATGACTGAATCAATGAGTGAATGAATGGTATTCTCCAATTCAGATTAGTTATTTTATGAAATCATATATCCTAATTTGATGTTGCAAAGTCCATGCCAAAAAAAAAAAATCTCAAAACATTAAGCACAAAGCACTCTCTTTATCATGTCCTTTGGTTTTTATAAGATTTTTTGGGGGTGAGGGGAGTAATAGAATTACTTAGAATTGACGGTTTTGCAGTTAAGGTACACTTTTAAATCAGAAATTAACTTTTAATATATGGCTTGGTGATGATAATACTGAAGTATGTAAAGTGCAGTTGCCTTCTTATAGGCAATATACTTGATTAATTTTGAACAATTTAACAGTGAAAGATTAATTAAAAATTTCATCCAGTACAGGCCATCTTTCTTTTCCAATTACATTCCTTTAGAGCGGCCATAACTGTTTTAATAATTGCACTGAAAATGCTAGAAAGTATCAAGATAATACAGTGATTCAGTGAGAACAATAAAATTCAGAAAGATGGCACTTTGGTATTTAGAGCATTTAACATTGTGGTGTATAAGCCCTCTGAACTCCAACGGGTTATTTTAACCAAGAAGGTCTAAACTGAGCCTTAATTTTTTTTTATTTACATAAGAACTACTTTTATGAAGCATTTATTTAAAGTACTTTGCTGGAAAAAGAAAACAGCATTAAGAGCCCCTCTAATTATCTGGCATAAGATTTCAGGCTTATGATAACATTTCTCTCTGAAAACATAGTTGGTAGAATTGACTTTGAGATAAAAGGATACCTCTAAACTTGATCCTAATGCAAGGAAATTTTAGAGTACAAAGGTGAAGGTGAAGTTAGAATACATGGTAAAACTGACTACTAAGTCCTGAGTAAAGTGTGCCAATAATGAGTATAAGGGAAAACATTTAAAATGTAGGCGTTCTTTTTATACTCTTAAACTAGGAGGATGGTTGTTCCTGAAACAATCATTCTTTCCATAGACTACCTAAGAGAGTGTTCATCATTTAAGCACATACTTTCTCATCTCTCTTCATTAATCAGGATCTTAATTCTAATGAAACAGAAATACCTGTTAAAAGCTTCACAATTATAAAAGTTCTCTACATTTCTCTGATTTTTCATATGAAAGTTGCAGCAAGAAATCCTGGTTGCATCAGGAAAATAGAAGTTCTTGTCCTAAGTAAGGGCTCTTATCTTATCGATTGGATTTAATTAGGTCCATTTCATCCCTTATTAAAAATAGTAAACTAATCACAATAATAAAAAAGGATGTTGCTTGATAAAGAGGCTGTCCTGAATCACCACTGAGAGCAGGAAGACCTGAGTTGGACCTTGCTAAGCTGCTTACATCAAGCACATGTCTTTCCTCTTTGAATTTCATCTCCAATGTGGTACAATAATAGTGACATTTTATTGGCACATACTAAGCCCTCAATAAGTAGGAGAAAAGATTATCATCAGCTTAAAAAATACTTTCTTAAAAGAAGGTATCCAATATCAGAAAGGGAAACAGGATTGCCAAGCAGTCGTAACAATTGAGCAATTCATCCACTTAATACCATCCAGTAGAACACAAAATCAGACTTTATATTAGAAACCTTGAATGATTCAGCTTTAAACAATAATAAATTTATATACATTTAGAATTTATACTCCAACAACTCAAAAATCCATATGTTGTGCAACATATGCGTATGCAAAACAAGCCTTCCAGAGAGAAAATGGAAGTCTGAGAGTTCTACTAAGGCAATACTTTCATCCTTAATGGAGTCCATTTAGTTTGAAGGTACCTAGAGGCCAAGAAAATGAATATTGGAGACAATGTCATTTCCCAAATTCCAGAGTCTAATATCTATTTCAACATGCCTGTGTAATTCAAGGCCATATCCCCTGATAAGTGGCCAGGCAACCAGCTCTCTAATTTGTGACATCATCTCCAGGTAGAAGTTCTTTCATAGTCATAGTATGGGCCAAGCTTATCTAGGGGGTTTTATTTGGCATTGAAGAGGTTATAGTAGGCACTTCCTTTCTTTTGAGTGAACAGAGACTTCACAAACACAATCAGACTACAGCAGTTTAAAAATTCAATAGACCACTACAAACATGACATGTAATCAAAAGCTAACCACTGAAAATGGTATTCACCTGTCATTTGAAATGAAAAGTTTCCCTCCCCAATTACTAACATGGCAGGCTATCTTGGGTAGTCAGTTATCACCAAATTAGACTAGTAAGCCATTTCATCCAAACATTTACATTTTATTCAATTAGTTTTTTTTTTCACTTTTCTTGCACTCCAATTTGTTTTTCTAAAGACTTAAAATCCAAAATCAAACAAAATTCTCTCTGCTATGACCAATCACAAACTCTGGATTTCTAAAGATTTTATTGGAAATTATACATAGGAAATAAGATGTGTTTTTTAAAATAATTCACTATCAAAGTATACTCTCTGGAAATAGAGATATATACACTGGCATATGATGGGCAGTACTGGGGAGGGAGGAAGATAGAGAACTACCCTGAGAATTAGAAGTGCTAATCATATAATTCTAATCCCCTCAGGCTTGCTGTTGTATCTTTTGCAATATCAGGATATGTACAATGCCCTTGGGAGCATGGACTATCAGCAGAAAGAGGCAAAGGATATTATGTTCTTTTCTTCCTTGCCTGGTGTTATGTAAGTTTGCTTCACTGCCCAGTCATCTGTATTGAGTAATTGATGTTGGATAACAGATTATTGGATTTAAGTGTGAATCTGACTTAATCTAAATATTTTGCTTAAAACTATAAAAGATTCAAAAGAAATTTTAGGATGGTTTCAGTGAAAATCACTGAAATTTACTGAGTTTGGAAGTTCAATGACATCCCCTTCTGCTCTCTACTCTGTCCTCACTGAGGCCACCAGTTCACCTACTCAGCACGACATCTTTATCACATTTTCACAATCAGCCAATATGTCACCACCTTTCTTTGACACTTTGCAAAACTTAATAATCACTATTTTGTTGTAAACAAAATCCTTAAGGAAAGAAGTCATCCAAGAACATCCACAAAGATATGAGTACAAATTTTTTTAAATATAATGTCAGTATCAGGATTATGCTAGTGAACCTAGGCGTTTCAGTTTGTTGCTTTATGTGCTATGATATCAGCTCCAGTAGAATTTCAGAAATAATTCCATGTTTTCACATTTAATATGGTCATGAGGACTTTTAAACTAAATGTATTGCTTTTCTGAATTAATGTTTTGTTAGAAATTAATAATTTTTTGAAATATGGCTTAGATATCTGCATTCTTGAGTGTATATAATACACGCATTTGATTATATCCAATGTTCAACACTGAAAGTACTAGTTATTAAAATCAGTTACATATAGCAAAATCATAGTCAGAAATATTTACATAGGCTTGAAGACATTTGTGTGTGTGTTCGTATAAGCATGTTAGAGGGGAACCTCCTTTCCACTGGTTTTGTGTATCTAGATGAAAGTACTTTCCATAGATAACACCATTAGTTCTCCCTCAACCTCATGCTCACCTCCTCCTTTGCCTCTCCACAAAGAAGAAATGTTAACTTATCTAACTGTGGGCAACAGTGATCTGACAGGCACTGAGCTGTGTTACTCCAATTGGTGGACTAATCTTGAGAAAGGGGCCGCAGTGCAGGATTCTCTTCTCTATCAGCTCTGCACCAGAGGCAACACTGATCCTCCTGGGAAGGGGTGTGTGCTCTGAAGACACAATCATTTCCTTGGGTGGACCATCACTTCCTTGTATAGTGAGGAAGAACCAAAATATAATCAAGCCTGTTTAGCTGCAAATGCCAAGCTTCATTTTCCAAAAAGCTTGATCAACAATAAATTTGATCTTTTGATTTCTATCTTTCTTTCTTGTATCTTATTTATGAGCTATTTCTGAATATAAAGTGTAGAGGGAGAAGAAAAGAGTGTTATGCATTTAATTCTCCCCACTGCATAAAAACTTTAATGATATGGATATTTGTGTATTTGTGTGTTAAGAAGAATTAAATATGTATGTATATATAGTCATTCAAGTAGTGCTTTCATTACTAAGAACATATGTAAATGTATTAGTCAATGGTGAAAATTATTAAAAAGTCAGAATCCTGGGATTTATAAGACTGTTCATAAAAATCTGGACTGTTTTCTATTATCATTATTTTAATTGTATATTTTACAAAGAAAGAAATAGTTCTCAAAGGAAGTGAAAGTGAAATACCTTAGGGCTAATCTGGATGGAATCATAATTTGTGTTACAAGCGCCAGAAAAAGGATAAACGGCATACACAGTGTATAGCTTTTCAAAGGAGGAAAAAGAAAAAGAAAACATCAACTTACAAAGTACTCTCCCAGAAACACTTAAGATTGTTGAAAATTAAGCACAATAGATTGCAGAGGATTTGATTTCTGTGTTAATTTTTACTACATTGATTTTTTTTCCTCATGAGCTACTTCACCTCAAACTTTACTGTTTGAGAGCAATTTTTTGTAGTCTGATTTCATGACTGATTTTGTCCTGCCACAGTATTTGGTTGACATTTTCTACAGGCCATATCGAGAACAGTTCTATCAGATAAAAACAATGGCACTCGGCTCATTTTTCTGAGGATATTGTTCAAGCAGTAGAGAGTCACAGCAGATTCAGGCTCGCTGATTCCATTAGTCTCAGTACCAGCCCCTGTGATTCTGGAATCTATCCATCCCTCCTAGCCTACCAGTTGTTGCCAGCCAAGTCTTCGTAAAGCACAGATCTGACCAGGTCACCCCATCCTCTCTGAAACTCTCAATGGCTTCCTATGACACAAATAAGATTCAAATTCTTTAGAGTTTGATGCCCTCTATTTTTAAAACACCCATCCCTGATCCAGTTAGACTGAGTTGCTCTCCATTCCCTAACTTTGCCTTGAATTTTCTGTCTTCCTTTGTTCACATGGTTGCCTTTGGTCTGGCATTGCCAACCTACTCACTTTGCAAGGCCAAAGGATACTTCTCTTTCATTTGTTCCTTCATCATTCATTCATGGAGTAAATACTGTTTAAGTAGCTCCTATATATACCAGGTACCATATTTGACACCTTCTCTCTTAGACTTTTCTTACATCCCCAATTCCTCCAACCTTGGAAATAATCTTTCTTTTCTCTGAATTCTGCTAACATCTCAGTTAGGATACTTGCCATTTTTAGATTCAGAAACCTCCTTTGTATATCACTGTAGGCCAACAGTACCCAGAACATGGTAGTACATCAATAAATTTCATGAATGGATAAATCCATGGTTGAGCAACAGATGAATACAAAACACCTTGTAAAATATAAATTGTATAAAAAGTACATATAAATATATTTTATTTATATTCTTATATATAATATATAAACATAAAGCACCTTATAAAAATAAATACCTTTCAAACTAAGCTTCATATTTGAAAATACATAAAATATTCAAGCAGCCCAATTTTAAAAGGAGATACCTACTTTGTAGTAGTTTAAAATAGGAAAACTCCTGCAAGATCTTAAAGAATAAAACCACACATACTTCTCACCTTAAGAATACTTTATCTACCATTATAACAAACTGCATTTATAGAAACAAGCACATTGCAGTTTGCCCATTTCTGTTCTATATTTTTAGAAGGGGGAAGAGAGATGTGGGCATGAGAGGGAGGGAGGGAGTAAAAGGTTTTCAAATCTCTCAAAGTTTAATACACCAGAAGAAGACAAGAGTAGAGGCACTAGGAGCCCTTAACTCTAATGATAGTGGTCATATCTGCTGTCAGCTCAGCACAGAGAGATCTGTTGCTACAACTTCTAGACTAGCAGAATCACAGCAAACCAGTTCTCTATTTGTATACAACTCACAGCTGAGTGGAAATGATTTCACAGCTGCATGGTAAACCTCCTGGCGTCTCTCCTGCTTGGTGGCCTCACTGCCTGGGACCAGTCACTGCAGAGAAGCCCACCACCGCTGCTTCCTGGGAAGGGACAAATGGTGGCGCTACAAAGAGGGTGAGGTGCCAAGGGAAGGCCATCTGCCCAGTGTTGGTTTTGTCATCTGTCACTCTCTGAAATGAGTCCCTGCCTTAAAGAGGGAAGTCAAGGTTTACAGAAAAGAATTCCCTATGTGCATCTACATTGACCCTTCTGATCTGTGTCTGACTCAACTTTCAGGTAGTTCTTCAGAAAGCTAGTTAAGTGGGGAATTTACCCTTCAGCAAGCCATAATACTAAGGAGGCACCCTTGTGGGGGTTATTTTAAATTCTGAATATTCTTATAATACGCCTTCCTTCTATAAAACAATATAGAAATTGAAATGAATTTTCCAAATAAGTCTTGCTCAGAAAGATATCTACTCAGTCATCAAATCAACAATGCTAATTGCAATTTACAATGTGCAGTGTAGCATGTGTTAATAGTCTTATTATAGCACTTTCAATATAGCAAATCAAAAATTATTTCTGTCTTGGTGACTATGTCTCATTTTTCATAAATACTTTAAAAATGATTTTATGGCCAATCCTTTCTCTTCTGCACTATTATTATCCTTCACCTCACACAGTTCTTTCAAGGATTAAAAGAGATAAAGTCAGCAAAGAACAGAGTGCCTAACACAGCACTGGCACATGTTGACAATTAAGAAAATCAGAGCTACAGTAGCAGAGGCAGGAACAACAATAGTAGTAACATTTGTAGTTGTAGCTCATAGCCTGACTTTTCTTTTGCAATTAAGAATCTTCTTGAAAATCATACTCTAAAATCCTAAAAAAGGAAGTCAATTTGTAGCTACAAAAATAGCACCTTCACAGACAAAATTATAGATCCATCAGCAATCCTTTTTTTTTTTTTTAAAACAAAACACTTTACTGGAACTGGCCATCAGCAGCAGCAGCACTTGCATTCTGGATCTCAGAACAGAAAACAGGCTGCCCTGCCTAGGGACAACTTTCTACCATTAACTCAATGCTAGAACCATCATGTCACTTGAGAGTGGGAAGATAAACACAGAGTCATCATTTTATAAGACATCATATATCATCACCACTTGATCTTGCATTTTAAATTTGCATGTGGAAAGGATTTTTTTTTTCATGGTTGTAGCTCCAGTTGTGAAACTGGCACATTATAGTCAACCAACATATATTTGTTAAATACACTCTTGAATTTTTATAAATGTGGATATATTTTTCTCCTCATTTATATATATCATTATATATATGTATATATGCATACTTATATATTTTCTCCTCATTTTATATGTATACATATATACATTTTCTCATTTTATATGTATATGTCTCATTATATATGTGTGTGTTATGTGTATGTATATTTTATATATTATATATATATAGTCTTACAGTGCAGAAATTTGTATAATTAATTTTCTTAAAACACTGTGAGGCCGAAAGAGAGAAGAAAATGTTGTATGATTATACTTTGGTTGAATATCCATATATACACATGGTAAAAGTAAGATGTCGACAGATGCTACAGCACTTTGCATATAATCCTATTAGTGCATAATTACTGCCTGATAATGCTTTACACCTAAATGATCTTCTCTCTTGAACTGTAAGCTCCTTGAGGATTCTTATTTATCTTTATTCTATTATATAAGAGAAATTGAATAAAACATTATTTGGATGAATGGATAGAGAGCTGATTGAAAAGTTAATAAGTAGCATCATCAAACAAAAATTGTTGGTATATGTGTAGTATATGAGACTTGTCAAATGATCTGTTTCCAGACCCACCCTTAAATGCAAATTTCCAATAAATCAACCTGATATCAAAAAGCTTAACTGCATGCTAGAACAAAGCACAACAAAAAGAATATGACAAAATCCATCATCCCAAACCATAAAATTCTCAATGTCCAGGATGCAATAAAAAGTTATCAGGCAAGCAAAGAAGCAGGAAAACATAGAGGAAAAAAAAAATCAATCTATCAATAAAAGCAGGCTCCCAAAATGAGAGAGAATGGAATTTGCAGACAGGGAAGTTAAAATATCATGTGATTAAATGTTCTCCATTTGTTCAAGAATAGAGAAAAAAACATGAACTTGAAAAGAAAGAAATGGAAGATACAAAAAATGAAAATATTAAGAGATGAAAAATGAAATGTCTGTAACAAAAAATTATGTAAAATTGACAGCAGATTAGATTAGATACTGTAGAAGAAGAGATCAGTCAACTTGAAGAAATAGCAACAGAAACTATCTGAAAGAAAAAAAGATAAAACTCTAAAGAAATTAAAAAGTAGTAATGACCAGTAGGGTAATATAAAGCAATGCAAGTAATTGGAATCCCAGAAGGGAAGAGACAGGGAGTCAAAAAAAAATCTTCAAGAGATAAGAGCCCAAATTTTCCCAAATTTGATCAAAATTATACACTCATGGGTCTTCTCTTTTTACATTATGCTATCTCATAGTGACTGCATTTTAAATATATTAAGAATCAGTGACAGAATTTAATAATTGTAAACATCTATCTTATGTCAAGTGCTGCTTTAAATGCTTTGCAGGTAGTAACTCATATAATCCCAAAACACAAGGTGATAAGATCTCTTGTATCTCTGTTTTATAGATCAGGGCACTGACTCCCAGAAAGATTAGGTGTTGGCATGCTCAATGTCGCCCAGCTTTTCTGAGTGGAGCAAAGACTCAAACCTGTGTTTCTGGCTTCAGCATTCATGCTCTTAACCATGCTATATGGCCTCTGTACCTTCTGTGCAATGGACAAACATTAACACTTTAAGACTCAAACTTGAGCCAGATGTGTCCATTTTTATGCTAAACACTTCTAAATCTTAAAACAATTCAGTGTGGTTTTTATAAAGAATATGAATTTACACTTTATCTTCCAGGATCCAGAATAATATCAATAAATGTGTGCAAATGCATGAACAAACTGGCAAAAAGATGAAGAACATGTTAGCATTCAAACCATTGTGACCCGCCATTTAACCATGGACTAAATCAGCAGGAAAACTGTGTATCTGGAGGAATGGGTACTTGTGATTTTCTGAAGCCATATTTTAAAAGAAAACTAAGAACATCCAGACACTACAGTTGTCAGCAACTTGACTCCTTCTAGTTGCAATCAGAGGGTTCTTGCTGACACATGTAGCCCTGCTTGTCCTTTGTCACATATGTGCTTCCCCTGCAAACTGTCAGTGACTTGTCAGAATTGATCAGGAAGTCTAAGGTCAATCCTCAGTGATGGACAGGTCTGGACACGACAACATCCCATTTCTGGTTCTGTGTCATGTAACGTATGAAAACTGATGTCCCCATCATCTACTCTCAGGATAAATGACTGCACACAATGATGGTGAGATTTTTTTTTAAAGGTAAAGAAAATCAACAGGATAAACTCAACATTTATTTTTTTAAGCAAATATTTAATCTAATGTTGCAGAGAGACAGGATGTCTTATAAAAAGATGTATACTCCTTTCTCCCAATGTATGAATAAAACTGACCGTGTTCCTTATTTGGGAATTTAAACCATCCAACAACCAAACCAACCAAATCTAGGAATAAGGAAACAGGGCAGGGCACTTCTGTAAATGGCCTGAGACCCTGATGGCTCCCAAGGCACCCAACCCATGAATTACAGGCCAGAAATTTGGAAGTATCTTTGTTGCTTTCCAAGGTGTCTACTTTGAAATTTGATAGAAATTAAGATTTGTGTTACACTTCAATTTGTTTGTTAAGATGTTTGTTAAAGTGGGCATCTTACTACGTAAATTGCCCCTTCTAGAAAAGAAAAATGCTAGAAATTTTTTATAATCTTTTAAAATATCTGACACCACTGAAATATATTATGAGACTGTAAAAAGAATAACTAATCTTTTGGGCGAAGAGGTGGAAAATCACTGTGAACAGGGGTCTAAAGTATGCATAGTATTGCTTAGAAGGGAAAGGGACATAAAAGGGCCTCCACTGAACAGTTTATATAAATTAGCACACAACACTTTTGGGCTTCTGTTCACTTGGCTCCTCATTTCCTCACTGTCCTGACTTCTCTCATTGTTATCCTTGCTAGTCACTTTATTCCTCCTTATAGATTTTACTACAAAATATAGAGAAGAGGAAAGAACATCCCATTTTGCTACACTTCCAAGATCTTACCTCTATTTTTTTTCCGTTCCTCACACCCCTACAAAAATCCTCATAATATCACTTTGATTTTAGCAAAATCACTGGCAACAGAGGGAAAATGGGAAAATGTGAGAGAACTCACTGCCTAACTCCCACTGCTTCTTTCTACACCCAAAAGAGGGAAACGTAGAGAAAGGAGAAAGACCTCTACAGCATAGTAACATGAACATAAATTTAAGCATCTGAATCTTTTAGTTCTTAACACGGACACAGCCTGTAATTACAGTTGCAGGGGAAACCACTAAGTTCCCTATGATTTGTTCCCCAAATGAAGAAAAGGGAGAAACACTCTGTGAGTTCAGGCTACTGGTAATATTCAACAATTGATACCTATTCCATTATTTCTATTTTTTTAAATTAACAAATATTTTATTCTTTCAACTTAATTTCAGTTTAGTTTATGCCTGTTTTTTATCTTCTCTAAGTGAAAACATAAAACATGCATTTTAAATCTTTTCTTATGTTCTAACATAAGCATTTAAAGCTTATGTTTTGCGTTAAGCACTGTTTTTAGCTGTCTCTCAAATTATTTTCTAATCTTCTTTTCTGAATTCTCTTACTTAAAATTATAGTATTTAGAAGTGGTTGCTTAAGTCCTAAACATGTAAGAACTTCTTTGTGATATATTTTTCATTTACTTTTAATTTAATTCCATGTTAGTCAGATAGCATGCTTTTTAATATCTCTGTTTTAAAAGATCTTTCACTTCTCTCAGCAATGTTTCATAGTTTTTATCCAAGAAGTTATCATATCTTTTGTTAAATTTATCCCTAAACATTTATGGAAAATACTATATCAGACATAGTATCCCACTTCAGAGCCGGGCACGGTGGCTCACACCTGTAATCTCAGCACTTTGGGAGGCCGAGGCGGGCAGATCACCTGAGGTCAAGAGGTCGAGACCAGCCTGGCCAACATGGTGAAACCCCATCTCTACTAAAAATACAAAAATTAGCCAGGCGTGGTGGTAGGCACCTGTAATCACAGCTACTCAGGAGCCTGGGGCCTGAGACTCGCTTGAACCCGGGAGGTGGAGGTTGCAGTGAGCCAAGATCACGCCACTGCACTCCAGCTCGGGCAACAGAGAGAGACTCCATTTCAAAAATAAAATAAAATAAAATACTCTGTAATACTCCAATTCTTTAAAATTTATTAAACTTTGTTTTATGAACCAGTGTATGGCTCAGGTGTTGGTTGCAGTGTTCTCTTAATGTCAGTTAGACTAAGGTGGTTGATAGTATGGTCCAAATCAACATGCTTACTATTGTTTGTCTTTTATACTTCAAACAATTACTGAGGGAGGAGTGCTACACTATCCAACCACAATTATAGGTTTGTCTATTTTTCTATGACTTTTGCCAGTTGTTGCTTCATTTATTTTAAAGTTCTATCATAAAGTGTGTACACTTTCAGCATGGTTATAGCTTCTTAATGTATTAACTGTTTCATCAAAATAAAATGTCTCTTTAGTGCTGGTAATATGCCTTGTTCTGAAGTGGGATACTATGTCTGATATTAATATAGCCTTTTCCAGCTTTTTATGATTAATGTTTACATGGTACATCTTTTTTTTCCATTCTTTTACTCTTTTTTTTATACTTTTAAGTTCTAGGGTACATGTGCACAACGTGCAGGTTAGTTACATTCTATTTTTTAACTGCAGAGGGAAGGGAGATAAAACAGTATCAAAGAGATTCCATGTTGTCACTGCTAATTTTCCAATCATTTTGGTTGAACATTTCAGAATGTTGTGAAAATTGTACGACTGTTTATTGACTTGCTAGCTCTTTACCATTCATGAGTGCCATTCAGATGTAATTGTTTAATGAAACAAAATAGTATAATTCCCCTAAATCATGTATCTATTCTACCTTTAGGTAGTCTGAAAGTATAAAATAACACATTTGGAGCCATAACAGCCCACCATGTCCATTCGGATGCACATCTCTAAGAGTTATTTTTTTGGCCTAGTGTGGTGGCTCACACCTGTAATCCCAGCACTTTGGGAGGCCAGCGCAGGAGGATTGCTTGAGCCCAGGAGTTTGAGATCAACCTCAGCAACATGGCGTAACTCTGTCTCTACAAAAAATACAAAAATTAGCAGGGCGTGGTAGTGCATGCCTCTAGCTACTCAGGAGCCTGAGGTGGGAAGATCACTTGAGCCCAGAAAGTGGAGGGTACGATAAGGTGAGATTGCACCACTGCACTCCAGCCTGGGCAACAGAACCAGACCCTGCCTCCAAAAAATAAGTTTTTTTTTTTTTGGAAAAAAAATGTAAATAACATTTTTCTAGCAAATCATTGTAATATTGTAATATAAGACTATTATATCTAGCAAATCATTATAATTATAATATAGACATGAAACAATTAAAAATAAATTACTATATTTATTACTGCAAATTGCTATACAGTCACGAGTTCATATATTCCACCCTTAATGATCATGGTTGTATAAGAGCATTAAAGGAACAACTCAAGCTATTTATGTAATATATGTTGGTATATCTAGTATATGGCATTTCAAAGGTCTAAATAAAGTATAAATCACTGACTTCAGGTAGTTGCATCCCTATTGAATATTCAAAGTGAGAGTTATTAACTACCTCTTCGTTCATCATTAGCCCAAGAGTCAATGGTATTAACAACACATTCCAGGGTCACTCAGTAGTATAAAATAACATATTTGGAGCCATAACAAGCCACCATGTCCATTCTGATGCACATCTGTAAGAGTTGGCTTTTTGGCCAAGTGTGGTGGCTCACACCTGTAATCCCAGTACTGCTCGTCAGGACTAAGCACCAGGGTTTCTGCCCTGAATCTTCCTAGGCTTACACCTCTCTCCAAAGGCAAGGAATCCAGCACCCAAGGGGACATGCTGCCCTAGCCCCTCCATCTTTGTGCTCATGGTCCAGCTGCTCAGAAATTGGGATTCCCTGTTCAACAGTAAGAAGTCCCCTTCTGGGGCATACATGGGCTTCCTTCTTGGGTCTATCCCCCAAAAGCCAAACATGCAGCCATTATGTTCACCTCCAGGTCTGAGGTTAGCCGATGGCTGTTGTTTGGGGTGAAAGTTTGATGGAGCTTCCTGTGGGCAGAGTGGTCCATTCCAGGCAGACTAGGTCCCCGTAGAATGGCAGGTGCAAGATATGGGCTAAGGGTCACATTTGCATCTGTGTCCCACAATTGTCAGAGGTGGATTTTCCTTAGGGTAACTGGAAGGTAAATATAAAGTAGATTCCCGGAAGTCCCAGCATTCCAGTGGCAAGGCAATTATGGGCAGGGTTACCCCCTCAAAGTCATCAAGGCTCCATCTGTTCTACTACAACAATCACGACTGAAATCATGGGATGTAGTGGCTTCTAACATATATAGTTGTGAGGTCACTGGAACAGATTTTTAAGGAATTTCAGCTCATAACACACAGTTTTGGTAAATTTTAAGACAACAGTGGATACACAACT
The DNA here is from genome assembly GCF_000001405.40 of Homo sapiens. Classification (NCBI taxonomy): domain Eukaryota; kingdom Metazoa; phylum Chordata; class Mammalia; order Primates; family Hominidae; genus Homo; species Homo sapiens. The sequence continues at coordinate 64,719,072 of NC_000008.11, forward strand.
GACCATATCCATTGCCAAGAAATTAGATTAAATGGCATTTAGAATAATAAAAATTTGAAGAGAGCATATAAAGGTCATTTCAATGACCAACCTACATTTATGACAATTGAGTTCATTCCATGACTAAAACCATAAGGTCTCTTTCTCCCCTCCGCACACTCAGATATCAACCACTTAAAATATATTAAATTTATATTTCTAAAATTTACATCATTAAGATCCCCACAAAGCAAAACATACATGACCTCCTTAAACTACACTTTCATGATAAATCAGTAGTGAGTGCAGCGATTCATGTATTATTAAGTTAATTGTCTGTCAAGATATTAACAATGTTGACTTCTGAAAAGAAGTCTAAAATTTTAAAAGCGAAACTGAGTTTATCAGCTAGGACAGATTGCTGCTTGTCAAAGTGACTTAGTTTGTGTGACAGAGCTACACGCTGCCTTTGGGTTCACAAGTCCTTCAAAACCAAAAATCCATGCTAATGGAAACCTTTTCAGCATAAAGCATCCAACAATCAGAGTTAAGGTTTTATTTATTGGCTTTGACCATTTACTTCTGTTATCAACCATAAGGGCCCATACACTTCATCAACCTCTAACAATAGCCGCAAGCTTGGACAATCTGTCTTGCGTCTTCATTGGGTAAGACTTCAATGGGACAGCCTCGATTAAAGAACAGCCCACGCATAAAATGAAAACTCATTAAAATAAACTTTCTCAAAGGGTAGAAACTTCACTTCCAATTGAACTGAACTGTTTTTATTTCAAAGATGAAAGGCACATTACCCAGCCATACATTCATGTGCTCTTGGCCTAAGTGCTTTCTATTTGACGACTTTAACTCTGGGTCCCTTCCCATGTCTTTTTGGAGGCTTTAGAAACAGAATAGGAATTCAACCCTTATTGAGCCTGATTGGAACATAGTATCTGTGAACCTCTTAATAATACTTCAGACCTTTATGGTTTAATTCGCAATGGTGTCCCTTTTGTCTGCCTTACTAGCCTTTAATCTAAGGCACAATGAACCCACTTTACATTTATTTGTAGAAAAACACTGAATAGCTAAGGATTTTTTAATGTGCCCATTATAAATAGAGATTTTTTAGAGACACACAGGTATGGTCATTTACATAACAGAATGCAAAGCTGAATTAAAAAAAGACGATGTCGAAGATGGTTGTTGCCAATTGTTTACATGAAAACTGACTTATAACTTTGAAGTTGAAAACTTCACCTTGAACTTATGAGGGCAATATCAATGAAAGAAACAACACAATAAAATGAAAAAGTCAAGAGACTGGGAAAATCTGTTATGTGAAAATATCAGCTGACCTATAAAAGAGTAATATAACTGGTATTAGCTGAAGCAAATAATAATACTCTGAGCTTTAATTTTATATGAATGACCATTAAGTGAAATGAACCACAATCATGGTTACTTAGATACACAGACTATTCAGAGATATTGTTAATACTCAAAGCAATGCAAAAACATCCACTAATGGCTGTATATGCATGCCATTAAGAGGAAATTAAGCTCTTTAAGGTTGGCTATATGTTATTATATAACTTTAATTCATACATCTTTGTTTGAGACCTAAATGTATATACCATGTGCATACTTTAAAAGACACATTAGTTCAAGAAATATAAATTTCTTGTGTCAAAAATGTTCCCTTAAATTATGTAATTGTGAAACTATATGTAGATGCATTTTAAATTTTATCAAAATTAATAACTAGCATAATGGTCTCTGGGTAATGAAAGTGCTATATACTTTCTCAGCAGGGGTTGCCAAAAGCTTCTCAATTATCTTTTTGATTTAATCTATTTGTAAATTACTAACAAAGGCTTTTTTTCTTTATGCAAAAACCTATCAGAAATTGAATATATAAATAAGATATTTTTAAACAAAAATCTATTATTTAAAACCAAAACAAAAGATCAAAATAAAAAATGTTACAAAATCAAACATCATCACAAATGACAAAGTATAGAAAACTGATTCTTACCTGGTTTTTTTTTTTACCTATAAAGTCAATCTAAACTTTCTTGCTATTTTTTGCTTTGTTTTTGCTTTAAAGGTGAATGTATTCAATATTTGAAATTAATCAAAAAGTAAACAGAAAAACAACACCTATCTTTGTCGAAATTACAAACAATTCTGTCATTCACCAACTTATACTAGCTCCAGTACAAAATAAACATCTGCCCTGACTGCTAGAAAGCGTTAAGTGAATTCCTGGCTTTGCTCAAACAGGATCATATAGATATCATTTTTTCCCACTAATTTAAAAAAATCATAGCTTCTGTATTTTATTTGGTATTATTTTGGTCTTACCACATCTATTCATCATTTAGGGGTCTAAATATATCAATCTGTAAAAAGCCAAATTAAAATAACCAACAATCTCTCAGGGAAAACTAAAATAGGTCTGTCGCACTTTAAGCAAAACCAATGTATAAATGTAGGTGAAGGATGATTAAAAGATTAATATTTGTGATGCACAGTATTAGCGATAGGACTTTTTCGCAACAGCAAGCTCTCCTCTTGAAATTTACCGTCTTAAAAATGTGTATGACTTACAGCCATCCTGGATTCTATCTAATATATACAAAATAATACTTTGTATAGATGAAAATATTTACAGATATATATTTCATATCTATGAAAACATTTGCAGTAAATAACACTATATCTTTATGATAGATAGCAAGATACACAGCCTATATAATTATGACACATATGATATAGATAACATTATCTACTGTAAATGTTTCATTTATTGAATTATTCAAATAAGTCAAAAGAATCTGTATTATTCCACCAAGAATGTCAGTTTATAGAAATTTGATTATTGTTAATCAGGGCCTGTTCTTGCTTAAAAATTTAACTTATAAACCTCGAATTAACTATAAACAATTTATAATTTTAAAAATTAGCATAACAGGAGCACACAATGCTTTTCTTGTTATCAGGAGGTTGAGCCATGGAAGTTCAGAAACTATAATTAATTTCTTGTTTAATGAAATTGGCCAAAGCTGCCATACATCATGCTGTAAGTTGCTTCCTGAAAGTGAAGTTCCTTTTGCATCTTACGCAGCAAAACTAGTTTATAATTACAATGGAAAACTCTATGTTGGAAGGCCCTGGCCTCTCTAGACTGTACTTGCAAATGGAAAACAGAGCAGCCTAAGCTGTCCAGTATGTGCTTCCCAGACCTTATGTGGCCCATCAGAGAAGTTCCCCAAGACAAACTCAGTGTTGAAAATATGGCTATGAATATTAGCCATAAAAATCATGTTTTAATTCAAACAAATTCATTTTAATGTAAAGAAATCAAATAAACATGAAATAATTTCAACAAAGCATTAGATGATAAATACCTTTCTAACTTTAGACATAAGGACATTAGCTACTAGAAAAAATCTAACATAATTTTAATGCTTTTACTTTTGCATTGAAATTAGTGTGTGTCAAAAAATGAGATAACACAGTAGTTTTTTGCTTACATGGACACATGTTAATAGTTCTGTGGGATATTTGCAATTTTCACTTTTATGGTTTCAACTCCTGATGCTTACCTAGGAAAACTGGGATCTCGTAGTATAAAATTTAAGAAAATCAAACAAATGACTTAAAGGGAGTAGAATGATTTTTTGCGGCGGGGGGGGGGGGGCGGGAGGTTTTTTTTTATTATTATTATTTTGCCTTAATCCTCTCATTTGGTTTAGAAACATAAGGCCCTGTTCACTTCATTTAAGCCTCACAATGACTGGAAGCCTGATCAATCTGTCTTGTGTCTTCTTAGGGTGAAACTGCAATTGAGCGGAAGCAACAGATGAACAAAGCCCACATTCAAATCTGTAGCTCATTAAAATAACGTTAAAATAGAGTAAAATCTCAATTGTAAGTGAATCGTAGCTGGCTTTTTTTTCTGCTAAATACATTTGATTAATAAACTATACAATCATTAGCCCTGAATCAGTAGTCTTTAAAGTAAATTTAAATAAATGTCTACTTCTTTCTAAAAACTTGAACATTTTGAAAACCGTTTTGGAAATAGGCTTTCAACAAAGCACTACATGAGATAACTCTGCAGCATGCTCCAGTGACACATTCCATCAAGACATGATTCACAGTAATTCTACAGTTTATGGTGCTTTCTACAGTATATGGAGGAACCATACACAAGATAAAATCAGTAGCAGTCAATGTAACACTTCCCCCTCCAAACTCCTATCATTCTATAATGACACAACATCAAGTTTCTATCAATAAATGCCAAAATAGATGTGCTATGCCACAATTTTTTATCCAAATGCCCAATAAGTAAAATTTTTAGAACTTTTGTGAATTTTAAGTAACCCAGAAGTTCAGCAGGGAAATTCACAAGTAAGCATACTACCATTCCAGTCTGTACCTAATCCAGGGTTGAAATCTTTATTAACACATTTGACTAAGACAGTCAAGATTTGTAAAAGTCGGATTTTAGTTGGGAACACATGTCCATAGTTATGTCTGATGGATTTTTGTTATAAAGTATAATCATGTTCTAGAAACTGCTTAGGCAATCTAAAGATATCTGTTAAAATAAGACATGCAAACATTTTTCAACCCTAAAACCTCACCTTTAAGAAACCAATCTCAAAGAAATAAAAGCACCAGTGTAAAATCATATATAATCAAAGATATTTGCTGTAGAATTGTTTCTTGGAGCTAAAAAAGAAAAAAAAACAAAAACAAAGTAGAAAAACTGTCGGCCATTCATAGTATGGAATATTATAGAACGTTAAAAGAGTCTGTTAAAGCTACACCAGTTGACCAGGACAATTTTTCATGATATACTCTTAAATAAAAAATAAGATGCAGAGAACACATCTTTAAAAAACTAACTGGCAAAATCCCTCCACATACATGGGTGTATAAACAAAGTTCTGAACAGATCATATGCCCACAGAGAACGGTCTGAAAGGCTATGTACAGGTTGTTGATATAAGCATAGAAAGGAACGGGGTTGGGGGAGGTAGGGGTGGAGGGTTGGCTAGTAACCAAAAGAATAATTTTTTTTTTTTTGAGATGGAGTCTCGATCTGTCACCCAGGCTAGATGGAGTGCAGTGGCGCAATCTCGATACACTGCAACCTCTGCCTCCTGGGTTCAAGAGATTCTCCTAACTTCTGCCTTAGCCTCCGAAGTAGCTGGGACTACAGGCATGTGCCACCACGCCCAGCTAATTTTTGTATTTTTAGTACAGACGGGGTTTCACCATGTTGGCCAGGCTTGTCTCTAACTCCTGGCCTCGCGTGATCCACCCGCCTCAGCCTCCCAAAGTGCTGGGATTACAGGTGTGAGCCACCGCGCCCAGCCAAAAGAATGAATTTTTTTTCCAAAAGTCCTCAATGACAACAGCATATTATTCTGATATATCTGATTTTTACAATGAGCCTGTAATAGTTAAATAATCAGATTAAAACAATAAAGTCATTTTCACAAATAAAGAAGAGATGTCTGAGAAGCAAGTCTGGCTGGAAGCTTTTCAGGTTAACAGGCAGCTTTGCAGGTTAATTCCTAGTTTCTTCATTTGCTTGTATTGGGGCTCTGAAAATGATACTCCAAAGTATGATGCTTTGGTGTGCTGAGTACTTTGAACTAAAAGATGTAGGGCTCAGAAGCAGCCTCAGAACGAAGATCTCTCTGCCCTCCTGCCCTCCTGTTTCTCTTCCCTGGCTCTCTCTTAAGGTGAGTCAGAATAAACAGAATTCCTCTTCCCCAAGGCAGTTCCCCTTTTCCCCAAAGACAGACATAAAACCTAGAAATATTACTCTAACCTTCCCCTGTCTTTCTGTCTGTCAGCTGGCTGTAAAGAAATTCTCTGACCTAACCTTGTCCGATAGTACGTCATAAGACCCTCATTCCAGAGGTTTCCTGCCCATTCCAGTGAGAAGAAATACTACAACAGAGAAGCCAAGAAGAATCTGAACAGATGGGAGGCCTTGTTGGGTTTCCCCATCAATCCGTAACCATTAGATCACCCCCTTTGGTCCAATCACATTTCTACATAGCTGTCCATTTTTCACCAAACCTACACATAAAAATAGGCAGTGTTCTCTGAGTCTTTGGGTCTTCATTGTGAAGGCTCCCAAGTCACATAAAATGTTGATTATTTAAATAAAGATGCTATGCTTTTCTCTTGTTAAGCTGTGTTTTGTTATCAAAGTATCAGCCATGACCCTTATTGTGAGAAAGAAAGGTGTCACACCCTGTCCACTTCTACACTTGCTTTATACTTTTGGAGAATCACTGAACGTCTCTCTCCACTTTCCCCCTGTGTCAAGTTAGGTAATGTTAAAGTCAGCATTATGTGAAATCATGCATTTAAAACACCTAGAAGCAGGAATGACTACTCTAAGCCCTCAATACATTGTGATTCTTAAATCCTTCTCCCTGACTCTTGCCCTAGGGTTTCAGAAGGTGGCTTCCTTGCTGACAGTGGGAGCTGGATTCAGGCTGAAGTAGCTACTAAAAGGCTCTCATATACACACATAACTGCAAGGCTTGGGCCTGTCAGATCACAGAAGGGAATGCAGAGAGTGGGAGAGGAAGGTAGGTTAGGAGGAGGAGCAGGGAGGGAAGACTGACACACTTCTTAGATATCTTTTGGTGATGAAAACAGAAAATATGACTATGAATCCATTAGTAACACACAGTGATAGAGAAAAGCATCTCTGACTGTTGATAATCTAGATTCTGATCAGCTGCCTAGTATCTCTTCTCCTTCATCATGCCCTGACCTCACTCATTGGTCCACCAAAAGCCCACCCTTCTCAGTGGATATGCACAAGCTCTGCTCACCACAACAATCCGCTGTCGTGTGGCTGCAGGGCCAGAGATTTCTGAGTAATCACAAAGGAAGCAGACCGTCTGTTTCATGGATATCTTGTTCTCCTGTGAGGATCTGACTGACATTTTTTAATTAAACTGGCCCACTGGAGTTTAATTAAGGTGTTGTCTTCTTGAGATGAAACTAAAGAAATATAGATCCCTTTTATGGAACAAACATGTAGGATAAGAAACCTTCTTCTACCCCTCTGATCTTTAAAAAAAAATGCCCTCAATTGTTTCTTTTATTCCCAAACGTTTTCTTCTTTTTATTAACAAAGTTGTTTCAGAAGTGACTTAAAATGGCCCATAGGCTAGCCCCATAAATCTACAAGTATCTGAGAAATTGCAGAGACTGATGATGTACGTTGGGGGATAAGAAAGTCTGCCTTTTAAATTCAATTTAATAGAAATCAGCTTAGAAAATATGCATTGACTAATGGCCCAGTAATGAACCCAGTTACAAAAAGTAGTTTGAATCTCACAGGGAAACTAACCAGGTTAAAAAAGTACATAATAAAAGCAACCTCCTATTGGAACGGGCACTAGATTGAAGTCAGGGTTGCTGGCTGTGGCTTTGCCCTTCCATTTTTTGGCGCTGCATCTTTAAGCAAGTTACCTAGCTTCTCTGAACAGTAGCTGCCTGATTTGCAAGATTTGAGTGTTCTACCTCGCTGTGTTAAGGCAAAGATTAAATGGGATAATAAATGTGAGAAGCTTGTGTGGCCTGTACAAATACAGATAACCATCACTATTATTTGGGAGAATTTCTTTTGGAAACGATTCTGAAGTTAACTTAGGATCATCTGTATAGCAGACAATGTTGAATCTCCTTCCCATTCCTTCTTGCCACTTTTGCATGCACCCCACCCCGATTTTGTGGTCTGGTGCTTTCAGTCCCCCACCCCCAATTCCTGTAGCTCTTTGGAGGACAACTCTCAGGCTGATGGAGCCACTTTGTGACAAGGGCAGAAAGTGGGAAGTGCCTGAGGGCCTATGATCCTTTGCACACCCTGAGACTATCATCCAATGAGTATGGGATGAAGGAGCATGAACCTGCAACACAAATAGGTCTAATTCATACTCCAGAGTGCTATAGGGTTAGACTGAATGAAGTCACACTCTGGGAGATTCTGTCCAAGCTAAGTCAAACCCTTCCTCCACTTTCTCCCTTCCCTGCTGTGCTTTCCCTGCCCACTTAAGGGTTTCCCCTGGGAGTTCTACTTCTGAGGAACCCAATCTGAGACAATACAGTATTATAAAGGCTCTCAATTCATTTTCCTTCATTTGAGAGCCTAAATTTTTATCCTTCTTATTTCTTTTAGCAAAAAGTATAATAATTCACCATTTCTCTTTGCTGACTAGGTTTCCAAATGACATAATTCCCTAGCATTTGTTGCTTTCATTCAATTATCTTTCCTCACAAATTACTTTTTGTTCACTTGAGATCTTTTAATGTATATATAGTCAATGAGCCAATTTTCATGATAATTCTCATGAATTAGGTATTCACACAATATGTACATTGATCATAATAGTAAATGACACAAAGGACCTAAGTTTTTGAAAAGAAGAATTATCATGAAGATTCCAACATCAAAGCCACCGCATCTGTCCCAGTACTGCATTCTTCTAAACTGAAAAGGACTATAGGGAACAGTTGACCAAGTAGAAATCTTTAGGCAAAGATTATGCTAATACACATGCCCACAGAGTCAGGGAAAGTCAGTCTAGAAAGCCCAACGAGAACAATCTAAAGTTTTTTTAGACTGACAGACTTAAAACCAATACTCAAGGTTCACAGCCAGGGCAATGTGCTTGGACAATTCTAACACAGAACTCCAATGGTATCTTCTATTTCAAAACACAGGAAATGAAGCAAAAAAAATCTACACTTGGATTCCAACCTTTTAAGAAGCATGGTTAATTTGAAATATACCTGAATATTCAACAAAAGTATGGATCAAGAACATTTAAATTAACCTCTTTCATTACCATCATTATCTCTTCATCCTCTCATTCACCACCACAATGGAGAAGTTATGCTTGCCACTCATTTGGACAATAGGGTCATAAGTCGTGGGTTTAGCATGCAGTACCTGCTGTGGTACACATTCTTCTGTTAATGAGCATGCATAACTCTTCATCCCTAAGGAACTGTCTCTGCACATAAAAGGATACATAATTTTTTATAATGCCAGAAAGAAGTAAATACAGCTCATTGAGTTTTCTATGGGAGGATTTGGAGAGTTTAATTATCATGCACTGCCAGTATCTCTAGGCACTTACTAGACTGGTTCTTTTTCCATGTATCATACCACCAAGTTACCAAGTATATTGTTACCAAATACAAGGTAAAAGCACATTTTAGATCCTTGTGCTGGTTTCAGTGGTCATATCTTACTGCTTCTCTCTAGAGAGCAAGTCTCAGGCCACTAAAGCCACTTGGTCACATGCAGTGAGCAAAAGTGCAGAGATCAGCAACAGATCCTTCCCCACACTGTTAGCCCCTTATCTCAGATGTGAAAAACTCTTAAGGTGTCAGTTACACCAACCATAATTGATGTGTAAAAGACTTCTCCTTCCGGATGTATTCAAATTTTAAGTTATTATAATTGTTGAGTAAAAGAAAAGCATTGCATTTCCTCATAATATATATTAAATGTTCTGCAAAGAAGCTGACACATACTAAATGTTCAGTAAATGTTGGTTGCTATTATTGTGTTTATTAGAATGATTATTATCGTTAAGAAAAACTCAAGAGAATTATCAAACACTTCTAGAAAAAATCAGGAAAACAACTGAAATTCAGTTTCAAAATGTTCAAGAAATTTCTGCCATTTCTTAAATTGTTTATAATGCAATGAGTGAAAAAAGACTGTTAAGAGAGAATATCCTACCCAAGAAATTCTACCTTAGACCAGGTTCAGTGGCTCACACCTATAATCCCAGCACTTTTGGAGGCCATGGCAGGTGAATCTTTTGAGTCCAGGAGTTCAAGAACAGCCTGAGGAACATGGCAAAACCCCATCTCTATAAAAAAATAGAAAAGTTAGCTGGGCATGGTGGTGTACTCCTGTAGTCCCAGCTATCAGGGAGGCTGAGGTCTAAGGATCACTTGAGCCTGGGAAGTTGAGGCTGCAGACAACTGTGAGAGTGCCACTGCACTCCCGCCTGGGCAACAGATCGATACCCTGTCTCAGAAAAACTGTAAGAAAATCAGAGAAGCTCTAAGATAACAGCTAATGTAAATATGTATTTCAGATGATCTTATGATACTTGACACATCAAAACAAAGTGAAAAGTATTAATCTAGGACTTTCTATCCTTCATTACTTGATCAGAACATACACAAACATATTCACACATGCACACATACACACATTCATGCACACACAATCTTACAGAGACACATTCAGACACACACGAAGGCAGTCCTTGACTTGCAAGATGGTGCAGAGCCATAAACATGACCATTTATGCTGAACTGTGCAAAGCAGTGTTAATAATAAATGCAAAAATTTATGATTGTTCTTTGACCTTTAAAATTGTTTGTCGAGGCGTTAAAAACTCTTATGTTAGTTATAAATGTTAGAGAAATAAAAAATTAATATAACTAATATTTATCCAGCATAGTGTAATTTAAAACACCAGAAGACATTTTAAGCGTGAGATTTTTTCCCTTCATAAAAATCTTAACCAAGAATAGCTTGAATTTCTCGTCATGAAACTTACAAGAAATGGGGTAAGCATCTTGCCTATGTCCTGATGAATCATCACATTCCTTTCTAAATTTGGATCCGATTCTAACATTTTGTCCTGTGTGCTCTGAATGTTATGAAATATTTTGAAGCATTCTTTTAATGTAAAGTTTCTTGTCAGTGTCACTTCCTCTGGGACATCTTTGTCCTTTTTGTCACAAATAGTTTTCTCATTTATGTTGGTAAATTGTTCACCTTCACTAAGTTCCTCTGGCTGTGAATCTAGTCTTTTGAATGGCTATGCTGTCAACATTCCTAGTCAGCTATGTCTTCTATATATGTTTGATTCTAATTTCACCTACAGTTTTATCACTTTTTGTTTCTTTGCTGCATTTTATTTTATTGATTGATTGATTGATTGAGACAGAGTCTCGCTCTGTCACCCAGGCTGGAATGCAGTGGTACCATCTCAGCTCACTGCAACCTCCGCCTCCTGGGTTCAAGCAGTTCTCCTGCCTCAGCCTCCCAAGTAGATGGGACTACAGGCACATGCCACCATGTCCGGCTAATTTTTTTTTTTTTGTATTTTTAGTGGAGATGGTGTTTCACCATGTTGGCCAGGTTGGTCTCAAACTCCTGACCTCAAGTGATCCACCCTCCTCAGGCTCCCAGAGTGCTAGGATTACAGGCATGAGCCACTGTGCCCAGTCATCTTTGTTGTCCAATTCCCTCTTTTAAGCTTCAATTTTTGTAAAATATCCCATAGGTTTATCACTGAGAGACAAGAAGGCAACAAAGGTACATGCTTTGTGATCTGTGCATGAACTGAATAGCAGATGTGCAGTGACCCATCATGACAGACTTTGAAAAACATGACATGATTGGTCATTGATTGAGATGAGTACCTGTTATCTACCTAATGATTTGTGAGCTAAAGATCTGGCAGTTAAATGTATATGTTATGCAATTACTCAGTTAACACAATGTGGTAACTAAAATTTGAACTGTGTTGTTGGAGTACTGGTATTATATAACTAAACCATGGTTACTAAATTCATGGAAATTGGAACCCTGTGAAGCAAGGACTGTCTGCACACACACACACACACACACACACACACACACACTCTGTATATATGAAATGGTCTGGCTCTGTTTCCCCACCCAAATTTCATCATGAATTGTAATCCCCACATACTAGGGGAGGGATCTTGTGGGAGGTGATTAGATCATGGAAGCGGTCCCCTCATGCTGGTCTCATGATACTGAGTGAGTTCTCACAAGATCTGATGGTTTTATAAGGGGCTTTTTCCCTCCTCACTCTGCACTTCTCCTTCCTGCTGCCCTGTGAAGAACGATGAGTCTGCTGCCCCTTCTGCCATCACAGTGTTTTCTGAGGCCTCTCCAGCCATTCTGAACTGTGAGTTAATTAAACCTCTTTTCTTTATAAATCACCCAGTCTCCGGTATGTCTTTATTAGCAGCGGGAGAATGGAGTATAGTAAACTGGTACCAGGAGTGGGGTGATGCTGCAGATACCCAAAAATGTGGAAGCAACTTTGGAACTGGGTAACAGGCAGAAGCTGGAACAATTTGGACGGTTCAGAAGACAGAAAGTTGTGGGAAAGTTTGGAACTTCCTGGTCTCAGATGGAGAACTTGTTGGGAACTGTATGGAGGTCTCAGATGGAGAAACTTGTTGGGAACTGTAACAAAGGTGATTCTTGCTATGTTTTAGCAAAGAGACTGGCAGCATTTTGCCCCTGCCCTCGAGATCTATGGAAATTTGAATTTGAGAGAGATGATTTAGGGTATCTGGCAGAAGAAATTTCTAAGCAGCAAAACGTTCAAGAGAAAGCAGGGCATAAAAGTTTGGAAACTCTGCAGCCTAATGATGAGATATAAAATAAAAACTCATTTCTTAGGGAGAAATTCAAGCCTGCTGCAGAAATTTGCGTAAGTACCAAGGAGCTGAATGTTAATCACAAAGACAGTGGGGAAAATGTCTCCAGGGCATGTCGGAGACCTTCACAGCAGCCCCTCTCATCATAGGCCCAGAGGCCTAGGAGGAAAAAATGGTTTCATTCACCATGTCTTTAGATTTGGTGACATGGTGTCCTTGTGACATGGTGTCCGGTGTCCCAGATGCTTCAGCTCCAGCTGCTAAAAGGAGCCAAGTTACAGCTCAGGCCATGAATTCAGAGGGTGTAAGCCCCAAGCCTTGGTGGCTTCCACGTGGTGTTTGGCCTGTGGTGTACCAAAGTCAAGAACTGAGGTTGGGGAACCTCCACCTAGATTTCAGAGGATGTGTGGAAACACTTGGATGTCCAGGCAGAAGTGTGCTACAGGGGCAGAGCCCTCATGGAGAACCTCTGCTAGGGCAGTGCAGAAGGGAAATGTGGAGTAGGAGCCCACACACAGAGTCTCCACTGGGGCACTGCCTAGTGGAGCTGTGAGAAGAGGGTTACTGTCCTCGAGAACCTAGCATTGTAGATCCACTTACAGCTTGTACTGTGCACCTGGAAAAGCCACACCCAGTCAAGGCAAGCCTGTGAAAGCAGCTGGGAGGGGAGCTGTACCCTGCAAAGCCACAGAGGCAGAGCTGCCCAAAGCCATGGAAGCCCACCTCTTGCAGCAGTGTGACCTGGATGTGAGATATGAAGTCCAAGGAGATCATTTTGGAACTTTAAGGTTTAATGGCTGCTTTATTGGATTCTGGACAGCATGTGGCCTGTAGTCTCTTTGTTTTGGCCAATTTCTCCCATCTGAAATGGGTGTATTTACCCAATGCCTGTACCCCCATTGTATCTAGGAAGTAACTAATTTGCTTTTGACTTCACAGGCTCATAGGCGGAAGGGATTTGCCTTGTTTCAGATGAGACCATGGACTTGCACTTTTGGGTTAATGCTGAAATAAGTTACGATGTTGGGGAACTGTTAGGATGGCATATTGTGTTTTGAAATGTGAGAAAGATGAGATTTGTGAGGGGCCGGGGACAGAATGATATGGTCTGGCTCTGTGTCCCCAATCCAAATCTCATCTTGATTTGTAATCCCAACGAGTTGTGGAAGGAAACTTGTGGGAGGTGATTAGATCATGGGGGCAGTCCCCTCATGCTGTTCAAATAATACTGAGTGAGTTCTCAGGAGATCTAATGGCTTTTTAAGGGGCTTTTCCGACCTTTGCTCTGCACTTCTCCTTCCTGCTGCCCTGTGATGAAGGATGTGTTTGCTTCCCCTTCCACCATGATTGTTAAGTTTTCTGAGGTCTCCCCAGTTGTGCTAAACTGTGAGTCAATTAAATCTCTTTGGAAGGGCAAAAAGAGAAACCAGGCCTACCTGGTTCTCCCACCCTTTCATAAGGCATTAATCCATTCATGATGGCATGTTCTTTCCATATTTGTATAAGAGTCATATTTTTGTCATAAACTACCCAGTCTCAGGTATGTCTTTATTAGCAGCATGAGAATGCACTAATACAATATGTATGCACACACACACACATATATAGAGAACTCTGATGAGTTTTTTCAGGGGCACAGTAACCATGTGCTAAAAAGAAAATGTAAGTGAAATCTGACCACTTTAAGAGATGGGTCCCCCTACTATATTGAAGGATGAACAATGATCTGATGCGCTAGAGACTAAAGAGAGCTTGGAATTCCTCAAGGCTACATTCCAGGCCTCCCCTCTCCAGTGGATACACAGCGGCTTTTGATGCCAATGCAGGTAAAACAGGATGAGATAACATTTCTCACCCACCATCTGAGGACCAACTAGTGCTTTATGGGCATTATCTCCTATCTCCTCACAACTGCCCAGCAGTAGTGAGCAGTATTTACAAAGAAGAATTTGATCGCCAATCAGTTCCACATGCACAGGACAGCTCTTCTCTACCATACGCTAGTACTGCTTGCGAAGTCACACCTAGAAAGCCAGCCTTTGTGTGAAGGCTGACACAGGCTTGGCATTTTTGGAAGGTACTTGGAAATTTCTACTCAGCTTTGAGGTCTCAAGTTAAAAATCACTTCTGCCATGTGCTATGACCCATGCTTGCAATCCCAGCTGCCTGGGAGGCTGAGGCAGGGGGATCACTTGAGGCCAGAAGTTGGAGACCAGCCTGGGAAACCTAGGGAGACTCCATCTCTACAATTTTTTTTTAGTTAGCCAGGCATTGTGGTACATGCCTACAGTCCCAGCTATTTTGGAGGCTAAGGAAGGAGGATTGCTTGAGCCCAGGAGTTTGAGGCTGCAGTGAGCTATGATTGTGCCCCTGCACTTCAGTGTGGGCAACAGAGCCAGACCCCATCTCAAAAAATATATTAAAATTAAAATTAAAAAAATAAAAATAAAAGTCACTTCCTCAGGGAAACTAAGGCTAGGTGAACACCATCCCACTATACATTCTGTTCATATTCAGTACTTTTGCTTTATAGTGTATATGTATTTATGTGCTTACTTTTTACTCAGGTATTGTAGTAAGTGCTTTACAAATAATAACACATTCAATTCTTATAACTAATAATCATAAACTTATGAGTATGATAAACAAATTAGACTGTGTGCCCCAAAAGGACAGAGATCACATCTGCCTTTTTTACCTCTGGATCCTTAGTCCACTAGTGCTGCTCTAACAAAATACCTGAGACTGGGTAATTTATAAAGTACAGAAATTAATTTTCTCACAGTTCTAGAAGCTGGAAAGTCCAAAATCAAGGTGACAGCAGGTTCAGTGTCTGGTATCTCTGCTTCTAAAAGGCACCTTGAATATTGAGTCTTCACATGGTAGAAAAGATGGAAGGGCAAAAAGGGAAACCAGGCCTACCTGGTTCTCAAGCCCTTTCATAAGGCATTAATCCATTCATGATGGCATAATCCTCATGACTTAATCACCTCCCAATGGCCACACCACTTAATGCTGTTGCATTGGTGATTATAAGTTTCAACATGAATTTTGAAGGGGACATAAACATGCAAGCCATAGCAGATCCCCAGTGCCTAGTCCTAGTATCTAAAACCTACTAGGTCAACAAATGTTTATTTGTAGTCCTATATATCATGTGAAGATTGTTCTAAGCATCTCTAGACTGTTCTACTGGGTAAAGACACCCCTTTATTTGCTAACATAACTTTTAACTACAGAAAGCATAAACACTTTTCTTTACAAACTTTTTTTTAAACAAAAGCATAAGTATACTGGTTGCCTGAAAATTAGGTTGGTCACTATTATAACTCATTTGGTTTTTACCAAGAAAAAGGAATGGGGAAAATATTTTAGGACAATAGGCTCCCTAGACCAGCATCCCCAAACTTTTTGGCACCAGGGATTGGTCACTCCTATGAGAATCTAATTCTGCCACTGACCTGGAGGAGGTGGAGCTAAGGAGGTGGACCATGGACCAGTACTGGGTCTATGGCCTGGAGACTGAGGACCCCTGGTCTAGACCACTGCTCTCTAAACTTGTCTCAGTGAGTTCCTGATCTATAAAAACTGCATGTTCCCTCAATATCTATATATTTATTTAAAAATGGATATACAATATTTTTTCTAAAATGGATATACTATACTAGAAAAAATATGCACTGCAAAATATGTCGCTTTGGCATAAGAATTATTTTGAGCTGATTTTGAGAAATCACAGACACAGGAGAGGGTCAAAAACAGAGTAGAAGTTACCCTTTTGTAAGAAAAATTTATATCTATAAAGGAAATCTCCATTTCTAAGGGTGTCTCCACTCTCTGTACCAGGAAGAGAAGGATGACTAATCACAAGAGAAGGTGTCTATTTATATCTGGATAACAAAACTTACCTTTGTTAGGTGTGCTTTTCCTGGTCACCTTTCCATAACTAACCTTTCCAAAATGTTTCTTTGTTTCAGCTGACGGTGATATTTAAATCTGAACTCAAAACCCCTTCCTTGAGATTTATTTTCATGTATACATGAGGTATACATGTTAATAAGCCTCTATTTGTTTTTATCTTATTAATCTGTCTTTTGTTACGGGGAAGGGGGAGGTCCCAGCAAATAACTCACAAAAAGTAGAGAGAAAATTATAATTCTTCCCCTACAATTCTGGCAATGAGAATGGGATCTGTGGGACATCCCATTTGCTGTGGAGCCTGCAGATGGGATCCTGGGAAAACTGGAAAAGGGTAAGAATTCTCACAGAGGGACTCTAGTGTATCTGTCTCCACAGTGCCTGATCGAGAGAGAAAGGTAAAATTATGTTTCTTCCCCTACAATACTAATATAAGTTGTAAAGCATGCTTAAAAGAAGAAATTTTTAAAGGCATAATTAAAAAATAAAAATAAATTTTTAATGTTTTCACCCATGCCCTAAGTATTATATACTTCCTGGTGAGTAAATGCCTTTTATCTTCTGACAACATCAAACAATAATTATCACTACAGAATCAAGGTATCTAGAAAAATAAATTAATTTATCAGGAAGTCTTTGTGTTTACATCCCTATTATGGAAATAAACACACACCTTGAATGTGTCACTAAAAATATAGATCTTGATTTTGCCATTTCCACGAGAAAAACACCCATATAAATCCCAAATCAGTCACTTCTTCAACTTCTTCTACCAATATTAGATTCAAATCATTGCAATCATCTGACATATGCTTCTCTTCCCTTAGTGCTCCATCCATCTCTTATGGAATGTTCAGATGACACACGAATGGATCAAATGGAAAAAGAAGGCTGGGCAAGAGAAACAAAAAATGCAAGAAAATACAAACAAATATCTTCGCTTTAGTCAAAAACTAACCCAACCTGAATTTTTATTTATTTTATTTTTTTGAGACAGACTTTTGCTCTGTTGCCCAGGCTGGAGTGCAGTGGCATGATCTTGGCTCACTGCAACCTCCGCCTCCTGGATTCAAGCAATTCTCCTGCCTTAGCCTCCCAAGTAGCTGGGACTACAGGTGCCTGCCACCACACCCAGCTAATTTTTGTATTTTTAGTAGAGATGGGGTTTCACCATGTTGGTCAGGCTGGTCTCGAACTCCTGACCTCGTGATCCTCCCGCCTCAGCCTCCCAAAGTGCTGGGATTACAGGTGTGAGCCACCACACCTGGGCTGAATTTTTTTTTAATTCCTGGGAGTTTCAAAAATTTTATTTTCTTGCTCTCTTTTAGTTACTTTTCATTTTACCAAATCCATATCTCAAATCTAATCTAATTCTGTCTACTGTCTATAACAGATATGTTATTTTAAATTTTTACCTAGTAATACTTGAGGCTGAACTGTAAAATCTCTAAGGACAGAGGCATGTCTATCTTTTCTACCCTTATATTCTTGGCACAATACCTGACTCTCAATAAGTATGTTTTAACAAATAAATTAATGAGACAGAAAACATTTTCTAGAGCTCTCTGTGTACAGTGATTATATAGTGAATGAAAAATATCCTAAATCAGTCCATTTTTAAAAATCTATTTTGTGTGTGTGATATTGTCTCACTTTGTCACCCAGGCTAGACAGAGTGCAATGATATGATCATAGCTCACTGCAACCTTGAACTCCTGGACTCAATCAATCCTCTGGTCTCAGCCTCCCGAGTAATTGGAACTACAGGCATGGGCCACCATGCCTGGCTCCATTTAAAGATTATCCCTCAATATAAAGAAAAAATGTACATAATTCTTGTTTTGTTTTTCTTTTTAATGAAAAAAGAGAACAAAAGAAACAGCTACATTGGCAAGTCTGTTAGATTTGGACCACTTTGGCCATGTAAAATCTCAAATAGCAAAACTAAAAGTGATAAAGTGCACTAGCTCAAATCCAGTACTCTCAGCTTGGCATTAAAATCTGTAAAGCATAATCCAGCTTTTTCATCCTGCTAGTTCCCTCATTAAAGAGTTAAATAAATGTTAATGCATGTTCTTTCCATATTTGTATAAGAATCATATTTTTAACTTTTCAAAAATTATGCCTTGTAAGTACCAAGATGCCTGAGAAGTCAATTAAACTGCATTGCCTGAAAATATACCTCCTAGGCTCCTCTTCTCAGTCCATCTTTTCTTGGATCCTGGAATGAAAGGATTCCAAGAGGCAACAGAATTTCAGGTTTGCTGACTAAATTTTTCTATTTTTTTTCTTCTGACTTGTGTTTTTGTTTGTTTGGTTTTTGTTCTTGGCCAATGTTGTTCTTATTCTTGCTTGTGCATAGCCAACAGGTTATTCCCGATTGGTGGCAGCAGTAACTGGGAATTTGGTTTTATGTTCTACTTATTTGGTGATCTCTTTTGTGTAGAGACAGGAATTGCCCTTTTTCAGATGAGAGACAACAGAGATACTGGTTTGTTAGTCTTTTTGCTTTCCTGTCTGTCTGTGCAAATGTATGTCTTACCTTCCATTGAAAAGGAGACTCTCTTTCAGATATGAATTTTTATATTCTAGGTTTATTCTGACCTAGAGCTGAATATGTAAAAGTAAAGCTGTAAGTTCTCTGAGTATCTGCATACCTCTACTGAGAAAAGAATTTACTTCTCATGTGTAATTGTAAAAATACTTTTCTAACTCTGGAGTAATTAAAAATTTATATTGTGAAGTCTCTAGAAATAAAAAAGATTGTGATTGGTTTATAGATACCAATAAGCACTCCATATATTTAGCATTCTTAAAAATCCCAGAAAAGTTTTTTCAAAAACTGAATTTCTAACACTTTAAATGTGCTACTCTATTAAGAAAGAAAAAAAAATCTTCTCAAAGAAACTACTAGCTCAGCAGCATTTTCCTATAAGAAGCTATGTTCACAGAATCGTTGGCAAATCAGATCATTGTTCTCTTTTCAGTGTTTGATCACTGATTTAAAAGAAACTGTTTTCTCCCTAATTTTATCAGGATAGAATATAATACAAGAAAACACACACACACGCACACACACACACACACGCATATAAAACATAATTTGGGTTCCTTTTCTAATCAAGATACTAACTAAACTTCTGGTTTCAGCTCCAATATGTAAAGAGCTGGGAAGTCATCACTTACGTCTGTACAAAAAGAAAAGCTAAATGAACTAAAAATCAACAATTTTTCTTGGAAGCTTCAGAGAACTGAGCTTGCAGGGCAAACTGCCACCCCAAAATCTGGAGAACCAGGCTAATCCAAAGAGTTGACAGCCAAGATCAGTTTACCTGAAACAGAAGCCACTGGAGTCATAAACTGGTAGGAAACACTTAAATGGTAATTTTGACAAATTCCTGGGGGGTGAGTGTGGACTAGTATTAACAGTGAGAAACTCCTGGGAGCCATAGTCTTGGGCTCCCCAACACTTTTATGGGTTTTACCTCCAGGAACCCTGCCATGTTCTCACAGAGAAGAGCTAAAACAGATTCCCTTCTGTCTCTGGCAGGCAGAGGGAAAGAGTATTTGTGAAATATTCAGAGCATTTTCTATAACAAAGGCTTAGTCTCCAGGGGAAAGATTTTACCAGAGCCTTACCCCCGCCCCAGGCACAGGGCATTTCTCCTAGTGGACTTTCTCTAGCTTTTCTGTCTCACCTAAGGGAATTGAGGGAAGCTAAGAAACATTGGTGAAGGTCACAGCCCAGGAATACAGGCCCCCTAAAAGACTGAGATTTAATCATAAGATTATGGAATGCTTTTCCTCTCCCATGCCTTACCACTATATTAGCAGGACTCTGGTATAATGGTAGTTTACTGGGAAGAGTAGAAAACACATAGACTCTATTTAAGGAAGAATTCCTAGCGAAGCTCAAGGACAAAAGTGGAGACAAAAACGAGAACACTAGAGGAAGTTGAGGCCCCTGGCACCTACCACTACATCAAACATTAAACACAGCCTAACACCTAGCAAGACTTCAATAAATTCTCTAACTAAAATGTCTGTTTACCTCAAAGAATGAAGAAAACAGAATAGGCCATGAAAGAATTGTGGGACAATTTCAAAATGTGTAACAGATGTATCATTAGAATACTAGAAGAAAAGAGAGATCAAAATGGAAGAAATATTTGATGTAATAATGCCTTCGAATTTTCCAAATTAATGACAGACATGAAATAACATACACAGAAAATTCAAAGAGCACCAAGTGGTTCTCCTGAATATTCACATCTTGACATATCATATTCAAACTAAAAAACAAATAGATTAGAGAAAATCTTGAAAGAAACCAGAAGAGGATAAGAATTATGGTAGACTTCTTTTCATTCAAGAAAGAAGAGTGGATTGAAATATTTAAAGTGTTGAAAGGAAAAAAATCAACTTAAAATTTGATATCCACCAAAATTATCCTTCAAAACTGAAAGAGATATATAGAGACCTTTTTCAGACAAAAACAGGGAATTCATCACTAGACAACCTACCCTGCAAGAAATGTTAAAAGAACTTCTTTAGGGAGAAGAAAAATGATATAGATTAAACAAAACAAAACATGGATCTATATAGAGAGGAAGAACACTGGAGAAGAAAAACCCGTAAAATAAACATTCCTCTCAAGCTTACAGAGAACACTTAACAAGACAGACCACATCCTGGGCTGTAAGTCACACCTTAACAAATTTAAGAGATTATACAAAGTGTTTTCTCAGACCACAGTCAAATTAAGCTAGAAATCAAAAATTGAATAAAAGCTGAAAAATCTCCACATATTTGCGAATTAAACAACAAATTCCTAAATAAAACATGGGTCAAGGAAGTACATCAGTCAATAATATATATATTTACATATTATGTTTATGATATAACTGCATAAATTATAAAAGAAGATCTATAATCAATAATTTAGCATTCAACTCAAGAAATTATAGAAATGAGCAACTTAAGCATAAAGCAAGCAGAAGAAATGAAATAGTATACCTTATAAAAGACAAATAAAATTACAATTAGGAAAAAAATAGAGAAAATCAACAAAACCAAAGGTGACTGTTTGAAAATATCAATAAATTTGATAAATCTCTAGCCAGGCTAACAAGAAAAGAAAAAAAAAACAGAGAAGATATAACTTGCCAATATTAGAAATGAAAGAGGGGTAATCACTATAGATCCAATGAATGTTAAAAGATTCATATAGGAATATTATGAAAAACTCTATGCCCACAAATTTCACAACTTAGTTGAAACGGGCCAATTCCTTAAAAGACATGAACTACCAAAACTCATAAAAGGAGGAATATATCTTTTGAATAGGCCTATATCTATCAAAAAAAATCCAGTTCCTAACTAATAATCTCCCAAAAAGAAAGCACCAGGACCAGATGATATAAATGGCAAATTTTTTCAATCATTTAAGGACAAAATAATACCAATTCTGTATCATTTCTTCCAGAACACTTCCTAACTCATCGTATGAGGCCAGCATCACTCTAATAGCAAAACCAGATAAAGCCATTACAAGAGAGAGTGACAGACCAATGTGGTTTTATTGAGGATGCAAACAAAATTTAACATAATATTTAATAGTGAAAAACTGGATGCTCTTTCCCTAAGTTAGAGATTAAGGAAAGAATGTCCCCTTCACTACTCCCATACAACACCTTACTGAAAATTCTAGCTAGCTTTATAAAATAAAGAAAAACCAGAAAATAAAATAAAAGGTGTACAGACTGGAAGATACAGTGAAGGAGGAAGAAATAAAATTTTCTTTGCGCATAACATGATTCTTCTATGTGGAAATCACAGAGATTTGAACATTTTTTTTTTTGAGACAGTTTTGCTCTTGTTGCCCAGGTTGGAGTGTAATGGCGCGATCTCGGCTCACTGCAACCTTCACCTCCCGAATTCAAGTGATTCTCCTGCCTCAGCCTCCCGAGTAGCTGGGATTACAGGCATGCACCACCATGCCCAGCTAATTTTGCATTTTTAGTAGAGACGAGGTTTCTCCATGTTGGTCAGGCTGGTCTCGAACTCCTGACCTCAGGTGATCCCCCACCTTGGCCTCCCATAGCGCTGGGATTACAGGCATGAGCCATCGTGCCCAGCCCCCAAAAATTCTTAAACAAATAATCAATTATAGCAAGGTTATAGGATACAAGGTTAATATATAACAGGAAATTACTCTCATACATACCAGCAGTAAAATTGGAGTTTGAATTGAAAAGCACAATACCATTTACAGTAGCACCAAAATGAATGAAATGCTTGTTATAAGCTTAACAAAATGTGTACAGGATATATATGCAGAAAACTACAAAACTCTAATAAAAGAAATTAAAGATATAAATATATGGTAGAGATAAACTATGTTCGTTAATTGGAAGGCTCAATATTGTTAAGATGTCAATTCTTTCCAACATGATCTATAAATTCAACAGAATCTCAATCAAATCCCAGCAAGCTTTTTTGTAGATATCAACAGAGGCTAGTTAGTATAAACTTCCTTAACTTCTTATACTGATTTACTGATCAGATAGATTAACACTGTTCTCATATAAAATCTATGATTATGAAAAATAGAAAATTATGTATCTGTTCAAACAAATGGAATTATAATTCTGACAAATATTTCATAACCACAGAAATTATGATCTGTACTGTCAATTTAAATATAATTTTTAAGATCTTTAGTTAATGTAAATACTGAAAAAATATTACACTGAGTTGATCAATAGATAATCTTTGAATATTTGTATATTTCCAAGTGTAATAGAATGCTAAGCCATTAGTCCCAAACATCGTTTTAATGTATGCATTTTGGCCTCCTATTTTTATATTTGCGGAGTAGTTTTAAGAGAGTAGAAACAGTAGTGGTAGAGAAATGTGTTAAAATTTTGCAAAACTTTCTGTTTTGATGGATTTATTAATAAGAAAAAAAAGACCATGAATGCTTTACTGTAAAATGTTATATTAGAATTTTATATTCTCTGTTAAAATATAATTTTAATTTGTTAGGGCTGCCATAACAAAACACTACACTCTGGGTGGCTTAAACAAGAAAAATTTATTTTCTCGCAGTTCTGGAAGCTAAAAGTCCAAGATCAAGGTGTCCACAGGGTTAGTCCAAGATCAAGGTGTCAACAGGGTTGACTTCTTCCAAGACCTGGCTCCTTGGCTTGTCTTCTCACTGAGTCCTCACCTGACCTTTCCTCCAGAGGCACACATCCCTTGTGCTTCCGTGTGTACCTCCTTTTATTATGACACCAGTCAGATTGGTCTTGGAGAATTTAGTCTATTCTTTATCAGAGGTAGCAAAAAGTTTTTTCCTTTGTAACCCTCCATATGTCCTCAGAATAATTTCCTACTCTTTGCATACTTTATCATGTATTTGATTGTTATAAAAAGTTTTTCATTTCTAAATGCTAGGGTTCATTATAATTTCATTTCCTTCTTCTATGTTTATTTACAAATTTTGTATTGCTACTTTGACTAACAGGCAGCCAAGCCAACGCCAATCTTTCTTCCAAGGTACCTATGATACCCTCTTAATGAAATAATCGAATTTTCACCGACAACTCTAGATTTTGCCTTCCTAAGATCAGAAGTCAGATTAGCCAAAAAACAAATAAACAAAAAAACAAACAAAACATTTTCCATTTTTTTAATATTTAAACTATCTCTGGGGTTTCCCAGAGGGCTCCTGGACATTCACAAAGATCTGTTCATTCACCTTATTAAAAGAAAAAAGGGATGCTAGAAATAATTAGGCTTACTTAGTAGGCTCTATATCTGTTAATTGATTCAACACTAATTAGTTGTGAGCTGCAAGAAAAGAATTACCAAATCAAGAAAAGCAAAGTAAATTACAACATGGCCTTAGCATACCATATTAATTTGTTAGGGCTGCCGTAACAAAACACTACACTCTGGGTGGCTTAAACAAGAAAAATTTATTTTCTCGCAGTTCTGGAAGCTAAAAGTCCAAGATCAAGGTGTCCACAGGGTTAGTCCAAGATCAAGGTGTCAACAGGGTTGACTTCTTCCAAGAACTGGCTCCTTGGCTTGTCTTCTCACTGAGTCTTCACCTGACCTTTCCTCCACAGGCACGCATCCCTTGTGCTTCTGTGTGTACCTCCTTTTATTATGACACCAGTCTGATTGGATTAGGGCCCATGAGTATGACCTCATTTAACTTCAATTACTTCTTTAAAGACCCTATCTCCAAATGCAGTCACATTCTGAGCTACTCATATTTGGGGCTCAATATATTAATTTTGGGGGGACAAAATACAGCCCCTAATACATACTAATATATTTTTAATTTATTTGTTTGGAACAGAATATTGTTTCTTTCCATATAAAGAAATTTAACATCCCCATGAGCACACAGTAGAATCCAATAATAAATAAAGTGTTATGAGCATTCTTAATTATTCTTTGGTGGCTCACATGTCATTGTGGCACCTCAGGTCATCATTCAAAATATCACTTACTAAAACTATGGCTATTTCTAAAGATAAGCATGAGAATTTTGGCCAAATGTTTATTCATTCTAGGAAAATAACCCAGAAATTACTTCTTGAAATAAATCCTTTATATTGGCTTTTTTAGAAATTATGATTGGATTTATTCTCCTAAAAGGAGAGGGAAAATATAGTCAACTGAGTGTTAGAAGAATGAAATATTGTCTGTTTATTAATTTTCTGCATAAAATATTTAAGAAGTTTGAAATGATGGAGTTATTTTATAGATATATCATAGCCGTTCCATAAGATATCAAATCATCCTCATCTACCAGTTAATTCAAGAAAAAATCAAGAGATTTAATGAAAAAGAATCTCTTTTTTTTTTCCTTTTCTCATTACATAGGCCTGCCAACCTAGTGATGGACAGAATTTGCCACGGTAGAATGCTCCATCAGCTCAACCCCATTCCACAATCCCAGTAACACCAAGACAATTTAACATATTCAAGTAAAGGAAGGTAGGCTACTAATTAAAGTGCAGCTCAGAAATAATTATTTAAGCAATGGAAATTGTGGATAACTAAGATAGGATTTTTTTCTTTTATTTTCTTAAGAAACACCAAAGTCTTATCCTGGCCCCTTACATTTGACAGTAAAAGTTAACTGGCACATATGATGCTGACCCTTCTTTGAGATGTACTCTGCAAACCCATGAATTGTCTTAATTTTGCCCTGTTATAATACTTCTGGTTTTCACTGCAATATAAAGCAAGATTTGATCCACAACCAAATATCTCTATTTGTGGGAATTTTCTTTGTTCTATACTGGACCTCAGAGGACTTTCAAAAGTCAATAAACTATACATGTATGTATTCCTTAGCAAATAACCCATTTAAACCACATTTTTACTAGGGCTTTATAGCGTAATGACAGTGAGTTGAGGTATAGTAATACTATGACTAAAACTAAATGTATGCATGTGTTATAACTGGCTGATCATACAAATAATTATTAAATATAAACACATATGCTTTTGTAGATTTGTTGGAGAGATTCGTTAATTGCTTAATGAAAGATGTCTTTCAGATACTAATTCCTTCATTTAGTTCAACAGATTAAATTTTATATGAGAAGATATTAGCATGCATGCAATGAAGTGGCAAGGACAACCAAAAAGCTTAAATGTTAATGGGTAAGATACAGCATTCCGGTTATTTAAAGAATGCAGCAGTATAATGTTCATTTTGTATGCTTCCATTTGCTCTCTGCATAGACGAAAATGTCCTTTTTAATATTTATGCAAATATTGCAATATCAAGATTGTTTCTACATATTTCTGAGTTGTAAATAAATTATAAAACTTTAAACAGTGTATGAATAATTCCAGATAAAATATGATTGTGCATTTTCTAATTGGGAGAGCTAACCAGGACTCAACATTTAAAACCAAAGCTAATGACTTTTTGTGCTATAGTTTTAAGCCATTATCTAATCTTTTGGAGATTCTACATTTATAGTGTGCAGAAAGCTTTAATATAAAAATAGCTTTGCCACCAGAGTTAATTTTTTCATGAAGGAAAATTACCACTAATACTAACAGACCTGTGTCTTCATTCCCCCCAGTCCCCTTAAACTGCAGTTCAATCGGGTATAATCATTTTTCCTCCCCCAGTAGGGTGCAGAGAGCCCTCTAGCTTCCAAGCCTGTTTCCTACTGAGGTACATATTGGCCAGCATACAGCTGCTCAGAACAACTATTTGCATCTACAATGGGGTCATCCCACCACAATCTTTTCAGATCAATATGATTGGTACAAACAATAGTTTGATTTTGATTGCTCTATAGTACGCTTGGGTAGAGCCTCTGAATGCAAGTGAATTGCTTAGAAACAATGGGCTGGTTCATCATCTAAAGCGTCCCTTTGCAAACAGCTGCCTCTGCCATACTCACCCTGACAACGTCCAGAAAAACAGATGGTTTCAGCATTCATGGCCAGTTTAGTGAAAGCCCCTGAGTCAACCATTCAATGCATGTTTTTTAATCTATTTGATATTAAAGGATAATTTTTTCCACTAAAAATTTTAAATATATTTAAACTCTCTAGCTGGATCTAAGTTGAATTAAAAAGAAAAAAGTAGGTATTTTCAGAGGTAAGAAAAAAAAAATCCCTTTCTTAAGTCAATATAGCCAGGTCTTTTGTTAAAACTGTATAGACTTTCATGTATGGTATGGGTAGTAATTCTGCAATACTAAACAGTAAAAATAATAATATAGCTTAAGTCCCCAAGCATTGATCTCCCAAGCTTCTGTTGTCTATTTAAAGGCAAGCCTTAAGGTTACTTTAAAAGGAAAGCATTTTTCTCCTGGTTTTGTTTTACCACAAGAAAAATCAGTCCAGGGAATTGCAATGAGAATAACGCAAGAGGCACTGTCATTCCTGCATGCTCTCATCACTCATTTACAGAATATATTAAAATATATTTTGCATTCAGTTAGTTGCAATGACTGTGAAGACTCAAGTATTGATCCAAATGCATTTGTATTTTGGTGATTTAAAAGAAGTAGTAACTGTTATATGTGTCTATGATCCCAATACTATTTTGCTTTGCATTTTTATAGTAAGCACTGACAGCAAGACAATTGTTACCTGTTAGCCCAGAGAAATATTTTAATTTCAAAAACAAATTATTAGAAACAGGAAAGTAAACGTGTTATAATTGTTATAATAGACTTTTTTGTTACTATTATTTACCATTTAAAATTTTGGAAGATAACCAAACCCAATGTTACATATTTTTCTGAATACCCCTCATTTATATCATAACTCTCTAAAGATACAAAGGAGATTAAAAGAACATTTGACATACTCTTATTAGTAACTACCTTCTGTGGAATGTATTTAATCCCAATCTGCATTTATAAATCCATAAAATTGTATATACCCTCACTTTATAGAATATTTTATTCCTAAAATCTAAATACAAAGTATGATTATAAAAATAAATTCTATGTTATTGACTTTATTGTAAGTTACTATTATGGAGTAATATAAGCTATGTCAATATGAATTTGAATTGATAAATTAACATAAATTATAAATTCATTGTGAATTACAAATTAATTTTAAATATATTTATTGTTATTTATAGATCTATACTTACATATAAGCATACATAAGTATATATTGTATATTACATAAGCATTATATTTATACATACTATATATTTATATATTAAATATAGTATTTATATATAAACATAATAATATAGTATTAAACGTAGTATAAGTCATATAGTATATTTGAATATAATATTAATATAATATACTATATTCATAATATATAAAGTGTATAGCTGACCTTTGAACAAGGTAGAGGTTGGGGCACTGACCTCCACCCCTGCACAGTCAGAAATTCACATACAACTTTTAACTCCCCAAAAACTTAACTAATAGCATACTGTTGACCAAAAGCCTTACCAATAACATAAAAAGTTAATTAACACACATTTGTATATGTGTTATATGCTATATTCCTACAATAAAGTAAGCTAGAGAAAAGCAAATGCTATTGAAAAAACCATAAGGAGGAGGATGAGGAAGAGGAGGGGTTGACCTTGTTTCAGGAGTGGCAGAAGTAGAAGAAAATCCATGTATAAGTGGAACCGTGCAGTTCAAATCCATGTTGTTCAAGGGCAAACTATATATGTTATTTATATATATAAATATAATATTCAACTAACTTTACCGATACGTAAAATGGGGATAATTTTATGTATTTCATTGGGCTCTTGGCTGGAATAAATTAGATTATCACATAAAAGCACTTAACCCAGCACCTGGCTATTCATTATTATTATTATTATCATCACCATTGTCATATTGTTTCTAGAGAAAGTATAAAGACAACATAGAGCAGAAGAAAGTATGAAGTCACCCAATGGGTAAGGCTAAAAACTTGCAGGGGAGGAACTAAGGTCATGGCCTAGCCCATGACCCATTGCAGCACCTGGAAGCCATACTTCACAACTTCAGGATTTGTTGCTGTCCTTCCCACCCAAACTCCTCTTCTGGGGACAACGAGAAGATTTTTGAGCTTGCCAGCCATGGCCAGTGTTGAAGCAGTGATGATGTCTGATGAGAGACATCATCAGATTTGTATTCTAGAAAGATCAGTTCATCCACTATTCAGTCATCTTTGCCCAGGACTGAAGCACCTGCTGAGAAGCTCTGATGTTGGGTGAGCAGCAAAGCAGAAGGTGGAGCTCTTCACCCTTGGGGTGTCTACCATCTTTAAATGCACACAGACAGACACTCCCCCGTCTATTCTCCTTCCTTTTCCTTCTAAGAGTGGTCTATCTTCACCATTTCTCCTTCCTCCCCTACAATCCCTCCCTGGTCTTCTGCCCCAAACACTTCACTACAACTGTAATTCAAATCCAGTAAGTACTTCTCAGTCCTTTTGGTACTTGACTTTGCTGCAGAATTTGAATCTGCTGATCATTCATTCTGCTATTCATTTACCTGCCCCTGTGCTGGGTCTTGGAGATCCAAGGAAACACTATTAAAATTCTCTGCTGCTTAGCCTGCCTCCCACACTCTCCCTTAGCTTTCCTCTGACTTTCACAATCACTCTCACAGATTTACTTTCCCCTACCATCCAGTGAAATGTTAGTATTCTTCAGGGTTCTATTGACTACGCCTGTTCTCAGTCTACACACCCTCATTTTCTATCCATTCATACAACAAAACCCTTACTGAACATCTCCTACATCCAAATTTTATCTGCACCCATGACTTCAACTAAAAATGACCTCCAAACTCACATCCTTCATTCACTCAACAAATAGTGTTGAGCATTGTGCCAGGCAGAGTGCTAGGCTCATCCATGTGCAGATTAGTAAACTACAGTCTCCATCTTCATAGAGCTGTAGTCTACAGCTAGAGAAAGATAACTATGCAGATGATTACAACACTAAATGACTCCAGAGATGAAAGCACAAAGGTTAACCTAATATGCAGAAAGGATTTAGATTTCATTCTACATGTATAAAAGCAGGGGAGAGACATCATCACATTTGGTTTTCTTTTTTATTTTCTTTTTTTTCTTTTTTCTCTTTTTTTTGAGACGGAGTCTTGCTCTGTCTCCCAAGCTGGAGTGCAGTGGTGTGATCTTGGCTCACTGCAACCTCTGCCTCCTGGATTCAAGAAATTCTCCTGCCTCAGCCTCCTGAGTAGCTGGGATTACAGGTGCACACTGCCACACCTGGCTGATTTTTGTATTTTTAGTAGAGACGGGGTTTCACCATGTTGGCCAGGCTGGTCTCGAACTTGTGATCTCAGGTGATCCACTCGCCTCGGCTTTCCAAAGTGCTGGGATTACAGGTGTGAGCCACCAAGCCCAGCCCAGATTTGTATTTTAGAAAGATCAGTCTGACTAAATGTAGAAAATAGATTAGAAGGGGGTAGAGAGAAAAGGTACCATAGTAATCCAGGTAAATGATGATGGCAAGCTGGACTGAGGGAGAGCAGTGGGGACAGAAAGAAATAGTGGATTTTAGAGCTATCTAAAAGTAGATTTGAAGACTTATTGAATCCTAAAGCTAGATACGTAAGAAACTCTGGGAAACGGGATAGGACACATGGGGTCAGTTATGTTCATGTGGCTATATTTCTATGGTCCAAAGAATATCACCTTGTTATAGTTCTTATAATGGCACTTTGTAATTCCCTGTATACGAGTTTGTTTCCTGCACCAGAGCAGTGGTTTTCAGTACTTTTCTACCTCCATACTATCCATATATTTAATCAACTTCCATTGAACTATTTCTTATTAAAAACAGGGTGGGTGGAAGGGGAAGGAGAAGAGAAAGGAAGCTCAATATCTCTAGGGGAAAATATGATACGGGAGTTGGAAATCCTCCACTAACTACATAAAAAGTTTCTTGACAGCAGGTGAGGTATCTTTTTATTGTGTTTACCTGAAACCTAGCACAATGTCTGGCACAAAACCAGGTGCACACTGTTTCTTGAATGAATAACTAAATGAATAAATGCATGCTAAAATGCTCCTAGACATTTAGCCATACAATCTGTAATGATACTCCAGGAAAAAAGAACAAGCTCTCCCCTCTGTCTAACTTTCTATGATTGATTTTCCTTTCAAGGCTTTTTTATTTGCAGGTTAGGGGTGGGTAGATGAGACAGAGGATATGAACATGAAAATAAGAGTAAAGTTTCAGGTCCAGAGTCATGAAGTTTCAGGGATGAAATGATTCTCCACCTTTACCTCACTTTAAAGAGTACGGAAGTGAGGCATGGCAACCAACAGGATCTAGATCTACTGACCCAAATCCAGTGGTCTTTTTCTCTCCAAAACCTTACAACCCAAACCTTTCACAGGCTTAAAACATCTAGATGTTGCAAAGGATCTCAATTTAAGGGCATGTTTGAAGTCAAAGGAATGAATTTAATCACCTTTGCTTCTTAGGGAAAAATTAAGTTGCAAAGAAGATATTGGTTCCATCTGTTGGTTTATTTTTCATTTGTCTGTTTCCCAACTTGATCCAAGCACATAAATATCCCTAAGCAACCTTTAAGTACAGTAGATATTGTGCTTTGAACATCTGCAAACAAGTGATTCTCCAAATCCTTAGTGTGGTAGCAGGAGAGGGAACCAAGCTTTTCTGGAGTGTTATCAAGGGGAAATGTGAAGAGTCCCTGGGACTGCTGATCAGTAACTTAATACTGAGTTGAACTTGCTTCTCCCTCTACCCTGGGTTTAAACCACTTCCCAGCACCAATCTTAATTCTTGTGTTTTGTTCTCTTTAGGTTCTCCCAATTTCTCCAGAACAAAGGTGATTCCTATACTAAGACTACTTTCCAGGCACCACGGCTTGGTACCCTGCCCTCTAGGCATCACTGATGCTACCTGTCCCGCTGTACGCTTCTTGACCTTCCCTTTACATCATGCCAGGACACCATCCTCACGCCAACTGCTGGATCTTCTTGCTGTTTAACATCAACTTCCCATGAATTTCCTGCTGCAGGGATAGTTCCCTGTCCAGTTCCATTTTCAGTAGATGTGCCTTTATACTGGGTCCCTGGTTGCTTCCTGTGACAATATTCTAAATTATTTTCTTAAAATGTAAACTGTTTTAAATTTTAAAAGTAATGTGCTTTCATTGGAGACAATTTTTAAAAGAGAGATGAGGAAAAGAAGAAAATAAATGTGACCTGTCATCATATCTCTCAAAGATAACCACTGCTAGTATTTAGGTATATGTCCCTTATAAACCCACACAATTCGCATACAGACATACAGAGTCTTATCCACAAAATGACATCACATGGAATTGTAAACCTGTTTTTCTCTTTATCTCATAATATGGTATAAACATTTTCATGCCATTAAGTACTCCTATACGATGTATTTTTAATATATGAATATAATTCCATTTTAGGGATATAACATAATCTATATTAACCACCCTTTGTTATTGGTTGCTATTTAATTTATTTTTACTACTATAATAAATGCTATAATATATAGCATTCATATAAGGATGCAATAAGTACATATATTAATCATCTTCAAGCACCTCTATGATTATTTCCCAGGGACAAATTACTAGAATTACAATTGCTTAGTCAAACGGCATGCATGCATTTCAGCCTTTTGATGCATATGGGAAAATTGTCTTTCAGAAAAACTGAAGCAATATACTATGCAACTGACAGTATATGGGAGTGCTTACCCTTGTCTGAATAGCCTTTTCTTTTCTGCCTCAAAAACTAGGACATCTTAACTATTTACCCAGGATCATAAGATCAGATTTTGCTTTGAATACTGCCTTCAACAGACCGTAAACCTGGGCATGGTTCCTAACCTCTCTGACCTTTTAATCTCTCTAATAGCATGTGAAAGAACATAGCACCACATAGGCACCCAATAATTCACAATAAAAGTTTATTTTTTTTCCTTTCTTATGTCATACACCAGCCAACATGTAAATTATCATTGCCACTCAATTTTGTTATTTATATTCTTATGAATATGTTTGTTCTAGAAAAGCAACACCATGATCCACTTTCCAGGGATGTACTGTGATGAAATGCCAGGCCACCTATAGAATTAGAAAGCAATATCACTCATTGCCAGCAGATGCCACTACCTGATCCATGATGTATGTACTCCAGAAAAAAAAAAAAAATCTTAACAGTACTGTATAAGGTTCCAGGTGCTGTAAGCAAGTCAGTGATCTAGCTAGATCATGAGTGATACACACCTGAAATTATGTAAAAAACTATATAAAGAAGTTTACTTACAAACAGGTCTACATATTTTGGAATATATTTTCATAATGAAATGTCTTGTCCAACTTTCTGTTAAATAAATTGTGTGTGTGTATGTGCATGTGCGTGTGTGTGTGTGTGTGTGTGTGTGTATAAATCAAGTTAAACTCCAAAGTTCCTCTGAGAGGTTTATATTAATTATGAGCTGCTCTCCGATGTATCTCTGCCACCCACGGAGTTCTAATGACTTTAAAATATGCTAGTAATGAGGAAAGACATATGGGATATTATGTAGAGCTGAGGTAGGTGGTAAGAGATACAGAATGGGACTCAAGGAGAGAATATATTTTTCTAATGTTCTCTGTGTGAAATTACACACTACAGTATTTGAAGAGAAACTGCAAAATCTTATGTCCTTTTCTACATATGTAAGTCTATACATGTATGCCTGAAACCTTGATCCTATGTACAAATATAGGGTCAAATTTTATATATATGAAATGTTTATTATAATTTCTCTTGCAATTCATAAAGAAAGTGCAATCTGAGAAACTTCTGCACTTTAATGGCAGCCATCAATGTCTTGTCTCTGAATACCCTGGCTTAGGTTTTCCACTTAGAGATGATGAAAGCTTTGGTAATTTACTATTCATATACTACTTCTGCTACATATTAAAGAGATCAGAAGAAAGTTGAGAGAACACACAGATAGCATACACACACACACACAATTAACAATCTGAAAAAGTTTAAAGAGTGTGCAAAAATTAAAGGTCAAATATGAAGATTTTCCTGTGTTTGAAATGTTATTTTCCACTGAAGATTTAAAGAGAAGACTTTTATTTATAAAGTACAAGAATACAATGGTTCTCTCTAAATGGTTAACACTCTTTTAAAAATAAACAATAGACTTATATTTGGAAAGACTGAAAAGAATTCCTCATTAAAAATATTAATAGCATTTTTTTCAAAGCCAAAAACAAATGCCAAATACCTACTATCTGGGTTTGTTCTTGATTTCCAATTTATTGATAGCATCTAAAATGTCTGTCTTCTTTGTTGAGATCTGAAGCTTTATGTTAACATTTAGCATCACATCAGCTCTCCTTGCTTTGCAATCCAACTTGGTTTCTTCTATATACTAAGCAAGTATATGTAGACGTTCTTCGAAGTCCAAGCATGTAACCTTGTCACACCAAGGACTAATGTCCAGTTTGAGGAAAAGCAAACCACTCTGCAGAGAATGAGTCAGACCACTGGGATTGAGGTATGCCCATTCACGCAAAAGGAAGGAATACGTGACAGGACAACTCAGGGGCCAGGGCAGTGGTGAAATAGACAAGACTCTCGCCCTCATGAGGCCTACATTGTAGTCACTGGGAACAGGCAAGAACCAGTACACAAATACATTAAGCCAGTAAGTTTCAAACCAGATAAATCTATAAAGAAACGAAATGAAATCATTTCACAGGGTGAGAGGACTGCTTTAGAAAGGATGGCGAGGAGAGGCCTCTCTGAGGAGGTGACACTTGAGCTGCACTTTGGGTGACAATCTTGACCCCACTGTAAGAATGTGAGGGCTGAGCTCCAGTCAGAAGAGGAAGGGGGCATAGCAGAGCCAGCTCACCATGTCCATGCAACAAAGAGGCCAGTGTGGTTGGTGCTCATACACAACCATGTCCATGCAACAAAGATGCCAGTGTGGTTGGTCCCATACACAACCATGTCCATGCAACAAAGAGGCCAGTGTGGTTGGTGCTCGTACACAACCATGTCCATGCAACAAAGATGCCAGTGTGGTTGGTCCCCATACACAACCATGTCCATGCAACAAAGAGGCCAGTGTGATTGGTGCCTGTACACAGAGGGGACAGAGGGTGTGAGGAGGCTTCTGTGTGGGCCCTGTGGCTCTAAATAGGATGCTCGTTCTATTCTCAGAGGAATGGGAAGTCGGGAAGAGTCTGAAACAGGAGAGTGGTACGCATGATATGATTACATCACGAAAGCCCTGCCCAAAAAATGCAGGGTATCTTGAATATATTTTTAGTATTGAAATATTTGAGGCCAACTTGGTGCATTACATTAATAAATTTAATTTTTAAGATCTGCAGGAGGTCTCAGGGCTTGGGAATGTTTTATCATTGGAACTGTGCTTGCCCTAACAGTAAGTTGAAGTGCTCACAAAGATAATCTATTACATTTAAAACAATCTTTAAATGTTTAAGATAATTTAACAAGTAGGGGTCAAGTCAGAGACTGGAAGGACTAGAGGAAGTAAGTCCAACAAAGGTGAGCAGAGAGACAATGCAGGCAAGCAGTAGGGAGGGAGGGAGGCCTGGAGTTAGGGGATTCAAGCCCTTGAGCAAGGCTAGGCCATGGGAAGAAGGCAAGGTGAGTTTGACCATTAGGATCCTGGGGATGGAGGTGCAGCTACAAAGGCCTTGACAGTAGTCTGAACTTTGCCATGGTGATGAAAAGCCCCTGCAGAGTTTTTAAGCAGAGGAGTGATATGTTGAGAATTAAGGAGGAGTAATATCTTTGAGGGAAAGTGTGAAGAAAGGAAAGCAGAGAGCTGAGGATTGAGCCTTGGGTAAGGCCTATATTTCTATAGGGAATTTCAGATCAAGAAATGAGTCAGTGAAAGATCTTGAAGATCTTAAGAGCAGTATGGTGGGAACCAGAGGTGAAGTTTTCAAGGAGACCAAGAAGTGGAAAACACACTGGCTTTAACGATTGCAAGTTCCACCAGCAACTTTGGGGAATGGAGAGTCATTGAGGCCTATGGTGAGGCCAGAGGGGAAATAAATTGGCAAATCATGGTAAGTTCATGGCAGACCTGAGATTTGTGCTTAGGGTCACGTTTGCCTCACCGCAGGCTGACTGCCAGGTGTGTGCATATGTGTGTGTGCGTGCATGTGTGTGTTTTAACACGGGTGATAAACTTTTGCAGAGGTCAGGGGAAACCAGCCAGTCCTCAAAGATTCCATGTAAGTGCTTCATATGATTAGTGAAAGGACGTTCTGCTTCTTCCATTTTATTTGTAACAGCACTTCACTTTCCTCAGTCTCTCCCATAGCACTGTTATCCCATCCATTGTCTGTCTGGTTTCTTTTCCTGTTAACCAGAGTCCGGCAATTTATTTTTATTTTTTATTTATTTATTTTTTTGAGATGGAATCTTGCCCTGATCCCCAGGCTGCAGGGCAATGGCACGATCTCGGCTCACTGCAACCTCCGCCTCCCAGGTTCTAGTGATTCTCCTGCCTCAGCCTCCACAGTAGCTGGGATTACAGGTGCCCGCCACCACACCCAGCTAATTTTTATATTTTTAGTAGAGACGGGGTTTCACCATGTTGGTCAGGCTGGAGACCGGCAAATTTTTTTCTGTACAAAGCTGGATAGTAAATGTTTTAAACTTGTGGACCAAGAGGCAAAATCAATCATATTATGTAGGTATTTATACAACAAGAGGGGGACAAAATTTCCACATATTTCTCATTGATGAAATTTAAAATATAAGAATAATTTAGTACAATTTTTTTGGTAATATAGGTCTACTAATGGAAAGAATGAAATTATTTTAGGGGGAGTCAACATTTCACTTAATTGGAATTCTAAGTTAGTGTTCTCAATCATCAAATCAGTTGCAAATATTTACCTGTAAAATAATTCCTAGCTAGTACACCATAGAAAAAGAGGTACAGGTGGTGGGCTGGCTTTGACCTGCAGGCTGTAGTCTGCTGAGCCCTATTCTAAAAGTTACATCATTCGTCCACCTGTGTGCTTTATACCAGGAGGTTTTGCAGCAGATAACCAGAGAAAGAAGTGTCTAGCTTCCATGGTAGTGCCCAATGTCTGTAATTCGACTTCATGTCCAACTTTTAACTCTTTTCCCTCATTTCCCCCCCTCTAGTCCTTAATGGAATGAACTCTTTCTTGGTCTTCAATGTGGAGGCAGTTTGGGTTTTATGTCCAATGAGATGATTTTGGAGTTTCAGAAGAGCCCTGTCCTTCAAAAATGAAGTTGACTGACTAATGAAATGTCTTTAATTGGGTACATATTTTAATTTCACAGTTAGACAAGCATGTCAACATGCAAATACATCCAGAAAGAGAATATGTTGACAAGATCCTTCACATTAAGGTAGAAATAAACATCCAAACATTTTCTAAGCTCAGGGTTTGTTTTGGAAGCGGAATTTCTAGGTGCCAGGATAGGAAGAACTATCAAAGAGTAGAGGAAAGGAACCAGAATGGGGGCTTGCCAGCTTTCCATACTGCTGTCATGTGGCAAACCACAGAAAGAACAAGGCACGGCGAGAAGATTCTGCTAAATGCTGAGAAAACAGAAATGTTGAAACCATGCCCCTGCCCGCTAGCATCTCACAATCTGCTTCAGTGTAGCCTCTGCATCATAAAATTTAGCTTGGAAGGGACCTTAGGGATCATAAAATCCACATCTTTATTTCATAAATGAGAAAACTGAGACTCAGAGAAGTTGACACTAATTTTCTTTGTAACTTTGGACATGCTGTTTAATCTTTATGTTTCTGATCGCCAGAGAAAATGTGACCTTCAAGCACTTACGGAAAATAACAGTGCATTTTCTAAGAACTTTCATCTTCAGTTTGTGCTTACCCAGACGGTTTAAAGATTTATGGGCTTAGAAACACATCTCTGAGTCAGACGTACAGTGGGGATTTCCAGCACTTATTGTGGAGACCAGCCAGGTCTCCAGTTGACTCACTTGGAGGATGTTGACAAGCCTGAGTCCCAAAAGTGAGTTCATTTTGTAGAGTCCTAGGGTGAGAGCTCAAGCATTGGCCAAACAAGAGGAAGCCCTTCTGGTTTTGCCAGTCAACCAACCAGCAGAGTGAAAGAATATGGGCTTAGGAATCAGCTGCAGGCATGTTTGAGTTTCAGCTCAACTGCTCTGTAGCAGTAGTCTCAGACAATTCAGTTTGGCTTCCTACACTCAGTTTCCTCTGTGCAAGGCAGAGGACTAATACCAACTACAGTCATGTGGCTAGGATTGAATGAGATCATGAACTTAGAGTCTATCACAGAAACTGGGACATAATAGGTATTCCATAAAATAGGATTATTAATGCCCAACATGCTTATGCTTTTATACATTGATATTATATGCCCAAATTTCTCATAGAAAAAGGATAGTGAGAGGGAAAGTTCAGAAATTAGTTAAGTCTAAAGGCATTAGTATTTCCCTAGCATGTATACAGCCTTTATAAGGTTCATGGAGACTCCCAGGCCTACAGTAGCTACAGAGATCAACAATGGTCAGTGTCCTATGTGGCACCACTTCAAGATCATCTCAGGCCCAGTTCTTACATCAGCCACCATTGCATTAACCAAGTTCAGCACAGGCTTTTACCAGCTTCACTCAGGTGCAACTTGGCAGTACCTCACCTCTGATCTGCATTGCTGGCTTCTTGCTTTCTGCCTCTGGGCTTCTTTGATACTACAGTGTGGGACATTCCAATAAAACCCTGAATACTCACACATGTGACTCTGGAGAGCGTGGAGGAGTTAACACCCACAGAACTGCCTTCATCCAATATGGGATGGGAATCTGTGCATGCATGCTTCTTGCCCCTTTGATCCTCCCATGGGGACAGTTCTCAGACACATTTCATGAAGCTTCTCAGAAAGTCACACCAGATACTAAGTACAAGTAGGGGCCATCTCCATAACACACCTTTGGACTGGTTTCTTTCCTTCCTTCCCCATCCTTTGCTCCTGTTCCCTAGGGTCGCATTCCCAATTAAACTACCTATGCACAAGCCTCTGCTTCAGGCTCAGGCTCTGCTTTCAGGGGAATGCAGGCTAAGATACCACCTATTCCTATGGTTACCTAGAACAAAAGGCTTGCAGAGAATAAAGGGGCAGTAGAGAGTCCACTGCCCCTTTATGGAGGAAAAATAAATGGCTGGAGTGCTGTCTCCTCTCCTCGCTCCTGTAACAAATGTCACTGGCTGAATGAGATGTTCTTTCCCAGAAAGCCCAGACACAGCCTCAGAACCCTTCTCTCCACTGCTGCAGACAATCTCCATCAACTGACTAAAGTTAATCCTTAAGATAAAATTCATTTGCTATCTTGGGTCCAAGAGATTGGATTCAAGTCTCAAATAGTTACTAGCTATGTAGCTTTGAAACATCTCTCCTAACTTTTCTGAGCTTCGGTTTTCTCATCTATCAAACAGAGATAATAATTTGTTTCACATTGTTATTAAGAATATTTAATATTATTTAAATTTATTTAATATTTAATAACACAATATACTAAAGCACCTAGCCAGATCTTTGGCATATAGGAAATAATAAATGTAATTTTAGTCTCCCTTTTTCATTTTAAAATGCAAGGAGCAGGCAAAGAACAGACACAGTAACTCACTGCATAAACTGGGCAGGTCAACCTCTATCTTAAGATGTTACATCTGTAAAAAGGATGTAATTCATACCTCGATTCTTCACTGTGGTAAGGATCAGATGGAATAATGCATGAACCAGAGTACTGTTTCAATAGTAATACTAGGATTATTGTTGTATTTCAAATGAAAAATTCTAAGGACTACTGAGGCTACAAGATCGGTATTGCCCAGCTAAAAAAGGCCAAATCCTTAGTCCCTGCTCCTTATGTCAGACTGCTTCCCATCTGGGACATTCAGACAATTTTAACCACCATCTACAGCATGACAAACTCAAAGTGATTGTGTTGATGACCAAGAAGTTCACCAAACACCATGGAGTCCTGCTGTACTGTGAGAAAAGGAAGGAGGAAGAAGGTAAATAACTCTTAAGATGGGCTTCCTACTCTGATCAGCTCTAAATCAATGATTGAGGAACTAGCTATAGAAATCTGAATCTGCTGTAGCTCGCCAGGATGAAAGATGTATTCTTAAATGTGGCAAACTAGTGATTACATCAGGGTAGAAACATTACGGCTGATGGCAGAGCTACAAGGAGGCATACAGGACAAAATGCAAGAGGTCATCAGTCTGCTAATTTCTGAGTTAATAAATCCTCCCTCTACACAAAAGTCTAGTCCCTGAAACAATTCTGTCATCACTTTTGTCGCTTTTAATGGATAGACTTGCTGATGTTTATGATTACTTAAATCTCTAAATATCTATACTTCTCATACTATTTTGCAATAATAAATTCCCATGTGTTCCCCTCTGTTGACTGCACAAGAAATGAACTGAAAATCAAAAGAATGGTCAGCAAGAAAGAAGAGTAATATGTCAAATTACAAGAACCAGCAAACAAAGAACCCGATAAATTATTTTTTTTAATATGGAGAATGATCAAACTATGATATGAATATGAACTGTTAGACTTTTATGAAAATGAAAATTCAGACCTAGAATGGGTCATTGAGATCATGGAATACAAAATTCTTTATTTTACAGATAAGAACACTGAAGCTCAGAGTGGTTAAGCTATTTACATGAAGATCAGGCAGCTAATTAGTGAGAAAGATATTGCTGCTTGAAAGTCCAGAGATTTGAATCCAGCTCTCCAAATTTATTTTAAAATATTCTTTCCACTCAATCATAGCTGCACATCATGGGTAACATGGATTGTTTTAGAAAAAAATATACAAAAGTTAAAACAGAAGTTCACCATTTTATTTTCAGTTTTTTAAGCCCAAGAGAGGATCAATATTTCAGAGAATATGTTATAGAATTTTTATAATTAAAATGTAGATATAAGATTTTTGAAGTAATAATTCATAATCAAAATTGTTTTAACATAAAAATAGAATCACAGGCCAATAGAATAAAAACCCCAGAAGTAAACTCATGCATATATGATCAGCTAATCTTCAACAATATTGCCAAGGACACACAATGGGGAAAGGATAGTCTCCTCAATAAACAGTGTTGGTAAACCTGTATATCTCTGTGCAAAAGAAATTAAAGCCTTATCTTACACCATACACAAAAATTAACTCAAAATAGATTACAGACTCAAACATAAGGCCTGAAAAGCTCCTTGACATTGGTCTCAGCAATGATTTTTTGGTTATGACACCAAAAGCATAGGCAATAAAAGCAAAAATAAAAAAGTGAGACTACATCAAACTAAAAAGCTTCTGCACAACAAAGGAACCATAATAAAATAAAAGGACCATCGAATGGAAGAAAATATTTGCAAAACATATTTGATAAAAGGTTAATATCTAAAATATATAAGGAATTCATACCACCCAATAGCAAAATTAAAATAACCCAATTAAAAATTGGGCAAAGGACTTTAACAGACATTTATATCAAGGACACAAAAATGGCCACCAGGTACATGAAAAGGTGGTTGACATCACCAATCATCTGAGAAATGCAAATCAAAACCATAATGAGATATCACCTCACACTTGATAGGATGACTATTATCAAAATATAAGAAATAACAAGTATTGATGAGGGTGTGAAGAAGAGGGAATTCTTGTACACTGTTGGTGAGAATGTAAATTGGTATACCCATTACGTAAAACAGTATGGAGGTTCCTAAAAAAATTAAAAATAGAGCTACCATATGATCCAGCCATCCCAATACTGTGTATATATCCAAAGGAAATAATATTAGTATCTTCAAAAGATATCTGCACTCC
The DNA here is from genome assembly GCF_000001405.40 of Homo sapiens. Lineage (NCBI taxonomy): Eukaryota > Metazoa > Chordata > Mammalia > Primates > Hominidae > Homo > Homo sapiens. Next base: position 64,760,901 of record NC_000008.11, read on the forward strand.
AGTGTTCATTGTAGCATTATTCACAACAGACAAGATATGGAAATAACCTAAGTGTCTGTCAATGGATGAACAGATAAAGAAATTACAATAGAATATTATTCAGCCTTTAAAAAGACGCAAATGTTGTCACTTACAAGAACATGAATGAACTTGGAGGACATTATGCTAAATTAAATAAGCCAGACACAATAAAGCAAGCATTAGATGATATCACTTACACGTGGAATCTAAAAAGGTTGAACCTAGAGAAACAGAGAGTAGAATGGTAGTTGCTAAGGATTAGAAGGTGAGGGAAATGGGTAGATGTTAGTCAAAGGGTACAAACATTCAGCTGTAAGGTGACTAAGTTTTAGAGATCAAATGTACAGCTTGGTAGCTAAAATTAATAATAATATATTGTATATTTGAAATTTGCTAAATGACTAGATCTTAAATGCTCTCACTGCAAAAAATTGTTAACGTGAACTGATGTATATGTTAATTAGCTTGGTTGTGAGAATAATTACATAAGATATACTCATATAAAACACCATGTTAAACACTTTAAATATATATAATTTTTATTTACCAATTATGTGTCAATAAAGCTTGGGGGGAGGGGAATGTCTTAAAATGAACACTCATTTCCTCAAAGGGATTAATAATATTTTTAAAATGTATATATATGTAAGTACAGATTTGTCACTAGGAAAGAAATGACTGGAAATTATCAAACTAGAAACGAGTCTAGTCAGTTCCCAGAGTGCCGGACACATTCTTTGGGTAGAAAATATGCCTGCTCTCTGCTGACCACCTAAAGACCTACTTAGTGGCATGTGTTTTACACCAGAATGCACATAAACCAGAATATATTTAGGAGTTGGTCTATTTCTAGTCACACAAGTTTTGTTTCCTAAATAAGACTTCAGATTACCATTTGGGTTTGTTCCCCAAAATTTCAGCACTCCATATGGTTGAAGATGTAGTCCCATATTCTTAACAAGACCTTGTGTGAACTGTGTACAGTACTGTCTTCAAACTGTTCGCTCCTATGCATATTCCATGGTGAGTAGAAATGCAAGGTTTATGAGAGAAGCAGGAAACAGGCATGTTCCAAAGTTGAAGTTCTGAACTGCTTTCCAAATTTTCAAATGTAAAAATGTCTTTAGTTTGCTAAAACTGTTATAAATGATAGCACAGAACATACACACTCAGCTTATGGAAAGCCACAGAATATAGTAATTATCCTAATTAGAGCCCAAAAACCTACTATAGTAGCTTTTTTTAGTGCACTAATAATAACATTATAGCTGTAATTTTATGTTAGGTAAAATGATTATTTGTAAAGCTACATAAGTCTTATCTAAAATGATTATCTGTAAAGCTACAGAAGTTTAATACTGAGGATGTATTACAATTATTTTTGATATCAGGATAAAAATACCTGTTCATGAATGATGGTATTGATTTTCTCTTCTGACTTGTCTCCAGTTACAGGTGTAATAGCCAATATTACTTATATTAACAACTAGCACCCATTTTAAAATTTCTGTAGTGCTGATAATTTATATGCAAGGAAATTAAGACAATGAGTTATCAATACTTGGGTTGAATCAGTGTGAGAAACTAAAATGCAAATAGGTAAAAAAAATAGGTTACTTCACTAAGTTTTCATAATGCATTTGAAAACGTGGTTTCATAATGCAATGACCTGGGGCTACCAACTGTTTGTAATAGCACAAATCTAAACAGTATTATGGGCATATATTTCAATAGCTCACATCCTTCTTGAAAGAAAATCATTTTTCATGGCCATTATTCACATAAAAGTTCAAATCTCTCCAATCAGCTTTTATATAACAGTTTTATGGATTTATCTTAGGAACAAAATTAACCAAAAGACCCTGTAGTAGTTTTCCTTCCAGCATATCTTCTCTACCTATTTTATTATTCATTGTAAAACTACTGGGTGAATAGTATATGTTTTTTCAGATGTTTCTAATCAGTAGATAAATAGGTACACATAGTGCACAAAAATCTAAGACAGAGAAGGTGAATAAAAAAGTGTTATTTATGGGCAACCCCCTTTGGGTCCCCTCCCACTGTATGGGAGCTGTGTTTTCACTCTAGTAAATCTTGCAACTGCACACTCTCCTGCTCCGTGTTTGTTATGGCTCGAGCTGAGCTTTCGCTGGCCGTCCACCACTGCTGTTTGCCACTGTTGCAGACCCGCCACTGACTTCCACCCCTCCGGATCCAGCAGGGTGTCCACTGTGCTCCTGATCCAGCAAGGCGCCCATTGCTGCTCCTGATCGGGCTAAAGGCTCGCCATTGTTCCTGTACAGCTAAGTGCCTGGGTTCGTCCTAATCGAGCTGAACACTAGTTGCTGGGTTCCACGGTTCTCTTCTGTGACCCACAGCTTCTAATAGAGCTATAACACTCACCTCATGGCCTAAGGTTCCATTCCTTGGAATCCATGAGGCCAAGAACCCCAGGTCAGAGAACAAAAGGGATGCCACCATCTTGGGAGCAGCCCGCCACCGTCTTGGGAACTCTAACAACAAAGACCCACTGGTAACATTTGGTGGCCTCATACAGGGATTCTCTAAAGCAGTGAGTAATATCCGACCACTTTCGCTTGCTATTCTGTCCTGTCCTTCCTTAGAATTGGAGGAAAATACTGGGCACCTGTTGGCCGGTTAAAAACAATTAGCACGGCTGCCGGACTTAAGACTTAGGTGTGAGGCTGTCTGGGGAAGGGCTTTCTAACAACCCCCAACTCTTTTGGGTTGGGAGCACTGGTCTGCCTGGAACCAAATTCCACTTTCAGTTTTCCTGGGGAAGCCGAGGCCGCCTAGAGGCAGAAAGCTGTCATCCCGAACTCCCAGCATTAGCCAGCTGAGATCATGGCATAGCCAGAAGTCTCTACCCAACAGTCGCCCATGCGTGTGCCCCTACCTTTCCTTCTGACCCATACCTCCTGGGTCCCGACCATGACTTTCTTGAAAGTGTAGCCCCAAAATTCTCCTTAGCTCTGAATCTACTTCCTCCGATCCCTGCCTCCTAGGTACTAATGGTTCAGACTTTCATTTCCTCTAGCAAGTTGTATCTCCAAAGAGATCTAAGGAAGCTCTACACTGTGTCCTTAGGCATCTAGGCTATGAACCCAGGGAGTCCTGTCCCTGGTGTCCCTCCCAATTTAGGTATACAGCTCTCAACATAGGCAGTTATGTGGGACCCGTTCCCCACCACTCTTGCCAGGGCCCCAAGTTTGTAAATGGCTAGGAAGATTGCTCTCCCATTGTGTAAGATGCTCTCCTCCCCGAATTTCTACCCAGCTTCCACGCTGCCCCCCCCACCCCCTTCCCCCGCCCCCTGCAATACAATCTCCAAGCCTTGGCTCCTTGGTCAGGGCCTTAGAACTGATAACCCAGTACTTTAACAACTGGAACTGGGTCTACAACAACATAATAGATCAGGATAAAAGTGAATTGAGTAAGTCAGAGGCACAGAGAGAGAAAGAAGGGAAAGAGAGGCAGAGAGAAAGACAGAAAGGAAGAGAAAGATAGAAGTAGTAAAGAAAAAACAATGTGCCCTATTCCTTTAAAAGCTGGGGTAAATTTAAAACCTATAATTGATAATTGAAGGCCTTCTCCGTGACCCTGTAACACTCCAATACTACCTTGTTGTCAGTGTAAACAAGGGCATACCCTGAAAACACTGAGACAACCCGTAGCCTTCTTATCAAAAATTCTTAACCCAGTAACCCACAGATGGCCCAAATACATTCAAACTGTAGTGGCAACTGCTTTGCTAACAGAAGAAAGTAGAAAAATAACCTTTAGAGGAAAACTCATTGTGAGCATACCTCACCAGTTCAGACTATCCTAAGTCAAAAAGCAAAAAGGTAGCTTACTAACTAAAAAATCTAAAAGGATAGTGCTATTCTGTTAGAAAAAGGTGATTTAACATTAACCACTGAAAAATTCCCTAAACCCTGCAGATTTCCTAACAGGGGATTTAAATCTCAATTACCACACAAAGTTCCGACCAGACCTAGACAGGACGATAGATGGTTCCTCCCAGGTGATTGAGGAAAAAAAAAAAAAAACACAATGGATATTCAGTAATTGATAGGGAAACTCTTGTAGAAGCAGAGTTAGGAAAATTGCCTAATAATTGGTCTGCTGAAACCTGAAAGTTGTTTGTACTCAGCCAAGACTTAAAGTATTTGCAGGATGAAAAAAAAAAAATCTATACCAATTCTAAGTCAATTTGGACTAAACAAGGTCTTATTAATAGCAAAGGATAATTGAAATCCTAAATCTACAAGGTTTTCAACAAAAGTAAAGTTTGCTAAAAGTTAACAGTGTAACCTGCATTATCCTAATCTTGCGGCCTTAGACAGTCTAGTCCACAGACATAAAGGAAGTTCACATTGGAAAAAAATGGTTATCATCTTTAAAAATCTCTATCTCAATCCTGGCTCAAAAGGTTGCTTACACCCTCTATGAAATGAATTTGCATAAGAACTGTTGTTTATGGGAATGCATCTTGATGGGGCAACTGGGCTGTTATGAAATACTCAGGAACCCAGCCCAGCTCTAGGACTCACCCCTGAGCACAAAGGCAATGTTGGGCACACTGGTAAAGGACTGCTAGAATCCAGCAGCCCGGACCCCTTTTTCTGTGGTCAACAAAGGCAAGAAAAGGGGTGCAGGACTGCTACATCAGTGAGCGTTAACTAATCCGATAAGCAGAGGTCCATGGGTGGTTACGCACCCTGGAAAGGAGTAAGCATTAGGACCATAGAAGACGCTCTTGGACTAATGCTCGTCAGAAAATGACTAGGGGTGCTGGCATCCCTATGTTCTTTTTCCAGATGGGAAATGTTCCCCCCAAGGCAAAAACGCCCCTAAGATGTATTCTGGAGAATTCGGCCCAGAGTGCATGTACCTCTTTCCCTCTCAGACTTGAAGCAAATTAAAATAGACCTAGGTAAATTATCAGATAACCCTGATGGCTATATTGATGTTTTACAAGGGTTAGGACAATCCTTTTATCTGACTTGGAGCCATATATTGTTACTGCTAGATTAGACACTAGCCCCAAATGAGAGAAGTGCTGCCATAACTGCAGCCTGAGAGTTTGGCGATTTCTGGTATCTCAGTCAGGTCAATGATAGGATGACAAAAGAGGAAAAAGAACAATTCCCCACAGGCCACCAAGCAGTTCCCAGTGTAGACCCTCACTGGGACGCAGAATCAGAACATGGAGATTGGTGCCACAGACATTTGCTAACTTGCGTGCTAGAAGGACTAAGGAAAACTAGGAAGAAGCCTATAAATTATTCAATGATGTCCACTATAACATAGGGAAAGGAAGAAAATCCTACTGCCTTTCTGGAGAGACAAAGGGAGGCATTGAGGAACCAAACCTCTCTGTCACCTGATTCTATTGAAGGCCAACTAATCTTAAAGGGTAACTTTATCACTCAGTCAGTTGCCGACATTAGAAAAAACTTCAAAAGTCTGCCTTAGGCCCAGAGCAAAACTTAGAAACCCTAATGAACTTGGCAACCTTGGTTTTTTATAATAGAGATCAGGAGGAGCAGGCGGAACGGGACAAACGGGATTAAAAAAAAAAAAAGGCCACTGCTTTAGTCATGGCCTTCAGGCAAGTGGACTTTGGAGGCTCTGGAACAGGGAAAGGCTGGGCAACTCGAATGCCTAATAGGGCTTGCTTCCAGTGCGGTCTACAAGGACACTTTAAAAAAGATTGTCCGAATAGAAATAAGCCACCCCCTCGTCCTTGCCCCTTATGTCAAGGGAATCACTGGAAGGCCCACTGCCCCAGGGAACGAAGGTCCTCTGAGTCAGAAGCCACTAACCAGATGATCCAGCAGCAGGACTGAGGGTGCCCAGGGCAAGCGCCAGCCCATGCCATCACCTTCACGGAGCCCCAGGTATGCTTGACCATTGACAGCCAGGAGGTAAACTGTCTCCTGGACACTGGTACAGCCTTCTCAGTCTTACTCTCCTGTCCCAGACAACTGTCCTCCAGATATCTCACTATCCGAGGGGTCCTAGGACAGGCAGTCACTAGATACTTCTCCCAGCCACTAAGTTGTGACTGGGGAACTTTACTCTTTTCACATGCCTTTCTAATTATGCCTGAAAGCCTCACTCCTTTGTTAGGGAGAGACATCCTAGCAAAAGCAGAGGCCATTATACACTAGAATTAGGAGAAGGAAAAAGGGTAAATACATATACAGACTCTAAGTATGCTTACCTAATCCTCCATGCCCATGCAGCAATATGGAGAGAAAGGGAATTCCTAACTTCCGAGGGAACACCTGTCAAACATCAGGAAGCCATTAGGAGATTATTATTGGCAGTACAGAAACCTAAAGAAGTGGCAGTCTTACACTGCCAGGTTCATCGGAAAGGAAAGGGAAATAGAAGGGAACTGCCAAGCGGATATTGAAGCCAAAAGAGCCGCAAGGCGGGACCCTCCATTAGAAATGCTTATAGAAGGACCCCTAGTATGGGGTAATCCCCTCCAGGAAACCAAGCCCCAGTACTCAGCAGAAGAAAGAACGGGGAACCTCACGAGGACATAGTTTCCTCCCCTCAGGATGGCTAGCCCCGAAGAAGGAAAAATACTTTTGCCTGCAGCTAACCAATGGAAATTTTAAAACCCTTCACCAAACGTTTCACTTAGGCATTGATAGCACCCATCAGATGGCCAAATCATTATGTACTGGACAAGGCCTTTTCAAAACTATCAAGCAGATAGTCAGGGCCTGTGAAGTATGCCAAAGAAATAATCCCCTGCAATTCAGGTCATACATTTCAATCCCTGTATCTTTAACCTCCTTGTTTAAGCTTGTCTCTTCCAGAATCAAAGCTGTAAAACTACAAATCGTTCTTCAAATGAAACCCTAGATGCAGTCCATGAGTAAGATCTACCGCAGACCCCTGGACCAGCCTGCTAGCCCATGCTCCAATGTTAATGACATTGAAGGCATCCCTCCCGAGGAAATCTCAACTGTACAACCCCTACTACGCCCCAGTTCAGCAGGAAGCAGTTAAGAGCAGTCGTTGGCCAACCTCCCCAACAGCACTTGGGTTTTCCTGTTGAGAGGGGTGACTAAGTGATGGGACTAGCTGGATTTCCTAAGTCGACTAAGAATTCCTAAGCCTAGCTGGGGAAGGTGACCGCATCTACCTTTAAACACGGGGCTTGTAACTCAGCTCATACCCGACCAATCAGGTAGCAAAGAGGGTTCACTAAAATACAAATTAGGCTAAAGCAGGAGGTAAAGAAATACTCAAATCATATATCACCTGAGAGCACAGGGGGAGGGACAATGATCGGGATATAAACCCAGGCATTCAAGCAAGGAGGGGCAACCCCCTCTGGGTCCCTTCCCATTGTATGGGATCTCTGTTTTCACTCTATTAAATCGTGCAACTCCAAAAAAAAAAAAAAGTGTTATTTACATTTCAGAGAGCAATTCTTTAGTAATTTGCTCTTCTGATGCATTTTCAATATTTAGTTTGTTTAAAAAATTGATGTTTTAAGTCTTTTCCTGTAATAATGTTCTGAGAGGCTGCTTTTTAAAGTCACATTTCACTTAATAATTGATAAACAATCATCGAGTTATTCACATATGAGAGAAAAAGAAAGAGATCGTTCACTTAGAGCTCTCTGTGCACATGAAACTCTACTAAGCACTTAACATCTTCTGTCTCATTTATGCCTCATGTCAAACTATGAGATAAGTCTTATTGTGTCCAATTTACTTATGTGACCCATAGCAGCAAAGTAGCTTATCTAAGATTATATGGTGGTATGTGGCTAAGCTTTAATTCAAAGGTTTTCCCAATTTTAGGCAACAAACAAATGTCTGACTTCACCATTAAAAATACTAAGCCAAACCACAGCAAACTAAAACAAAACAAAGCCCTCAATAAAAGAATCACCTACCTTTGAGTGGCTCTAACTTCCTGGTGGGCTTTCCAACATAAACTGCAAACTCTATGAGTTTGTTGCACAGGATTCTTATCTACACATCAGTTTTTTTATGGATCACCCACCCCATCATACATTTTTGCAACAAATATTATACATACTAAATTTTAAAATATTGTTTTTAATGCTCATGACATCACATTCTTAAAAATGTTTTTCTGAGACAGATTATTGTTAAATTATCACAATCATTAGTTGCAAACAATTGAGTAAAACCAAATAAATGCATTACACATTGTGATATATTACTCTTAAACCTAAAAAGTAAAATTTATAGTAATTTAATCTCATAATAAGATCTATGGAACGGGATGGCACCATGCCTTGATGAAAACATCATAACAAACACAAATATTTGAATCTCTACTTTTTTCTCCCCAGCCAAGAGATTTTTATACCTTGAGACAATAGTAAGATTCAATGAGAGTTGGAATATTGTGAAAGATGAAGTAGGAAAGACTCCTTGGCACACGAGCATGTTTTTGTGCTAACAATGTTAGAAAAAAAATAAAGTCTATAAAAGTTGAGAGCCCAAAACCTGATTACCTTCACCCTATCCTCTGTGTATCCTCCCAGGGCAGCATAAACCCAATTTTGTATTCCATTTTTTTCTAAAGACTTTTTTACCCCGTCCTAAGCCTCCATGCCCAATTAAATTTTAATTGTGTGACCTTCCACAAAAAGAATTAAATATTAACGCTTGAATGTATTCCATCCAGTATACTTCACAGCAATGCCATCTGCTGTTATGTGGTTCAGCATCCATACTTTCTGCATTTCCAGACTTTCCTTTTGTTCTTCCAAGGCAAATTGATCGCTTTCTCCTCCCTCAAATGTAATCTTCACTTCCCTGTCTCCGTGCCTTAACCCACACCTCCACCTTCATTCCCCCCATCCTACTGAGCATACACCCAAAAGTCTATTCTTCCTGAAGACTGACATCCACCTCATTCTCCAAACAGTGGGCCAAGTACCACCACCTTCAAGTCTTCACAGAACAATACGGGGACAACGGTAGGACAACTCCTTCCTTTCTGAAGTCCAGCAAGTCCCAAAGTTCTTACCATCCTTCTTTATCTCATCTTTATTGTTAATAGTCTCAATTACATTTGTGTGTGTGTGCGTGTGTGGACGCATGTGTGTGAATGTCCTCAGTTTCACCACAATGCATCCCTAAAAGCCATATTGGGAAGCAGATTGTCATCAAGCCCATTTATGTTTTCCACCTGGCACCATGCACTACTCTAAGAACATGGAGGGATATATAAATCATAGATGAGACCAACCGTGTGCCATAAAACCAAACAATAGAAAACCTCTAAATCTCAAAAAAAAATTTGGAAAAAAATTAAACTATAGTTAAGCCATAAAGTTTCAGAGTTGGAATAGATCTTAGAGTTCCCAGAAAAGCCCCTGATTTTACAGATGGGGACTTTAAGACATAAAGAGGGTGAAGAACTTGTCTTCAATCTCAGAGCTGAGATATGATGGAAATGGAACTCAAGCACAGCTCTGTTGACAGGCAGACCAAAGCTCTTTCCAGTATATTCTCTGCCCTGTTATAAATACCTATTAAAAGGGGCATACTTTACACACTGATTATTTAAGGACACTTAATATGCAATAAAGTATTCATCTACCATAAAAATAAAACTATTGAACAATAAATCTAAAACCAATATACTCACCATAATAAACATTAAACAAACAACACAAATAAAAACCCAAGGATGAGCTCCTTGAGAGTGGCAGCCAGCCATTCCTTGGTGCTCAAGAGTGCCTGGCACACCAGAGTTACACACATTGGGTGGATGAACCCACAGTCCATGTGCCAGCCTCCTTAGGCTCTCCCCATGGCTAGTTGCTAGAGCTATAAAATCTATCCAGGGGAAATCTAAACACGCTTTCCCTTCCCCATAAATATCCCAGTAGCATGCAGAGATAATCCAAACATTAGTTGATCATTTAGTTCAAAGATTAATTTGCAGCATCTAAAAATTTGAAGCTGTCACTTAAGAACTTAGTTGACATGGTTTAGAGCTATAGTTCTAAACATATGGGGAGTTTTGAAAACAACTTCCTCAATCTTCACTAATTGAATCAGAATCTCAAGAGTGGGATATCAGCATCTTTTTTTTTTTTTTTTTTTTTTTTTTTTTTTTTAGACAGGGTCTTGCTCTGTCGCCAGGCTGGAGTGCAGTGGCACAATCTCAGCTCACTGCAACCTCCGCCTCCTGGGTTCAAGTGATTCTCCTGCCTCAGCCTCCCAAGTAGCTGGGACTACAGGTGCATGCCACCATGCCCAGCTAATCTTTTGTATTTTTAGTAGAGACGGGGTTTCACCATGTTAGCCAGGATGGTCTCGATCTCCTGACCTCATGATCCGCCCGCCTCGGCCTCTCAAAGTGCTGGGATTACAGTCGTGAGCCACCATGCCCAGCCTCATTCTTTTTAAAAATGTACATGCTTTAATAATATTTCTGATACACTGTGAACATTGAGTTGTTTGGAGTCTACACGTTTTGTCAGTTAGGTTCTCACTTCTTTTTTTCTTTATATTTTCTGCCAAATTGATAGAATTCTTCAGCTTCAAATAACAGAAACTCAACCTACACTAATTTACACACAAAGAAGAATGTGCTTACATAACTAAGGTCAGGAGTAAAACTAAAACTGGCCTCAGGTGCAGGGGTCAATGCCCTCAGGGGTCTTTTGATCCCTCCACCTATTCTGAGTCCCTCTCCCATGTGCTGTAGTCTCTTGCTTGTTTCCCAGCTTAAATTCCATGGCCAATCATCATAATCATTCCCTGGCTCTCTCTCTCAACTGCGTTCTCCTTCTCATTCTACATGAAGCTTATAGACAAAACTATAACTCCATTAGCACAATCCTCTGCCTGCTCCATACTTTGCCCATGCAGCTGAACATGGACAGAGAAAAACATACAATCTTGCTGGTGTCACTTAAAATTAATGACCACAAACCTGGGGTGACCCTGCATCCTGTCCAGCAATCATACCATATTCCCTACTCCATTCACTCATCCACTTTCCTGGACAAGTAATGTACACCTTCCCTTCTTTCCCCAAACTCCTAAGACCTCATCCCACATGTCACTCTCATAAGATGACCTTGCTTCCTATTTGATAAGAAAATTGAAGCAATCTGAAGAGAATTTTTACAGACTCTCAGCACCACCATCATCCACCAACTAGCTTTGCACACCATGCCTTCCTTTACTATCTTTTTCTATGAAGGAAATAATCCATGCCTCTGCCTAAACCCAACCCTCCTCTCATATGCAAGATCCCATCTCTGATGGCTTGGCATATATTCATCCATTTGTCTGGGTCACATTGCCCAGATATTTGGTTAAACATTAGTCTGGATATTTCTGCAAGGGTGTTTTGGATGAAATCAACTTTTAGCTCCATGGACTTTGAGTAGGACAGATTGTCCTCTAGAGTGTGAGCCAGCCACATCCAATCAGTTGAAAACCTGAATAGAACAGAAAGAAGTTCCAGGAGCAGAAAAGAATCCTGCAGCCAATGGCCTTGAGACTTGAACTGCCGCACTAACTCTTCTCTGAGTCTCCAGTGCTCTGCCTCACCCTGCAGATTTTGGACTTGCCAGCCTCAGTAATCATGTGAGCCAATTTCTTACAGTTTTCTTATGCACACACAGGCGCACACGCACACACACATCCTGTTGGTTCTGTTTCTCTGGAACCTACTTACAGGTGTCTGGCTTCTACCCTGTCTACTGCACACCATTTCAGAACAAAAATCAAATTACCTGACTCCTCTTTTCCTATTCCTTCAATGGATCCCCATTTCATTAGGAATAAAAATCAAGCCTCACAATGGTCTGATTTTCAGTAAATATGTAGTTCCCTCACTTCACTCCCACAACACTGGCCTCCTTACCATTTGTCAGGGACATCAAGCAACCCACCTTACTGTCCTTGCACTGGCTGTACCCTCTGACTGGAATGCTTTCTCCACTGATATCCCATCTCCTCCTTCTCACTTTGTCCAATTATTTGCTCAAATATTACTTTCTCAGTGAGAGCTAATCTTACTACCACCCTACATAAAGTTACCACCAGTGCCACTTCCAGAACTCCAGATCCCTCTTACCCTGCTATATTTTTTCCACTGTGCATATCACTGCCTATATGATAATCTATGTATTTATTGTGCTTTAAAATTAATATCTGCTTATAATGTGAGCTCCATAAGTGCAGATATTTTTTGTCTGTTTTGTTCTCTGGTATTTTCCAAGCATCTAAAACAATGCCTGGTATATATTTGAAACTCAGAATGAATGATGATGGTTTTCAGCTATATCCTCTTTGTTTTTTCTGCTCATCAGCTTTAATTTCTTCTAATGTACACTTGTTTCTCTTTAGATAGGGCAAATAGCTGCAAACTATTCCCAGGCTCATATCTTTACAGCTTCAGGATCGCAGATAAATGGGATATTCCCTATCAATTGCAGTTTGAAAAAATCCAAAGTAAAATATTTTTAGGTCACACGCCTACTCTTCAGCTTTCCAATGTGCATGTTTACAATTGCAAAAAATAACAGTACAACAGGGTATCCCATAGACACTGTACATTCAAAATGTTCAACAAAGTAGGCTTATTCTGTTAGCCCCAAACCTCATCTTCTTATACTGTCTCTGTCTTGTTGAATAACCCAGTGCCTCAGTCCATTTTCTGTTGCTATAACAGAATACCACAGACTGGGTTACTTACAAAGAAAAGAAGTTTATTAATCTCACAGTTCTGGAGGCTGAGAATTCTATCAGCATGGCAATGGTATCTGGTAAGGGCCTTCTAGCTCTGTCATAACATGGTGGAGGGCATCACATGGCAAGAAGGCAAGAGCAAGAAAGCCAGAGAGAGCTCACTTTTATAACAAATCCACTCTCACAATAAATAACCCACTCCCATGGCAGTGACATTTATCCATTCACGAGGCCAGAGCCCTCATTAATCCATCAGTCCATTCATGAGGACAGATGCAACATTAAGTCATACGTAAGGGAAGTGGGATTAAGTTTCTAACACATGACCTTTGGGGGATACATTCAAACCATAGCACCTAGTACGGTCCTTCATATCAGAAGCCTAGTTCATCCTTATACCTTCCCTCTCTCCCACCTTTTTCCCACATCCAGTCCAACACCAAGTCCAGTAAGTCTGACTCCTAACAATTTCTCCCATCTAGCTAAATTATCAGCAATTGTTTTTCTGTGGCTTATCACTATCCTGATTACCTAGCATATCATGTAATGGAATTTCTGGATTATTTACGTACCTCTATAGATTTAGGGTTCTTTGAGGACAGAAACTGACTTTCATCTCTATGTAACCAGTAGCTAACAAAGCATGTATATAGTAGGTAGCCAATAAATACTTGTTGACTTGAACTGAAAGGAAGACACAAATGGAAAGACTAATAGATTAGGAAGCTGGATATTGGGGTATCAACAGTCCCTTTCTTTTGCCTTAGTGATTGTTGGAAAAGTCATGTCAATAGGAACAGTTGTTACTAGTAGCCTTAACTCTCCTCCTTGTGCAAGTCACAACTTCAGGGGATCAAGTAAAAAAAAACTACATATAAAAACACTGACAAATCTTGAATTTGTTAAGCAACCTTGAATTAATAGAACACATAAGTGTGAACATTGGGAGAGGGGTATAAACAGGTCCCATATTTATACTAGTCTTTGTAACTCGGCTATAACCCCCTTAGTGGCAGAAATCGGAGCTTATTATCATTTCTACTTGCCTCACGGTTTCCCATTGCAGGAGTTCAATAAGTATTTACTGAATAGTGCATATCTGCTTTCCTTCAAGGGTCTGGGCAATAAAACATTTCCAAAATCAACTGTTTGCCTCCAAAACTTCTTCTATCCTCAGAGGTAAAATAACTTGTGAGAAGTCTCACCTCAAGTAAGTAAGGGAGCTAGTATTCAAACACCTCCTTAACTCTGATTCTAAAGCCCTGCTCTTTAGCACTCTGCCATATCTTGACCTGACACATTCCAAACAAGTATAAATATAGATGGTCAAATATCTTACCTTCTCTGTTTCCTTTCTGTAACAAGAGTTTCATCCAAATTGTTTTTACAAATGGTTTTCTTGTCTCTGAACTGAGTTCCAATCTGATCTGAGTTCTTGTCTCTGATTTAGATCTCCAAATATCCTTAGTAAATAAATTCCATAAAAAAAAACACTCTAATTCTCTGAAATAGCATTGCTCCAGTCTTCAGATATGAGATGTTTTTCATGGCCTGAACTCACTCTAGGATTCAGCATCTTGTGATCCTTATACAGTGAGTCTTGAAACTATTGTTCTTGTTTGACAGGCAGTCTAAGAGGAATTCCAAATAACCACCTTAGCTCCAACTAAAGTGGAGCCAATGAGTTATATTCCTTATAGTAAACTGTGTATTCTCAGGTTTCTCGGCATTTTGGGAACTAATAATGACTATAAAGAAAATAGTCCACAGGCTTTGTTTTCCATGTTATGATTGGGCATTGATTTTATTTAAGGATAGTTCTTTCCTTAGTTACTAATGTATTACTTGTTGATGACCTACAATGTGCCAGACATTTTTCTAGGTGCTGAGGACAGAGAGATGAGTAAAAAATAGACCTTGATTATCATATTAGTTGCTGACATACTGGCCAGAGGAGATAATATATATTAACTGATAATTATAATACATTGTGATGTGAATTCTGACGTGCTGTGGGAACCTAGGGGAAGAGACAGTGAACTTTGTCTGGGAGAGAGCTGGGAAAATTCCACAGAGGTAGAGCATTTATGCTGAAAAGAAGGGTACCATCATGAAGTCAGAAAAAGGCATGGTGTGTTTGAGGACAGGCACATTTCACATAGCAGAAATGTATGTGATTTGGGGGGGTGGTAAATGTGAGAATAGTAATGTCCTTGTGGAATCATATCATTCCCAAATGATTATCTGGTTCAGCTTCTTCATTTACAGATGAGAAAACTGAGCCTTAGAGAAAGTTAGTGACAAATGTTGTCATGCCATTTCCTCTGCTGTGGGTGCTCCATTAATGCTTACTTCATAAACAGCATGGTCCTACTTTTTCTCTTTCAATAAGGAGATGTATTCTTAGTTATTTTATAGACCTGGTTGTAACTGTAGCATTCCAGTGAAGACCTGGAAACAGTAGTTCGAAGAGGAAAGTGCTTACTGCCATTGATGCTTCTTTACTTGATCTTACCAATGTTTCACAGACCCTGCAAAAAGTATGCTCTGGACAGAGCCCAAATTCTGGTCCTTTTCTAAAGTCATCCTTTGACAGAAATGCCGTCTCTGCATGTTTCTTGCTTGTTTTTCCTTTTGTTGATAATTATCTGTTCTAAAGAAGGAGGTCAGTTTGCAAATGCATCTATGCATATCCTAAATACAATTAGAAAACTTTAAGTTGCTGACAAATAAAGAACAACCAATTTTTCAGGATTAAATAATCTAGCATTATTATCAATTTGTCACACACAGGGCATGAGATGTCCCACAAATTTGATTATCCTAAAATACTTTTAAACCCTCTTGCCCTATCATATAAACACAGTACTTGAGACAATTCAATCGTGTTCCTTTTTATAAGAAACTAATAAACATGAAATGAGGAGAGGCATTACTCAGATGTGCTTTAGCAAGGGGTGGGGTTTAGCATATGCTCCCCCACAATATGGCAGCATGGCATTTGAGAAAACAGCAGAAGCAGCAAAGTCACTCTCATCTTCCCCTCCTTTCTTCTCCCCAAAGCAGGTCGTAAGACCTAGCTGCCCTTCCTCTAAAGGAGGTCATAAGACTTTAATTCCAGAGATACCCTCCCTACACCCAGAGGAAAGGAACAACCTTATCCTCAAAGACACAGAGATGCCAAGAAGAATCTGAACAGGACTTGCAAAGTGCCCTTCAGTTTAGATAATACCTCCTTGGTTCAATCATACTTTTGCACAATTGTCTACTCTTCATCAAACTTGTCAGAAAAATACATAGAATTTCCTGTTCCTTTGGGTCTTTATTTCTGAAGGGTCCTGTGTCATATCAAACTTATACTAAATAAATGTGCATGCTTTTTTCTTGTTAATATATCTTTTGTTATTGGGATCTCAGCCATGAGCTTAGCAATAGGTGAGGAAAGACATCTTCTCTATTATAGATCCATCATGTAAAAAGTAAACCCAGGTAGGGTCATTTTGTAAAAAAAAAAAAAAAAAAAAAATTAGAGGTGATTAAATACAAAAGGTGAGTAAGCATAATTAGCAAAGACATGAAGGGTAAGATGGGATTTTTGGCATATAACATGAGCACTATTTACAGAGCTGCTACCCAGAAATTTCATAGCAATAGCACTTACGCTATTTAATGCAATAGTTTATTTCTCTAGTAAAAAATATGCTCAAGCCTCAGCTAGGAAATTAACCACTTAAGTTTTTTCCCCATTTTTGTCTAATTAAGAAGTTGAAAACAATATTCAATGTAGCATAAAGGAATGCAGGTCAATTTGAGCCCTAAAATGAATAAAATCTGAGTAGCAAAATATGGCATATCATGGACCACGTGCCGACTATTTATTATTTATTGATGCAAAAGAAACAGCCCGAATCACATTGTCATTACAACTTTATTACATAGACCCTAGGAATGTTGTTAAATCTTATCTTCTGCACTTTACTAGTTAAAACGTGTTACCCATGGAATAAGTTAGAAAACTATATAATGGCCATGTTATCTATAACCCAAAGACTCCATCCACCTGCAGCGGGTTTCATCTCCAAGTCTCTGCTTCTGAAAACTTAAAGAGCCAAATTGTATGGTAACTCTAGAGATTAAAATAATCAGGGCAAATTCCATAAATGGATATGGAGAATTTCAGTATAGGAAAAAAAAAACACTGATTTGAATCAATTTCTGTAAAAAAATAAAATTTTCAAAGACTTTATTTTTGGATTCTTTCCCTTAAAAAGTAAGAGTCAGTTTAACTTTAAAATATGTCTTCTTTTTAAAATTGTGGGTATTATGCCATATACTATTGCCTGCAAGTACATCAGAGTCATAAATGCTTTGGTCAAAAGTCCTTACCCTTCTTCAGTTGACTGGTGATTTCATATGTTCTAGGAATATTTTTATCTTTTGGCATGATGCTCTACACCATATGGTACAACACACTGAGAAGCAAAAAGGGTAGAACTAGTTTGAAATATATATATATATATATATATATATGTATACACACATATATTTATACATGTGTGTGTATATGTAGTGTATGTATATACATATACTACATATACACACATATACATGCATGTAAGTGAAAGAATCTGCATGCATGACTACAAAGAAATATAAGGACAAAGTTTTGCATTCTGTATTCAGTGCTAAGATTCTTTGCCCATGTGAAAAAGGTCATTCAAAATCCAAAACAAGATTAAAAGTTTGCTATAGACCTGAAAGCAACAAGAGACATATCAGGAACCACTATGTTTTGGTACATAAAGTAATATTTGAACTGTCTGTAACACTTTCTCATTCAATATTTAATGCTGCTACTCTAAGTGCAATAGTAACTGCAGCGATGACACATGCAACAGCTTGCATAATCCATTTAGGAAGGATTGTTAAGATGAGAAACACACTAAACTGTCTATAATTAATTCCCAGGGGGTGAAAATATCCTTCCCCTTTGATTCCAGGTTCCTTCAATCTGGTTTTACTTTTGAAAACAAATCTTGAATCAAATTTTACAAGTTTTCAGAAAGACTGAGATGTGACTCTTGCCTGGCTACTACCCTTATGTCACAAGGCAACTTCCTGCATCTTCTCTCCTGCTTTCCATTGCATCTGACATAGGGCAGTCTAGGCACACAGTAGACCCCAAACCTCTACTAAGCCAGTAAGCAAGTGGATGCAATAGCCAGTAAATGGGATAGAGCAAAAAAGGCATTTGCCAATGTTGACCGTCAAGTGTGGCTTTCACACAATCTAGTGCAAGAAGGAGACAGCAGACCATTTTTGCCTGCTTTGTTCTTAAGCTTAATATATTCTTTTTAAAAAGTCCAAATGTGTGTAAATGTGTGTATTCATATCATACTTACATTTCTTCTAGCAATGCTTAAAATGTACTAGCTCTTAATATTTTCATTTTTAGTAAAGGGGGAGTGCAAATGTCAGAACATTGTTTTAAGAGAGATTTAAAAAGAATACAAAAAAGGAAAAAACTTAAGAAGTTAAGTTTGAAGTCAAACATTGTGAGTTTGAACTGCATCACATTAGAAACATTATTTAAATAAAACTGACTTTCAACCTCTATAAAATGAGGAAAGTTATCATAAGAGGATTCAATAAAATTCAATACAATAGTGAATATAAGACACTTTCCTCTATGTATAATAGGCTCATAGACAATTCTCAAAAGTGTTGGCCATCCCTATTACAAGTCAAAATCAATTCTATAATACTATATACTTACTGTAAAAAATATAAAAAGGAACCAACAATATTGGAGTAGCCAGTGCTAAAGTGACATCTACTTATTATCCAGAGAAGTTAATTCCTTTACATTCTAGCCCTAAAGGACAGCACTACTGAAATACAATACTACAACACTAAGTTCTCCATGCCAGTGACCCAACAGTAAGCCTCTTGCCTTCCTGGGATAAGATGATTTGAGTATTCATAGTTCTAAGATACAGCTAATAAAAAGCACTGCTTTCACCAGGACAACTTTGGTTTTTCAAACAGAAAACTAGTCTTTTAAATGGTTTATGAGCTCTCATCCTACTATTATTTGTTTCAAGTGTACTAACGACCAAATGTGTGTAATTCTATGTGATTACCAAAAACAGGCGCAGCCCTTTCACAAAGGAGTTCCCATTTGTTAAACAGCACTATCTACCTATGCCAGGAAGCAGAATCTTAAGCACAGTTATACAAATCCAGTACCTAAACATGAAAGTCCAGTACCTAAACCTAAATATGTACTGTTATACATATTTTTAAACTGAATTTTCAGATGCAGGAATGTTAGAGGTCATCTGTACTTCAGTTACTGTGTGCAGTTAGGTTTATGCAAAACAAGTCGTTACACTAATATGTTCTCCATTTATAAAATATTCACAATTAGGTAAGCATTTGCTAATGAAATCTTCAGTTTTTAATGGAACTGCAGAAAATGTGGTTTTATGACATTAGGTTTCAATTTGTATGCAGTTTGTATTTTTGATATCAATATCTAGAACTCTAAAATATTCATATTGGAAAAAGATAACAATTACTGTACCAAACTATTTATTCATTCATTCACCCTTCATTCTTCTAACAAATATTCACTGAGAATCTACTCAGTGCCAGATACTATGCTAGGTGCTAAAACTAAAGTAAAGCTTCTAAAGTTTCTTCTTTATTAATGTCAACTATTTAGGATGAAGTTATGAGGAGAAATGACAATGAATTTAAATCCTGTTATGGGTGTACTTTTGTTAGGCTTTCTATTATTTTTTATATTAAGCAATTATAGACTTAATTAATCCTTTCCACTTTCCTATATAAAAAAAAGATCCCATCCCAAATACTTCTACATTGAAAAAAATGCCAAACCCATAAAAATGAGCAATTCAGCTATAAAAATGCATGATATAATAGATGTCACCTTCTCTTATTCAACAAAGTAACTTTCTATAATTTTGTCCTTTGCCTTTCACAGAACAGTAACCTGGAGTAGTTTCAATGGGATTTTACTTTGTATAAAGCACAAAAACCTCCTACAAGAAGTTGTTAATTTTTCTTCTGCGGATGTGGCTCTCTCTATTATTTTTGGGAAATCGGTGAAGTACAACTCCCATTCCCTTAGATCCCTTCAAATTCTCAGAGTCAAGCTCAGTTTTCTCCTCCAGGCTGCAGGCAACCATAAGTAGGTATGCACCGGGTTTGGGCAAGAAAAAATCTCCTAACCAAATCATATCTGAGTCTCAATACCTTCAATGTCTGACTTATTTTCAAAACGATTTTTAAAATTCATGGAGTTGCTAGATGCATAACAAACATTCAAGACTTACTTGTGAATCTATGGGTAAGGAACACAGAAATCAATGCTAATCTGTGACCCCATGATAATCTGTAAAATCTGAGACCAAAAATTCTCAAATGATGATGTATTAGCACAGTGGCAAAGGCACTGAGTATTTATTACAGAATGTTCACTTTCCATCCTGCTCCTCATAAGTAACCAGCAAAGTCCACCAAGGTCCAATCTCCCAATCTTTTTCACCCTTTGAACCTCCTTGCAAGAGGCAGTGTAGTTTAAGGCAAAGAACATGGGGAATATGGCCATTACACTAGTTTTCTAAGAATGTTATAACAAATTACCACAAATTTAGGGGCTTAAATAACAAAAGTTCATTTTTTTTACATTTCTGTGGGCCAGAAGACATGGGCCTCACTGGGCTAAAAATCACAGTATTGGCAGGGCAGGTATGGCTGAATTCCTTTCTGGAGGCTCCAGGGAAAAATCTGTTTCTTTGCCTTTTCCAGCTTCTAAAGGCTGCCTGCATTCTTTGGCTCAGGAAATACTTCATCCACCATCCATCTTCCAAGCCAGCAAAAGTCAAGTATTTCTCAAATCATATAACTCTGACCTCCTTTCTCTGCCTCCTGTTTCCAGTTTTAATAATCCTGATTCCACTGAGCCCTCTCAAAAACTGCAAGATAATCCCCTATTTTAAGGTCAGCTGATTAGCAACCTTCATTCCTTCTGCAACCTTAATTCCCCTTTGCCATGTAACCGAACATATTCATAGGTTCTGAAGGTTAGAATATGGCTATCTCTGGAGCTGAGAAGGCTTTATTCTGCCTATCACAGTCTAATGGATCTACAACCAAAAACCCAGGTCTATTCCCAAGTAGCACAGCACCTTAATCTTTTATTATTTTAGTCTTTTCTTTTGAAAATTGCTTAATAATAGTTAACCTCTTGAACATGAGTGAGGATAAAATGAGACAATAGATGCAAAATATCTAGGCACAGAGGCTGGCACCTAGGAGGACCTCGATGATGTTCATTTCCATCTTCCCTTACCATCCTCTCAAAAGTCACCATTTGTATTAGAGTAGAGCTGAATTTTGGATCCATGTTCATTTTAGCTTTATAGCCATGCTCTTTGCCCACCATGACACCACTTTCTGCAAGAAGGTCCCAGTGTAGGGAAAGACTGAGCTGCAGACGACTTCACATACACAAATTGCCAGCTATGATCTGCCTTTCTGCATCACCCCAAGATTCATATGTTGAAACCTAATCTATAAGGTGATGGTAACAGAAGGTGGGGCCTTGGGAGGTGTTTAAGTCATGAAGGTGGAGCTCTCACAAATGGGATTAGTGCCCTTATAAAAGAAGCCCAACAGGTCCTTTGCCCCTTCCTCCACATGAGGGCACAGTGAACAGCCACCATCTATGAGGAATGGGCCTTCATCAGACACAGCAACTGCTGGAACCTTCATCTAGGACTTCCCAGCCTCCAGAACTATGAAAAATAACTTCGATCTTTCTAATCCTCCCAGTCTATGATATTTTTATTAGAGCACCCAAACAGACCAAGACAGTGCCCCACATTATTAGGTGAGCACTCTAAGATATTCTTCTGATAGAGATAAGAGATTTATGCTAATCCAACATAACTTTTGAATTGATTTTCTGTTATGACAAAACAGATGAAGTGTTTAAAAGGAATAACCAGGATTTACCATTAAAATGTGATTACAGAATTGAGCAATCTCCAATGTTGATCCAATTAGCACTCCTGCAGGTCCCATGAATCATTAAATGGTTATTTTGAATGAAATACAAAATAAACAACAAAATGTTTTATTTTAGGGTCATCATGTTTTTATTACACAATGAGAATGTTCTCTATCTTAGGACCATTTTTTAAAGACAATGTGTAACAGTGAAGCAAGCCAGAAATCTGTCTCAAATGGTAACAAGAAACAATCTAACCTCTGGGCTTTATAAGGAAAAGCATAACATGATGCACTAAGTGATTCTCTATTAATCAAGAGCCACAGAGGTGCCTGCAGATCTCCCTGTCACTTCCTTTGAAAAACACAAAAATCCACCTGTTAAGTTCAGCATACTCTTGAATAGAAAATAACTTTACTCTCAGCTGTCCACATCCTTTTCCTATATTTTATTATAAGAAAAGGGGAAGAAACAAGAAAAACATCCACTAATGATGGCAGCCTGGTTCTTCCCATTCCCTGGGCAGTGGTAACAATGTGAGGGATCTAGAGCACGAAGGATCTTGCTTGAGAGTAATTAAGTAATTAGAAACAGAAATAATTGACTTATGTGATACAGTGATGTCAACAAATCAACATTTCAAAACAACTCATTATCTACATAACCTTAACATCTCAGAACTCAAAAAAATCATTAAATTTTTACTTTGACTAAAACTTATCTTAACAGCATTTTAATCTTATTTCTTACCAATTACAGCATTGGAGAGGGGAGTATAATGATATGTATGTCGGGTGAGAGGGCTGAAAGAGAGAAAAAATTCCATACTACTTTTTTTTTTTTTTTGGTCCAAATAGCAACTAAGAGGAAAGAGTTTCTGGTTAGTGCCAAGGAAACCCAATGTGCAAGCTGACTGTCCTCTAAGCTTTCAAATAAGATAACCCATGATAATCTGGTATTCTGAGCTTTACCTCATGTCCTCAATTACAAATGACAAGATCATTCCTGCTTCCAGACAAAGCTTTGCTCAGAGAAATGGGGACTTGACAATAGTTAAAAAGATCAGTGTTACTCAAAGTGCAGGGCTAACTAGTATAAGTCACAAAGAGACAAATGCAAAGCCTGAGAGTAAACATTTAGAAAGTTTTAGACCAATTTTAGGAAGTCTCATTCATTACTGGTAGGACTGCAAAATGGTACAGTTAATTTTACAGAACAATTTTAAGTCTGTTCAATTTAATAATTAAGAAAAATCCTTTAGGTTTGTATCATTTTTAAAATTTTATTTTATGAATCATTTTTCTTAATTTACCAAGGTATCAGTCCTTGACAGATGCAAATTAAAACAAATATCAAGAAAACCAGTCTTTCATCACAGCTAGTTTGAGAAGCATCACAATAAAACATCCCTCACAAATAGAATAGGCAAAGAGTAGTGCCTCAAAGGTACTTGCTGGCAGAAATAATTTACTGTGATCACAGATTACTTTTATCATGCTGAATAGGTAACTGATAATGCAGCTAAGTAGAGACAGCAGGACTTAGAACAAAAGCAAGTAAACACAAAAATTGAAAAAGAACAAATACTTAATAAGTCCTTTATAAATTCTGTGCTTACAGACTAATAGTCTGCCACTATATTCCACCATGATAGCATTTTCACTAGTTGAGAACTACTGATATATTTTTCAGTATCCTTTTTGCCATTTAATATTTATAGTGAACTGTTGACTAGAGCCTCAATGGCCTTTAGGTAACAACTCAACAGTAGAATTCTCTGGATGTCTTGATTCTTCAAGAAAAGTCTCAGTATAACTACCATATATCAAGCACCTAGTATGTATCTGGTACTGGCACATACTTAATGTATCATGGTTCAAAAAAATTAAATACTTTATTCAGGATAACAAAATGAGTAAGAGATGGAGCCTAGATTCAAATCCAGGAATGTTTGATGCTCTTGCCACTATATGAAGCTGCCTTTCATCAGAATAATGTGCAAATATAACTCTGAACTGAATCGCACTTATTTTGAATAGTATAAAACCTCAGTTGCTAACAAGAAGATCAACAGAAAGCAGGGAAACACTTTACGAAAAAAAGTTAAAATAATATGACAGTGACTCCTTATATACAACATCAAAAGCAGGTTCCATTTAAAAAATAAGAAATTGGACTTGATTAAAATTAAAAACTTCTCTTCTGCAAGGACACTGTTAAAAGACTAAAGATACAAGGCAAAAGCTAAGAGACAGTATTTTCAAAATATCCAAAATATACAAAGAACTCTTACAATTCAATGATAAGAAAACAACCTAATTTTTTTAAATAGGCAAAATATCTTAACAGAAACCTAACCAAAGAAGATATATAAATGGCAAATAAGCATATGAAAAGATACACAACATTCTATGTTATCAGGGAACTGAAAATTAAAACAATAAGTATCACTTCACACCTATTAGTATGGCTAAAATCCAAAACACTGACACCACCAAATGTTTTCAAGCATGTGAGAAAAAAGCAAGTCTCATTCATCGCTGGTAGGACTGCAAAATGGTACAGTCATTTTGGAAGACAGTTTGACAGTACTTTTACAAAACTAAACATACACTTACCATGTGATCCAGCAATGTTGCCCATGCATACTTACCCAAACGAGTTCAAAACTGAAGTCCACATAACATCCTGCACATAAATATTTTTAGCACCTTTATTCATAACTGCCAAAACTTGGAAGCCATCAAAATGTCTTTCATGTCTGTCAGTGAACAAACTGTGGTACATCTATGTAATTTAGAATAATTGAGTGATTAAAAAGAAGAGCTATCAAGCCTTGAAAAGACATGGAAAAACCTTAAAGGCATATTGCTGAGTGAAATAAGCCAATGTGAAAAGGCAGCACACAACATGACTCCAACCATATGACATTTTAAAGAAGGTAAAACTAGGGAGACGGTAAAAAAAAAAATCAGTGGTTGCCAAAGGTTAGGTAGGTAAGAGGGAGGGATGAATAGCAGAGGCCAGGATTTTTAGGGCCATGGAACTATTCTGTATGATACTGTAACTGTATTAGTTCATTTTCATGCTGCTATGAAGACATACCCGAGACTGGGTAATTTATAAAGAAAAGAGGTTTAATTGACGCACAGTTCCACATAGCTGGGGAGGCCTCAGGAAAACTGACTATCATGATGGAAAGGGAAACAAACACATCCTTCTTCACATGACAACAGAACAGAGAAGTGCCAGCAGGGGAAATGCCAGACACTTATAAAACCATCATATCTCATGAGAACTCACACACTATCATGAGAACATTATGAGGGAAATAACCCCCATGATCCAATCACTTCCCACCAGGTCCCTCCCACCACATGGGGGGATTATGGGAACCACAATTCAAGATGAGATTTGGGTGGGGGAACAGCCAAACCATATCATTCTTCTGCTGGCCCCTCCCAAATCTCATCTTTCTCACATTCCAAAACACAATCATGCCTTTTCAACAGTCCCCCAAAGTCTTAGCTCATTCCAGTATTAACCCAAAAGTCCAAGTCCAAAGTCTCATCTGAGACAAGGCAAGTCCCTTCTGCCTATGAGCCTGTAAAATTAAAAGCAAGTTAGTTACTTCCTAGATACAATGAAGCTACAGGAATTGGGTAAATACACCCATTCCAAATGGGAGAAACTGGCCAAAACAAAGGAGCTATGGGCCCCATGCAAGTCCAAAAACCAATAGGGCAGTCATTAAACATTAAAGTTCCAAAATAATCTCTGTTGACTCCATGTCTCACATCCAGGTCATTCTGATCCAAGATGGCCTTCCATGGCCTTGGGCAGCTCCACTCCTGTGGCTTTGCAGGGTACAGCCCCCCTCCCAGTTGCTTTCATGGGCTGGCATTGAGTGTCTGGCTTTTCCAGGTGCTCAGTGCAAGCTGTCAGTGGATCTACCATTATGGGGTCTGGAGGATGGTGGCCTCCTTCTCACAATTCCAATAGGCAATGCCCCAGGAGTGACTCTGTGTGGGGAATCCAACCCCACATTTCCCTTCTGCACTGCCCTAGCAAAGGTTCTCCATGAGGGCTCCACCCCTGTAACACACTTCTTCCTGGACATCCAGGTGTTTACATACATCCTCTGTAATCTAGGCAGAGATTCCCAAATCTCAATTCTTGACTTCTGTGCACCCACAGGCTCAACACCACATGGAAGCTGCCAAAACTTGAGGCTTGCACCCTCTGAAGCAATGGCCCTAGCTGTGCTTTGGCCCCTTTTAGCTACAGCTGGAGCTGAGGCATCTGGGACACAGGGCATGATGTCCTAGGCTGCACAGAGCAGTGGGGCAGGGGTTAGGCCTGGACTATGAAACCGTTTTTCCCTCCTAGGCCTCTGGGCCTGTGATGGGAGGGGCTGCCATGAAGGTCTCCAACGCCCTGCAGACATTTTCCCCACTGTGTTGGTGATTAACATTCAGCTCCTCCTTACTTATGCAAATTTCTGTGGCAGGCTTGAGTTTCTCTAAAATGTTTTTTCTTTTCTATCACATTGTCAGGCTGCAAACTTTCCAAACTTTTATGCTCTGCTTCCTCTTGAACACATTGCCACTTAGAAATTTCTTCCACCAGATACCCTAGATCATCTCTTCCAAGTTCAAAGTTCCACAGATCTCTGGGGCCGGGGCAAAATGCCACCAGACTCTCTGCATAGCAAGCATGACCTTTACTCCAGTTCCCAACAAGTTCCTCATCTCCATCTGAGACCACATCAGCCTGGACTTTATTGTTCATATCACTATCAGCATTTTGGTCAAAGACATTCAGCAAGTCTCTAGAAAGTTCCAAACTTTCCCACATCTTCCTGTCTTCAAAGCCCTCCAAGTCTCTAAGAAGTTCCAAACTTTCCCACATTTTCCTGTATTTTTCTGAGCCTTCCAAACTGTTCCACCCTCTATCTGTTACCCAGTTCCAAAGTTGCTTCCATATTTTTGGGAATCTGTATAGCAGTGCCCCACTCCCTTGGAGCCAATCTACTGTATTAGTCCATTTTCACACTGCTATTAAGACATACCCAAGACTGGCTAATTTATTTAAAAAATAGGTTTAATTGACTAACAGTTCTGCATGGCTGGGGGGCCTCAGGAAACTTACACACATGGCTGAAGGGGAAGCAAATATGTCCTTCTTTATGTGGCGGCAAGAGAGAGAAGTGCCAGCAGGAGAAATATCAGATGCTTAGAAAACTATCAGATCTCATGAGTACTCACTATCAAGAGAATAGCATGAGGGAAACCAGCCCCAAGATCCAATCACTTCCCACTGGGTTCTTCTCATGACACATGGGGATTATGGGAACTACAATTCAAGATGAGATTTGGGTTGGGGCACAACCAAACCATCATTAGACATTTGTCAAAACCCACAGAATGTAAAACACAGAAAGAACCCTAATGTAAAGCATGAACTTTAGTTAACAATGATGTATCAATATTGACTTCTCAATTGTAATAGATGGACCACACTAACACAAGGTGTTAATAGTAAGGGAATTGAAGGAGTGGGCAGCGAGAGGTAGGGGTGAAGGGAGTACAGCAGGTCCCCAGATACCATTGTTTTTCATTCAATGTCATTTTGTGATAACTTGATGAGAAAAAAATATCACTTCAACCAGGGGGCAATATCTGTGTGGAGTTTGTTCATTCACCCCAGGTCTGCATGGGTGTTCTCCAGGTACTCTGATATTTTTCTCACATCCCAGAGCTGTGCACCTGAGGTTCGTTGCTGTGCCTAAATGGTCTCCATCTAGGGGACTGTGGGTTTCTGTGAGTGGCCCCTGTGATGGGTGCTGTCCTGTCAAGGGCTGGCTCCTGCCATGCACCCACAGTTGCCAGGAGAGGGTCTGGCCACCTGAGACCCTGAACTGGAATAATTGGGTAAATAATAATCTTACTTGTTTTTATTCATCTTTCTTAAATGTATGTATATATCACATTTATTTCAATGTTTAAAATTACAAGTGTTTTTGGTCCTTATTTAGAAATTTTGTGAGGTTTTGTGACCAGAAATATGCTATAGGAACTTAACTCTTGTTTATATCAATTAGCCTACTGTAGAATATACAGTGTCTTGCTTAAAGTTGCAGTTTCCACCCAAGAATCCAGATGATGTTAAGTGAGGACTTACTGTATAGGGTAGCTTTTTGTACTTCGCACTCTTTTTTCTTATTTTCAGATGCAGTCTCACTCTGTCGCCCAGCCTGGAGTGCAGTGGTGTGATCTCGGCTCACTGCAACCTCTGCCTCCTGGGTTCAAATGATTCTCCTGCCTCAGCCTCCCGAGTAGCTGGGATTACAGGCACGCACCATCATGCCCAGCTAACGTTTTTTATTTTTATTTTCAGTAGAGACAGGGTTTCACCAGGTTGGCCAGGCTTGTCTCAAACTGCTGACCTCAAGTGATCCACCCACCTTGGTCTCCCAAAGTGCTGGGATTACAGGCATGAGCCACTGTGCCTGGCCATACACTCAGTTTTTTTTTAAGCCTAAACTGCTCTAAGAAAAAAAGTTTATTTTAAAACAAAAATGTATATGATTCATAACCATACATCTCAAAATTTTTCTGTGCTCATGACTACTTTTCATGTCAATCATGAGAAATTTTGAGAATATTCCACTGTATAAGTAAAAAGCCACTCATCCATATCTAGGATCTTGATAAGGCAGTAAGAGTCCCAGTGTTTTACTATCTGACTTATAATTCATACCTACTCCAAACTGGGAATTTCCCTCTAACTACAAGCAAGCCTTTGCACTCAGAAGATGACTGTGGGCATGCCCTCCACTTCTTCAATGCAGCGGTTCTCTACCCTCACCCAGAGGATATTTGACAATATCTGAGGACATTCATTATTTTCATGGAAGGGGAGGGTGTGCAACAAGCATCCAATAGATAGAAGCAAGGAATGCTGCTAAATATTCTACTGCAAAGGACAGCACCCACTACAAAGAATCATCCAGCCCCAAATTTCCAGGTTGAGAAACCCTACTTCAATGTAACACACAGTGCCAAGATGACCCACTGCTTGTGCAGGTGGTGAATCGCCACTCCAGATGTTTAAATAAATCCACATCTCCATCTGGGGACACAAATGAACCTGCAATGCATAAGAAAAGTTTCAACAAGAAAAAGATGTCAAAGACTGAACTCAGAAGAGGAAGCCTCAGCACCTGACATTTCTCAGATTATCTCAGAGAGAATCCTTCCTTCAACATGATTCAAAGGATCCATGAACTGTGGTGACCACTGAGCAGTCTACGGAACCTAGCTGAGTCACATTTGTCAACTACAAAATGGAAATGACAGTTACTAGATAGATGTAAGAATCAAAGCACGTGAGAAATGTGAACACATTTTGAAAAGTGTAAGGTCCTATTTACACAAACAAGCAATAACCAAATCTTCTCTGAATAACATTAAGGCTAGAAGACCCCAAATCCTGTCATTTCTAATTTCCAATGTTTGATCTTCTGGGCCAACACCATACCCCACATTCAGGATCAGTGTTCTTTCCTTATCATTATCACTTGAGCAAAATAATAAGGAAAGTTCACTTCCACCTAAAGGCAAGCTTGAAAATCCATAGGAATAAGGCAGCCAAAGGACCCTAGGAGATTACATTTAAAATACTAAAAGGAAAAAATCTGAAACTCATTTACTCTGTGGTGTGAGTGTCCAGTGAGAAAAGTCGAAAGCTCCTTGCCCCAAGATCAATGTGTTTTAGTAGGAATCAAAGCCTAAAGCTAAAGGAAGGACATGCTTAGCTGTATGAGAGAGGGGTGCTTTGAAATACAATATGCTTTTTATTCTTTAAGCCATAAGTTATCTATTTTCAACTTTCCATAAGGTCACAATGCCTGCCTAAATCATGAATTAATCAAAACGTTTAACTAACCATCACTCCTATTCCTCCAATGTGCCCAAGAGTGTTTACAATATCTGATTAGTAGAAATAAAAATCTTAGACTCACATAAGAAGAATCTATTTTTTCAAATGATGCTGTTATGGGTTGAATCATGACCCCTCAAAACTCATATGTTGAAATCCTAACCTCTAGTACCTCAGAATGTTATTGTAATTGGAAATAGCATCATTACAGATATAATTAGTTAAGATGTGGTCCTACTGCAGTAGGGTGGGCCCCTAAAACAATATAACTAGTATCCATACAAAGAGGGGAAATGTAGACACAGACACAAACACAGGGAGAATTCTGTGTGAAGATAAAAGCAGAGTTCAGGGTTAAGCTTCCACAAGCCATGATATAACATAGAGTCCAGAAAATCACCAAAAACTGGGCAAGAGGCATGGAACAGAATCTCTCTCTCAACCCACAGAAGAAAGCAACCCAGTAAACACCTTGATCTTAGACTTCTAGCCTCTAGGATATGAGACAATAAATTTCTATTGTTTAGACCACTCAGTTTGTGTGTGGTATTTTGTTAGAGCAGCCCTAACAAACTATTACAGGTGACTATCAAGCAAAAGCTTTAATAAGGTCATTATTGATATCAAAAGGTATGGTAGGGAGAATAATGGCCCTCAAATGTCCATGTCCTAATTCTTGAAGCCTATGAATTTGGTGCTATACATGTCAAAAGGGACTTTACAGATGTGATTTAAATTAAGGATCTTGAGATGAGAACATTGTCCTGGATTATCAGCACGGGCCCGAGGTAATCACAAGAGTCCTTATAAGAGGGGAGTGGAAATGTCAGCGTAGGAGAGAGATTTAGAGATGCCATGTTGCTGGTTTTGAAAACGGGGGAAGGGCCCATGACCTAGGTCTTGGTGGCCTCCAGACGCTGGAAAAGTCAAAGAAATGAATTCTTTGTGAGAGCCCCCAAAAGGGATACAGCCCTTGCTCATGCTTTGACATTAGCCCAGGAGGACTTCTAACCTCCAGAACTGTAAGAGAAGAAATTCTCTGTTGTTTTAAGCCACTAAATTAGTGGTAATTTGTTATAGTAACATTAGAAAACTAATATAGATTTGTGGTACCTGGAAGTAGTGTGCTGCTGTAACAAATACCTAAAAATGTAGAATTGGCTTTGGAGTTGGGTAATGGGCAAATGCTAAAAGAATTCTGAGGAGAATGGTAGAAAACTATTTACTGGAACAAATGGTTAGTAGAAATCTGGACGTCAACAACCCCCTTGGTGAGAGGTCAGAAAGAATTAAGTAAGGGGTATGGTAAAGAACATATCTTAAAAAATAGTTAAATCATCAAAAATAAACAGTAGAAATAGGAAATGTTAAAGGCACTGCTGGTGAAGGCTCACATGAAATGAAGAACTAAGGAATGTGTTATTGGAAAATGGAGTAAAAGGGATCCTTATATAAAGTTGCAGAACTCATAGCTCTATTGTGTCCTAGAGTTATGTGGAAAACAAAACTTGTAAATGATGAACTTAGATATTTAGCTGAGGAGATTTCCAAGCAAAGTGTTGAAAGGTTAGCTTAAATTTTTTTCTCACTATTTATAATAAAATGTGAAAGGAAAGAGAGAGATTAAGAGAAGAACTGTTAGGCAAAAAGGAACCAGGAATTGATGATTTGGGAAATCGTCCACCTATCCAGATTGCAGAAGGCACTAATATTAGGAGATTACTAATATTAAAGGCACTAATATTACTGCGAGGAAACAGTGCTCTGCATAGACAGCTAAGGGCATAGCTGGACAACTTTTGCTAGCGGTGGGAAGAATCAGAAACCCAGTTCAACCCATCATACATACTCATTCATTTGTACTGAGTATTTAATCAATTGTTGAAAAGATTAGGGAATAATCTTTTCAATGACTAATAGTTGCCCTCAACCATGTCAGCAGAAGCCAGGATTAGAGATGGGATTATCCAGAAAAGATCTGGAGAAACAAATCTCTCAGGAGTGAATCTCTGTGACACACAGGGGAGGCCCACAGAGTTCTTTGGAATTTTACCCCCAAGATGGATCATACACAGATCCTCGCAAATACGTGATTGTGATGATTTAGATGATGAGATCTGGAACTCTTAAACAGATGAGATTTTGGACTTTGAGCTGATACTGTAAACGGGTTAAGAATTTTGGGTCTATTTGGGATGGAGTGAATGCATTTTTTTTAATGTAGGATGGACATGAATTTTGGGGGCTCAGAGGGAAGACTTTGTAAGGCAGAATATGTGATTAAGTTAAGGATCGTGACAAGAGGATATTATCCTAAACTACCTATGTGGGCCTGGTGTAATCACAACTGTCCTCATAAGAGAGAGGAAGGGTGTCAGAGTAGAAGCAAGAGATTTGAATTTAAGTGGCACCTAGAAACTGAGAGAGGCAAGGAAATGTATTCTCTCCTAGACGGTCCAGAAGGAATACAGCCTTGACAGCACCCTGCATTTAGCTCACTAAGGTCTATTTTGGGTCTCACATCCAGAATTGTAAGTTAAAAATAAAATCTGTTATCACCCCCTCTCCATCATATTTTCTGTAAATACTTTCCCCTCTTCATTATAAATCTTTTAATTCTGGTTTAAGTGTCTTATTTTAAAAAGATTTTATTTAATCCATTTTTCATTTATTTAAAGAATTTAAACATCTTATATTTATTTTAATTGTTTCAGAAAAACTATTTTTTTTCATTTTTGTAGGGATTGAGCAAGTAAGGAAAGAATGGAGACATCTTTGTTTTCATGTTTGTCTTTTGCAATGTAGATTATTTTTATATGTTATCTTCAACAACAATTTGGGAAGTGGGTATCTGTACCTAAGTCTATTATGATACACAGTGATTTAAAAATATATCTCATTATTGGACAAAAACATGTTATTAATGACTTGCTGTAGATGAACTGCATTTCGTAACACATCCAGTTCTAAGTAAGAAGTCTTCTATGGGAAGGACTACCCATAAGGCTGGTCCTTCCAATGGAAATGATAATTTAAAACACTTTAAACATTTTTCTCAAAGTTTATTTTAAATAAAATATTAAAATAAAATTTTAAATGTATTATTCTTTCTGTTTGTAAAAGAATACATATTTATTGATATCAACTTAAAGATACATATAAGCATAACAAAGAAAAGAAAAACCATCCCATAGAAATATGTCACCTAGATATAACCACTGGTAAATGTCTTACATAGAATTTGGATTCCAGAAATGGCAAAGTTGCTTGAACCAACCTAGCATTTCCACAGAAAACAAAATACGAAACAAAAAAAAAAACAATCAACCAATTTATACTTGCTGAAGAATAGGCAAAAGAAGGCAGATATCAGAAGGGAGGCAACCCTTAAAGAACAGACCAATATTGAGTGAGGTCCAGGGGTGGACAGGATTGCCCCTGAGGGCAGCTGGAACTCAAGGAAAAAGCCACAATATTATCAGCATGGGGTGTCAGAGTTTGGGGCTACTGAAGTGGCTGGCAATCAAGGAGAAAAATCTAGAAAAGAAGGAGGCACTTCAGAAATCTCTATATATACACCCCTCAAATTCTTGGCCAACCCTGGACATGTGCATCTTCAGGGAAGACCCCAAAAAGCCCAGCGGAAGGGATCTGCTGGAAGTCTGCACAGAGGCTTCAGCCACTGCCCACCACTGGGGTGACAGAGTTTAGGGTTTGAATTTCATCTGCCTTAGTCAATTCAGACTGCTATTGCAAAATACCATAAACTTAATGACTTATAAACAGCAGAGATTTATCTCTCACAGTTCTGGAGCCTGGGAAGTCCAAGATCAAGGCACAAGCACATTCAGTATCTGATGAGGGCCCACTTCCTGGTTCATAAATGGCCATCTTCTTGCTGTGTCCTCACATGGACAAAGGGGCAAGGGAGCCCTTTGGGATCTCTTTTATAAGGACACTAATCTCATCTATGAAGGCATTGCCCTAATGATCTAATTATAACCCAAAGACCCCACTGCTTAATACCATCACCTTGGGAGTTAGGATTTCAACATATGAATTTTAGAGGGGAAGCAAACGTTCAAACCATAGCATCACCAAAGAAGAGAGAATCTGTAAATATCTCAAGCTTTTCATAGATTCACCTTGACAAAGAGTAAAACTAAGCTTCCATGAGTTCAGAATAATTAGCCAGAAATGTATCTGCGTGCTAAAACAAAAATCAACACTTCATAGGAAAAAAACAAAATCCAAAATCCAGAAAGATAGTGCTTCCAATCAATAGACTGGCATTATTAAATACTGGCAAGGATGTGGAGCAACGTAAACCCTCATGTATTACTGGCGGAAGTGTTCAGAAAAAAAAAAGCAACAATTACTTCGAAAAGTGTCAATTTTCCGAAATGGTTGTGGATAGAAAACTCTATATTCTATGCCCCTCAATCTTCTCTCAATCAATATGTTATATATATTACAAACCACAATTAAATAGAATGAATGAACTAATGATAGATACAACAACATGAGTGAATCTTAAAATCATTATGTTGAGAGAAATAAGTTATACGCAAAAAAGGATACTGTATAATCCCATTTATATGAAGTTTGAGAATGAGCAAAACTGACTCAGAACTCGGGTAGGAACTGACTAGAAAGGAGTGTAAAATATTTTCCTCTTTCTCCGCCAGGCTCAGTTTCCATAAGGAGAGTGGCCCAGGCCCTCCTCTTCTCCATCAAACCCTTTCATCAGGCGATCTCAACTTGTTCTTGCTTTAATTCCCACTTCACATTTATGGCTTTCACAAATATGTATCCTGCCTGGACCTCTCCCCTGAGCTTTTGGTGCTCACTGCCTATTTAACATAACCCAAAGAGAATTATTGATTTCCTCAATTCTCCCAAACCTTCCCTATCTAAGGAAATGATATTACCGTTCACTAAATAATCAGACAAAAAACCCAAAACCAAAAAAAAGGGAAACAAAACTTCTAAGCTTCATTGTTGATTCCCATCTCTCTCACACATCATGTTCAGTCCATTAGTAAATTATGTTGACTCTGCTGTCAAAAATGTATCCTGATTCTAACCACCTTCCATCAACCCCACAGTCACAACCCTAGGCTAAGCCACTGTCATCTCTCCTGACAAGTACTGCAATGGCATCTGTGATTGACAGTCTCACCAGATAATATCCAACAAGGGAAAAGACAATTTCACAAAAGGAAATCAAAGTACTGTAGCCAAAAGAGGTGGAATTGGTAAGTGTCTGAAGGGAACAAATGACCTCTGAATTGATTTTTACCGATTGTTAAAAATTTTTTTACCATTTTTATAGGTAATATTTAAATTTTTACTTTGGAACATCTGGCATTCCTATACTATGCAATATTACAAACTTTTCAGCCATAATTGTTCAAAAGATGAAAATGGAATGAGAATAAAAATGTAATCTATGTATGTATAAAAATCTCTCAATGTGATAATGGAAAACTGTGCTGAATATTTTTATCATGTTAGGAACAAGAAGGGCTTTCTAAGCAAGGACATATATCCAGAAACTCTTAAACAAATGCAAATTACAATAGTAAAAATAATTGCAGCTGGTATGAAAGAGTATGAAAATTCCCATTACATAAGAGTCTTTGCTGATTATATAGAAAAAGAACCCAATAGAAAAATAAATTATTGAAGAAACAGACAATTATTTTCTTTAAAAGTATACAAATTCCTTTAAAAGTAAATACATGAAAATTTGGGATAAAAATGAAGCTGCATTTTCTTTATGTATCAGATTGGCAAAATTAAAATGATTTATAATACCAGTATTGGCAGAATGTGGAGAAATTGGCACTTGCACTACATTAGTAGTAACATAAATTGAGACTTAGAGTAGTTTGGCAACATCTATTAAAACATAAAGCACACATACATTTTGATAACAACTCCACCATCTTACATAAATATTTCCACAAAAGCTCAAAGATATCTATGTTTTGTGTGTGTGTTTTTGTGTATCTATGGTGTATATTTATATAATCATTACAAATAATGACTTCTATAAACTGACATAGGAAGGGATCTAAAATGTATTGCAAAGTGGAAAATATAAGGTGCAACACAGGGTATATTTCCCCACGATTTTTATTAACATATATTCATGCATATTAGCATAAGCTTTAAAAAATCTGTAAGAATATATCAGGGACTCTTAACCATGTTTCTGTTCTTAGAGGTGATATCTGAAAAATCATTTTCGTAGAGCATTAGGGTAAACTATCCAAACATTAGAAATAAGGAACATGACTCTGTACTGGGACAAATGAAGCTATCTTCTATACACTGAAATGCAGTATAATCAAAGTAGTGTCCTATAGATTTGGGGCATTAAACGGTCTTCCTGGTATGAAGGAATTGGCAGTTGATGGCATGAATATCTCAGTAAAATAATTTTTCATGATATAGAGAAAGATCAGCCTATTCTCAGAATGCTAGAAGAGAAAGCCTACCTTGCCCTTTTGCCTTCCTGTCCCTCAAGTTCCACATTCTCACACCAATCACCTTCACTGATCTAAACTGCCCTAGTCAGCTTGTCTGTTTCTACCCTGCATGTAAAGTGGGAATAGAACCAACAGCCTTCTTTTACCACCTCTCTTTAAAGGCATACCTAGGGGTGCATCTTAACTGGCTTGCAAATGCAAATAGAGACCCTGCAAATAGAGAAGGTGGAACCTACATAGAATCACATACCACTGAAGTTCAAGTGTCCTGAGTCCTCATCTTGGGCTCTAAAGCAAAAGTACAGCCATTGGAAAAGGCAACCTGGAAGCGCACATTCCAGGAACATCTCTGAAAACTGACATGGGAAGAAAGGCAAATACTCCTAGAGTACTCATCTCCAGGCATTCTAGAAATGTCCATAGATATTTGTATGCAGTACAAAGGTGTCACTTCCCCCAAAACTATTGAGAAACAACCTGTATCACACACACATAGATATCTATACATTGATACATATGTATGCAAATATACATACATATATCAATTATCATCCAACAAAATGCATCCGCTTGGTTCTCAAAAGCGATGAACACCAGAGCAGTATGAAAATAGGACCCAGAAAGAAAGGAAAAACAGATTAAACTCAAAGTGAATGATTTTATCTGAACTTCTCTATTTCTACTTCCACAATTCAAATTAAAGTGACACACGTCTAGATTTTGTCATTATTGTGTGTTTTGTTTTGTCCTTATAAAAATGATAGGACAACTGCATAAAATACTCTCCATTAACTCATTTAGTACTCACAAAAATCTCACGAGGCATGTACTATTATTTCAGCTTTCCAAATGAGGTACAGTGAGGTAAACTGAGGAAGAGAGGCACTCAGAGTTATTGTTCACACCATGCACTGGCATTTTCTTGAAACAGTTCTCTTTTAACTGATGAAATTTAAGAATATTCCCCTCCTGAAATGCTCTATGAATTCTAGGCCATAAAATATCAACTCGCAGTGGCAAGGCACACAATGTGTCTGTGATGCATAATGCATACCGCCAACCTAGGGCTTATTACAACTTACGCTGGAGCAGCAAATGGAATTCGGTCCCAAAGCTTTAATATGTACGCGTATGTGTGGGAAAAAGACAGAAGAAGCCTTTGTTATTACAAAGTCCCAAAGGAAGCCAGTACCCCGCAGCAAGTTCTGACTGTCTGCACTGGAAATCATGGAGGGGGACTCCCCTCGCCATCTGGGTCGCGCGCGGCCCGCGGGGCCCAGGGCGCATGCGTGGCCTGGCGGCCGAGGCGCTTACCTGGTGCGCCGGACAAGCAAGCAGAGGGCCAGGAGCAGCAGGGCCGCGGCGAGGGCCAGGCCCGGGAGGCCCAACCGCTCCAGCGAAAAGCGGCCCGTGGCCGCGGACACTTCTCCTGCCATCCGGCGCGCGCTAGGCCGCGGTGGGCAGCCCGGGGTCTGCCTGCGAACAGCGCGGTCGGCGACTCTGCAGCCTGCGGCGGCTTCTCTCGGCGGCGCCCCCTAGTCCAGGGCCGGAGAGGCTGGCCTGCCCGCAGCGCAGACAGGAATGTCACCGTGGTCTCCCAGGCTGAATGACAAAAGTTCGTGGACTGCCCCCTCCCCGCCTATCCTCCACCCACGCGTACCGCCCCGTTCCCCCACCGTTTCCGACCCGGCAGCTTCTGGAAAACAGCGCCCTTGATCCTCCCGGGCAGGAAGAAGGGCCAAGGAAGGGGTTAGAAGGGAAAGAGTTAGGATTTCCCAAGAACCAGCCCTGAAGGCCTGGAGGTGGGGGATTTCGCTTCTTAGTTGGACGGGAGCCCCTTGGGTTCCTCACTTCTTAGCCCGCGCCCTGCGGGAGGAGCGACTCTGCTTGTCCCTCAAGATGCTTGTGAAGGTGCCCGCTGCGCTCTGACACCGGCGATCTCTTAGGTACGACCCAGCGGGGTTGGGCTGGCGGCAGAAACCGGCGGAGTGCGCGACCTCGAACCCGTTTCGCGCCCACCTCCTTCACCCCCTTACATCCTATTTGCTCACAAGTTTTGGTTCAGGCCTGCTGTGTGCAGAGGCGCGTGCCAGAGACACGGAATACAAAGACCTAGGCCGTAAGCCTTTAGAAGTCCCGATGAGGCACACAGTACAGGAAGAGAGTGAGACAGGTAAAAAGAGATTGCAGAACAGCGTGGTAGGGGACGAAAGAGAAGTGGTTCAAGTACTACAGGCTGTACTCAGAAAGAATAAGGGAGAAACTTTTAAAATACCTTTTTCTGAGTAATGACCATCCACTGGGTACTTTACCCACGTTTTTACTTTCTATTTTTAATGTGTATTTTATAGAAGACATAATGAGACTCAGATTAAGTAACTGAACTTGGTTGCTCACTTGATAAATGTTTACCATTCCCACTGATAAATATCGGCCGTTCTAACCACGGTCCTATTCGAGGACTTGTGTGCTCTGTCAATGCAACACTTCTCTGGAATGGGTACAGCAGCTTCAAAACCAATCTCTGGTTTTTTACCCTTCCAGTCCATCATCCCCATTTCCACCTCCCTAAAACACAGACCTCTCCAGCTTTTACTCTGTTCAAAACTCTTAATGGTTGTCTTTGTGACGAAGTCATATCCTCCACCTGCAATGAGAAGCCCTGCACAAATTGTCTTCATTGTACAACTCCCCTCGCCAGAACGGTTCCATATATATACTCAAGCTTGGGCCACCATGTCCCTCATACTCAGCCTGTTCACATTATTAACTTAAAAAATCCATTGTAGTTTTGATTTGCATTTCTCTAATGATCAGTGTCATTGAGCTTTTTTTCATATGCTTGTTGGCCACATGTATTTTGGAAATCAGTGTGGTAGTTCCTCAAAGACAGAACTACCATAGGATCTGGCAATCCCATTACTGTGTATATACCCAAAGGAATATAAATCACTCTGTCATAAAGACACATGCACGCTTATGTTCATTGCAGCACTGTTCACAATAGCAAAGACATGGAATCAACCTAAATGTCCATCAGTGGTAGACTGCATAAAGAAAATGTGGTATATACACCATGAAATTCTATGCAGCCATAAAAAAGAATGAGATCATATCCTTTGCAGGAACATGGATGGAGCTGGGGGCCATTATCCTTAGCAACAGAAAAGCAAATACAGCATGTTCTCACTTATAAGTGGGAGCTAAATGATGAGAACACATGGACACATAGAGGGGAACAACGGATACTGGGGCCTGCTGGAGGGCAGAGTGGGTGAGGAGGGAGACGATCAGAAAAAATGACTAATAATTACTGGGCTTAATAGCTTGGTGATGAAATAATCTGTACAACAAACCCCCATGATGTGAATTTACCTATATAACAAACCTGCACATGTGTCCTAAACTTAAAAGTTAAATACATAAAATAAAAATAAAAATTCACAATTTTTAAGTTTTGAAAAGGAGAGAGGAGACTTTATTTCTTCCAAAGGGTTACAGCCTGCAAGGTGGCCATCCAGGCAAAACTAGAGACAGGCCCTTCAAAGGAGGGCTTGGGGTGGGAGCTTTATGCTGAAGAGGTTGGCTAAACATATATATTTAACTGGTTACAGGAGGAGCTATGAATATTCATGAAGGTGGTCCTGACACATGCCTATTGAACAAACATGCACGTAACATATGACCCATGTTCACTTTGGGGTGGCTACTTAACATTTAAATGTGCTACAGTTATGCTTTATATATCAAAAGATCATTTTACATACAAAGGTAGGTAAGTGTGTAATCTCTGTAAACTGGCAAAACCAGTCAATGGTCAGTGGTCTTCTTAATCAGGAGAAAGTTACTGAAACCAGACTCTTGTCCAATCAAAGCTGTAGTTATGGCTTGTGGAACAGCAGGGTCAGTTAGCATCTGATGGTGGATGAGCTGTGACTTTTAATGTTGCAAATCCTGAGGCCAGTGCTTTTTTAGTTGCTAGAGTGAATAACCTTGTGGTGGTTAGAACATAGTATATATTTTAAGTTTTACTGTCCATGGTTCTAAAGCTGTGAATGGCTAGATTAGCCCCAGAATCTTGATGTTTACGAGCCTCTTTGTCTTTGACTTCTATTCCAGAGTCTGTCTCCTGCCTCTCCTTTCTCCTGTTGTACATTGAATTTTCCAGGCAGTCCAAAATATTGCAGTAAACTGACAGCCACTCTGTCTCTTCCAAGAGAAAACAAATTGAGTGCTTTCCGTCACTGCTGGGACAGCAGAGCCAGTTTACAGGAGGGAGTCCATGCTGGGGCATTTCTGTAACCACTGCAGAGAGCCACTCACTGATTTTCAGAAGAAGTCTCAATCCTCATACTTCTGTTTTCC
The DNA here is from genome assembly GCF_000001405.40 of Homo sapiens. NCBI lineage: Eukaryota > Metazoa > Chordata > Mammalia > Primates > Hominidae > Homo > Homo sapiens. The sequence continues at coordinate 64,801,517 of NC_000008.11, forward strand.
CCTAGATGACCTTTGTTTAAAAATATAATTAAAATACTAAGAATTCATTCTACTTACTGAACATTTATTATTTGCCAGACACCATACCAAACATATTATTTTATCACATTAATAACAGCAAAAACCCATGGTTGATTGCCCTGCCTTAGAGAAGTGGAAGGAAGAAGCCTGCATAGTTATTTACCAGATTTGGTTTGCAACTGTATCATATTCCTATGTTATCTGCACAGTGGCTTACTTGGGACACTTTATTATATATATGCAATACATCTTAAATATATATTTCTTTTGGGTTTTCCACTTTTATTAAAAGGGACCTTCGCTCTATAACCAGATTAAAACAATCTAAAGATACCTTTTATTTTTCTTTTACTTTCATGGTGGCTCATTATTAGCCTCATTATATTCAATCCAGTTCAATTCAGTTTTAACGCCAAAGTATACCATTATCCCCATCACCTCTCTGACAGAGATTGCCGGTTGACCCTCCATATCTGCTCACCCCTTCCTCCTCAGTAACAGAGTCCTCCATTTTTAACTGAACAAATGCCAGTCCATCATAAAGACTACTTCTAGTTAGCTGGGTGTGGTGGTGTACACCTGTAGTCCCAGCTACTTGGCTAATCAGGAGGCTGAAGCAGGAGGATCACTTTGAGCCCACCGAGGACTTAGAGGCCACAGTGAGCTATCATCAGAGTACACTACTGTACACTCCAGCCTGAGCAACAGAGCAAGAAACCCTGTCTCTCTCAAAAGAAGGAAGGAAGGAAGGCAGGCAGGCAGGCAGGCGGGCAATATAGTGAAACTGTCTACTAAAAATACAAAAATTAGCTGGGCATGGTGGCACGCACCTATAGTTCCAGCTACTCGGGAGGCTGAGGCAGGAGAATCGCTTGAACCTGGGAGGCAGAGGTTGTGGCGAGCCGAGATCACACTACTTCACTTCAGCCTAGGCAACAGAGCAAGACTCTGTCTCAAAAAAAAAAAAAGAAAAGAAAAGAATGAGATGTCACTTCCTTCAAAAAGCTGGGACTAAACACATTAATATTGGATAAAAGAAAGTAAAAAGGCCACTCGAAGGAAGGAAGTAGGGAAGCAGGGAGGGAGGGAGGGGAAGGGAGTGGAGGGGAGGAAGAGGGTGACAGAAAGAAAGAGTAGGGGAAGTAAAGAAAGGGAGAGGGTGACAGATTGTACTTCAGTGACTCACTGCACTAGCCAAGTGACCCTCATCTACCAGGTGGCTGGAGTGATTAGCCTCTTTCTCTGTTCTTGTTCTAATCTAGCATTAGGACTTGAACTCTGGCTTTGGTTCCCCCCATGCCTTAACTTTTGATTCTCAAGAGCCTCTGTGGAAGTCAACAAAACCTGAATAATGACTATTTCCTCTTTCATTTCAACATGTACATCCTAATTCTGCCCAGATTTTGAAAATACTAATAAACTGGACTGAAACATTCAAGTCTACCTACTTAATGACTTTTGTTAAGTGCAAATTATGTTCATGGCACTATACTTGGCCTATTGGACCTATAAAAATGAATGAGATGGGCTTGGTGGCTCACACATGTAATCCCAGCACTTTGGGAGGCTGAAGCAGGCACGAATCATGAGGTCAGGAGTTTGAGACCAGCTTGGCCAACATAGTGAAACCCTGTCTCTACTAAAAATCCAAAAATTAGCCGGGCATGGTGGCGCGCACCTGTAGTCCCAGCTACTCAGGAGGCTGAGGCAGGAGAATCGCTTGAACCCGGGAGGCAGAGGTTGTGGCGAGCCAAGATCACATGACTGCACTCCAGCCTGGGCAACAGAGCAAGACTCTGTCTCAAAAAAAAAGAAAAAGAATGAGATGTCACTTCCTTCAAAAAGCTTGGATGAAGGGGATGAAACACATTAATATTGGACAAAAGAAAGTAAAAAGGCCACTCAAAGAAGATTGTGGAGTGACCATGGGGGAATTTAAGGATATGCACCCATATGGCCTCAATCTTGTGAGCTCCTGGGAAGCAAATGATGTGCTGGAGGGGAGGGTAGATTACAGGCTTCAGCTGTTAGGAAACATGGGAAAGTACCACTGTGGAAAATACCAAAATGGAATTTCACACATTCTTTTTCCAGTATTGGGAAGTCCGTAAAGTCAGAATTGAGTGTCCAACACTGAAAGGTCCTATCAACTTTTGACATAAAATACAGGTTAGGTTTAGGTTTTGAATCATATCAAAGCACAACCCCTCTATAACTAAAAAGATTGACTGCTGTTTATTTCTCTCCCATTCCCATGAGTTTTATTGTAACTAACTTTGATTTCCCATTACCTTCGGTTAGAATGAAGACCATCCCTGGGCAAAATTGCGAAGAAGTGGAAGGAAAGAAGAGAAAGAAGAAGAAAGGAATATAGGTACCTGTTTTACATACATTGTTTCATCTAATCTTCAAAACCAATCTCTGATGTAGCTATTATTATTCCTTTTTACATAAAAGAAAACCAAGACTTAAAAGAATTCCAGGACACCCGTGGTTATTCAGCTCTTACGTCCAACTGTGAAGTCACCCGTCGTTTTCACTGTACTACCTTGCCCTCCTTAGAGTTTTCGTTCACTAACCCTTTACTTACCTGCTCAGTCATTCTTTCTTCCATCTTTATGGATCCAGTTATTACCTTAGGTTGTCCATAACCGCTCCCTGTGGAGACAATTGAGGCTCTGCCATGACCTTGGCCCTCCATGGCCCTTGTCTAGCTCTGACGCTGGTCTCAAGTTTTCCATCTGAAAAATGATTTAAGACTACTTTCCCTATAAGTTTATGAGGATTAAATTGTTAGGAGTAAATATATATGTGTGTGTATATATATATATATCACAATGAAAATGCCTGGGGCTTCCTTTTTTTCACAGTTGAGCACCTTCTGCTCCACTGGCAAAGGGTATAAGTAGAAGCAAGTTAATCAGACAAATTCAGCCCAGCTGAGGTGTTAGCTTATTGATATATTACTTCTGCCCAATTAAAATATAAAATAGGTGGCTTTCTTCTTTCCTTAAGGTGACTATTCAAACTGATTGTAGCTGAGATTGCAATAATCACATATACTGAGACTGCTATAAGCCCAAAAGTTATTGTTTAATTTGGCACATAGTAAATAGTGAGGCATCGTAGATGCAGGCACCAAACTTGACTAAAAATATCTTAAATCACAAATGCTTCCACTTATTCTGTCGTTCTTTACAATTTAAACGATTTTAGTTGTTTTCTCTTTGCTTTAGTTCTTCTTTCTCCTATAAAGACAGTTTGTAGTGCTGACCCAGCATGCAGTCTGGTACAGGACACATATAGACATGGCAGGCAAAAATCTTATTAAATAAATGCTGTTGAATGAGCAAAGTGACACCCAACAATAGAGTGTAGTTCCATTTAAACCTTTTTTTAATAAAGTATAATTTTAGGTAAGACCTGAATATAATTATTTTGAAGCAGCTTCAAAAATGGTGGAACAGATGGCTCTGATTATCTCCAAGAGGAAGGAAAAGATTGGAGAGTTTTGTCATTTCTTGTTTAACAGTCTTGGCATTGCTTATACACACTTGAGTTTTGAATACTGTGATTTATAAAATCACAATCCCGTGCTAAACCTCAGCTCATTCTCACAATCTGACCCTACTTCCCACGCCAAGTTTTGAGACTCACTCTCTGTCTCTGTCTCTAACTCACACTGGCTATTCCAACATTTCATTTTCCCACTAGCCTTGACCCTATATTTCTGGGGACAAAAAGCACAAGACTCTCTCCCTGAGCATTCCTTTTAATGAGAACCATTCCCTCCTCCAGCCCCACTCCCCATCCACCTCTGTTCACTAAGGAAATGTTTTCCAGAGTCAAAAACATTAAAAAAAAAAAATTCGGCTAGGTCAGTACTCCGAGAAGCAAAGACCCCTGTTACAGTTCAGGTCCCAGGAAACAGACTCTGAGAGGGACATTATCGTAAAAGAGTGTTTTAGGACAGGCTCATAGGATCAGCATCAGGCATGCTGATGGGAAGGAAACATGCAGAGAGAGAAGCTGAACTGGGACACAGTCTTACCAAAAGATTCAGCTGAGTCCTTGATAATATGTGGAACTCAGGTAGCCCTTAGAATTGTCCCAAGATGAGGTGCAGGGTTCAGGTCTTTAATGTCACTGGTTCCAGACTGCCTGCAGGAAAGGAGAGGTGTCTACAAGTGATGGGGTTCTCTTTAGCTAAGAGTGAGTCCTGAAACAGCTGATGAGGCAATCCTAGAGCTTGGAGCAAAGGTTCTTCCATGCTGACAGAGAATCTGGGTGACAAAATAATAGTCAGTATCCACTAGGATGCTACAGAAATATGCTGGAGGCAAATAGCACATAGGTGGTGGAGGTGCTTGCACTCATCTTGGATTTGTAATATCTCAGAAGCAGAGAGGTTAGTGTTACTATAGGTGCTTTGCTAATGAGAGAAACAACAATCCAAGATGAATAAAAGCAAATTAGCAAAATACCTATAGTAACATTAGCCTCTCTGCTTCTGAGAACACAGCAGTCACATTACTAGGTGATTCTAATGTTAAAGAGAAATTTTTTTTTATGAGTCAGGTTTTATTATAATATTGCAACAAGGAAAGCCTCTAGGAGGTCAGTTCAAACATTTACTCTGATTACAAACATAGGGAATACTACCTAAGTATTGTCAGAGTAACTAAAAGAACAATTTAAAATCATTCAACTCTTGCCTGACAGAGGACAATGAGGGAACATAACTAGTTTCTCCAAACAAATCAAAATCCCATAAAATTATATCAGAAAACTACTAAAGCATTTTTTTAGGAAGGTTACGCTTTTCCGTGAAGTAGGTATACATTTCATTAAGCAAATGCTTTCTGCTGCAGAAGGGGCTTAGGACCATTTTTCCTTCACGCTAACATTTTACTTGCTCAGTCTACCATGGTGCCCTTGCCTGAAGTAGCTCCATCCTCTTAGCAGGGACTCCACGTGGGCCAGTTGCCACTTGGATTCACATTGGGCCCTTTCATACCCACACCCTTCTTTAAAGACTAGAAAAACACGACATGCTCTTTCTCTCCCCCTTCGTATCTGACTCCTCGTTTGTGAGCTCTGTTCCCAGCTTTCTCCCCACCCCCTGCTTTCCTTTCCAAAGCTCCACTGGAAAATGGTCAAATTAATTCCCTCAGGATTTTCTAAGGCCTTTTATTTTCTCCTGCAGCTTTCTAATCACTAACATTTCCATGGTTATTCTCTTTCTCCTTTCTTCTCTGAAGTCTGGCATTTTTTCCACCAACAAAGATTGCTAAATTTTGACATTTATAAAAGCAATTCATAACACTAATTATACATATGCTGGAAGTTTTGAATATTCTGCTTTATGAACAAACATAGCACTAATGAATGAGAAAATTGATTTGTAATGATTCTGAAAAACAGTCTAATTGTCTGCTTGCCAGGGTTGCAATAGAACTAAGATGGGTATACACACACTTAACCCAGACATCAGCCAGGGGCTTCCTGGCACTTGCTTCTGCGTGTGCAGGATCTGTTTTGGCCCTTCAACAGCTGATAACCAAAAGGCAGCACTCTGTACCTTCACTTGTTTCTGCAAGAAACCCAAACACAGCAGGCACCAACATCTTTGTGGCAGATTTCTTGAGGGGGGTGGGGTCATATTGTACAGAACATGGGATCCCACTCAAAAAATTCTTGACATTTTATATCCTCCAGTCCTCTTAGGCCACATGGCAATAGGAATTTTCTTATGCTTCCCTCTGACAAAGTCCAGCCTCTCTGGTTCCAGTGTCCCTCCAGAATTTTCCTCTGCAAACATCAAATACCTCCTGCCTTTATAATACAAAGAAATTCAGCTCACATCTTTTATTTGAGTCAGGCTTTGGAGTTCCCCATGCTAAGTAGCTGTCAAAAATTTCTTCTGAACAAGGAGCATGGAATATTTTCAAAATATAGTCATCATCTTCAAAAGCAAAAAAAAAATTTAACTGACATAAATCATTTAATATTTTTCTTTTCTTTTTAGAGACAAATTCTCTCCATGTTGTCCAGGCTGGTCTCCAACTCCTGGGTTCAAGTGATCCTCCCACCTCAGCCTCCTAAGTAGCTGGGACTATGCCTGGCTCATTTTCTCTTCTAGAAATTTAAGTAGATACTTGGTTAAGTAGGGGAGAATGGTGTCCCCTCCAGCCTATTCTTAAAGATGTTCGAATGACAGTGACTAGTCAGTCAGAACATATATAAATGGACAAATATCAACACATGTCCCTTCTGCATTTACAGGCACCTCAGAAACTTTCATTTCTAGACATTTCTTCACTTGCCCCTCTCCTTTTTACAGGCTGGATTCCTGGTCTAGAAAGGTACAAGGGCTAATTCAGAATTTCCTCTTCCTGCTTTTCAGAATTTCTTCTTCCTGCCTTTGGGTGTGCCAAGACCTCAAAACCCCTTTCTCCTTTCCCATGTCTCTTTGTTTTTGCTACTTTTTTTTTTTTTATCAGTTCTGAGCAATCTGGACATCTGTTCCTTACCTAGATTCTTACTGCCAGGCTCAGCAAAACTCACAGCCCTCTAGCACTTACACAACCCCCGTGCCAAGACAAACATAATTGTTGTAAGGAGCCTTCCTAAACTCACACAGAAATTGAAGTGAAGATTGGAATTCTACCCTCCTACTTTTCTCTGCAGCTCTGACTCAGGAGTCAGAACATAATTATTTTACAAATAAAAGTCTGAAGGCCGGGCACGGTGGCTCACACCTGTAATCCCAGCACTTTGGGAGGTCGAGGCGGGCAGATCACGAGGTCAGGAGATGGAGACCATCCTGGATAACATGATGAAAACCCATCTCTACTAAAAATACAAAAAAAATTAGCTGGGCATGGTGGGGGGTGCCTGTAATCTCAGCTACTCGGGAGGCTGAGGCAGGAGAATGGCTTGAACCCAGGAGGTGGAGTTTGCAGTGAGCCGAGATCACGCCACTGCACTCCAGCCTGGGTGACAGAGTGAGACTCCATCTCAAAAAAAACAAAAAACAAACAAACAAACAAAACCAAATAAAAGTCTGAAAATGAACAAGAGTAGTTTTTCTGAGTTGATGCATTTTCAAACTTTATCTCACGTGACCCCTTGACAATCCAGTGAGCTGAGTATTATTTTCACTTTACACATGTCCTTTGTAACGTCTGTGACAACAGGTACCATGTCTGTCTCTTTTCACCAATGTATACGTAATACTTTGCAGAGTTCATGGCACTTTGTAGATTATCAATAAATATTTGCTGAATGAATGAAAATTAGAAAACTGATATTTAAAAAAATGAAATGAAATTAATATTTATTGAATACCTACTCCGTGCTGATCGCCGAGCTAAATATTCTCATCTATATTTTATCTGAACAATAGTCCAATGAACTTGACCAAGTTCCCGAACTAGTTAGTGCAAGCAAATGATTTCTAATTTATTGGTATGAATATTAGTTGCATTTTTCTACTGTATGTGTATAACTCATTATATATAATACATTACTAGATCCTTCCTATTGAAGCTTACCTTGCAATTTAGCTCGTTTCTAACAGATATCTCTAGATGTTGGGTCAGTATCTATATACAATATTAAAGTTTTAATTTGAAGAAAACATCCTGGATACAAAACTTCAGGAAGGTATTTATTTTAGAAACAAATCATCTCAATTGTGTCTATTAGGGACCTCATTTTGACAGTTTCAATTGTGTTTGCTGTAAGGATTTATCAGTGTATTGAGGGAAAAATGGATGGGACTTCCATGAGTCCACTTAGATAAGAGATTTGGGGCCACATGAAATACGTAAGCTTGTTCAGAGGATAAAGAGTCAGTGTGAGAGAGAAAAGATAATTTTAGATGAGTAGCCATTAATTTTTCCTATGATTCTACCACTCTTTTCTCTCTTTTACTTCCTTTAAAATTTGAAACTTTGGAAAGTAAAGGCTACTAAAGAAAGAAAAAATGATTTTGCTAAAATTTCTCTAAGATAGTGGAAGCACAAGGCAGTATCATTTTGTGGCCCATGTATTCACATATAATTAGAAGCAGAGTAGGAGCATATTTCTTGTTTTATGAAGCAGCATCCTAGGAGCCTTAAAGGACTCAGGGGACCAATGTCTGGAGAAGGAACTAGACTTCTTCAATGTAACCAGAAGCAATAACACAATTCCATAGTGCTGGACTCACTGTTCGTTTTTCAGCCCATGTCGTACTTGCCCTTTCAGCAGCACTCTCACTTTCTTTGAATACTTTCTTCTCTGGGTTCCCATGAATGTCCTCTTACTTCTCTGGTTGCTTCTTGGTCCCCTTGGGCAGTTCTTCCTCTACTTGGCCACTAAATGTCAAAGGGCTCAATCCCAGAGGCCAGAGGCTCCTCTCTTTTTACTACAAACTCTAAACAGGTAAACTTTGTGCTTTAAACATTATGTCTATGGAATAGCTCCTAAATGTGTTGGCTGCAGATTTCTTTAAGATGCAGCCCCCCATCACATGTCTTTTAAACAGCCCACATGGTTGTTTTATAAGCACCTGGAACTTAGCAAGTCCAAACAACTCTTAACCATAGCTAACACATCTGCTCTTTTTCCTAAAGCATCACCATCCATCCAGTGGCCCATGCTCAAAACTGAGGCGCCAGCTTTGGTTCTAAGTCATTTAACTACTCTGTTAAAACCCATCTTAAATCTGTCTCCTCCTATTCTCTACAGCCATCACTTAGTCCAAGACAGCATCATCCACCATTCATCTGCATGTCCTCAGATTTTCCCTTGCCTCATTCATCCATTCATTGTCCACACTACAACCATAGTGATGATTTTTAAAAAATACAAATTGAATCAAGTTACTACAATATTTTAAGTCCCTACAATAGTATCACATTGTTTTTTGAATAAAATGCAAACTTCTTAACCTTCAAGCTTACATGGTCCTCAGTGACTAGACCCTAGCCTCATCTCTCCCCATCAACTCTGATCTCATTCCAATATAGACTGCAATTTGGTTCAGTGAATGAACCTGGTTCTCTTTCAGCCTTTACAGATAATCCTTCTTACACCTGCTTTCTGACATCTATACCTCCTTGGACTAGCTAAATTCTAAATCTCCCTCTGAACTGAAATTAAGCATCATTTACTTAGGAAAGTGGTTTCTAATTCCCCAGTCTAGGTCAGTACAACCTATTCTTTGCCTACTCAGCATATTAACTTCCCCTTGATAGTACTTATGACATTATCATTAAATAATAATTCACTGTAATGAGTTGTTGAAAGCCTCTCCACCAGAATGTCAACGTGTGAAGGTAGAGATTTTGCCTACTTCACTGCTGTAAACTCGCACAAGTTCTTTAACATAGTTGGTGCTTAACACGTATTTGTTGAGTAGATCAATCAATCGATCAATCAATCAGTAATACAATAGATAAATAAGCGAAGCCATTCAATATGTAGTAATCATTTCATGTGTGCCATTTACTGTTCTAAGGTCTTTCATGCATTTTTTTTTTCATTTAAACATCACAACAGCCCTGTGGAGTAGGTACTTTTGTAATCTGTATTTTATATATGAGAAAACAGGTTTAGGAAGATTAATAACATGCAGATGTGGAATATCCATCCCTACCACCATGACCGTTTTTTTCTCATGAGGCCATTGTTCAAGGACAGGAATAGCTGAGGAAAAAGGCTGCTTATCATGATCTTCCTCTGCTGAGGCTGTTCTTTGGGCAGCAATTCACATAGAACAAAAATATGTTTACATTTTATGCCCAGTTGGAGAGGTCTGTCTACATACCTGTTCCCTAGATCTCCTTATCAACACTTTTCTAATCATTTTTCTTCTACATAACCTCAGCATACAATCAAACTGTTAGTCACCACTCATAAATCAGTGTAGATCTGTACTTCCGGCCATCTCTCCCTCCAGGTAGAACAAACCACCAAGTACATTGCCTGAAGTTATGCCTACGCAGAGGATTTCCTTTAACAACCCTTCTTCAGGGACACCTCTGCATGGGGCTGTAGTATTGCAGATGCTTTTGGATGGTGCCGGTATTTTATGCAGCACCCTTTGTAAAGCAAGCTGAGATTTTCTTTTTTCTTTTTAAATCAATAGGTCATAGAAAATGGTTGTGGGTTGAGAAAGAGGAGGTAATATAGCAAGAATATAAACCTTGGGAGTCTGATCCACTTGTTCATGGAAAATACTATGCCTTGAGAACTTTCTTGAGCCTGACCTAGAATAGTTCTACTTAATTATGGAGTGCTGCTGTGTACATCCAACTTTATGGCTTGGTGCATCAGACTGAATTAATGATGGATAATTCAGGTTGCATGGTAATTTGGTGGCTGTGGTCAAGTGTTTTTTCTCCATGAGGGCCCTGAAATAAGCCAAAAGTTGCTTCTCAAGAGGAGAATAGTTATATACAGAAACAGTGATTCTTAAACATTTGTTCTATGATTTATATTGAGGGACCTTTTAAGGTCCCTCAGCATCTCTATCTTCCATAGATAATTTAGTCACCATAGGATCTGATTGGTCCAATAAATAAAGTAGCAGAACAACTTTCATAACAGCCTGAACTTGTTAAGAGCCTTGACTTGCTCTGGACCCTTCTCAAAACTGAAAGCCTTCTGATTTACCCAGTAAATAGTATCAGGCCTAAGTGAGTATCAGTATCAGGCCTAAATGGAATATCAGGCCCAAATGAGGTACATGTTGCCTCCCAAATCTAACGAGACCCACCAGGTGTTGTGCCTCTTTCTTGAGGTAGGAGAAATTGGGTGCAGCAACTTGCTTTTCTTGAACTCTGGCCACTGGACCCCTAAAAATTTCATCAAGATGGCATATGTGTGTCTAGCAAAATGTCTAAGAAAGTGTAATTGTCTCATCACAAAGTCCAATCAGCATGATGACATTAATTTAGATAGACCAAGGTGTTATCCTATGGAACGAAGAAATGATAAAGGTCTCTTTTGACTGAATTATTATTATGAGAGCTGAAGATGTTATATATGTAGGGCAGTGAATGTGTATTGCTAGCTCTGTCAGGTGAAAGCAAACTTCACTTACCAGATTAATAGCTATAGTGTGCCAGAGAATGTGTTGATGTGCTGCGACAAATAGTCTACATCTGGAATGGCAGCTGCAATTTGAATCATGACCTTATAAATCTTACAATATTCTACTATAATTCTTTAAAATCTGTCTTCTGAATAAGCCATACAGGGAAATTAAATGGGGATATGATAAGAATTACCTGTATTCTTTATGTCCTTGATGAGGCACCAATATCTGCATTTCCTCTATAAATTTTGCATTGCTTTTGCTTTACTTTTGTTTTTTGAGTAGAGGTAGTTCTCAGGATTTTCATTTAATCTTTCTTCCTACAATAGCCCTCATTCTCAAGGTCAAGGAACCAATGTGAAAATTCTGCCAATTGCTGAATATGTTCATTCTAACTATATTCTGGAACTGAGTAAATAATAATTTATTCATATGTATTCTGGAACTGAGTAAATAATCACTGGGTGTATTCAGGGACCACTGATCCTGCTGGGAGATGGATCTAAGCCAAAGCTATATTAACTGCCTAATTTCTATAACTTTCTGGTTATTTCTTTTTCACCAAAGGTCAGTGACTGTACATTCTTCTGGAGAAGACTGGGTATAAATTTTTAGCAGTGTGGCAAGACCTTTCCTTCAGAGGGCCTGGTCTCTCCATCATTCAGTGGAGGTCTTACTCTTTTTATTTGATCTATGAACTGATTCAAATAAAAGAATTGGTTGAGGAATCATAATGTATGGTGAGTCAAGTCAAACTTTTATTGCCCAGACTTAGAGTTTTTCTTTCTGCTTACACAAATCAAGTAAGACTTTAGTAGGTTGCCTATTTATTTTAATTCTAGGGAAACCATGATCACTTACTCCAAACCAAAGATCTCTGTGCATTAAAACATTCAGATTACCACTTGTCTGTGGCATTTCTTCTGTTCCAGTAACAGAAACCCTAAACTCAGTGATATAAAATCATAACAATCTTGTTATGGTCTCAGGTTCTGTGGGTCAGAAATACAGAAAGTGTACATCAGGGATGGCTTGTATATCTTCTCCATGATGTCTGGGGCCTCACTTGGGATAACTCAGAAGCTCGTGGTTATTTAACAGCTGGGAGCAAGAATCACCTGAACGTTCTGTTACTCACATATCTGGGTGGTAGATGCTGGCTATTGGCTGAGACTTCACCTACACTTGGCCTCTCCATGTGACCTGGGTTTACTCGCAGTATGGTGATATCAGGGAAATTAGAATACTCATCTGATGGTTTAGGCCTTTGAGGACAGATGTCCCAATAAAACAGGACAGATACTCTGTCATCTTTTATGGTTTAGCCTCAGAAGTTGCACACCATCCAAAGCCCACTGAGAGTCAAGGGGAAGAAACATAGCCAGATACGAAGGTGGTTGCAACTTGTTCCCTGCCAGTCAGGGATCCTATCATTACTACTGAATCCAAGGAGCTATCTGTTTTTAGGGAAAAAATATTAATGACAGCATTTTTTTTTAAATGGCCAGTCATGATCTGCAGAAAATAGCTGCTTGAGAGCTCTTCAGGGATACTGGTGCTCCCCTCATCAGTGCATTTCTCAAACCCTCAAAGAAGAGAATGTCCAGTAGAACTTCCCAGGAGACAGGATGTATGTGAGCGGGTCTTACCTGATAAATTCATTTCAGCAATCTGAGCTCCCTAAATCTCTGGATGTTTTCCTCTAGCAGGAGTCAATAAACCATAGCCCACATGTTGACTGCCTGATTTTGCAAATAAAGTTTTATGGGAAGATAATTCCATGCCAATCTATTTACTTATTGTGTAGGGCTGAGTTTAGGCCAAAATAGTAGAATTAAATAATTGTAACAGATACTGCACAGCTCAGAAGCCTAAGATAATTAATATCCATCCCATTACAAAAATGTACTATGCACACTTTTGCAAATTTTGCAAAAGAAGTTCTGGTACCTTAAATTCATTTTCAATATAAGCCATTTTCAAGTCTAAGATTTAGTTAAGTAACTAAGCAACTAGTTAGAGTGATTCCCATCGCCTCAAATCAGTACACCGATTGCATGACCTCTGCTTAGTGCGTCCATATTAGTAAATAACGCCCTTCCAACTTTAGACTTCTCTAACCTGAACCAATATTTGTAGAATACAATGCCACCCATATTCACCAGGTTTCTGTCAATTAGAATTTAGCAACACATTGATTGCAGTTATTTTGGTATGTCATCATGAGGTAATACTTGGTAGCTGAACCCCTAGAGTCATCTGGCATTTGCATCTGTTCATAGATCTAGAAGCAATGAGAGGTGATGGGAGTAGATCTTGAGGAAGGTTGTTGGTGTTCTGAAAATAAGAGACTTTTTACTTCAGATAATAGAAGACTAATCTCAGAGAGGGGTAGAACTGTTTCTTTAATTGTCAAAACAAATTCTGTAGAATTTAGGGTTTAAAGTTCTCAGCTTTATCAGAATTTGCTTATATGTCCCCCTTTCAAAATTCAGGGTCTTATTCTTTTTCCAGGCAATCCCTTAAGAGACCCTTGAGAAGTTGTTAATTTGATTTGTATTGCATGTTAGCCATCCACAGTATTAGATTTCGCATTTTGTTTTTAGAAATCTCAATTCTGTAGCTACAGAAAATAAAAGTCACCTTTAGGACTATTATAAAAGCCTTTTGGTTCCTTATCAAGAGCTTGAGCTGGGAATGTAAAGCCCTAATCTCATGTTTTTCCCTCCAAGTTCTCCCTCACATTTAGAAACAATCAGGTAATCCATGATAATTTTACTTACTCCCACTAAATTGTTCTATGGTAACAACCACTTGGACATTCAAAGTCTTTCCAAGTGGCTCTAGATGATACTTTAAGTAGTGATTTTCTACTGAAATTCATAGACTACCATTGCCCAATTTGCCACAGACAATGGGATCACAAATGTCTTCGAATCTAGCCAGAGCAAGAAAAAAGTTTTAGATCACTAATAATAAGATTTTGTTACTCTAGAATTACTTTAGATAACAATAATTGTGTTAGGAAGTAGAGCCATCATACATATTATGGGAATAAAAGATTTATTATGGGAACTAGACTTTACCAACTGAAGGAAGAGCTGTGGAAGTGAAAGTACAACAGGGAAATTTGGAGGATCTGAGATAAAGCATTAACCAGGCCACCTGAAGCACTATGGCAGGTGGACGTGCTAAAGCTTGCAGAGAATTCGTGAAGCACAGCATATCCAATGTCAAACTAGACTGTGAAGGGGAAGCCCATGGAGAGGTGTCTGAGAAGTCGTGGCTTCTATGCAGTTACTGCCTCTGTGAGTCTACAGTCAAGTAGCCAGTGGTGGTCTTAGGGCCGCTGTGGGTCAGCTGGGCCAACAGTTGGAAAGATAAGCTAAGCAGGAAGTGGAGTGGAGTAAGGAAAAGGTGGGGAAGTGAAAGCCCAGAAGGAAATTTACACATTCAGAGTCAAACAGACTCTCCCGGTTTCATCACTTACTACTGTTATCTGGAGAATGTTAATCAATTTTTGTGAATTTCCATTTTCCTAGTTGTATAATAAATGCGGATAAAATATCTACCTTTAGGGGCTGCTTGCTTGCCTTTTAACATTTTTTGGAAATCCATTTATCCTTCTGTTCTTTTTTAAGCTAACATAAAATGTTTTCATCATAAAGTAAACTAGTTTCAAAAGATGTGATTTCTGGGCTGTTTTAATTATTGACATATGGTAACAAAATGATAATATTATTTTTAATTTATCTATGCAATATAAATACAATAGCAGCTTTGTGCCCACCATCAATTTAAAAAATATATGAATAAGCTCTTTTTCAATAATCAGAAATTTTACATTGTTCCATTTTCTCTTTGAACTCATATTTCCATTCCATTTTTCCCACAGAGTTTTATCTTAACATATTTTTATGCTTGAAGGTCTTTTATTGATAGTAA
Organism: Homo sapiens; assembly: GCF_000001405.40. NCBI lineage: Eukaryota > Metazoa > Chordata > Mammalia > Primates > Hominidae > Homo > Homo sapiens. The sequence goes on from NC_000008.11 coordinate 64,816,572, forward strand.
AATTGCAATGAAAAATGTTTATAAATTGAATTTTCTAAATATTAGTTGTGATCATAAGATCTAATATTTTTTATCTGAATTATGATATAATACAATCATTATTGGCATATTATTTATCAAATAAAATTAAATATATTGTAGAAATTGATAAGTAAACCTAAAAAGTAAAGTTTAATTAGAAATGGACATTTTAATATGTGTATATACATATGCATGTCTATGAATATATAGAACTCCTTTCTCTGACAGTGAGAAACTTGGACTCCATCACCTTCAATATATTTACTTACCTAGTCAATCCCACTCACAAGTTACCAACTGCCCATCACCACCACCTCCATCACCCCATGTCTACAACCGCCTCACCCCTTTTAGGCTCTGCCATTCCGCACAGGACCACTGTGTAGATGCTTTCTTCATCCTGCTTAGGCTCCCACACTTGGCGCTGGGCTTGCATTCCTACTTCCTCTCTTTGTGTTATTACATTCGACCCTACCTACTGGCTTTTGGACTAAATTATTCAGAAAGGAAATGAGAAAGGGAGAGCGGGGAAAGAGAGCATGCATTTTCTATATATCTTGACCCTTCTCATTCTGAGATAGGTAGGTAGATTAGATAGATAGATAGATAGATAGATAGATAGATAGATAGATAGACAGATAGATAGATAAAGCACAGAGCTTTTCCAAACGTTTCTCACCTAGATCACATAATCCAAGATGTCTTTCAATACTTACTACTGATTTACTTACGTTTGTTGCTTTATCCTCAGGATCTTCCTCAGCATCAGTAATTTCTTTGGAAAGAATTGGGGAGAAAGAAGATATACATCTTTAAAAGGAAATTGTCACTACCTCGCTAACCCAACTCTACAAATATACCTGACTTCACAGTACCCAAGCAAAGACAGAATACATAATTTTTAAATCTCCCACTTTCTCTAGGACAGAAAAATGTATGAGAAAGGGAAAGACAAAAGCCCTATCAAAAGCTTATGGTGACTTGGTTAAAGAAGGTTGCAGGCACTGTGGTAAGAGTTTGGATGGGTGAAACATAATCGTTTGTTTTGTAATATGAGGTAAGTTTGGTTGTGAGATGGGGAAGTGGGAAAGGAAAACCAAACTGAAGCCCTGACCACAGACTTATTCTAGGCAGATCAATTTTAGCAAAAAATAGAGAAAATGAAAATGGATTTTCTTATATCTTTTACTGCCTATGAAGTTCTTGGAAAACTATCATGGATTCTTATAGGCACATGTACCCAGTTGACTAATTTTTGGTGTAGATGCTCAAAAACATTAAAAGTAGCAGTAAATTTTAGTAAATTGATGGCCCTTAAAAAATAAAATAATTCATGCAGATAATCCAATAATGTCCAAAAGTTAGAATGAGATGAAACATATTAAAATATCAATGAATAATCACTTATTATTGATTAAAATATGAATTCATGAATGAGAATAAGAAATGGGTATAAATTACACCTCACTTCTTTTTTTTTTTTTTTTTTTTTTTTTTTTTTTTTTTGAGATGTAGTCTCGCTCTGTCACCTAAGCTGGAGTGCAGTGGTGTGATCTTGGCTCACTGTAACCTCTGCCTCCCAGGTTCCAGGAATTCTCTGTCCCAGCTTCCCAAGCAGCTGGGATTACAGGTACCTGCCACTATGCTCGGCTAATTTTTGTATTTTTAGTAGAGATGGGGTTTCACCATCTTGGCCAGGCTGGTCTTGAACTCTTGACCTCGTGATCCACCCACCTCGGCCTCCCAAAGTGCTGGGATTACAGGCATGAGCCACCATGCCCGGCCTTACACTTCACTTCTATAAGATAGAACAACATGTAATAGAAAGCACAAAAGTAATTTTTAAAAATTTCTGTTTTAATTTTTTGCCATTGTAAATCCAACTTTTTATATTAATATATTTATCTCTGTCATATTCTCAACTATTTAGATTTAAGTTGTAAATTACTATTTAAATTACTGTTCAAATCTTAAAAGCAAGAAGTATTTTTAGGAGTGGGGATCCACTTATTCACCCATTCTGTTTCATCATTCAGCAAATAATTGAATGCCTACCAAGAATTAAGTACAGAGCAAGCACAGAGAATGAAATAGGGAATTTATATATGGTCCCTGCATCCACAGAGATACAGTCAAGAATTCTTTGATTGAAAGAAAAACAAACAAGCAAAAAAATGAAAAAACAAACCAAAAAAATGAACTTAAACAAGAAAATGCAAAATACACATTAACTTGCCAAAATGTGACTCTTAGCTGCAGAAATTTGAGGGCCCTGTTTTTGAGGTGACTACACTGGCTCATCCAGCCACAAGCACCTTCCATACCTGTGTACTTTTCCCCTGATTCAATCAGAAGGTACATTCAATTGACATAGCTGTTTGGTGGTGTTTCCACCTCTGGGAATGGGTGTGTGACTGTAATTGGTAGCTCTGCAATAAACAAAAGGAAAGAAGATTTTTTAACGATGAGGATGTTGGGGTGTGGAAACTGGTTCTTCTACTGGCAGAAAAAGGGAAAGTGTATCAGGAGTAGGAACATCCACTCTAGCTTTCAATCATAAGCCAAAATCTCTCTCTGGTTCATCTTATTTAAAAAATCAGCTTAGTTTCTCTTAGTCTAAAATTTTAAACTCTGGGTCAATCCCTACAATGCTATTTCACTCTTCCACTTCCCTCCCTTTCTCTTCTTTTTTGTTTCTCTTTCTTTTACTGCTAGCCATATGGTTCAGCTTTCCTTAAGAGAACTCATGCCCATAATCAGAGTAATATAGAATGTATTTAAAGAGTCAGTGTTGTAATGTTTTTCTATAATTATAATATTAAAATAGAACTATAATAGTTTTCAGATTTGTAAAAAATATTTTTCAGATATATGTATGTACATACATTTGCTACATGTGATGTACACATGAATGCTATTCTCATTGTGCAGCACATCGTATAGGGAAGCAGCTCAATCACCAGTCAGCACCTGCAATTTCAAGCCTCTACCCTGGTGGCCTATTAATGTTTAAGGTGAAGGAAATGTCCTGTGGTAACTGGGGCTGTTTAAAAGAGGAAGGATGGTGTCAGAGACTCAATGCAACCCAATATATAAAAGGAATCCACTTTCCTTTTTAGTGCACCCTAAGGACATGCAGTGATTTTTATCTTGATGTCATTTTTTAAATATTTGGGGGTTTGTGGCGTGAACCCGGGAGGCGGAGCTTGCAGTGAGCCGAGATCGCGCCACTGCACTCCAGCCTGGGCGACAGAGCGAGACTCCGTCTCAAAAAAAAAAAAAAAAAAATATTTGGGGGTTTGAGAGGTTTTTTGTTTGTTTTTTGGTGATTTTCTTTTCGCCCTGTTAATAACCACTTCAGTAGTCTAAATTTCAGACATTAAACTGATATTGCATTCCTTGCTTTGAGGCTCATATTAAAGCCATTGTTTTCTCTGTCCATGGCATCTTAATATGTGTGGTGTGTCTCTCCTGACTGGCGGCCAAATTTCCCTCAGGCTCCGGTTCTAACTGCCGATGGCAAACCTGTCCTGCCTTGCAGTCCCAGGGGCATCTGCTCAGTCCTCAGTTTCAGCTGCTCTAGAAGCTGCCTGCCTGTCCGTTGGGGCCAGCCACTTCTCACACCGTGCATGGGTCTCAGTTGTCCCTGACTAACATGCCTCTCGTCACTGTCCTCAAAAGGTTATCCTTTTCATACGAACTTTGGCTCAGTATCCTCGTTTTTGTTTTTAGGCTTTTGACGATGTGGTGCTAAGATCTGCGAGTTTTTGTGTTTGCCTTTTGTCTGATTTAATTTCTTGTGACTGTGGCTGAAAAAAAGTTTTGAAATCAGACATGTTAGAAAACTCAGGAACATTTGGGATGCTCCGCCTTCAAAACATAAAGCAATTTTTAATGCAATATGACTAATTGAAGTCTTCGAAATTATGCTCCCTCAACCTTCCACATGTAATTTGTGTGATTGTGCATAGTATATGGTCGACACTTTAAATCAGCCCATTCTGAATACACTCTCAAAATTTGGTGAAAACTTCACCTATTTGTTTTCACAAGATGTAGTTTAAAAGAGACAGAAACGTCATAGAAATTAACATTTCATGACACATGAGACAAAAATTTTAGGCTCTTGCTGAACTCCAGGAGCTCTCTGCACATGAGGACTAGTACTGCGTTGCTGGATATTTTCTTAGTGAAGCTAATGCTCGCCTCAGGTCCCTGCTACTCAGCATTTCCAGAGGGGCCTTGAGAAGTGACAGGCCTAGAGAATGCATGCTAACTTGGCAGTAGTGACAAAGGGGTACTTGGAAGTTATTCCGCGTTCAGAGCAGAGCACAATCAAGAGAATGCTTGATTACTAGGGGGAAAAGAAGGTGAAAAGTGAGGTGTGCCAACAAAATTGCCTAGGCCTTCTGGATTTGGGGCACACTTTTTTGTTAATTATTTTTAAGAAAAATCATTCTCAAATGATATTTCACCCTTTTCCCTCATTTTTATGAAATTCTGCATTTTGGTCAATTTCAAAAAAAAAAGAGTTAAGAGGAGGTAACTGTTGTCTCTGGATCATTGGTTCTCACAGTGCCATATTCATATATTCTTGTGGATACGAGAGTTGTTAGTTTAAAGAATTAATGAAAAGATGTCAATTTTCAATTTTCAAGGTGAATTAACAAAGCAAGTCCTAATCGATGTGACTGGCTTTTGGTTGTTAGACAAGCATGTCATATGTATGTATGTATGCCTTCATTTCATCCCTGTGCTCTTTTGTTTAAATAAATTATGTTAAGAGAAAACTGAAATGGCAGGAGCTTACCAATGCCTGGGGGTGTGTGAAACGGCCCTCATTCCCCATAACTGTGGGAAATCATTCCACCATGGGCCCAGACCAGAATACTAGCTTTAGTGACTTGCACTGTTTTAGGTAGCAGTGTGAAGACTAGTCATAGGTTTTATTGCTGTAACTCAGAACTTATTTAAATTATGAGACCCCGTGTTTATCACTTGAAAGTAGAATTAGAAATGACTTGGCTGGGCACGGTGGTTCACGTCTATAATCCCAGCACTTTGGGAGGCCACGGCGGGCAGATCACTTGAGGTCGGGAGTTGGAAACCAGTCTGGCCAACATGGAGAAATCGCGACTCTGCTACAAATACAAAAATTCCCCGGGCGTGGTGGCATGTGCCTGTAGTCCCAGCTAGTCAGAAGGCTGAGGCAGAAGAATCCCTTGAACCCGGGAGGCGGAGGTTGCAGTGAGCCAAGATTGCACCACTGCACTCCAGCCTGGGCGACAGAGTGAGACTCCATCTCAAAAATAGAAATGACTTTTATTTTGTCCTTTATAACATTTGCAATCTCCAAATGTCCTCAATGAGTTTTTATTTCTTAAAAAAAAACACATTAAAAAGTAATTAAAAATTTAAATATCTAATTCTAGGGTTAGGAGTCAATATTTATATCAAGGGTAGTTTAATTTAGCTCATATGAGTTAAAGAGGAGGAAACATTTGGGGAATTGGCATATTGAGAGTAAGAAAGTTTCAAAAGAAGCGTACCAAAACACTAATAGTGGCTTTTGGGGTTTAAGGTGATTAAAATATATTTTGTACTTGTCTGCATTTTCCAGAATTTCCACTGTTAGCACATATTACATTTATCAGTAGAGAAAATTGCCTTTAGAAGCATTGCTGAGCCCCGTCTGCAGCCCTAGGTGTCTGATTCTGCTTTTATCAATGTTGTGGTTCCTTTCTCTTTGCACCGCAGAGCGAATAAAAAGCTTGGAACTGTTACTACACCATGTTGCTATAAGAAAAGAAAATGCAGAAAAAATTTAGACTTATAGACAGCACTTAAGAATGAAGAACATAGAAAAACCACTTGCGTAAAGTCACTCACGCCAGGGAAGGATCTTGCTAAGTGCTTATTCATTCCACCCCTTCAGTGAAAACAACATTCTCCCAAAGCCTAAAATTTCACAGTTGGAAGTCTTACTTAAAAAGTGCCAATAGCTGTCATTTCTACATTTGAATAAGGTTAGTCATTGTTGCTTTTTTCCTAACACCTAAATCACTTTAGTTCACTGAAGCTCTAGTAGTGTGGGCGTGGGAGTGGGACCATGGAGGCATTTTGCAGCGTGGCATATTCCAAAGCAGGGAGGAGAAATCTGAACCGAGACTGTAGTGAAAGGCTCTGGGAGGCTGGGGGTAAGGCATGTGCTCTAGGTACCTAGAAATAAAGGGGAAGGCCTGGGAAATCCTAGGAGACTTATAGAATGAAGAAGCCACCTATCAGAGGCAAACATCACTTGCTTAGAGTCAATCTGCCGGACGATACAGCCTTGAGGACAGGAGGGATAGAAAAATTAACAAGTCTACAAGGGATGAGCTCAGAAACACCAAGCAGATCCAGATAAACAAACACCCCCTCCAGGATCCTTTACAGTCTGTTGTCTGATACTTGAATTGTATGACTTTATTACTTACCAAAGTATAATACTTCCAGCAGGAGTAATGCTTTTAAAGACACAGCAGAGAATGAGGAGTGATTGTTCATGGAAACAGCATTTATTTCTGGAGTGATACAAATGTTCTAAAATCATATAGTGACAATATTTCCATAACTCTGTGAATATGCCACAACCCACTGAATTGTACACTTCAAAAAGGGTGTTTTTATTATAGTGGATGAAGTAAACTCCAATGAAATTTATTAGATGACCTTCCTTTCCCCTCTTACCATACCTTAAAAAAGATATAAGCAATCATTTAAATCTTACAAAGAATACATGAACTTACAGTGGAGTTCAGGGAAGAAAGCAATGTGAGCAAATAGTTGGAAGACAGAATGCAGAATACTCAAAGGGGCAAAGTCAAAATAACTAGAAAGCAATGAGCACTGATGCCTGACTCAGATCCTCAAAGTCAAAAAAGACCTAATGGCCGCCCTACGGGACATTGGAACACATTAGACTAGTCTCGGGTAGAAAGCTCCACTGTCTAGAGGGCCTTGGCAGGCAGTGTCAACATACAGAAAAGTTCTCGGATGAACTGGAGAGTGTGCTCCCACTAGATCAGGCAATGCTCTGCTGCAAATGTAACTATTTGCAAGCATGTAGGCTCATTTCTGTCACAGACTTTTCAAGAAAATAAGAATAGCCACCTACAGTTTTATGTAATATCAACTTATTAGTTTTGAATGTTGGCAACCAATTGAGAAATGCAATAATTTTTTGAAAATCCCAGGTCAAAAGACACTTGGTTGGTAATTCATAAAACATCACATGGGTGACCCACAACCCCAGGACTAAGCACCAGGACAGGCTGTGGAGTTTAAAGGATGATTTGACAAGCAGAGGAGGCTTTCCAGAATTCTTATGGGAACATTCCATTCTCAAAACACTGTTTACCAAATAAGCCTTCTCTCCACCCTGATTTGTTAGGCAACTGTGCCACATATCAAAACTCCATATATGTAAGTATCTTTTCTGGGCATTCTTTTCTATTTCATTGGTTAATCTGTATGCCTCTGAGCCATTATTAAGTATAGCTGGCAGGTGGGTAAAATCTTTTCCTTCAAATGTGTCCTAGCAATCGTAATGCTCATTCTTTCCAATAATGTGTGTGTGTGTGTGTGTGTACGTGTGTGTGCATGTGTAATGCCACTAATCTCATCATGGGGGCCTTACTCTCATGACCTCATCTAAACCAATTTAGCTCCCAAAAGCCCTGTCTCCAAATACCATCTCACTGGGAGTTAAAGCCTCAGTGTATAAATTGGGGGAGAACACAAACATTCGGTTCACAACAGTCTCCAAACCCCCAAGGCCTATCCCTCTAAGAAGATGCACTTCTCATCCTGCTTGGGGTCTGACTCTGCTCTGAATCATTTTCCATATGGACACCTCCATTCCCCACTGGGTGAACTGGATGCCTACGCTGGGCCACCCCTTTGTGTGGATGCCCTCCTCTCCCTGACCAGTCTCTGCCTACTTGCTCTGGGCAGCCCCCCTACAGGCACATGCACCTCACCACATTTGGGGTCTGAGAGCCCATCCCCTACCACTGTAGCATCCCTTCCCCTCTTCCACCCGCATGAAGCCTACCTGGCTGTGCTCCACCTAATGACTTTAGAATTGAATTGTTTGGGAAGGGAAAGGAAGAGGAAGAGAAGCCACTATGTTTTTAGAATCATCTTGTCAACTTCCATGAAAAATCCTCCTGAGAGTTCTATTGAAGTTGCTTCAAATCTATAGATTGATTGGTAAGAATTCACATTTTTACAACACTGTCTTCCTATTTATGAGCACAAGGTATCTATTATTTTGTCTTTAATTTCTTTTATTAATGTTTTATGATACTTTGTGTTTAGAGTCTTATATAACCTTTATTAGTCGTATTCTTAAGTTCTTTGTAGTTTTGGTTGCCATTTTAATTTATTTGATGTCTTTTAAAATTAGGTTGTCTATTTGTTGCTGGTGCTCAAAACTCCAACTGATTTTTTTTTTTTTTTTGAGACGGAGTCTTGCTCTGTCGCCAGGCTGATCTCTGCTCACTGCAACCTCTGCCTCATGGGTTCAAGCGATTCTCCTGCCTCAGCCTCCCAAGCAGCTGGGATTACAGGCACACACCATCACACTGGCTAATTTTTGTATTTTTAGTAGAGATGGGGTTTTGCCATTTTGGTCAGGCTGGTCTTGAACTCCTGACCTCAGGTGATCCGCCCACGTCGGCCTCCCAAAGTGCTAGAATTACAGGCGTGAGCCACCATGCCCGGCCTCCAGCTGATTTTTTAATATTGATATTAAATCTAGCCATCTTGCTAAACTCTCCGATTGTTCCCAGTAATATGTCTGCAAGTTGTAATGACAGTTATGCTTTAACGTTTTTTCTTCTGTTATTGAACATATAGGATAAGTGGCTACATTTGAAGTTTCATCATACATATGTAATGTAACAAAGTTTTAGAGTTGAATAATATCCTGATACTTCTCCCAGAAAATTTAAAGATTTAAAAATAGTTTAGCTTATGTTTCCCCCTTATGCCTTATATGATATCGTTAGTACTCTTGTTATTTTATTTGTTTTTTAAAAACCCACATAATAGACATTATTGTTTATATAGATGAAGTTTGTTTGAATTTACATGCCTGTTTATCATTCTATTTTCACCATTATTTCTTATGTCTCAGACCATCCTTCTAGCATGATTCTTCTTGAAGTAGATTTTTCTATTGTATGTTTAAAGTAGGTTACTTGGTGGCAAAATGCCTCAGTTTTATACATCTCTATTTTCTTAGAAATGTTGCCCTTATGATTATTATCTGTTTTATGAACAATAGTATTGCTAGGTACACAATAGGCTGACAGTGGTTCACTCCCAAAAGTTTGGAGGTACATTTTGCTGTCTTCTGGTTCTCGTTTCTGTAGTCAGATGTCTGAAGTGGTTTAACTATTGTTGATTTTCAGGTATCTGTCTTTACTTCCTGGCCGTTTGAATGATCTTTGAGTCTTTGATATTCTGGGACTTCAGTGGGATACATATAAATGTGTAACCTGTTGGGATCTGTAGAATCATGTGTATTCATTTTGGAAAATTTTCCTTAAATACTTTTTTTTTGTTCTCCAATTTTACTTTCTGAGACTTCAGGTAAGTATGTATCAGTCTTATTCTGTCTCAAATGTGGCTTACCTTCTTTTTGTATTTTCCATTTCCTTAATTACGTTACCTATATTCTGGAAAAATTTTTCAGACATATTCTCCAGCTCATTAATTCTCTTTTCAATTGTGTCTGATCTGCTGTTTAACCAAGCACCGAGTTTTTTTATTTCAATGATTATTTTGTATTTCCAAATATTCCATTTCTTTAAATATCTGTTCATTCTTTCAGGTTTCCCCTTTCAACTTTTTATTTTTGCTGAGTGCACGATCCTAGGTTGAGTGTTGTTTATTCCCAACACTTGTAGCAATTATTCCACTATCTTTGATTTATTATTCTTCAGGTTTTAATTATATATAGTATATGACAGTTTTTCACATCTGCTGTCCTAGTGTCTAAATTTATTCCTTCCTTGTTTTTTTTCTTGATTTTCATTCAGAACTTACCTTCTCATTTGTTCGGCAGACTTTATGAAGTCACAGTTGCTTTTAACTTGTGCTAGTCCAGTAGTCCCAACTTGGGGAAGCTTTCCTTCAAAGGAAAGTTGGAGATGCTCCTATCCTAGAAACACTTTGGCCTTCTCAGAACAAGAGACTGAGACTGAGCTTCCCTTTCCTGTATATGTTCAAGTATCTCATGCTGCTTTGGTTCTGTGACTTCAGGGCACCACCCCTCCCTGCTGCCCACAGTCCTGGTGATTTCTGTGTCTCTCTGGCTCCCTGTTGTTGTGAACCCTGACTTCTCTGGCCTGGCTCCCTGCCTCTGTGACCTTGCTCCTTGCCTCTTTGGCCCTGCCTTAGCGCATTTGCAACCTTCTCTCTAATATTCTAGATGGGCCCTTTCATTCCGGTTGGCTCTAAGAAGTAGAAGCATAGGTTATCTGCATTCAATGCTCCTCCCTTTCTGCTTGACTCTATTCACATTTCTTGCCTGTTTGTTTGTTTGTTGGATGAGGGAGGTCCAGAGACCTCTTTTACCAATCTATATAATAAGTAGTGTGTCTAAGAGTTCACTATATTTGTATAAGTGATTGATTAATTGTTGTTAACTGGCAAAGTTATCATGACTGGGAAACAGAACTCTAGATAACTTTCATGTATCTTATAGTGTTTTTTAAAATCCATGTGATGGTGTCTTCCCCCTTCCTAATAACTAAATTTGTCTGTGCTTCCTGACATAAGAGTAGATACATATTGCCTTAGGTCTGCTATTTTATGCCATAGTTTTAATGTTATTTAGAAGGATCCTGTGGCAGTCATATTCTGCTGCTGAAGTATTGAAATGTATTTCAAGAACGTATCAAAGAAATCAGGAGATTTTTTTGTAGGTTTTTTTAGCTTTCATTAAACATCATTGATAATTCAAAATTTTTAATTTTTATCCATGATGACAAAATAATTATGGGCAGAGGAAGATATTCCACACTTACTAAATGAAGCAGAAGATAAATTGAAACAAATAGTAGCATTCCAATATTGGTGAAATTGACCATCAGCAAAATCTCAGACAATGAGTCTTCAGGGTTTGATGTTCTGGAGAGGTTTTCTTGGACTCAAGAATTAATGAGTGAACAATATATTCCTAAGGAAAAGGTGAAAAATGACACTCAACAGGAAGGAATTCATCCACAATGTTTTATTTTCCTAAAAGAACATGTATCAGAATTCTTTCATCTTTTGTAAAATTTGTGCACTAGTATTTACTTGATATAGTTTGTAAATGGACAAATGCTGAAGGCAGGCATTTATGCAAAGGAAATTAGATAATGTAGGAATGAGAAAAAAATCATTCAACTGAGCATTCTAAATGATGTCTGTAAGTCTAAAACTGAAAATATTTTGCAATTATGGAGCAAAGGCAAAGTCCATTTCTCTTTAGCAAAATTAGGAGCCATCAAAGTTTTCAGAATTATTGTGTTTTGATAATGCAAGTGCCCCCCATGAAAAAGAAAGGAAAGAAAAGAAAGAAAGAAAAAGAACTAAAAAATAATAATAATGTATAGCCTTAACTTGAAATCTGGAATCAATGAACAAGATTTATATATTCCAGGTTCATGCATAACTGTTACTAAGCATTTAGTTACATTCAAATTACACTGCCCATTTTTGGTGTAGAGTTGCATATATATTTTTGGGGAGCGTAGAGTATATGGATATATACACGTGTGTGTATGTGTTGTGTGTATGCCTTCAAACCTAGGGTAATAAGGAGTGTTTGGCTTTGCTATGTTTAAGTTCTTAGTAAAATTTCAAATGTTGTTTTTCACTATCCTTTTATTCTTACTTTTGTAAATTATATATTAAAAGTGTCAGTTGAACCCAGATGGTAAATGGTGATGATTTTTCTATTAAAGCTAAACATTCTTTTTTTTATCTCCTTGAGGCTTCAAAGATATATACATATATATGTAGGTAGATAGATAATAAGATAGATAAATGCTCCCTGACTTACAATGGGGTTATGTCAATAAACCTATCACAAGTTGAAAATATCACAAGTCAATATGATATACATATATATATATATGTATATATATATATATATTCTATTGTTCCATACATAACTTTCATTGAAATAGAATATGCTTTTATTTGGCCCTTCCTTCATGTTTCTATATCTTGGTTTCTCATCTTCTCAACTATCCTTAGGTCTATCCCTGTCTTCTATTTCCATTATCTTCTCTCCATGTACATTAATCTCTTGTTCTCTACCTTCTCAGCCCCTCTTCCTGCCATCACCAGCACATGGACTCACTAAGACTCTCTCAAGCCTTCCCCTATAACATTAATGAAATTTTTAGCACTTAATTGTGTGCTTTTTTGTTACTATTTTAGTTTTATTTACTTGTTAATATTTTAGTTTTAAGTGGAGGTGTTTTCTTTTGCTTTAATTTCTTTATGTTTATTTAGCTCCGGAAACTCCTTTTATCAATGTGTTGTTTTATCATCTCATCTGTGATTTATTGCTTCATAGAATTAATGTTCTTTTTGAGGGGCATTAATTATAGGTAGTTTTCCTCTGTTTTCTGAATTTATGTATTATCTCTGAATGAATTAATCATTTATAATTTTTGCTTATTTTGTTCCTTTCTTTAGCCTTCTTGTTGTAGGATTTTTGCTTTTTCCTGTGCTTTTAAAAAAAACTCAAACATATTTAAGAAGAATGATTCACTATATCTTTTTCCAAGATTTAATTGTTTAAATAAGAAAATAAGAGGTTTTTAACCTATTACTTATATAAAGTTTCAAGCATTTTAATAAATCAGCATGCTCATTTATGCTCATGTTTTATAAAATAAAATAGACATTTCAAAGATTAAATAACAGATTCGAAGGAAGTGGAATATATGTATTTATTGATTTTAACATTCATTTTTCTCCATCTTCATCTATCTTTCTAGGTCTTTTGCACAAAATTCTCTACCAATGTAGTGCCTAATGGCCCTGAGCAGTAATGACTCTAGAATCCTGTGGTATCGACAGTAATATCTGGCAACAAATGTGCAGCTAAAAGGCTGGGTATGCTAATGCTCTTTGTGAAGACTTTTCAGTCTCCTTAGAAAGCAGAAGCCCTAGATTTATCTGTTCTCAAGGTCACTAACTTTGCCCTCAATTTTTAAAACATTACTACAAACATACTGTTTGAAAGTTTTTAAAAAGCTATAACTTAATTATGTAAGTTAATAACACTGGTGTATTTGAGGAAATGAGAGATCATTATTAAAAACAATTATGCATATATTTTAAATGAATATCTATATGGCGTATAAAGTTTTGTTTATATTTGTGAATGTGTGTGTGTGTGTGTGTGTATACATATACATAAAGGCAGGAACTCTGACTTTGCTGCCATTGATTCCTCATGGCATAACACAATGCTTGGCATATAGTCAGTATAAGATAAATATTTATAAAATGATCTCTCTCCCTCTGTCTCTCTCACTCTCCTTCCTTCTCTCTTCCTCTCTCTCTCTCCCTCTCATTTTTTATGGCCTGCAGTGGAAATAAAAATAAGCTATTTTGAGGCTCTGAGATACAAGTTTCAAATGTGACTAAAAATAACTAAGCAAATAAACTCATACTTAAAAAAACTAAACTATTTTGTGATCATTATAAATTCACATGCAGTTGTAAGATATAATAGAGGGAGATCCTTCATATCCTTCACCCTCAGTTGTAGCACATGGTGAGCTATAGCACAATATCCCAACTAAGATATTGACGTTGATACAGTGATAGAGAACAATTAATTCCATGGTGGTGAGGATCCCATGTTACCTTTTTGTAGTCACATCCACTTCCCTCCCACCCCCAACCCTTCATCCTGAACAACCACTAATCTGTTATTTATTTCTATGTTTTTCATTTCAAGAAGCTTATATAAATGGAATCACATAGTGTGGAACCTCTTGGTATTGGCTTTTTGCATTCCTCATAATTCTCTAGAGATTCTTCCAAATTGTGTGTATAAATAATTCATTTATTTTTACTTCCGAGTAGTTTTTTTTATGGTGTGGATATAGCACAGTTTACTTAACCATCCAGCTACTGAAAGACCTCTGTTTTTTTTAGAATTTTTGGCTCCTAGGAATAAAGCTGCTATAAACATTCATGTACAAGTTTTTGTGTGAGCATAAGTTTTCGTTTATCTGGGATAAACGCTCATGAGTGAAATTTCTCACTCATGCAGTAGTTACACAGTTACATTTTTAGGTTTTTTGTTTGTTTGTTTGTTTGTTTGCTTTTTGAAAATGCCAAACCACTTTCCAGGATGGCTGTACCATTTTACAATCTCATGAGAAAGATATGAGTGTTCCAGTTTCTCTACATTGTTGCCAGCATTTGGTTTTGTCCCTATTTTTTACACTGAGTCATTCTGATACGTGTGTAATGATATCTTTGTACATTTTGATATACACTTCTTGGATGGTTAGTAATGTACATCTTTTCATGTGTTTATTTACCATCTATAAGTCAACTTTGGTAAAATGTCTCGGTGTGATTTGCCTATTTTTTAATTGAATTATTTGTTTGTTGTTGTTGTTGAATTTTGAGAGTTCTTTATGTATTCTAGGTGCTAATCCTTTGTTGGATATGTAGTTTAAAAATAATTCTTCCCAGTGTATACTATGTCTTTTCTTCCCTTTAACAGGGTCCTTCACAAAGCAAAATTTTAAATTTTTGATGAAATATAGTTTTATCAATTTACTATTTTATGGTTTGTGTTTTTGCTGTCAAATCTCCTCAGATTTACTCTTTTATTTTTTCAACAAGTTTTATAGTCTACCATTATATATTGGAGTACTGGGTCCATTTTAAGTTAATTCTTTTTTAAGGCATGAGACCTGAGTTCTTTTGCCTATAGATATCCACTTAATTACTCCAGTACCATTTGCTGAAATGGCTGTCTTTTCTCCATTGAATTGATTTTGTATCTTTGTCAAAAATCAGCTGGGGATATTTGTTTGAGTCTATTTTTGTGTTCTCAATTCTGTTCAGTCAAACAATGTGTCCCTTTTTCCACCAATACCACACCATCTTGATTACTGTAACTCTGTAATAAGTTTACAAATTAGGTAGATTGATTCTTTCCACATTTTCTAGTTCAAATATGTTTTAGCTATTGTAGTTCTTTGCGTTTTGGCATAAATTTTAGAATAATCTTATTCATATTTACAAACACCTTGCTAGGATTTTTAAAGAAATTGTGTTAAACCTGTATATATTTCAGGAAAATTTACATCTTTACTATGTTTAGTCTTTTAATCCATGAGAATATGTATGTGTGTACATATATATACACGTGTGTGTATAAGAATGTCTTTCTATGAATATAGATTTTTGTTGATTTCATAATACCAAATATTTTGTTGGTTTCATAATATTTTGTAGTTTTCAGCATGTAAGTTCTGTACATGTTTTGTTAGATTTATACTCAAGTACTTAAATTTTTGTGATTGCAAATAATATTATATTTTACATTTTTGGTGTCCACATGCTTATTGCTAGTATATAGAAATATAATTGATTTTTAAATGTTAATCTTGCATCTTCTGTCATTACTGTACTCTCTTATTAGTTCTAGTTTTGTGTATGTATGATTCCTTGGGATTTTGTACATAGAAAATCATATCATCTGTAAATAGAGGCACTTTTATTTATTTCTTTCCAGTTTACACATCTTTTCTTTCCTTTTCTAGACCTATGCACTGGCTAGAACTTCCAGCACTATGTTTAACAAGAGTGGCAAAACAGACATTCTTACTTCTTTCCTGATATTAAGGGGTAATCATTCAGTCATTAACCATAATGTATAATGCAGGTTTTTGTAAAGCTGTTTATCAAATTGAGGAAGCTCCTCCCTACTGCTATTTTTCTGGGAGTTTTTAAAATCATACATGTGTGCTAAGTTTTGATAAACTGCATTTTCTACATAGATTGATATTATAACGTATTTTCCTTTTTTAGCCTGTTAACGGTGAATTGCACTGATCACTCGTCAAATATTAAACCACTTCTGCATTCCTGGAATAAAATTCCCTTTGTCATGGTACATAGTTTTTTGTACATTGCTGAATTCTGTTTGCTACTAACTTGTTAAGGGTCTTTGTGTCTCTAATCCTGAGTATTCTAGGTCTGCAGTTTTTTTGTTTTTGTTTTTTGTTTCGTACAGCCTTATATTTCTGTACTACCTTTGTCTGGTTTGGTATCAGGGTAATACCAGTTTCATGAAATGAACTGAGAAGTGTTCTTCTATTTTCTGGAGGAAGTTGTATAGAATTGGTGTTTGTTCTTTAAATGTTTGGTAGAATTACTCAGTGAAAACTTCTAGGCCTGGAAATTACTATATTGAGGTTTTAAAATTATGAATTCAATTTCTTAATAGTTATAGGGCATTTCAAATTATCTGTATTGGGTGAGTCATGGCAGTTTGCATCTTTTAAGGAATTGATCCATTTTTATGTGAGCTATCAAATTTATGTGTACAGAATTGTTTACAGTATTTCTTTATTATCCTTCTGATGTCTTCAGAGTCTGTAGTGGTATTCCCACTTTTCTTCCTGATATTGGTTATTTGTATATTCTCTCTTGTTTCTTTATTAATTTTGCCAGAGGTATGCCAATTTTACTGATCTTTTCAAATAACCACTTTTTGTTTTCACTTATTTTCTCTGTTGTTTTTCTGTTTTCAATTTTATTGATTTTTGCTCTTTATTATTACTTTTATTTTCCTTGCTTTGGTTCTTATCTAGCTCTTCTTCTAGGTTTTTGAGGTGAGAACTTAGGGTATTAATTTGAGATTTTTTAAATCTTTTTTCTAATGCACACAGTGCTAGAAATTTTCCTCTCTGCACTCTTTTAACTGGGTTGCACAAATTTTAATATGCTGTATTTTCATTTTCTTACAGTTTAATGAATTTTTTCATTTCCCTTGTGACTTGCTTTTTGACTCATGAATTATGTAGCAGTGTGTTGATTAGTTTCCAAGTATTTAAAACTTTCCTGTTATCTTTCTGTTATTGACTTCTGATTTGATTCCATTGTGGTTTGAAAACACACTTTGTATAATTTCAATTTTGAAAAATTTGTTGAGGTTTGTTTTATGGTTCAGAATGTTGTCTTAGTGTATGTCCACTGACCATTGAAAAGAATGTGTATTCTGCTTCTTATGTATTGGAATTTCTCTAAATATCAATTTGATCTTTTTTGTTAATGGTGTTGCTGAATTATTTCATATTCTGGCTGATAGTCTGTTTAGCTGTTCTATCAACTGTTGAGCGAGGGGTGTTGAAGACTTCAACTATAATTGTGAATTTGTCTATTTCTCCTTTAAGTTCTATCAGTTTTTGCCTCATGTATTTTACAGCTCTGTTGTCTGACCCATACACATTTAAGACTGCTATGATTTCCAGGTGAATTATCCTTTTTTCTCTATATAATGCTCATATCTGTCTGGCAATTTTTCTGGCTCTAAAATCTACTGTATCTGCTGTTACTATAGCCACTCCTGCTTTCTTTTGGTTAATGTCTGCATGATATACCTTTTCCTCCTCTTTCTATCAATCTGGCCATATCATAGTTGAAGTAAATTTTTTGTAGATAGCATACAGTTGAGTTCTGTTTTTTTGTGAAACATTAGCATGGGTCACTCCGCCAACACTCGCCTTTTAATTGATGAATTTAGACCATCTACATTTAATTCATACGTTAGGGCTTAACTCTGCTTGTTCAGTTTCCCTTCCTCCCTCCCTCCCTTCCTTCCTTCCTTCCTTCCTTCCTTCCTTCCTTCCTTCCTTCCTTCCTTCTCTTCCTTCCTTCCCTCCCTCCCTCCTTCCTTCCTTTCCTTTTTTTTTTTTTTTTGAGACAGTGTCTCACTCTGTCACCCAGGTTGGAGTGCAGTGGCGCAATCTCGGCTCACTGCAACCTCTGCCTCCTGGGTTCAAGCGATTCTCCTTCCTCAGCCTCCCAAGTAGCTGGGACTACAGGCGTGTGCCACCACGCCTGGCTAATTTTTTGTATTTTTAGTAGAAACGGGGTTTCACCGTGTTAGGCAGGATGGTCTCGATCTCCTGACCTCGAGATCCGCCCGTCTCAGCCTCCCAAAGTGCTGGGATTACAGGCGTGAGCCACCGCGCCTGGCCCTTTCTTTCTTTTCTTTTCCTTTCTTTCCTTTCCTTTCTTTTCCTTTCTTTCCTTTCTTTCCCTTCCTTTCCTTCCTTTCCTTCCCTTCCTTCCCTTCCTTCCCTTCCTTCCCTCCCTTCCTTCCTCCCTTTCTTTCTTTCTCTTTCTTTCTTTCTTTTCTTTCTTTCTTTCTTCCTTCCTTCCTTCCTTCCTTCCTTCCTTCCTTTCTCTCTCTCTCTCTCTCTTTCTTTCTTTCCTTCTTTCTTTCTTCCTCTTTCTCTTTCTACTGTGGTTTTGCTCTGCTGCTCAGGCTGGAGTGCAATGGCACAATCTCAGCTCACTGCAACCTCCGCCTCCTGGGTTCAAGCAATTCTCCTGCCTCAGCCTCCCGAGTAGCTGAGATTACAGGTGTTTGCCAGCATAGCCAGCTAAATTTTTTTGTATTTTTAGTAGAAACGAGGTTTCACCATGTTGCCCAGGCTGGCCTCCAACTCTTGACCTCAGGTGATCCACCTGCTTTGGCCTCCCAAAGTGCTAGGATTACAGGCGTGAGCCACTGTGCCTGGCACAGTTTCTGTTTATTTCTGTGTTTCATTTTTCTGTTTTCTTTTTCTTGCCTTTCTGTGAGTAACTTGAACATCTTTTAGAATTATATTTTAATTTCTCTACAACGTTTTCAATTGTGCCTTTTTGCATAGTTTTTTAGTGGCTGCTCTAGGTATTATAGTATGTAGTCATTATACCAGTTTGAGTGAAGTGAGGATATTTTACCTTTTTATGCCCCTTTACACTCCACAATTCAGAATATTATTGTCTTATATATTTCCTCTACATACATTTAGGACCACACCAGAGAGTGTTATAGTTTTTTGCTTCAATCATAAATCATGATTTTGAAAACTCAGGAAGGAAAGTCTATTGTATTTACCCCAATTTTGGCTTATTATGTTCTTTCTTCCTTCCTGATGTTTTCAATTTTCTTCTTTATAAAATCTTTTCTGTTTAGAGAACTTCCTTTAGAGATTCTTTTAGGGGTGACTCTCTGGCAATAAGTTCCTTTAGTTTTTGTTCATCTGAGACTTTCTTGATTTTCCCTTTGTTTCTCAGAATTATTTTCAATAAATATAGGTTTCTGGGTTAAAAGTTCTTTTCTTTTTCAGCAGTTCAAAAATGATTGCTATTTCCCTATGGTCTCCATGGTTTCTTATGAGACATCTGATGTCATTCAAATTATATTTCCCCTATAAATGGGTTATTTCTGTCCTACTGCTTTGAGGGTTTCCTTTATCTTTGATTTCTCAGTGGATTTCTTGGCTTCATCATTTGAACTTCATTCAATTTCAAACTGTAAGTTTATGCCTTTTACCAAATTTGAGAAGTTTTTAGTCATTATTTCTTCAAGTATTGTTTTAGTTCCATCTGGTTTCTCCTCTCTTTCAGGGACTTTGATGATATGAATTTTACATCTCTTTTAAGTCCCACAGGCCTAGTATGCTATGTTCTCTTTTTGATTTTCAATCTTTTTCTCTTTATTGTTCAGATTGGGTAATTTTTATTGTTCTGTCTTCTAGTTCACTGATTTTCCAGTTTTCTTCAAATTTGCTGTTAAGTCTATTCATGAGTTTTTTTTTAAAATGTAGCTTATTGTGTTTTAAATTCCTAAAATTTTCATTTGGATTATCTTTATATTATATCTCCTACTTCTTTGCTGATAATCCTTTTTTCACTTATTTAAAGTGTGTTTTTACTTGCTCATTGGAGTATTTTTGTGATGGTTGATAATTCTAACATCTCTGCCACCTTGGTATTGACATTCGCTGATTATCCTTTTCATTCAGTTTGAGATCTTGGTTCTGGGTAAGACCAATAATTTCCAATAGAAATTTGGACATTTTGGGTATTATGTTATAAGACTCTGGATGTCATTCAACTTTCTGTTTTTGATTGCTTCCTTTGTCAGTGCTCCAGTGGAGGGAGAAGAGGCACTGCCTCATTACTGCTGCATGAGGATAGAAGCCCAAATTTCCCACATGGCCTCCGCTGATACCCCAAGGGTAGTGACTCCTTGTTACCTCTGGTCAGGGGTGGCAATTTGTTCCCCACTGAGCCTCCACTGAAAACTTCCTGGCTGAGAGAGGTATGAATACCTTGTTACAGCTCCCCGCATGACCTCTGCCAACAGCACCTTAGTGTGGACAGGGAGCAGAAGTGTAGGCTCCTCATGTGGTCTCTCCTAACATCACAGGGAGGGAAGGGCCCTTGTTACTACCTGGTGGAGGTGAAAACTCTGGACTCAACTTTCCCTAACACCAGCCCCGCAGCAATGCTAGAGTCTGCAAGGGTGCAAGTCTAGGCTTCCCTCTCAGCTTTTCGTGACATGGATGAGAGTAGACTCATAGTTTTATTCACGATGTTCGGCTGGAGTAGAGTGGTTATTGTGTGAAAGCATTCTATCTTGCTAGGCTGCCTCTTTCCCGTTCTTTGGCTTAAGAGAGCAGGGTTTTGTTGGGGCGTTTTCTGTCTGTGCCTATTGACATTTCCAAGTTGCTGCCAAAGAGAAACTCAGGAAACCCGCCACCATGTTATTCTTTGGGTTCCAAAGTCCCTAGTCAGTCTACTTTTTTCCCCTCCTTTCCAAGTCTTACACTTGTTATATATATATAACGTCCAGAGATTTTAGTTGTATATAGAGATAGGAAAAGGAAAAAAATCCATCCACTGCATCTCCCTGGAAGTGAAAGTCTCTGCAAATGTTTTTTTTTAATTAAAAAAAATTTAATTTTCTCATATTTCTCTTGATGAAGCAACTCCTTCAAAAGCATGCCAACTTTGTAGACTTCTTAGAAATAATAATGTATTAAACTTGCTTCAACAAATATAATGATAGATTATTTAATGTGTATAAAGATTCTTTAATAAACAAAAAAAATCCCATAATACTCACCCAAATCCTACAGAGGTGCTTGTAAACAATAACTATGAAAATAAGAATTTCCTTTCCTAATAGATTCCAGTACTTGACAGAGGCAAATTTCTGGAGCATATCTCTGCCTTAATTAGCTGTTGCTATAATAATGCTACATAAAAACCATTCCAAAACTCAGAGACTTAAAACTTATTCTCATGCTTGTGGGTCTTCAGGTGGCTGCAAGTTGGCTGGGCTGAGCTGGACTTCAGATTTCAGGTTCTAGCCTGCTGTCTGGGTTCCTGTCAGGAGACATGTGTTTCTCATCTTCTCAAACCAGCAGCTCCTGGTGCATGTGAATGGCTTCATGTGTCTCATTCTAAAGTTCAGGCTGAAAGGTTAGACACTATCTGAGGCACATTTTTTCCATGATAGATTATCAGGCCACTGATCCCCGCAAGACATTCAAGGCCTCTGCTTGTACCTTGCTTACTAACATTGTGCTGCAATCACATGGCCAAGTCCAATAGCAATGAGACAGGGTACTGTACCCAGCACAAGGTGGAAAAAGAGAGGAGTCACTATTTGCTAATACAAACGCTAGTACAGACTGTCACAATTTCTTTTACTAACCTTGTTCCAATGAGGAAGGGGAGAAAAAGCTAGTTCACATGCCACTTGGAACTTTACAAGTATACTAGGGCCCTTTTGATTTTACTCAGCTATTTAGCATGCTGGAGCCAGTTTCCTTGTCTTAGATCCAAAATTAATCAGTTACTAATGACTCCCTGACCTTTTCCTCATGCCTGCTTTCAAAGTGACCTCTCCAAGTTTGGCCTTCTCCAGCTGCTGTTGTTCCTTCAAAGAGCTATTTTCTCTACTTTCGTATACACCCAAATGCAAAAAAAAAAAAAAAAAAAAAAAAAAAAAAGACATCCTGTTATTCTTTGGTGCAGATAAACATGTGTGTGTGTCTTTTGTAAGGATTTTTGATATGATAACAGAAAGAGGTCCTCTAGAATCCTTTCCCCGAAATTTAATTATTTCTTTTATTGCATTCTTGCAAAATTCCATTTCCTTTGATTCTAAATCTCATAATTTGTTTGCCTAATTGAGATGCTATAAAGACTCTCAAGATCAACCAGTTGTAGGAGTGCAGTAAACGTGGTATTTAATTCTGCCTCTGTCGCTTCCCAGGTGTTTTATCTTGGGCAAGTCAGGAGCCTTTCAGAAGCTATGTTCCCATGTGTGCAGTGGAACTAAAGATATCGATCTTACTGGATTATTGTGAAGATTGAATGAGATTATGCATTTTAAATTCCTCTGTGAAGAGGACAGTGCTGATCAATTATAAATGATTCAAATATAAAAATTGAATGGAAGGGAAAATGCTCATTTTCTCATTTCCCTTTATGTTTATTTCCAGTTCAAAACATTTGGAAACAAATGAAAGAGGACTTTTTATTTAGACAGCTAGAGTTACTTCCTTTTTCACAACTTCATGGGTTGGAGGAAGCTGATGGAGTTAGATTTTCCTCATATCTATTTCATCAAAGATTTAATTCAGGGAATTCACCCATTGGTAAAATCTCCATCACCCATTTGTCTAGTCATGAGCCCTGGTTTTGCCTTATGTGTGTGCTATAAGACCATGCAAGGCCCTGGGCACTCTTCTTTTGGGAATATCCACCCCTCACCATATTAAACAGATTAAAATACATTCACAGCTCACCATAAAAATAGTGAAGTTCTTGTTGTGAAGTCTTTGCTATGAAGATGGAAAATATTTTATAATTTTGCTTTAGAAATTATTTGCTCCAATAAATTTATTTAAATTTTTATTGCATATGTTTTATCAGCCATCATCCTGCCTTTTAGGAATTCTTGAGAAGTAACAAAATCAAACTTAAAAATTACTTATAATGTTACTCTATTTCTATGAATTCTAAATTTAAGAAATATGAAATGAGGTTGACAGGATGTTATATTTTATTGACTTTTAATCAAAATATATTAATTTTTAGGCTTTCTTTTCATATTTGAAAGTGTATATATATATATATATATATATATACTTTATGGGGGGTTTCAAACATTGTCCTAGGGTCTTTAAAATACCATAGTCCTGAGGCATGCAGTCTGGGTAAAAGAAATCGCAGGTGTGTCTCTTTAAGTATTTCCCCTTGTAAAATTTACCTAATACTTCTGGACCTGCCAGACCTCATTGCTGTGTTGGAGCAAGTTAATGCCTCAAACGTTTCCAATGTCAAAATTCAAGTATCCCCAGTCTACCTTCCAACTCCTTGTGTGGGGTAAGCAGAAAAATGATCCCCCAAAGATGTCCACGCTCTAATCCCTGGAACCTGCGAATGTGTTATCTTACATGAATAAAGGGATTTTGTAGATATAACCAAATCATGGATCTTGAGGTGGGGGGATTATCTGGTTGGGCCCAGTGTAATCTCAAGGGTTCTTATAAATGAAAGAGGGACTTGGGAGGTCAGAGAAGGCGATGTGATGATGGAAGCATGGTCAGGGTAATATTAGTACTGGCTTGGGAAATTGAAGAGGACCACAGCCAAGTGTGAGAGCCTCTAGAAGCTGGGAAAGGCAAAGAATGGAATCTCCCCCAGAGCCTCCAGAAGGAACTCAGTTTTGCCAACATCTTGATTTAGCTGAGTGAGATAACTGTAACATAGTCAATTTGTATTGTTCTAAGTCACTGGGTTTGTGATAATTTGTTACAGCAGCGATAGGAAAGTAAGATAGCTTTATGTCATTTGCAAAGCTCTTTTACAATCCTAGGCATCTACCCCTCCATTTTGCTAGTACCTTTCCTCTTCCCTCTTGATCCCAGGTTCTGCTTGCCTTAAACTCTAATCCCTTAGCCCCAGGATCCTCTGTGAATGCTTCCCACATGGTGTCCTTTGGGGCTGTCTTTGTTTTTATGCACAAGTTCCCTTTTTTCTCCTCCCTTCTACACAGTCTTTCCTTACCTTCCCCTAAACCTTCCTACAAAAACACTCTCACTAATACAGACGAAAATTTACTCTGCATGTGGTCTCAGCCTGGTCTTCAATTGGGGAGCTGAAACAAAAATATTTATTTGAAATATCACGCTTTATTTGGGAGGCTGAGGCGGGCAGATCACAAGGTCAGGAGTTTGAGACCAGCCTGGCCAACATGGTGAAACCCCATCTCTACTAAAAATACAAAAATTAGCTGGGCATGGTGGCACGTGCCTATAATCCCAGCTACTCAGGAGGCTGAGGCAGGAGAATCGCTTGAACCCGGGAGGCGGAGGTTGCTGTGAGCCAAGACTGCACTGCTGCACTCCAGCCTGGGCGACAGAGCGAGACTCTGTCTGAAAATAAAAAAAAAAAAAAGAAAAAAAAGAAAAAAAGGAAAGAAATGTGCTTTAATGTCAAAATCAATAAAATATTTAGTACTATTAATATAATGTTTTAAATATCTTGTCAGTTCAAATGGTTTTTTTGCCTCCACCTGCCCTTAGGGGTAAAACGGATGCTCCATGAAGGTGTGTCTTGTTCACTTTGGACCTTCCTTGACTCGTGGCACAAAAGCTGAATTTCTTTGCATATACTAATACCTGAAGAGCCAGGTGTTAAACACAACCTGGATTTGCCCCCATGTGTTGTTATTTGTCAATCAGGACTCCCGCATTTTTCCTTTCTGTTCTGTTGTCTTCTTCATGCATGAACTACATGTTGAGTGTGATAGGGGAGAAGCTTCTCCTAACAAACTGGATTTGCCCCGGGGTATTGTATTTGCCAATCAGGAACTACTGCATTTTTACTTTCTGTTCTTTTGTCTTCTTCATGCACAAACTACATGTTGAGTGTGATAGGGGAGAACCTTCCCATAAAACCTAAAATGGCAAAGTAAAAAGATTAGAGTCAATTCTCAGCAAGAAGGACAAAAGTACGTGAATTTAAATAGCCTTTACATAGCACATCACTTATTGAATCTCCTGGAAACAGTCACTTTTTCGTCTTCATGAAAATAATGAAAGTCAGCTGCACACAGATTTTCCAGCAGTGGGCATTGGGGACTAGAATAAGCACATTTTTCAGCTAGGCTGACTCATCCACATCTATTGGAATGAAGATCTCTGCCAAGTATGGCTGAGGAGAGGAAGATGTAAAAACTATTTGTTTATATCATGTTTTTTATCCTCATGCAAAGGTATTTATGTGATTTGTGTAAGAACGGCAATTAATTTTCATGTATTTCTTCCTTGGGTTTTCCCCAATTTCCACATAACACTGGCTACTCAGTGGAGGAAGACTTTTCTGAAAAGAGATTTAAACCCTTTCCAATGTTATTTTTGAATCATTCTATGTAGATTTGACTAAAGATGAGGTTTTCACTTGCCTTTATGTACTGTGTATTTGAACTGCTCATAGAATCCCTTGTTCTTTAAATACGCTGTGCATTCATGGATAAAATGAAATCTATATGAGATCTCTCTGAGGATTTTTGTTATTCTTATGCTTGTCTTCTGAGCATCTTCAAGTAATTGATTTTTACCCAGTAACTGTAAGTAGTCAGTTTTTATAAAAAGTGGTTACTTTGGGGGAATTGGCAAGAGGGAAACTAGTAATTGAGGATGCAGTTTATATATGTCATGTAGCTCAGAGCATGAGGTATGTATTAGTTTTTTTACAGATTAATTTAAATAAGTGAAAGAAAATAGAAAAGGAAAAGAAAGTGGTCACTGTACTGAGCTCATAAGAGAAGTGATGCCACACAGAAAAACAAGCACACAGAAACTTGTCTTAGCATTCTGAGGACTCATTAAAAAATGAGTTGCATCTGACAGATGTGTAGTTGTATGCATTTTTAATCTCAGCCATATGGAGGCAGAAATCCTACTAAAACAGTGCTATTTCAAACAGTTATATCTATGGAAATGCATATAAATAATGCTTCTCATTCAAAGATGAAAGGTAAAACAGGCAACTAAACTGTTCCTATAAGTTTAAATGAGATGCCCAACAAAGAATTGTCAGTAAGGGATAATTGCTGTAAGTCTTCAGTAGACATTAAGATTCCATGTACTTTTCTGTTTAATTTTAGTGAAAATTGTGTTACTGCACTTTGACTTTGTAATTTACAAAACCTTTTAATTTTTTGGAACTAGGACATGACTCTAAATACCATTATAAATAATGAATCTTGTATGACTGGGTACATTATGTCAAGGGAAATTCCCTGCCCCTCATGAACCTAATATCAGAGCATCTAGATCAGCGAAAGAATTCTAAGAGCTTCCTAATATCAAACAGGTCTTCTTATCCAATTCCATCCAAACACAGAGGCCAAGACTTCTAACAGCACTAATAACTCCAACAGCAGATATGTGTGTGTGTGTGTGTGTGTGCTCATGTGTGCACGCTTTTGTGTGTGTGTGTAATTTTTAAAACTTTTATTTATTTATTTATTTATTTATTTATTTATTTATTTTTAAGTGGTGAAGCCTCACTATGTTGCCCAGGCTGGAGCACAATAGCTGTTCATAGGCAAGATCATAGCTCACTGCAGCTTCCAGTTCCTGGCCTCAAGCAATCCTCCCACCTCAGTTTCTAGATTAGCTGGGATTACAGGCACATGCAACCTAGTTATATTTTACTACAACTAAGTAACTAGTTTAATCAATTGTTTTTGCTAAATTAAACTTCCGTGCTGTGGTTTGAATGTGTCCCCCAAAGCTCATGTGCTGGCAACTTAATCCCCAATGCAATAGTGTTGTGATGATCCATTCTTGAGGGTCATGAGGTCATGAGGGCTGTGCCCTCTGGAATGGATTATTGCCATTAATTTGAAAGTAGGTTAGTATTTGCCTGGGAAATTGGTTCCTTATAGAAGGATTTCAATCTCTTGCTCTCTCTTGCTCTCTTACCCTTCTGCCATCCACCATGGGATGAAACTGCATGAAGGCCCTCATAGAGGTGGACCCCTTGATCTTGAACTCCCCAATCTCCAGAACTGTAAGAAATAAATTTATTTTCTTTAGAAATTACCAGTCTATGGTATTTTGTTATAGCAACACAAAATGGGCTAATATATTTTGTGAAACAGCTGATTTTCTCCCCAATTTAGCAAAGTATGAATCCAATAGATTAGGCAGGCTGTTTACTTTTACACAAGACCATACTCCCTGATGAAGATGTACTAGAATCTTTTTCTTCTAATCTTTTTATGTAAATAACATCCAGCAAATAAAGCTGAATTTCTAATTAGCTTGCTTTCATTCAGAATTTTTAGAAACTACTTTTAAGTTTAAAAATATAATCACATATGTGTTATACAAATAATTATACATTATATGATATATAACATAATTTATATATAATATGCCTATAAAGTAAAAGCCACAGTAAATGCTGACACTGGCATTGCAGATGTAAGATTTCTGTAGTCAATTCTTATTTTCTTTAAAATTGCTTATTGGGTTTTCAAATAATAAAAAATACAAAGCAAGGTAGATTATAGAAAATAACTAAAGAAATAGGGCCATTTAGCATCTATCACTAGCTGAGTGACTTTTAACAAGTTCTTTAGCCTTCCTGTGGCTTTATTTCTTTTGCTGTAAAAGGTTCCACTTGTGAGATGATGCATATAAGACATGTAATACAATGCCTAGCACACAGTAAGAACTCAATAGACTTAAATTTTAAGTAAATTAAGCCCCATACCAGATGTGTGAAATACAAAGAAATCATGACTACATTCTATACTGAATATAGAGAAAACTTAAAGCAATAAGATTTTTTTGTAGGTTTAATGGAGCGTTATCAATAGTATTGCTTTCTACTTTATATGAAAAATAATACATGTTGAAACTCCTGCAATCTTCGGTTGAAGTAAGATAAATATGACATAAAGGAAGATCAGCTGGCTGCTGACATGGCACCTCATGAGGTGGAAATTTATTAGTGGGGTCACTGGGCTCTGGTTTTGTAAGTGAAGAAATTTGATTTTATGCAGATCAGAATAATTCAGATTGTCTAGAATAGATTCACACTGAATAGCATGACAAGGGTGGATATGTAAATCAAATGCCAATGTGTTAATTTGCCTTTCTCAAGTACTGAAATACTTGAACTCTCCATTGAGGGTACCAATAGTGAATGAGATGTGTGATTTGGTAAGGATAGGAAAAAAAAAAAAGAAAACATTAGGAAATGGGTGGTTTAGAGGATGTATATGCCCTAGACGGGGGGAAAACGTCACAAACTTTTCCTCTAACAAAGTAAAGTACAACTTTCTAATTAGTAGAACACTCTTTCCTGCTAGTTGCAAGCCCTGCTGAGCTCACAATGAAGAATCAGCATCAGCCTCCAGCCCTGTGAGTGAGCCACCTGGAATGCCAGCCCACATTAGATGACTGTAGTCCCAGACTTCATCTGACCACAAGTGTATGAGAGATGCCAATCAAGAGCTGCCCAGCTGAGGGTGGTCAAATCATAGAACTGTGAGAGATAATAATAAATTGTTGTTTTAAGCCACTAAGTTTTGGGATGGTATGTAATGCAGCAATACATTCTAGAAACAATCATCTCCTGTTCCTCAATCCATCTTTTGCTTCAACTAGATTATGATATTCAATAAACTTCCTATTCTTTTTTTTTTTTTTTTGAGACGGAGTCTCGCGCTGTCGCCCAGGCTGGAGGTGCAGTGGCGCGATCTCGGCTCACTGCAAGCTCCGCCTCCCGGGTTCATGCCATTCTTCTGCCTCAGCCTCCCGAGTAACTGGGACTACAGGTGCCCGCCGCCACACCCGGCTAATTTTCTATATTTTTTAGTAGAGACAGGGTTTCACCGTGTTAGCCAGGATGGTCTCGATCTCCTGACCTCGTGATCCGCCCTCCTCGGCCTCCCAAAATGCTGGGATTACAGGCGTGAGCCACCACACCCGGCCCCTATTCTTTTTTATTCAATATTTTTGGATTACTTTTACAAGACCTTTTTATTCATTTATTCATGTAACATATATTTATTGCTTCTATATATCAGGTGCTAGTCTAGAAATGTCAAATCCCCTTCCTTTACAGATCTTATATTTTAGTGATGGAGACAGACAATAAACAAGATAAGTTATTAGGGCTAAGAAGAAAAAATAAAACAAGCAAAAGATAAAACATGCAACGCTGAGGGATGAGTGGAGCAGTGGAGATGTTATAGAGGGTGGATGAGGAGGCTTCCCTGAGAAAGTGAGTTAAGACCTGCAGGAAGTGAAAGAGCTAACCTAGTGAATAACTCAGGAAATTCGAAGTGTGTCTGGTGGAAAAGAGGACAGTGCAAATAGAAAAAAGGATGAAAGTAATAAGAGATGAGGCTAAGAGAGATAATGTCGAGCCTTTTAGGTCATAGTTAGAATTGTGACTTTCATTTTGAATAAGACAGGAGTCCACTGAAGTATTTTACAAAGAGGAGTGACATAATTAGACATGATTGACAGAATCATTCTGAGTATTGTGTTGAGAACAGACGGTAAAGGACCACAAGTAGAGAGACCAAGGAGGAAACCATTGTAGTCAATCAGGTAAGAGATGATGGTGTCTTTGGCTAGCGTGGTATTTGATGAGTGTCAGGGGTCTCGGATATGATTTTACTCCACTTATACTCTAATATGTTAAACTGTAACTGTTTCACAGAACCTGGCAGAAGATATGAGACTCTTGGGTCAGAGACAAAGGACTTTATTACTCAGGGCATAGCAACCAGCATGAGCTTTATGTTTGTGTTGGTTCCTCTTGTACTGCCAAGTCCCTTAGAGGCAATATGGACAGGCCCAGATGAATGCTACATAATTGGTGGGCATGTGTTGCAGCTGAGGAACACTGAGCTTGGGAAATCCATCTCTTTTATAGTAATAGGCAATAAGCAAACCTGCTCTTTGTCCTGGAGGATGGGATTGCCCCAACGCTTCAGGGTGTTTATCACAAACACAACCCTGAGAAAGATCCTGAGTGAAGGGTGGTCAGGGCCTTGCATTCTTGGCATAACTGGCCAGAATGTATAGGGACTCACAGGTGGTTTGTCTGGCAAGTTGAAGTGAGAAGTAGTTAAATTCTGGATATATATTTAAATTAAAGTTAAGATTTGCCAGTGGCTTTAATTTGTGAGACATTTTTCTAAATAATCCAACCTTTTATTAGTTAACTTGAGACCAATTTTATCTACAAGTATTGGGAGTACCTTATATTTACTCCCAGTATACTGAATATACCTACCGTCTAGTTGGATATAATTGACTACATCCCAATTCCAAACCTCAAAATAATATATTCAGGTCACAACACACTTGAAAATCTTCAGATGAAAGAAGAAATTAAACATCTGAGAATGTTACCATATCCCAAATTTGGCAACTGGTGAGATAATGCACTAGATAATATAGTTTATAAAAAGTGGGGACATTATCATTTAAATTTTTTCTAACTAAAGAAAACACTATTTTCTCCTTGCAAAGTCTACCACTTGCATCATCTGCTTCTGAAAGATATCCACTTTCAAACTACGTTTTGCATATGTGCAAATTTCCAATTATACCCTCTTTAACCTTAGAAGGAATGGGACATTATCATTTAAATTTTTTCTAACTAAAGAAAACACTATTTTCTCCTTGCAAAGTCTACCACTTGCATCATCTGCTTCTGAAAGATATCCACTTTCAAACTACGTTTTGCATATGTGCAAATTTCCAATTATACCCTCTTTAACCTTAGAAGGAATTGGACATTATCATTTAAATTTTTTCTAACTAAAGAAAACACTATTTTCTCCTTGCAAAGTCTACCACTTGCATCATCTGCTTCTGAAAGATATCCACTTTCAAACTACGTTTTGCATATGTGCAAATTTCCAATTATACCCTCTTTAACCTTAGAAGGAATTCAAAGATCCAAAGTTGCAAGATAATGCTTGCATTATCAGAAAAAATATTTATCAAATAACAAAATATACAAACATGCTACATAATACACTTCCTTTTTTATAACAAAAATTAATGAAAATAATATTCTACTTGTTGGCATTCAACATTTCAGCAAGCCAAGGTGTGTCTGAAGTTCTTAAATTAGTTTCTCAATCTGGGGAAGTGTTTTAGTTCTTCAGGTTACAATTATACCTAATCAATAAAAAATAATTAAAGCTGAAACTGCTAGTGTATGATCAGTAGAAAGCCTAATTAATATGCTCCATGGGAACATGTCATGCTAATAGAACATTCCTTCATGCTCAACACTGACTAGATATTAGAATCAATTGGTGCTTAGAATACAACACAAAGAATACCATGTCTAGGCCCTGGTCCTGGAAAATTGGTTCAACTGGTTTTGAATGGAGCCAGGCCTTAGGATTTTTTTTAAAAGCTCTGTAGGTGAATGTAATGTTCAGTCATCATTGAGTACCACTGTGCTATTGAATTCCAAAATACCACTCTCCCAAAGTCAAATGTGCGGCCTAGTGTTCTATGTCATTAGACGTATTGAAAATAAAATATTCTCAGCCCGGCATGGCGGCTTATGCCTGTAACCCCAGCACTTTGGGAGGCTGAGGCAGGCGGATCACCTGAGGTCAGGAGTTTGAGACCAGCCTGGCCAACATGGCAAAACCCCATCTCTACTAAAAATACAAAAATTAGTTGGGTGTGGTGGCACACACCTGTAATCCCAGCTACTCAGGAGGCTGAGGCAGGAGAATCGCTTGAACCCAGGAGGCGGAGGTTGCAGTGAGTGGAGATCACACCACTGCACTCCAGCCTGGGCGTCAGAGTGAGACTCCATCTCAAAAGAAAGAAGAGGGGACGGAAGGGGAGAGGAGGGGAGGGAAAAGAGTTCTCATAGAGAGGCATCCTCAAATATCCCAAATCTATTCATTTTCTTTTTCTGCTTAGAACTTGAATAATAATAGTCTTGCCCTTCTTGCTTATTTCCTCTGTGTGCCCTAAACTTCCAAATCTAAAGACTCCTGTTTATCCAAATTGCACCGTCTTCCAAATGTTAATAAGGGGACCTCAATTTGATAAGACTGGGGCTACTCTACCTCTTATGTTACAGTTGAAATTGCCTTCAACATCTCAATTCCCAAGCTTCTAGGAATCCAAAGCTATCTTCAAGATTTCTACAGATTCTTAGAGAATAAGCATTCTCCCAGTCTCTTCAACTTTTTGGCTCAAGTTGCCTCTGCTTGCAACATGTGAACTTCAGCCGGAAACTCAGTCCTTCTTTGCTGCTCGTACTCACTAAACAGTCCCTTGCATAGAATATTCCTGAGTTTTATTACACTTTACTGACCATTCTGGCAATAAGGGAAGGTGGTAAGGAGGGTAATTCTGAGATAAACTGCTAATTGTCTCTCAACATACATTCTCTCTTCCTTCCTTTCAGTAATTCACCACTCCCTTCTCCCCACAACTCAAAGATTTTCTTTGTTTGGAAAGACATGTCTATTCCTAAAAGAAATTCTGATGACAGTTGTTGTGATAATATAAACCATACTACAGCATTTTTGAACAATAATTGGTATATATTAGCCCCTTATATATGCATAGGAAGTATTCTTCTTTCTTTGAAATAGTTTGCTAATATAAAATCTTATTTTTCTGCCTAAAAATATCTTCCAGAATTTGGAAATAAAACATCAAGTAGTCTAAAACCATGGAATTTGACAGGCTTTTAAATTTTTTTTCTGAGACAGGGCCTTGCTCTGTCAGCCAGGCTGGAGTGCAGTGGCAACATCATAGCTAACTGTAGCCTCAACCTTC
The DNA here is from genome assembly GCF_000001405.40 of Homo sapiens. Lineage (NCBI taxonomy): Eukaryota > Metazoa > Chordata > Mammalia > Primates > Hominidae > Homo > Homo sapiens. Next base: position 64,849,562 of record NC_000008.11, read on the forward strand.
TGGGCTCAAATGATCCTCCTGCCTCAGGCTCCTGAGTAGCTAGGACTACAGGCACGCACCACCATTCCCAGATAATTTCCTAATTTTTTTGTAAAAATGAGATTTTGTTATGTTGCCCAGGCTGGTGGTCTTAAACTCTTGGCCTCAAGTGATTTTCTTGCCTCAGTCTCCTGAAGTGTTGGGATTACAGGTGTGAGCCACCTTACCTGGCCAACTTTGTAGATAAACAAATTCAAGTTGTTTGGAGTTTTATTTTCATTTCATCTCAAGATAAAATAAATGAATGCTGATATAACCAGTGGTGCCATTGTTGAAAAACTAACCTCCATAAGCTGGCATCAAATACAAACATCTCTAGTCTCAGCATTTTCTGCTTTCTTGATTGCTTAGGCTCTTTAAAACTAAAATTCTATGACTTTTTGACTAAGCCAGCTATTAAATGATGGTAGAATTGAGTGGTCTGGTAAACAAGAGATTCTGTTTACCTGAAATATTTCATTTATGCCATGAAATATAAACCATTGTTAAAGAGCATACAAAAATGTCTGCCTGTTATTATGGTTACACATTTTTTATCTCAATCTTCTATAAGCAAGAAGATGCAGGCTTTCTATCTCTCCCCATCAACTAAAGCCATGACTTTTGTACTAAATAACAGGCTGGAGGTAAGGGGAAGGGAAGAATTAGGGTGTTGGGAGCAGGCGGGCCATGGTGATGGTGTTCGTATGTGTTTTAAGAGTGTGGCCTCAGAAGCCAGATACCCCAAGTTCAAATCTCAAATCTACCACTAACTATCTGTGTGATATTAGGCAAAATGCTTAACTTGTCCATACCTCAGTTGGAATAAAGATTTGTAAAATAAGAATAATGATTTATTATAATAATGATAGTACCACCTAACAGGGGTATCATGGAGATTAAGGTTCACACAGTGCCCTTAACATATTGTAAGAGTTAAATAAATGCTAGCTATTGTATTAAGAAACTGAACTTATCAGACTTGATATCAACTGAAATTTCAGTTTGTGTGGGTAGGATCTGGTACATAATATCTCATCACTTCTGCAACTAATTATACTAACAGAAGTGACACATTTTATTATCTAAGAGATGAAATGCCATCCCCAATCATAGAAAATTTCCTCTTACTTATTCTTTCTATGGGGGATTACACCCACTTTAAATGAGAGTGAAAATTCTGAAGAAGACATCTGTTTTGTCTTACATGTTATATATGTCTTCATATTCACACACAGATAGCATGTACTTTCCATGTGTTCTAGCCAGGAAAACAGCAGAAAATGTTAGAAGCACATTATACTCTGCATGAAGCATCTGAAGTCAGCAAAAGAACCAAAAAAAAATGATTGTACTGTCAGAGTTAAAAATTCAAAAATATTAATCAACTTTTATAATCATCTGTAGGTTACCATGCATAAATGGCCCTTGTGAATTTTTCTCCCTCATGTCAATGAATTTTATAACTAGCGTTTTTAAAAAAACAAACCAAACATTTAGTCAAGTGCATGGTTCTCACTTATCTCTGATGCTGCGTTGTGGAAATTGTTTTTGAATACTTAAAAAACAAAACTCATCATCATCCTCACCGAACCAGGGTTGAATGTCAGCTTGATGGTAAATGATCCATGGCCCCAAAGTAATGCCTTTGCAGGTGGGAGTGTTCCAGTGAATATTCGGACATGAACTGTCAAAAGGGATATGCACAGCAGTTTCAGCATTCGAGGGAAGGCATATTATTATATCATTGTATAAATGGCCTTTGCCAAACAGTAACATGGATAGGAGAGGGGGCAATCTCTAACCAGCAGTTGTGGTGGAAGGCGACTGCGCCCTCTATCCCCCACTGCATGCGGAAATAAGAGAAATGCTTGAAGTTTAATAAGTTTTCAGATTTCCAGCCACCCTTTTGTTTAAAATCGGTTCTAACTTTTGACTTCTGCATGCTGCGTTTCGTGTTCCACACAGTAACTTTCTTTATTTTGCAGAATGGCATTAACTTCTACTACACTGCCACATTTAACTATGCATTAAGCATCTGGTACAATAGACTAAGCAACACAGAAAGCAGGATTATGCTGTCAGACTTAATAATTCAGGAATATTAACCAGCTCTCATAATTATCAGTAGTTCTTCACATGTAATTGGCCCTCGATGTACATTTCTGTACTTCTGTGTAGCTCTCTGCATAACAGTATAAGGTAATAGTGCCTAATCTTTCATGTAACTAACAGAGTTAATTTGGCTAAATGAAATCAATTCATCAGTGATAGTAGCTCCTTGCCACAATAAAGAATTACTTAATCACACACACACTCAAACACATGTATACACCTTACCAAACAGCTATTTTAAAACAACACAACACACTTATTGCAGGCAGTAACGAAGGAGTAAAAGCTGTTTTGCCTTAGGCAAACTTGAGAAAGGAGGAAAGTAAACCATGTTCAAAACTTTACCTGTGAAGTCAACATCAAGAGCTTGGCTTACTGCAAGCTTTGGTTTGAGACCATTTGCTTCCCTTTTTAATTAAAATGCTTTTGTCATCTGCTGTGACTCTACCTGTACTACTGCAGGACTGTTCAAATCCACTTTATACTTGGTCTTAAACAGCTTAATTGCAATTTAGACAACACATCATTTACCTGCAAGGGTCAGAGTTCAGGATCCCGGGCTGAAGCAGTGAGAACTGGTCAGAAGCTCTTGTTCTCATAATATCCTTATTTGAACACACTAGGTTGAAAGACTGTCTACTGTGTTGATCCTAGACAAATGTCTCTTTAAACATATTACTAATTGATATTAACATTTTCCATGCCTTTGCAGTTTCCTGTTTTCTTCCCTTGCTTTCAATTGCCATTTCCTGTGCATGCCACCACATCTGAGGGAAGTGACTGCTTTTCTCTATGGTGATTTTCTACTATTTATATGAAGTGGGCTTTGAAACAATAGGAATAAATGTGCTTTGAGTGAGGAAGGGAGTTTATAGAGTAGCAAAGTGAATGTACATCAGTACTCCTTCCCTGTGCCTGAACTGTTCAAAGCACTTTGGGTTGCTCTCTGCTGCTTGACTATGTTTCAGATTGATAAAGTTTGCTAATATTTGAACTCTGGTTAGGGGAGCTATCTAGGAAAGATAGTTTTCATATGTTTCCTTTTGTATGTTAAAGGAAGGATCTAGCGAATGCATTTCTTAGAGTGATTGTTTCAGTGACTGACACTGAAGAAGTTCTAGAATCAGAGTGGGTCTGCCTGTCATTAGGAAAGGCACGCTTGGAACTGTTAGAATATATGCTACTTGCTATCTGATAGTAGGCTGCAAAAGCTAGCCTTTTTGTCTCTATAATAGGGTTCCTAGTGAAATAAAAAGAGAAAAGTTCTTAAAGTGAAGGATGTATGTTTTCAGAGGTAAGAATGAGGAAGTAGAAAATATGACAAGCTCATTCATTTGGAAAATCTAGCTCATGAAAAGAAGTGGAATAGTATTTCATTAAAAGAATCATTGAACCGCTCTGAGACTCAGTTTCCTCATTTAAAAAAATGAGAATGGCACTCAACTAACAGAGGTTTTTCTGGGGATTAAGTTAGGTATATAAGGCACTGAGCATGATACATAATAAATACTTTATAAATGATATTTATATACTCCTCTTTTGCTAGAACTCATCAAACAGTGCCCCAATTGGATTTGACTCTTTTTATATTAACATGTTGTGACTAAATTAAATGGTTAAATATCATTATCTAATATTAAATATTATGAATATTGAGTTCAAGACTCATTTTCCTTTACACAATTTGATTATAAACTTAAAACAAACTTAATATTTCCCCAAGGAATTTAGTCAACAGGGAAACATTTTAAGACTTAATTTAGAGAAAAAAATTCAGGAATATATGTTGTAAAATAAAATCTTAAAACTTCAGATGTGATACCTGGTGCATAAATGGCAACAGAACTCCTAAAAAGAGAAAATAAATCTAGGCAATTTATTTTAAAAACATGTTTGTTTCTGTTTATTTTTTTTTTCAGTTTAAAAGAAGTATCCTGATCTCTTCGCACGTGCCAACCACTGTGCCAGGGACAGAGAATACAATACAAAATAGGATATAGCCACTACCTCACCGCTACCTCAAGAATTTGACAGATACAATAACACTTCTTTATAAAAACAATGTAAATGTAGTGATAGAAATAGTCATACACTTTAGGACCACAGATAAAGTGAGCCTGACAGGACCAGCGTAGAAGAGGAGGGAGTCGGGAGAAGCTTCCTGAAGGAGGTACCATGTCAGCCAAGTCTAACGGAAGTAAGTGAAGGCATTCCAGGCAGAGCAGAGCATGGGCAGAAGCATAGCCTGCGAAACAATGGAGTGAGTGCTGGGAAGCACAAGGGCAGGTGGGAGGTAGGGACGAAGCGGGACACAAAGGCGAGATGCTGGAGCAGATCACCTAGAGCTCTGTATGCTGAATCCAGGAGCTTAACATTAACCCTGTGCATGGATGAATGTTTAAATGTTTTCATCAGGGTAGTGAATCAGTCAAATCTGCATTTAAGGTAAAACAGTGACATTGGTACCTAGGCTGAATTGGACAAGGCTGTTGAGGATAAGGTGGTGGAAGGGATGCCATGTATTGACTTTAGGTGAGGAAAAATGAAGACCCAAATTAGGACAATGCTAAATTCGTAACCTATCAATATACTCACATACACACATGAAAAGACAAACATATATTTTTAGGTATTGCAGCACTGTTTGGAAGGCTAGAAACAACCATAGTGTTTTTGTTTGAGTTTAATGCATAGATATAAATATGTAAGATGTTGGTAATTTCAGTGGGGATATGTGGGAGTAGCTGATGAAATCAGAAAATTTTACTTCTCCAGGACCTTCCCAGTCATCTCATATTGAGATCTTTTTTGTCATCAAAGGTAAAATGTTGTTGTTTTTCAAAACAAATTCAAATAGGATAAAGTCTGAGAAAAAGGACAATACCCCCTGATAGATTAGCCTTGCATCATCATCTTAGACTGTTGTTCTCTACTCATGGGTAATCACTAGAGTCATTTGCTATAAATTAAGAATAAGGGAAATATATTGACTATCAACACAATTATTAGATTTTGTTCTGAAAATTCTATTTAATATAAGACAAGAAAAATATGCAATGAGGATACTTGAAATGAGCTAATACATATTTGTATTATTTCTAATTCTGCAAAACATAAGAGATTCAACTGTAAAAACTAATAAAACTAAAATGAATGTTCAATAATGTGGCATATTATGAATTACAAAAATACTACATATATTCTGTATACTAGCAATTGTCACCTACTACCAATGAGGAATAATTCTATTCCTAATGACAAAATTTGAAATATTTAAGACTAAGTTACCAAAGATGTGTAGAAAGCATTTGAGGAAAACTGAAATTTTTTACTGGGCAAGGTTGAAAGAGTAGAATAAATTGAGTGCAATACAAACTTTGTGAATTTAGAGGATTTACCATTTTTAATATGCGAATTCTACCCCCAAATTAATCAGAAAATCATTATGATTCTAATGAAAATACTAATAAAGAAAATTTTAGAACATAACGTAATCATTTAAAAATTTGTGGTAAGCAAAACCGTCTCCCAAATTACCAAGGCAATTTTGAGAATAAGAAGCAAGCAATATAGGTATTTGCCCTAAAAGCAGTTACATCTATGATAAAGCAATAATAATTCCACCTATTTTTTTCTTACTGGTGTTGCAATAGTCAGACATATCAATAGAACAGACTAGATCAGATCCAGCCTCATTATCAACCCCAATGATCAAATAAACTTAATGGTACATAACTTTTGACTTAAGAAATTGGCTAAGATTACAAATATGTATCCTATATTCATACACTCATAAAAACTGATCACAGGGTTCATATTTCCTTTTTATATTTAAATTAATATGACAGGAACCCCACTCCAGTCTTACACCAGTGCTGTCCCTGCTGCCACATATCTCTGGATTCCTGGGGATGCGTACGTGCTCTGAAGTTTGGTTCTGGTGGTCACCTGCCCTGGCCGGTGGTCTCACTCTGGACCACTGTTCCATAACCTCTGCTGGTCTTCTCTTTCCTCACCTTAACCTAAGTGAGGAAACAGACACAGATTATTCTCTTCGGCTGGGTCAAGAACAAACTATGCCCCTTAACTAGATACACTGAAGACCATGTACATGACACTCCCCAGACTGTGGGGTTAACCTGACAGGGGGTGGGGAGCAGTTGAGCGGGACTGAAAGGGGAGTGGGAACTCAGACCTTGCCGGGTCCCTTTTTACTCTTTTGAATTAACAAGAATGTCAAACGTATGCAATAGCCCACAGAACAGTACAATGAACCTTGTGAACCAAGCATGGGCAGGTCTTACCACATACAACTCACAACCCGTCCTGCTGCCTCCTGTGTTATTTTGAAACAAATCTCAGGCATTGAGTTATTTCTTCTGTAAAGATTTCAGAATGTATCTCCCCAACATAGGGATTTTTAAAACATAATCACAAACTTATCACACCTAAAAAAATGATCAACGTTTCTGCAATATCACTAAATGTCTAATAAATGTTCAAATTTAAAAAAAATAACAAATGGGAATTACAGCACAAAAACCATACCACATTACCTGGTAGATAGGACTCTAAGAATCCAGAATTGGCAGCTTTTCTCTTTCACCTTGGGTGTGGCCATGTATCCAAGCTCTGTGGTCACCGCTAACAAGATCAAAAATCTCCTAGCTAAAGCCCATTCATGAAAGACAGAGAGAATATAATCTTTTCCTATTTTATATTTGCATGATCAAAAGGCCAGTTAATTTTTTTTCTCAGAACAAAAGAACAGTCTGTTCTCAAAGGTATTTTATGCCATGCTCCAGTTAACTTGTCTATATTCATGTCTATATTATTTATGAGAGAAAGTGTAATGCGGTGGGCTAGAATCTTGGCTTTGCCTCTGATTACGTGAGTGGACTTGGGAAGGTTATATCATTTCTCTGAGTTTTCATTTTCTTTTCTATAAAATGGGATTAATAACATCTACCTCTTGGTTATTCTAATAATTAAATAACGCACATAGAAAGAATGCCATGTGATGTTTTGATAAATGACAAGTATAATAATATTTTTTAAACTGAACATATGATAATAAATATCACATTTTAGCTTGAATATGAATTGAGTGTGAACACGAACTCTGATTCTAGAGGTGGGAAAAGGGTACTTCAGTCACTCATTAGTTTATTCAACAAATGTGCACCTTACTTTGCAACATTTCGCTAAATACTAAATACATGCTAAATGAGGAAAAATTAGAAAACATTCAAAACAAAAACACAAAGTGCCCCCTACCAATATCACTTAATTTTTGCCCCTATGGACATAAACACTGAGAATATTTTGGCAACCTCTTTTGTTGTTCTTTCTGTCTTTGTAACTCTCTCTTTTGCTGTCTGTGTCAATCAACCAGGTTCCCAGAAGAAAACAGACAGTACACTCACATTGGGACAATTTAAGGACACTTTTTAGAAAGATACTATTTATAAAGATGTGAGCTGGTTGTAGACAAACAAGAAGGGACAGTGTAAACAGCAAGGAACCTGTTAGTACCAAAACGTGAGAGTGTGAAGGGAGGGAGAAGTTCCCAGGATGGAAGATGGAGGAGCTCTGTGAAGACAGCTGCCTGATTCATGGAGATATATGGCAGGTCCAGAATTGCTTTGCAGGGAGGAGGCTGGGGGAATGAACTCTGAAGGAGTCTCTCTCTCCTCCCCTTATGGGTCAATCACCTGCTTCTCCTGGAGTAACCTAGCCAGAAGCCAAAGGGCAAGAGACCACTTACTGCAATCCTCACAGCTCAGCCACCCTAGATGCAGGGCTGGAGGGTGACTTTAAAATCTATAAATCTATTAAGAGAATAAGGACACTTTTGAGAGTGAGTAGGAGTGAATTACTAATAATGCCAATAACTTCAGAACAATGAGCATAAACTGGGAGTGTCCCAGACAAACCAGGCTGTCATCACCCCATGGAATAAAGTCAAGAGCAAATATGGAGGGAAAATAGAAGATATGGTGCTATCTCTCTCTCTCTCTCTCTGTCTCACACACACACACACACACACACACACCCCTATAATTTTATTCTAGTACACAACTTTTATATCCTTTTTCAAATATAGGGGTCTGTCATGAATATTTTTCTATATAATATGTGTTTTCCTAAAACATAATTTTTAATGATATAAAATAACCCTGTATTATGGTGATGCCATAATTGACTTACACATTCTCTCATCTTTGGATGTTTAGATATTTTCTGATTTTCCCATTATAACCCTGTGATGGACATCCTTGAACATAAATTATTGGGTGTATCTCTGATTATTTACTAAATATAACTTGAATAACCACTATGTATAACCTGTCAGATTAAAAAATGAGTATAGGCTGGGCACAGTGACTCATGCCCGCAATCCCAGCACTCTGGGAGGCCGAGGCGGGCAGATCACGAGATCAGGAGATTGAGACCATCCTGGCTAACACGGTGAAACCCCACTTCTACTAAAAAATATGAAAAATTAGCCGGTCGTGGTGGCGGCAGCCTGCAGTCGTAGCTACTCAGGAGGCTGAGGCAGGAGAATGGCATGAACCCAGGAGGTGGAGCTTGCAGTGAGCCGAGATTGTGCCACTGCACTCCAGCCTGGGCGACAGAGCCAGACTCTGTCTCAAAAACAACAACAACAACAAAAAATGAGTATAATGTTGTTCTTACAGGTTATAGTCTGCTGGTGGAGACTTCAAACAGCAGCCTCAACAGTGAAAATATGAGACTTGGTACACCAAAGCAAAATTCCACCCCCTGGGAGGAAGAGGGTCATTGACATCAGGCTACAGCCGTGGTCTTTGCTTTTGGCATGTGTTGTCCTCTCTGGGTGCTCTGGGCTCTGTTTCATGGAAATCACTCTTCCTGCCCATAGATCTTCCATCCATCCAGCTGTCACCAGGCTAAAATGGGGAGGGTGTTGTCTTCCTTTTGTTTAGCTGCCTTACTTTCATAGTGAGCTGTGTGGATGGGCTCAGCCACCCAGGTCCCTTTTGACCTGGGCTGAGGGCAGACACATTTCTTTCAACAGATAGTGTTGGGAACAAAGACCCAGGACAAAACAGTGCTACAGAAGGAACTGTTGGTTAAAGCTAGAGGTGCCAAGGAGCCCAAGAGTGAACTGCAGAGTGGCAGAACCAAGGGCTTATGGGGGTCCGTGGGACAAGCTAGAGGAAAAGCACACAGAAAAAGGTGAGTGATGGGTGAGAGACATTAGATCAGGGCCTGTTGTCAGACTGTTTGTGTATAGGGTGGACTAAATTCAACTTCAAGAACCCTACGGGGACAGAGAGACCCAATGCCAGATCTACACATCCCACTATCTCCTCTTCCATTCATTGTCTACAAAGAAAATCTTTGTTAGACTACCTCAACACCCTGGCCAGATTTGCTTACATTTCTTGCTTCACTTTCTAACCCCATTCAGCTTTCCTTTTTGTTCTCTCTTCCTTCCAGTCTGACTTTCCTCTGATATACTACTCCCTCCTGCCTCACAGGCTGGGCACTTGCTATGCCTTTTGTCTGCAGTGCTCTTCCTTCAGAGCTTTGCAGAGCTGGCTCATTCTAAACCTATAGGTCTAGCTCAAATTGCATTTCTTAGAGGACTTTTCTGATGCCCCAATTCAGATTAACCTCCCCCAGGCACTCTATTCCATTTCCCAGTGTCATTTTCCAAGTAGAACTTACCACCTGCTGAAATTATTAATACCTTGTTTATCTGGTAACCTGTTTACCAAGCATCTAAGTTCCACCAGAGCTTGTCTGCCTTGCTGCTCCTGCTCTATCTCTTATACACAGAAGGGTGCCTGCCCTTGGATAGTGCTCAGTAACCATCTCCAGATGGATGAATACATGGTGGGTTTGCGGCTGAGCTGCTTGCTCTGGGAGCAAGTTATTTTGTTTCTACTTTTAGCAATATGTGGGTCTTCTAGGGGACGATTCCTTTAATTCTGTAAGCATGACCTTGACACCTTGACTAATGTAAACATAATATGAAGTGTCTTTTGAATGGTCAATTCATTCTCACAGGAAAGCTAATAAATAGAAAACTGTCCTCTTTTCTTCAGGATATTGATTTAAATCAATATATACATAATACATAATACATAAAATAATGACACTATTTCAGGAGCCAGCACAATTTCTCACATTATTTACCTTGGAATTGCACATGAGGTTCATCCAATATGAATAAAATTTCAAATGTCAACTTTCAAACTTATAAAGAAACATTCCATTTGGATAGTTTTTTGACATCTGTTTTTTCATTCCTTACTACTCCATAGCAAGTGAATCAGACAAGAGGCCAAAAGAAAGATGACTTTAAAACATCATGGGCTGTGTATAGCAAAGACAATCCTAAGCAGAAAGAATAAAGCTGGAGGCATCACGCTACCTGACTTCAAACTATACTACAGGGCTACAGTAACCAAAACAGCATGGCACTGTTTCAAAAACAGACACATAGACCAATGGAACAGAATACAGAACTCAGAAATAAGGCCACACATCTACAAGCATCTGATCTTTGACAAATCTGACAAAAATAAGCAATTGGGAAAGGATTCCCTATTCAATAAATGGTGCTGGAAGAGCTGCCTAGCCATATGCAGAAAATTGAAATGGAACCCCTTCCTTACGTGTTATATAAAAATTAACTCAAGATGGTTTAAAGACTTAAGTGTAAATCCCAAAAGTACAAAAACCCTAGAAGAAAATCTGGGCAATACCATTCAGGAAATAGGAATGGGTAAAAATTTCATGATGAAAATGTCAAAAGCAAATGCAACAAAAGCAAATATTGACAAATGGGATATAATTAAACTGAAGAGCTTCTGCACAGCAAAAGAAACTATCATCAGAGCAAACAGACAACCTGCAGAATGGGAGAAAATTTTTGCAATCTATCCATCTGATGAAAGTCTAATGTCCAGAATCTACAAGGAACTTAAACAAATTTACAAGAAAAAAACAAACAGCCCCATTAAAAAGTGAGCAAAGACATAAACAGTCACTTCTCAAAAGAAGACATTTATGCAGCCAAGGAGCATATGAAGAAGAGCTCCACATCACTGATCATTAGAGAAATGCAAATCAAAACCACAGTGAGATACCAAATCACACCAGCCAGAAAAAAATCAAGAAACAACAGATGCTGGCAAAGCTGTGGAAAAATAGGAATGCTTTTGCACTGTTGGGAGGAAGGTAAATTAGTTCAACCATTGTGGAAGACAGTGTGGTGATTCCTCAAAGACCTAGAACCAGAAATATCATTTGACCCAGCAAATCCATTATTAAATATATACCTAAAGGAATATAAATCATTTTGTTATAAAGATACATGCATACATATGTTCACTGCAGCACTATTCACAGTAGCAAAGACATGGAATCAACCCAAATGTCCATTAATGATAGACTTCATAAAGAAAATGTGGTACATATACACCACGGAATACTATGCAGCAATAAAAAGGAATGAGATCATGTCCTTTGCAGGGACATGGATGGAGCTGGAAGCCATTATCCTCAGCAAACTAATGCAGGAACAGAAAACCAAACACTGCATGTTCTCACTTATAAGTGGAAGCTGAACAATGAGAACACATGGACACAGAGAGAGGCACAACATACACCCTATGGACTGTTTGGGGGTGTGTGGTGGGGGAAAGGAGAGCATCAGGAAAAATAGCTAATGCATGCTGGGATTAATACTTAGGTGATTGGTTGATAGATGCAGTAAGTCACCATGGCACACGTTTACCTATGTAACAAACCTGCACATCCTGCACACGTACCCCACAATGTAAAATGAAATTAAAAAGCAACAATAAACAAACAGAATCATGGGCTGATAATACATCGTTAATTTTTCTTAGTCCACAAATAATGTGAAATATTATTCTGAAAGTAGAAGCCAGTTAGAGTCCATGTCATCATTTTAGTTAATTGCTCATTTACTTAAGTATTCTATTCAGACATTCATACTTATAGATAAAAAAGTATTTTACAGCATTTGTCTAGTTAGTAAATATAATAGTTGGAAGGGGATACTTATAAAAGTATAACTCCCAGAGTAATTTTTCAGCAACATGAAATGAAATGGACTTTTATCCTTGTCTTATTTCAACTAGAAACATGTTGAATCACATCATTGTTTAGGGTTTTGCTTTCTTTAATTCTTGTAAACTAATTAAGTATCAAACAAAATATTATATATATATATGGAATGAAAGCTTTTGGCATGACGCATTTATAGGTAAGGACATCTTCAGTTTTTGAAGGAAAAGGCCTGCTGATGCTTTTATAAAGGGACTTAGAGCGTTTTGTTTTAGTGCACACATACTTGCTCTCACCATGAGCCTTTGTACCATTCTCTAATGCCGTTGCACATCTGGATGATGTGGAGAGTGATGACATATTGAGGACTATTTTCTGGCTTTCCTTTTTATATACCCTTTTTTTTCTTCTTTAAAAAGAACCATGCAGATGTAACTGTAAAACCTTTATTCTAATGAGAGAGCCGAGAGTTTGGGAGAACCCACCTGGAAAATCTTATTTTTTATCTTTCCTGCTTTCTTTATAGGGAGCTCACCAAGTTCATAGGTTAGGGAGAACTTAAATGAAATAAAGAACTAAAAGTGGCGAAAATAAGGCAGCAACAAATCATAATAAAAATACCAGTTGAAAAGAAAAGTGGAATCAAGGATCTCATAATAGTGTTCATTTCTCTGTTGGAAATAGTCCATTTGGAAGAACCTGTGATCCGCTTTTACAGACAACTTCATGGTAAGACTAATTTATCCTGGGTGTTTGGAACTTTTGCTTGGTAAACACGGGTCAGATTTTTTTTTGTTCTTAACAAAGAATGAATGAGAAAACCTATAGGGAAGTTACTGGTACTGATAATCCATGAAACTAGAAAAGCTAAGATTTGGTGGCATTTTCTCCTTATCTGTAGAATGGCATAAATTATTACTTTTAAATTTGAACCATAGAAAATCTGAGTTACTATCTCTTAGCTAAGTTTAGGTAAGTGTCCAAAAGAAGAACTTAAAGAAGATACATCATAAACTTGGAACTTTAAAGTTTAAGACACTTGGACAGGATTTTAATTAACGAATTCATTTTTTCCCTAATGTAGTTATTAGGAGCATGGGTTTTGGCATCAGAATGTCTGGGTATGAATCTTGCTTTATTACATCTGAGCTTATGCCAGGAGGAAATTATACAACTTCTCTGACCTGTTTCCTCATCTGCAAAAGAAAGATCATAAAATTGACCACAAAGGTTACTGTGAGCATCAAATTAACTCTACCTTGCTTAGAGAAGAATCTTGCAATTAGTAAGCACTTAATAAATGTTATAAGATAAATACCAATATTATCATACTACTATTTGTTATTTGTTAAAAAAAATTTGTCAGACCCTCTGCCAGAGAGTAAGAATAAAACGTGAATGTGATTATTTCTTCTATCAGCTCTCTGTCTTCTTGGAGAGAAGTCCAGGGAAGACCAGGGGTTCTTAAACAGGATTCTGTGGATAGGCATCAGGGAATCTGTAAATTCTACATAGAATTTTGGAGAAGAAAATGTTTCCTCTAATTCTGTACAAAATTTGGATGACAATTTTTTTTTCCTGAAGGTAGGATTTCCAGCTTTAACGGATTATCTTGGGACCAATGACCCCAGACAAACGAAGGATGATTAATCTACAAAGATGATTTCACAACAGATTACAAAGCCTCCTTCAAGCCTCCTCCCAGATCAAAATGGAGAAAACAGTTGATCAGCCTCAGAATATCAGGGGAACTTAAGGTCTCTTTAGAGCCAAAGTACTAATAAATCACTAAATAGTTTCATTTTCTCACTTTCTTCAGAAAATTCCCATCATATTTTTTACCAAGTGCGCATGCACACACACACACTCATATCTACGTCAGTGAAAGAGGATCTGATACTAAAAAAACAGCAGAAATCTTTTCACTTTCATGAGAAAGGTTTTTCTGAATCATCTACACAGCATCATTTAATGCTTTCCCTACCCTATACATGATGACTTCTTGTAATCCCCCTACTATGCTATGAGTTCCCCATAGGTGGGAATGGAGTAATAACAAGCCTTGAAGCTCAGCGTCTAGCACAGGGACCCATACACAGTAAACGGTCAGTTAAATGTTTTGTTCTTAACTGCACTTTAACTAAGCTGTACTTTAGTACACGGCGCAGATGTGCATTTCTTATGAAGAAGCATGAAATCTTTTGCTTTCTGTGTTGCTAGGATCGACCTCACTTACACAAACTTAGTTTAATAGAACTCATAAGCAGCTAATGATTTTCATCAGGTATTAAAAAATTCTCAGTTGCCACTTGACTATATACAATGAAAGTGACAGGCTGAAGGCAGAAGACTATGCCAGGATGTTACAGGAAAATGTCAAGGCCATGTGAAAAAAGAGGGGCAGTCAGAGGGAAGGGAAGGAAGGAAGAGGGAGGAGCTGCCACTTGAGAGGTTGTATCATGGTCCTCAGCTGTCTGTCACTGAGAAGAGTTTGCAACTCACAGGGTTTACGTGGTTTCGGTTGGTGCATGATGCTGGCCTTCTGGTGAAGTATTTTTTTTATGGAACTGATCAAATTCCCCTCTTTCACATCTGCTCCTATATGTCCGGGTTAACTTCACAGTGGTCATCATCTTCCCTTTGCTTCCATTTTCTAGGGGGTTTTTAGGTATCCGAGGAAACTACTTTTTGTTCTGTTTTAAACAAAATTTATTTTTCATTTAAAATGGTACAGAAATGGCAGAGGTAGGAAATAAACTGAAACCTTCTTACAACTTTGCATGGGAACCGGGGATGACAGGAGGCCCCTGTGAGGTGCATGGTACCTGCTCAAGTAAGGAAGAGGGGAGCCAGCTTCTCCCCACAGCAGGGGAGTGTCAGGTGCCATCCGTCAGTGCTCTGGCTACAGGACACTTGCCATGGAAGCTGAACACACATTAGAATTCTCAGGCAGAACTGTGTGGTTTAAAGGATCTAGACAGCTGGGAACGAATATTTTCTGTTTCTGCCTAATGTAAAGAACACATTATGGCATTTTGAAGTTCCCTTGAGTCCTGATGGTCTGGCATTTTAATCACTACTTCCTTAATTCAAACTCCTGCCATCTCTAGCCTATGTTAGGCCTTGGACTCCAAACTAGTTTTTCTTCACAGTTCTGAGAATCTACAGTCTCTTCACATCATCCTCCACTACCTCACTGACTAATGCCCCAGGTACACCGAACTACATTGAGTTCTGCTTGATCAACCTGTCCTCAGGGCCTGTATATATGCTGTTCTTGCTTGAAATACTGTCCCCACTCCTTCCCTTCCCATTCTGGTATACCTCCCTTCACCTAGATATGAACTCATCACTAAGTTTTTGCTTCTCCAGGAAACTGTCCCTCAAACACCCTCACCCTCGTGCCTGGGTCTGATGCTCCTCTGAGGTACTTCTTCAGTACCATAAACTGACCTCAGCACAGCCCTATGTTCCTGCATTCCAATTGTCTGCTTACCAGACAATAGCCTCATATGACAGCTAAGTGTAGGTCTCACTATTCAATACATCCCAAGTCCAGGAAGGTCTCAATAGCTAGCCCATGAATGAATAAATGAAGGGAGAAACAGGTGACTGTACCAAGGTTCAAGAATGTGTTTGCTATGATTGCCTTTAACAGTCTTCATGCTCATGGGTCAGAATTTGTATCGTTCCTAAAGACAGTATTTTGTTACTCTATATATTTTTTAAATGGGGGCTAATGAGAAAATTCTTTAATTTGATTGAAATAATGTGAAAGGAGT
This sequence comes from Homo sapiens, assembly GCF_000001405.40. Taxonomy (NCBI): domain Eukaryota; kingdom Metazoa; phylum Chordata; class Mammalia; order Primates; family Hominidae; genus Homo; species Homo sapiens. The sequence continues at coordinate 64,865,566 of NC_000008.11, forward strand.
TTATAGGCCATTTTATAAGATAAGAGCAAGATGAGTTCAATGTGCTCTCTGAATAGAGTAATGTTGTATCCCAGTTATGTTAGTTTTCCTTAAATGATTCTTAGTGCCATCCCCTTTTATTCTGTTTCCTGATTTGGACCACACATTAAATGGTCATTCCATCTCTAAATACCTTGGGAATCATGGAGAGAAGAGGAATCACAGACATACAAAGAACACTTGAAGGATTTTCTGCAAGTTTGAAAGTAGAACTGAAGAATATAGCCAATACACGTTCCAATTCTACTTTCTCAACAACACAATTTAAATTTACTCAGAGCTTTGCACAATCATGATTAATGATAAAAGGGAGAGAAGTGGTTTTGCTAGAGTTTCTTAAGAAACTACTCTCACTCTCTCTCAGTTACCCAAAGATAAACACTTGCAAATTCTTTTTATTTGGGGAAGTAAGATTATTATCAATTAACATCTAAAGACTAATGTTTCCCAGAGTGTCTTATAAAAGCCTGGTTAGTGAGTGTTGTTATTTCAGATTGCGTTTTGTTTCTCATCCTTTTTTTTGATTACAGTTGACTGTTAATTTAAAAAATGAATTGATATGACAATGAATGTATGATAACTAAGTGGTTTATTTGAGAACATCCTTGTTGATTTATGTGAAAATACAATCCTAAGAATACCACCTTCCTCCCCCAGGCTGCTTGAGTTCAGTAAACAGATTTGCAGGACTCATTTACATCAAGAACCAACTAACATTTTGGAAACCAGAAAGGCTTAATTTCTACAGAGTCTGTTAATTCTTTGCAATGTGTTCATTGCTTGCATCTTTAATTGAAATGTTTTCAATAGATGAACTCATCTGATTTTATAACATTTCTAAAAAGTACCATGAATTGGCTTGGTATATACCCGAAAGAAAGGAAATCTGTATATCGAAGAGATATCATCACTCTCATGTTTATTGCAGCACTATTCACAATAGCCAAGATTTGGAAGCAACCAAGGGACCTATCAACAGATAAATGGATTAAAAAGTAAGGTGCATATACACAATGGAGTACTGTTCAGTCATAAAAAAAGAATGAAATCCTGTCATTTGCAAAACATAGGTAGAACTGGAAGACATTATGTCAAGTGAAATAAGCCAGGCACAGAAAGACAAACTCTGCATATTCTTACTCATTTGTGGGAGCTACAAATTAAAACGATTGAACTCATGGAGATAGAGACTAGAAGGATGGTTACCAGAGGCTGGGAAGGGTAATGGGGGTTAGGGTAGTTGGGAAAGTTAATGGATTAAAAAAAATAGTTAGATAGAATGAATAAGAACTACTATTTCATAGCACAACAGGCTGACTACAGTCAACAATAATTTATTATACATTTTTAAATAACTAAAAGAGTATAATTGGAATATTTGTAACACAAAGAAATGATAAATGTTTGAAGAGAAGGATACTCCATTTACCCTGATGTAATTATTATGCCTTGCATGCCTGTATCAAAATATCTCATGTGTCCCATAAATGTGCACACCTACTACGGTACCCATAACAATTAAAAGTTTTTTAAAAAGTGCCATGATTTAGAGACCTCTTTTCATAGCAGAAGTTGATCATATAAAGAATGCCTTAAGTTGAGTATGAGTACCCAAACAGAAATTAAAGACTATGTTTTATCTTGCTTGAGTTATACTCTAGTCATGAGATTGCCATCCAGATCTCAAGATAGGAAGCCATGAGGTCATCTTCTCTCTCCTCCCAAGGTGAATGGTGTGCCCCTCCCATTTTTCTCTCTGCCTCTCTCTACCTCCTTCCTAACCAATAGATGAGCCACAGTACAAACAATGTCATCCTCAAGCTACCGAGTGTTCTCCTTGATAGCCTGGCTTGTGTTCCACTACTCTACCTTTTCCTATTGTCCTGCATTTGCTAAGGAATGTGTCATCTCTGATTCTGTTCATTAACTTCTCTGAAATCCAATTCATACTTTCCTCTGTGATTCACATAGCATTAGCCATTGTTTTCCTTAGCCCTTCTCGTTCTGCAGTTAGAAACCGACTTGCCTAATGCTTGAGCAGGTCAGAATCCGGGTCAACAACGCATTAGCAGGCTGGTGTATCCTTGCAAGCCTGGTATCTGATAAGCCAGGATGAATCCCATCACTCATGAATTCGCCAATCCTAATCATCCCCAAATCTTGTAGTATTTGTCCAAACTGGAAGTTTTCCTATGTTTTCTGATTAGCATTTCAATTCCTTGAATAGGATTTGAACCTGAACACGTTTCCTGGGCTGAGGCTCTGATATTCTGCCTAACTCAGGTCACTTTCTCTCCAGAGGCTTTTAAAGTCCTGACTTTGTTGGCATCCTCCCCCATATGACAAGCATCTAAGTCTCTATGATATGGTGTTGAACAGTGGTTTGGAATGGAACCCATTACCATGCTCCCCTCACAATTAACATTCTTTTGGAATGTGTTCAGTTGATCTGAATCAAGCTTGGTTTTGTCATGCTCGTAAGACCTCTTCCAGAGGGTAGTCTCTATGGCCAGCTCAGCTTTAGAAAATAAACCCTACTTCTTCCTCATCCCCTCTGGTTTGCGGCTAATGTTCCAGCATGTCCTTCTTCTAAGGCCTCTTAGGTTAGGACTCCAATAAAGCTGTACATCAAGTTCACTTCTATACATATTTATTGATTACTTTCTGTGTTCAAGTGTATGGGGGAAGAGGAGCAAGACTGATGAAATGACACATTCTCAGACCGCCAAGAATGTATGGCCTGTGTGCAAAATAGACATCTCAAGAAGCAACATTAATGTATTGCAAATAAAAAAGAGATTTACCTATAAACTTGCCAATTGTAGTATAAGCACTTGAATAATGCTTGTTAAGTTGCACTCTGTGATATGGACAGACTTTGTTCCCTCTCTTAGCCTCACTCCCAATCTATCCCCATCCCCCAACATCATATTCTTTTCCAAATAAACTTTCCCTATGTACTCCCTTACCAGGCAGCAAACTGTACCCTTGATTCTGTATGTTTGTTACAATCATATCTGGGTAATATAAGAATCTCTTTGAGAGAGACAATTTCCTCTTTTTTTCCCATAAAATCTTGCAATACTTAATTAGTGGAAAATAACCAAATACATTGCTATTTAGTGAAGGCTGCTCTGTTAGGTGGCATAAGATTTTTGTTTTTTTATCAGCAAGGAAAATTAAATAACATTCAGTATTATTAATGTTTATCAAATGCCCACGGGGTACTAAAAATGCCTTAGAACAAATGCAAAGGCAGAGTTCCATACTGTCATGTTTACAATGAGACAAGAAGTATTTTAGCTCTTTCCTCTTACTGTTACAAATCTATTTCACAGACTGATTTTCCTCAGGCCCTAGAGCCATTCATGATTCAATCTCTCAGCATTATAGCTTCCTTAAGGAAGAGGTGTATCCCTTATACCCAAAACAATCAAGAAACATTTGTAGGATTTACGTGGCCCAGAAGTTTCTACAGTGTTTTTATTTTTATTATTTTTCCTAAGCAACATTTACATACATTTATGTAGTTCTTAACTATATGCTTGGTACTGTACTAAGACCTTTGCAACTCAATCCTCGCAGCAAACCCATGAGAAATGCAATCCCATTTTATAAGACAGGAGAGTGAGGCACACTGACTTAAGTCATATGGAGAATGCTGGAGCCTGCTCCAAGCCTCAATAGTGGCCGCTGTGAAGTCCGCATTCTCAACTACACCTAGCTGCTTTCCAAAGGTGACTTTAGACACTTTAGTACTCATTAGCATCTCTAGGAAAGAGTGCATAAGAGACCCTTGTTTTGATGCATTCCTGGCCTACAACCTCATTTATAAGAACTACTTACTTCTTACAACTCCTAGTGCAAGCCTAGCCTCCATGTTATTTTTGTATCGTCATGGCCCCACTGACCACAGCTGAATAGACCAGTGTTGGACACATAACTCCACCTGGGCCAATCAGATTCTGTCTCCTTGGAACTGAAATCAAAACACCATCAGCACTAAAGGCTGAAGTTGTATAGAGTCAAGGTTTGTACAGCCATTTCCTGCCGTGCACGGGCATGTGTGTTCATGTACTTTTGGCATGTCACATGCACTGCTGCAGAGAACAAAGACTCCCTGGCCTCAAAGAGATGGAGAAAATGGCTTTAATTTCTCTTTTCCTGGATTGAATCGATTGTAAGGTCTACTGACCCCTTCTGCCTTGGTTCCACTGAATACTATTGTGTCAAGATTTCTGTTTGTTATATATATAACCTACGCTGTTGAGATGTGGGCAGCAAACATTCACACTTGTTTGTCTTGGTACTTGCTGACAGAGCCAAGTTTATAGACAAGGTTATTCATTATTGATTACCATTCTCACTGTCATCTTCACCATTCCTGCTTCCCACGTTTACCTGTTTAAACAAAACTACTAGGCCAGGCACAATGGCTCACATCTGTAATCCCAGCACCCTGTAGTATGGTCATGCCATAATTGACTTACACATTCCCTCATCTTTGGATGTTTAGATATTTCCTGATTTTCCCATTATAACCCTGTGATGGACATACTTGAACATAAATTATTGGGTATATCTCTGATTATTTAGTAAATATAACTTGAATAACCACTATGTATAACCTGTCAAAGATTAAAAAATGAATATAGGCCGGGCGCGGTGGCTCACGCCTGTAATCCCAGGACTTTGGGAGGCCAAGGCGGGCAGATCACAAGGTCAGGAGATTAAGACCATCCTGGCTAACACGGTGAAACCCCATCTCTACTAAAAATACAAAAAAAGTTAGCCAGGCATAGTGGCGGGCACCTGTAATCCCAACTACTCAGGAGGCTGAGGCAGGAGAATGGCATGAACCCGGGAGGTGGAGCCTGCAGTGAGCCGAGATTGTGCCACTGCACTGCAGTCTGGGCGACAGAGAAAGACTCCATCTCAAAAAATAAATAAATAAATAAACAAATAAAATAAATAAAATTAAAAATAAACAAATAAGTAAAATAAATAAATTTAAAAAAAAAAAACCTACCTCTGGAAGGTTTGGGGGAGGCTTGAATTTTTTTTAGCAAATGTTTCAGAGCTTTTATTGATAGCTAGTTGAAAGCGAAGTCCTCTGGGTGTAACTAAAGCAATAGATAATTTCAGAAGTTTTCAAGAAAAAGGGAGAGGGGCTTAGCTATAGAAGGGTCCAAAGATTAACTTGGATAAATTCACATTTCTGCCCAGGGTTGACCTGGACTTAGCTTTTGAAGCAGACAATTCTGTAAAATAGAAGGTAACCAAAGCTAAGGACTTCAATGATCTGCACATGTTAATAATTCATCTCATGTCTGCTGTTAGTCATGTGATTAATCCAGAGATGGATTTATAATCTTATATGTAAATTCATAGATGGAGAATCAGAACAACCTATTACTTAGAGATACTCAATACCGAATGGTCTTTAGCTTGGTTGTTCTGAAGCCTCTACGGAGAGCCTCCGATGAACACATTTTTTACTTTCTTTGAAAATGAGATCAGGAGATATAAGATGTTCCCTAATTCAGGTTCAGATAAGAACCTCTTGATGTTCTGGGCCTTGCAATTAAAATTTCAACTCAGAAAAATCTCTTCTCTTAGCATTTTTCATAGTGTCAAAACGGTCTTCAAAAACTAATACTTCTGCCTATGGAATTAAAAAAGAAATAGACTGAATAATTGTTATGTACGATCTTAAAATCACAGCACTTGGAAAGCTCCTTACAGACAAACATGTAATCATTTTTGAAACTGAGGAATTTGAAAAAACTAGACAGAATTTCAATGTTCTTTAGTATTATTTTAAAAATATTCTTTATCCATGAAAAAATTCTAAAGTAATTCATGAGATTACCAGTGTTGATAAACTATTTCTAGGTTTCTAGGACATAAGTGAGGCATCTTTTGCAGGGATTTTGAAGACTGTGCTAACAGAGATATAAATTTGAAAACCAATATGCATTTGAATTTGTGTTTTTTTAGTTTAAGTTTCTCATAAAACAAACTAAAGGCACATATTTTACTTTTTATTTTCTTGTAAAAAATTAGAATGACTAGCATAAGTGAACCAAGTGGAAAGTCAAGCAATAAAGACAACTTTGTAGTGTAAGAAGATATTTGATATTCTGTAACTTTCCATTATGTCACACTTTATGTAGGTGCTACAAGCCTGATTTGCTTTTGACCATTGCTAATATTAATTGACATTTTAACTGAATGCTCTATTTGCAAAATCATCTTATGGTACTACTTTCAACAACAGCGTCTATCATGAAATACATTTCAACTGTTTTGCAAACTTTCTTCCAATTAATAATTAAACAGAGGAACAGCTTGCAGTATATGCTTGGAACTAATTTTACTATATATAGTGGGAAATGACAAGCACATATGAAGATGTGACTGAAGCCTGGTAACATTTAAATATTCAGTTTTTCCTCTGTTACCTTGACTAGGGCAAAGTTAGTTCCCAAGGTAAAAACTAAGTGGTCTGCCGGCATATGGTCTAACCTCCATTTGAGTGCTAAAAGCTGGATACTGTTTTTGTGAAACAGATGTTGTTGAGTGCAGCAATGCACAACTGACTCTAGCTAACAGCTGGGAATCCTTCGTGACCCATATAGCGAGAAATAAACATGGTCCTATGCTTGGCAAAAGAGTAAGGAAGCAAATTTCCATTTGTTAAGGGCTTATCAAAATGAAGAATAAATGTTTTTAGCTATAAACTGATTTTATTCACCAGAATAATCTTTCCAGCAGCTTATGTGATGGCCTCATAATATTACAGGCACCCTTTGCCAGATGAAGGCTGCAGTTGCACTGACATATAGTACAGATGGAAAAATAAACATCTGCCTCAATCAAGAGAGAAGACCAAGGACAAGGTTGACGAATAATATCTGGCATGACTATCTTTTCAGGGAAGCACATAAATGCTACAGGACCAACACCACTGGCATCGTCTGGTGTTGTCCTTATGTGGTTACTGACCATGAAGAGAGATGATTAGTATGCACTCTCCAAGGAGGAGTGGTGCAGATGCTCAGGATGATATGATTCCAACTCTCTAGGATCTGCTTTGCTGTAGCCACACCATGTGAGTCGCAGAGCTTTTCTATTTTATTTATTTATTTTTTTCATGGCTTGGCTGCATTTATTGTCGGCAAAGTTTCCCTGTTAAATGTGACAAACAAGGGGAGGAAGGAAGAAGAGGACGAGCGAATTTGGAAAAGATAGAAACATCTTTTTTCATGGACATAGAAAAATGTCAACAAAGGCGCCAAGTCCAAGTTCAAATGATTTCTTCTGATGGAGACTAAACTCCAAGGTTTTGATTGTGAAACACTAGATTTTATTATGTGGTCCAACTTCACCTTTGGCAAAATCTGAGTGGCATAATATACTTTCTGTGAGAGAGGCACACAGGCAGGTACACACGTGGATACACACACTGCAGTCCTAGCACCAAGTTCCTTTTGTCCTCATTGCAACGAAATGATTCATGTGGCACAAATAATATGACAGATGTAGCTTTAAAAATTCAATTTTATTGCGAGTGTCTTTTTGACTGAAACTTCTTTCATTTTCTGGTATCTCTTGTGACCATATGGAGTTTAGATGGCAGTGAATTCCCTTCTACTAACTCAAACCCTTTTCTGCACCTGGGCACAATTTTGGATAAGAAGATGAAGTAAAGGGGAAAAGTGCCAGGATTAATATACAAGATCATATTATGAGTAAAAGGGTACATTTTCCTTTTTTGGGAAAAGACAATTTCAGTACTCTGATTTTGTTAGAATTTTATTTTTAAAAGTGACATTGTGGAGACTCTATGTATGGATTTTTTAAACTATTTATTTCCCTTGAATGATAGAGAAAGACAGAGACTTGCTTAGATTCTGATAGTCTAGTTGAAGGAATTATGATCATTTAATCTTTTTAACTTTAGAAGGAGCTGAAATCTCAGACTTCACCAGACTCTTAATAGAGCAAATATTTACCGAATGTTTACTATGTATCAGGTGCTGTACTTAACTCTTCTCATGTTCTTGTGCATGTAATATTCAAAGAAATCCTATGAGTCATAAACTATTATTATTATCCCCATTTTATAAACAAGAAATTAAGGCACAGAGAAGTTAGGTGATTTGTCTAAAGTCACACAGTTAGTCATGGTGAAACCAGCATTTGAACTGAGGGATTGAGCTCAAAAGTCATTCTACTATAAAGACACATGTACACATATGTTTACTGCAGTGTTATTTACAATAGCAAAGACTTAGAACCAACCCAAGTGCCCATCAATGATAGACTGGATAAAGAAAATGTGGCACATATATAGCAAGAAATATTATACAGCCATAAAAAATGAGTTCACGTCATTTGCAGGATGAATCTGGAAGCCATCATTCTCAGCAAACTAACACAAGAACAGAAAACCAAACACCACATGTTCTCACTCATAAGTGGGAGGTGAACAATGAGAACACATGGACACAGGGAGGGAGGGGAACATCACATATTGGGACCTCTTCTGGGGGTGGGGGGCAAGGGGAGGGAGAGCATTAGGACAAATACCTAATGCATGAGGGGCTTATAACCTAGATGACATGTTGATAGGTGCAGCAAACCACCATGGCGCATGTATACCTATGTAACAAATCTGCACGTTCTGCACAGATGTCCCAGAACTTAAAGTAAAATAAAAAAAAAAAGTTTGCCTTCTAAAAAAAAAAGTTTATGTTCTTGACCATGGTGCTACTAGGAGTTTAAGAAATTATATCTCCTTTGGTACTGAATATCAAGATGTGTTGTTTTTTGTTACCTCATTAATAGGAACTCTATTTGGCATAGCACACGAAAAGATGTTTCATTTAGTTACTTTGAATATATTGGATCTTATTCTTTCACAAAAGCAATTTATGACCATTGTCAAGTCAAATAATATGGATATTTATATGAAAATTAGTATCAAATCAACTTTCCTAAAGGGACAAATGTTATTAGGTATGTATTTCTTTGTTGTTAAAAAATTTTAATTGTATACATTTATGGAGTACAAAGTGATGTTATGATATACGCATAAAATGTGGAATGATTAAATCACTAACATATCCACCACCAGAAATACTTATTTTTGTAATAAGAATATTTGAAATTGTATTCTCCCAGCAATTTTGTAACATGCAATACATTATTAACTATAGCACCAGCTATGTAATAGATCTCAAAAACTTATTCCTCGGCCAGGAGCGGTGGCTCATGCCTGTAATCCCAGCACTTTGGGAGGCCGAGGCGGGCGGATCACGAGGTCAGAAGATTGAGACCATCCTGGCTAACACGTGAAACCCCGTCTCTACTAAAAATACAAAAAATTAGCCAGGCGTGGTGGTGGGTGCCTGTAGTCCCAGCTACTGGGGAGGCTGAGGCAGGAGAATGGCGTCAACCCGGGAGGCAGAGCTTGCAGTGAGCAGAGATCGCGCCTCTGCACTCCAGCCTGGGTGACAGCGAGACTCCGTCTCAAAAAAACAAAAACAAACAAACAAAAAAAACTTATTCCTCCTGTCTAATTAAAACTTTGTACCCTTTAACCAGTATCTCCCCATTCACTCCACCCCCCAGCCTCTGGTAACCACCATTCTACTTTCTGCTTCTATGAGTTCAACTGTTTTAGATTCCTCATTTAAGTGAGCTCATGCACTATTTGTCCTTTTGTGTCCAGCTTGTTTCACGTAGCATAATGTCCCCCAGGTTAATTCATGTTATCACAAATGACAGAATTTTCTTTTTTGGGGGGGCTGAATAGTATTCCACTGTATATATTCAGGTATGTATTTTATACCTTTTTTCTGCACTAATAATTTTTGTTTTTCTCTCATTTTTCTCTTTTGTTCTTTCTTCTTTAATCTCCAAATGAGATCACCCTTTACACATTATTCTGTAATTTAAAAGCACAATATTCATAGGGTATATATATATCGTATTATATATAATTATATTATATATTACTTATAATAAATAATAAATAGATTATTATATATTTCTATTATCTATTATCTATTTAATATTTTCCTAATGGTTGTCGTTTAAATTTTTAATACATTAATTTAGTGACTTTTCCTAATCCAAACGATGCTCTAATAAACATGCGAATTTTTATATCTCCATGCATTACTACTTTATATATCAGTAAAAGAGGGTCTCAGAAGTGGGAGTGATAGTCAAGGGGCATGTATTTTTTGTGAGATTAATTTGAAAAATTTCTAAAGTGCAGAAAAAGTTGACGTACAGGTACACATTTATTTATAATGATTTCTTCAGTTACTGTTTTCTCAGTCAGATTTACTGAGATCAATTTACATACAGTCAAATTCACCTTTGAAAGTATGTGGGTCTATGAGCTTTGATGCATGCATTCAGTCGCACAGCCACCACCACAGTCAAGTTACAGAATTGTTCTACCAACTCAAAACTCCTCTCATGACCCTTTGTAATGAACCTGCTTCCTTCTCCCAGATACCTGTCTTTATAGTTTTGCCATTTCCAGAATATGACATAAACGGAGTCAAGCAGTTTATGACCTTTGGATTTACCATAATGCATTTGAAATTCATTCATCTTGTTGCTCATACCAATAATTCATTCCTTTTTACTGCTGAGTAATATGCAATTATATGGTTGTACTACAGTTTGTTTATCCATTCACCAGCTGAAGGACATTTGAATTTTCCCCAGATTTAGTGATTATGAATGAAGCTGCTCTATTTGCCTAAAATTTACATAAGCGTAAGTGTTCATTTCTTTTTGGTAAATACATAGGAATGAAATTGCCTGATCACGTGATAAGTATATCTTTAACTTTATGAGAAACTGCAAACTGTATTCCAAATTGGCTCTACCATTTTGCACCCCCATCAACAAAGTTTGAGTGTTCTTGTTGGTCCATATTGTTACCAGCACTGAGTATTGTTGCTTTGTTGTTGGTACTTCAAAATTTTAGTCATTCAAATAGGTGCATAGTGGTATCTCTTGTGATTTTAATATGCATTTTCCTAATGGCTACTGATATTGAACATCTTTTGATGTGTATTTTTGCCACTTGTATCTCTTCTTCTGTGATGTATCTGTTCAAATCTTTTGTTCTTTTTTAACTGGTTTGTTTTCTATTTTTTGGTGTTTGAGCATTTATATGTATTATTGATGTAAGTCCTTAATCAGGTAATGTGATTTATAAATATATTCATCTATTCTGTGGCTTGTTTTTTCATTCTTTCAATAAATTAAAGTTGTTAATTTTGATAATGTCAAACTTATCAATTGTTCTTTTGGGGATTATGATATTGTTGACTTATATAAGAAATATGTGCCTAAATAAATTTTTTTCTTAAATGTATATAGTTTTAAATTTACTTTAGGTATTGTTTAGATAAGAACTAAATTTTACAGTTATGTCTATAATTCATTTTGAGATAATTTTATATGGTATGTATTTTATACCTTTTTTCTACACTAATAATTTCTCTAGGTATGCTTTCTCTAAGGTATGCTTTTTATTCATCTATTTAGATAAATAGACCGTTGATATAGTGAATTATGTTGACTGAACATGGTGAACTAGTTTTGCATTTCTGAAATAAACTTCACTTGGTCATGATGTATTATCTTTTATATATAGATTCAATTTAAAAATATATTGAGAATGTTTGCATAACTATTCACAAGGGATATTTGGTCTAGAGTTTGTTGTTGCTGTTGTTCTAATAATATCTTTATCTGGTTTTATTACCAGAGTGATGTTGGCATCATAAAATGATATGGGAAGTGTCCCCACCTTTTCTGTTTTCTGGAAAAGGCTGTATAATATTGGCATTATTTCTTCTATGAGTTGTTCATAGAATTCACCAGTGAAGCTATTTGAGCCTAAATATATTTTTTGCTAGTGGATTTTAAACTATGGGTTCAATTCCTTAAAAGATAAAGGAATATTCAGGTTATCTATCTTTTCTTGAATGAGTTTTGGTAGTTTGTATCTTTTAAGAAATGTTGGCATTTAATCTAAGTTTTTTAACTAATTTGGAACAATTTTTTTGTAATGTTTTCTTATTGTCTTTATAATATTCATAAGGTCGGTGGAGATGTTTCCACTTTCATTTTTCTAATTGGTAATTTGCGTTTTCTCTTTTTTTCTTGGCCGTTTTGGCTGTATGTCTATCAATTTTATTGATCTTTTAGAAGAACCAGTTTTTGGTTACCTTAATTTTTTCCTACTTATATTTCATTACTAGTTTTATTAATTTCTTCTTTTATCTTTATTATTTCTTTATTCTGATTGCTTTGGGTTTAGTTTGCTCTTTTCCTGGTTTCTTAAGATGGAAGCTTAGATCATTAATTTGAGAACCTTCTTGTCAACTGTCACTTGGCACAACCGTGTAAGTAGAAGAGTCTTTCGCAGAAAATATGACAAGACACAGCTGTCAGATATAAACAGATTTTATAGTAAACTAAATACTCAAATTCCAAAGCTTAAATTAAATCACCAAATAGTAATTTCTTATTTTTTAATATAATTTTAAAAGAGCTTAGAAGTCCTAGCCAGAGCTATCAGACAAGAGAAAGAAGGAAAGAAAAGGCATCCAAATGGAAAAAGAAGTTTAATTATTTCTCTTCCCTGACAATATGATTCTATGTCTAGAAGACCCTGCCAAAAGGCTCCGAGAACTGATAGGCAACTTTAATAAACTTTCAGGGTACAAAATCTATGCACAAAAATTTGTAGCATTTCTATACAATAACATCCAAGCAGAGAGCCAAATCAAAAATGAAATATCATTTATAGTAGCCACAAAAAAATAAAACACCTAAGAATACAGCTAACCAAGGCAGTGAAACATTTCTACAAGGAGAACTGCAAAACACTGCTAAAAGAAATCATAGATAATATAAATAAATAGAAAAACATTCCATGCTCATGGATTGGAAGAATCAATATCATTAAAATGGCCATCCTACACAAAGCAATCTACAGATTTTAAACTATTCCTACCAAACTACCAACATCATTTTTCAAAGAATAAGAAAAAACTATTGCACCAAAAAGAGCCTGAATAACCAAAACCATCCTAAACAAAAAGAACAAAGCTGAAGGCATCACATTATCCATCTTCAATCGATACTATAAATAATCAAAACAGCCTGGTACTGGTACAAAAACAGACACAAAGAGCAATGGAACAGAATAGAAACCAAAGAAGTAATCCCAGCACTTTGGGAGGCCAAGGTAGGAGGATCACTTGAACCCAGGAGTTCGGGAGCAGCCTGAGCAACATAGTGAAACCCTGTCTGTACAAATAATAATAATATTAATAATAATAAAAAAATTAACTGAGGGTGGTGGCTTGTGCTTGTAGTCCTACCTACTCAGGAGGTTGAGATGGGATAATTTCTTGAGCCTGGGAGACTGAGGCTGCAGTTAGCTGTGATCACGCCACTGCACTCCAGCCGGGGTGACAGAGTAAGACCCTGTCCCCCCAAAACCCAAAACAAAACAAAAAAGAAAAACCAGAAATAAAGCCACACACCTATAGCCATCTGATTTTTGACGAAGTCAAAAACAAAAATGCAGTGGGAAAAGGACTCCCTATTCAATAAATGGTGCTAGGATAGATGGCTAGTCATATGCAGAAGAATGAAACTGAACCCCTATGTTTCACCATGTACAAAAATCAACTCAAGATGAATTAAAGATTTAAATGTAAGACCTCAAACTATAAGAATCCTAGAAGAAAACCCAGGAAACACCATTCTGGACATCAGCCTTAGGAAAGAATTTATGACTAGGTCCTCAAAAGCAATTGCAATAAAAAACAAAAATTGATAAATGGGACCTATTAAACTAAAGAATTTCTGCACAGCAAAATAAACTATCAACAGAGTAAACAGACAACCTACAGAATGGGGGAATATTAGCAAACTATGCATCCAACAAAAGTCTAAAATCCAGAATTCATAAGGAAATTAAATAATTCAATAAGTGAAAAATATCCCATTAAAAAGCAGGCAAAACAGACACTTCTCAAAAGAAGATATACAAGTGGCCAGCAAACATAAAAAAAATGCTCAACATCACTAATCATCAGAGAAATGTAAATAAAAATCACGATGAGATACCATCTCACACCAGTCACAGTGGCTTTTATTAAAAAGCCAAGGCCCAGGCGCAGTGGCTCACGCCTGTAACCCCAACACTTTGGGAGGCCGAGGCGGGTGGATCACGAGGTTAGGAGATCGAGATCATCCTGGCCAACATGGTGAAACCCCGTCTCTACTAAAAGTACAAAAATTAGCTGGGCATGGCGGTGGGTGCCTGTAATCCCAGCTGCTCGGAGAGGCTGAGGCAGGAGAATCGCTTGAACCCGGAGGCAGAGGTTGCAGTGAGCCGAGGTGGCGCCACTGCACTCCAGCCTGGGCGACAGAGACTCCGTCTCAAAAAAAAAAAAAAAAAAAAAAAAGCCAAAAGGCGGGGCACGGTGGCTCACGCCTGTAATCCCAGCACTTTGAGAGGCCAAGGCTGTGGATCACCTGAGGTCAGGAGTTGGAGACCAGCCTGGCCAACGTGGTGAAACCTCGTCTCTACTAAAAATACAAAAATTAGCCGGGCGTGAGGGCAGGTGCCTGTAATCTCAGCTGCTCAGGCGGCTGAGGCAGGAGAATTGCTGGAATCCGAGAGGTAGAGGTTGCAGTGAGCCGAGATCGTGCCATTGTTCAATGAGATCGACCCCAGCCCGGGCCAAAAACAGCGAGACCCCATCTCAAAAACAAACAAACAAACAAAAACAAACAAACAAACAAACAAACAAACCCCAAAAAACTATAGATGCTGGCCAGGCTGTGGAGAAAAGGCAACACTTATACACTCAGTAGGAATCTAAATTAATTCAGCCACTGTGGAAAGTAGTTTGCGGATCTGTAAATTACTTAAAATAGAGTGACCATTTGACCCTGCAATCCCATTACTGGGTATATACCCAAAAGAAAATAAATTGTTCTACCAAAAAGACTCATGCAGTTATATGTTCATTGCAGCACTATTCATGATAACAAGGGCACGAAATCAACCTAGTTGGTCATCAAAGTTGAGCAGCTTGGATAAAGAAAATATAGGACATATATACCATGGAATAGAACGCAGCTGTATAAAAGAACAAAGTAATGTTTTTGCGCAATGCGGATGCAGCTGGAGGTCAAATACCACATGTTCTCACTTGTAAATGGGAGCTAAACATTGGATACTCATAGACATAGAGACAGGAACAGTAGACACTGGAGACTCCTGGAGTGGAGGTGGGGGAGGCAATGGTTGAAAAACTATTGGGTATTATAAACATTGGGTAATTTTATTGCTTACTACTTGGGTAAAGGAGTCAATCATACTCCAAACCTCAGCATCAGGCAATATACCCATGAAACAACCTGCACATGTACATCCTGAATCTAAAATAAAATTTGAAAATAAAATAAAAGAGCTGGTAAATGTTGTTGAGCATGAAATGCGACTAAGCTAGATGGTACACATAGAAGATAGTGGTCAACGTGTAATTAGGTGAAGATATGGGGCAGAACAAATTTACCAACTTAGCACGGCCAAGTTACCACTCTATCTGATACCAATTTATACCTGAGGACTTCCATATTCCACATAAGATTTGAGAAGGGGCTCAAAGGCCTAAATTAATGGAACCAGAGGTATAGGAATGGAGTAGAATAGAACAAAACATCTTAGTATGTTAAAGCTGGAAGGAGCAGTAAAATGATCTCGTTTAACTTATTTTTTTCTAATAATAGGAAAATTGAGGACAAGAGAGGCTAATTAACTTGGCTATCACAATCTAGATGACAAGGGCAGAATCGAGATCCTGGAAACCTGTGTTGTTGCTCTAAAGGCAAGGACCATGTCTTTTTGTTTTTTTCAGATTCCCCACTCTGAAGAACATAACACTGTGTATCATTTTGCAAATTATGGGAAATATTTAAAGATGAAAACCAGAAACACACACACACACACACACACACACACACACACACACACACACGGAGGGGGAGGGGGAGAGAGAGAGAGTCAGACAGTGAAAAAGAGAGAACATTTATTTTGTTTCTTAAAGAAATGCTTTTTCTAGTTGTGTTTGTGTTGAGCCAGTAAAAAAATATCTGAAAAAAGTGTATTTGTCTCTGTCACTGTTCTTCCTTAGAGGAAAAAGAATCAAACCTTTGTTCTCTATTTTTCTCCTATCAGACTTAGAGAGGCTTTATTTTGCCTGGAGTGGGACTTCTTGAGGATAGGGCTGAGTGATACCAAGACCTCTTATAGATTTTTCAGGTATACCAGCCGAAGGGCAATTAAAGAGTAAAGAAAAACAAATCTCTTTTAAATGTTCGCTATAAACTTCGCATGTAAACAAAGTGAAGTATTACTTCTGAAAATTAGCAGACTCATTGTGAATATCTCTTAGGCATTTTTTTAAAATTCCCTAAATGTTAAACATTTATTAATTTTTAGTATGTCCTCTAGCTTTGAGTCAAAAGGGGAATTTTTCCTACTTGTACTCATCATAGTAATATGTCAGATGAAAATTATATATGCTGTTATTTAATGAAAAAACATTATTGGTGGTTTGAAAAAGAAACTCATTCTTTTTTATTTTCCTAGAATATCTGTGAAACAACCTACTTAGAAAAAAACACCCACAAGCAAACACACACAGATATACATATACACAAAACCAAATAACAAAATCACTTTCTGTTGCAGTAGATCAAAGATCTAGCTGTGCCCAGGGAAGTTGTTCTGTCTTCTGCCTTCCTTACCAAAGCATTTTGCTTTATTGAGAAACTTTTATAATCCCCAAATCCTTAAAAACCTTAGAAAGAGAAAAAAAAATTTTTCAAATTTTTTACCTTCCCAGTTCAAGTCTTCATCAAGGTATAACATTTTACCATGAAAAAATAACTCCATTCAGTTAACAATTAACCTCTAATAAATTGCATGTGCTTTGAGGATGGGTAAAACATTTCACTTGTATTGGTCATTAACATGTTTATATGGATAGAATTAATTCATTTTCCTATCTGTGTTATTAATACAGCCTTTTCAGGACCAACAAGCCACTGAGGTAAGTCTTGATAGGTGGGAGAATGGAGAGATAGAACCATGGTTGAGAGTTTCACCTAGAAGGGTCAGACCTATGCAGAGCTGCAGGAAAGGATATTGGATAGCCAGAGGCCATGTGGTGGCCCCTGAGCAGCTCAGTGGGTGAGAAATGAGGACCATGAAGAATGAGTGCACTGGTGAAAATTTTTGCTTTTCTCATAGTTTTTTTTTTAATAAGACTCACCCTGAAGATTAACATGTGAACTGAAGTTTTCTTGAAATAGGGTAGAAATGTACAATGCCACCAAATATGTAGAAATAACTATTTTCTTGCCATTATCTTTAGTTTGCATCACAAGGTTGTATTCATTCATTTTTACACTGCTATAAAGAATACCTGAGACTGAGAAATTTATAAACCAAAGAGGCTTCATTGATTCACAGTTGTGCATGGCTGGGGAGGCCTTAGGAAACTAAAACCATGGTGGATGGTGAAGGGGAAGCAAGGCGCATCTTACATAGCAGGAGGAGAGAGAGCGAGGGAAGAGGGAATTGCCAAACACTTTTAAAACCATCAGCCCTCATGAGAACTCCCTCACTATCATGAGAACAGCATGGGGGAAACCAGCCCGATGATCCAATCACCTCCTATCAGGTCCCTCCTTCGACACATGGGGATTACAATTTGAGATGAGATTTGGGTGGGGACACAGCCAAACCATATCAAAGGTTTACATCTTTTAAAATCACAATGCATCATTTAAATGCAGAACTATGAATTTAGAGGTCCTGATTCCACAGGGGAAGGGGAGACATCATTTACATACACCCAAAAATGACACTGTAATTTTTCAAGGGCAGAACTACAGGATTCAAAAGAGCATTTCTAATTGGGCTAAGCCTGTAAACCACTTTCCTTGACATATTATTTTCTCTAGCACGATAGCTTCACACTAAGCTTCCACAAAAAACAGCCTGGACTCATTATTTTACCTCCCACCTTCCATTGACTCTTATCATCCATTGGAATATTCTTTGTCACTCTCCACCACTCTACTGAAATTGCCTCCCCTAAGGAAGGTCCTTCAAACCATCAAACCCAATGAACACTAGTGCCCCTCACTGGTACTTCTGCTGAACTGAGCCAATTTGCTAGCCCAATGTTGGTGGGCAGAGGGCATTCTCTGGTGTCCTGTTTTAGGCTCCATCCAAGGCCAATATGTACCTTAGGAAGTTGCATCTGAGTCTCAGGTTTGGGGCCTTCTCAGGATTCTGTTCCTCCTCCAGTTGCTGGGTTCCCTAGTGACTTGTGCCCAGGATATTTCCCTGCCTTTTCCCCAGGAGTGGAAACATTCTTTTCTCTGCTCCCTTTTTGTGGTTTTCATGGGTCTTCACATGTGTCCTCATGGTGATATGTGCTCTTCCCTCAGTGGCTTAAGAATTTTGTGTTTGTGTTGGGGAGAAATGATAGAAAGATTGGGGCAGGTTTTAGCCTTTTCTGCAGCAGCTTCTACTCCCCTCCCCTAGACCTCAACAAGGAAGGCCTCCTTCAGTTTCCCTCCCTGTTCCCAATCTTTCTTTTGAGTACTTCCTGAGATCCATGAAGAAGAAAAGAGCCCAGCAGTGAATTTGTCTTTTCCTATGTCTATGACTCCCATAAATTCTATAATATCACTATCACACTAGTCCACTTGCAGCATTTAGCATTTTGTTAAAAACTTTAGCTTGATTCTTCCTGTTAGCTTGTATGGACCCTGGGTATGCCCTAGATAGGTAGGTCTTGCATTCTATTTTTGTAGTTGTTATTGTTGGAAGCACCTACCTTTCCTTAGCCTTCAGGCTGGATCACTATCCTGTCACCTTAGCTTTCTCATTATTCAAAAAATTATTGACTTTTTTCTCGTTTAGTATATTATTGTCTTTTTACTGTTTCTTATTCTCCTCAATTAGAAAGACTCTCTTCAGCTTTCTACATTTGAAGTGGAAGCCAGAAGTCTTGCCTTCATTTTCGAAAGGCAGTTTTGATAGGCACAGAATTTTAGATTGACAGGATTTGTGTCCTTTATACTATGAAGATATCTTTTTTCTCCTCTGTGTGCTTATAAGATTTTTTGTTGCTGTTTCTCTGATTATTGTGATATATTTTGCTGTAGTTTTTTCATCTTCATTTGGCTGGAACTTTATTGAATTTTTGGATCTGTGAATTTATAATTTCCATTTAATTTGGAAAATTTTCTATGATTATTTCTTCTCCTTTTGTCTGTCCCCCTTTTCTTCTCCTTCTGGGGTTTTAATTACACTTTATTACTTACTTGGCAATTTCCACAGGTCTCTGATGTTCATTTTTTTTCTGTTCATTTTTCAGTGGTATTTTTCTCTGAGTCTTATTTAGGATAGTTTCTATTTCTATGTCTTATAGTTCACTGATTATTTCTTCTGCAGTGTCTAATATGGTCTTAATTCTGTCCAGTGAATTTTTAATTTTATATATTGTGTTTTTCACTCTCAAAGTCTGTAATATATTTCATTACCCTTCTTATCATGTTCATAATTTCTTCTGCTTTTTAAAGCATGTGGAGTATATTTGTGATAATGGATTTAATGTTATTTGACAATGTTAAATAGTGTTTGATGATTCTCTCAATGTGCCATTTGTCTACTTCTATTGCTTATTTTTTCTCTTGTTTTTGAGTTTTATTTTCCTGTTTCTTTGAATCAATGGTGTTTTCTTTTTTGGATATTAGGCATTGAGAATTTTATAATTTATATTTCTTTTAATATTGTTGGGCTTTGTTTTAGGACACAGTGAAGTTACTTGGAATCAGTTTGTTTCTTTTGAAGCTAATTTTTAAGCTTTTATAGGGCATGTTCAGAACCTTTCTACTAAGGCAATGTCCTTCTAGATTCTACTTGATTCCTCTTACATGTGGAGATCTTTCTACTCTGACTGATTGAAATGTAGAATCTTCCCAATCCTATTTTCAATTCCAAGGATTGTTGTACTTATTCCTTTTCTTTCTTGTAGTTCTTTCCTCAGCTTCTGCTACTTTCCTCCCACCATGTATGTACAGAGCCCTTCTTAGTCAAATATTCAAGAGAAACCACCTGAAGATCTCTGGAGACATCTCTGTGCAGTTCGTTTCTCTGAGTTATTTTTTTCCCACAACAAATTCTAGCACCTTGGCCTTCCTGAACTCCCAATGATGCCTCCTCTACTCATCCGGGCCTCTGGACCCTGATTGGGTTTCTTCTTGCACTGCAGTCTGAAAGGTTTCTATGGGCAGTTAGCTTGAGCAACTATAGGTCTCACCTGATTTCTTTCCCTCAGGGATCATTGTTTTGGGCTATCAACAATATCTGAGAATTGCATTTCATGCATTTTGTCTACTTGTGTAGTTGCTTAAGGTGGGGTGACAAATTTCATCCCTATTAGTACATCATGGCTTCCCAGAACCTGATCCATGTCATACTGCAATTTAGAAACTTGGTTTAATCCAAACATCTGCCCTCTCTACTCTCGTTACTGAGATGCTGGGGGACTGCTGGAAGACATCACATAAACATGAGCAATGTTGACACTATATTTTTACAGTCCTCAATTTCAGCTGTTTTCCCAACACCATTTCCCATTACAGCTATTTCAAATGCTTGCCAATCTTTTCAAGTCCCCAATTCCAACATCTAGAAAGTTTTGTAAGCAAATTAATCTTTTTAATATGCTCCAGAAGAGATTAAGGACATCTTAACGGAAATTCCTCAAATCTCCTATCAATACGCCTAAAATTACAACTCCTTCCCTTATACTCTTTACATATTTTCTTTCCTCTTTTCTGTGATCTTGATCATAGATTGCTACCTTTTGATGTTATGTTTTTCTTTTTAAAATATTTTGCTTGTCATTGTATCTTTTTTATTTTGTCTCACAATATGATTGTTGCAAAAGATTAAAACTTTATGGAAGAGTGAAAGCCATCCCATGCACACATAAAAATTAATAATTTACATTAAAAGTCATCTATAGCTATTTTTTCTGCTTCTGTGAAGTGCCCTCTCAAAGGACATTGTCTATAAACTTGTGAATATGACTGTTAGAGGCCTCTGTGCAGACAACTATTGTCCTTTGAAAACCTAGTATCACAATGCTAAACTCAACTTAATGTTCTCCTTTACTGAAGATCCTTCAGTGACCTCTTCTTTTTTGTGGGGTAAAAGGCCAAATTCTAAAAATGGCTTACAGCACCCCTCATAGCCTGGTCCTTTACTATCTCTCATCTTCAACTACTCAGAACTTTTCCATTTATATGAAAATGAACTGACAATAGACAGATTAATGAGAGAAAATGTTTATAGATTTATTTAATGTGCTTATAGCATGGGAGAATCACAGCAGAATGATTATCCAATAACCTAATGAGGTCTGGATGCTTATATATCAGTCTTCATAGGGCAACAGGACATAAGGGCCGAATGAGTGAATAATTTTCAGGAAAAATGAGTGAGCCCAAAGAGCAATGGTTTGGGACAAAGTTCCTCTGAGCTCTGGGGAAGGTAGCAAGAAGGTAAGGGGTGGAAGTTCACTGTGAACAAAAGTTGTCTTATTAGGCAGATAAAGCCTTCCAGGAAATCTCTTAGAGCTGCTCTCAGAAAAATAGATGAAAGTGTTTCTGGGCATGGTGACAACTCCTACTCTCTTCTCTTCTCCATGCTAAATCTTTTCTGGTAATTTAATGAGATTCCTAAGGAGAGGGTCTTAAGACAGTTGCATTTCTTTTGAAAGAAAGTTTTCTTAGTCAGATAAAGAAATTCCAGAGAGACAGAGAGAGTTCCTCTTACTTGGGGGAAAATAAGAAAAACAGAGAGACAGGGATACAGGGAAAGGTCAGAAAGAGACCGTGGAACTGCGTCTTTAGTTCAACATGTCAGAGAGCCATATTTTGGAATACTGTTTTCTGAGCCCCAAAATATAAGAAGCACATTCAGCACATTTGGCTCTGCCGTCCCATCAATCTGGAATTCTCTTTTCCAGATATCCATATGACTTTCTTTTCACTTCCTTCGGGGATCTTCTTAAAATTCACCTTACCAAGTCTTCTTTGACTACTAAGCATGAAACAGTAATACTTCGTTTCTTCTCTGGTACTCCTCACAATGTTTCACTTCATAGCCCTTAACATCACCTAATATAAAAGATGTTTATTTGTTTAATGATTGTTTCTCCGCACTAAACTGTAAGCCCCATAAAGCCAAGAATGTTTATATTTTTGATTCACTGTTACAACATAGGCACCTGGCATACTAACTTTTTTGCAGTGAGAACTCAAAAAATTGGGATAAATGCTTTGCATTTCTCTTTCATTTATATTTTGTGGTTTCCCAGAGCACAAACACTTGTGCAGTGAGGTCTGAAGTTCTTTCATGATTGCCTAAAAGCTCCATTAGAAAAATTCTCCTCTACAAATCTCAGGTTTTCAGCCCTGGTCATGAGACGGTATTCATTATTTTCTTGAAGTAATTTTATTTCAGGAGCTTTCCCTGCCATGGACCTTCAGGAGACAACTCTAATCCATCTCATTAGGTTTAGGTAACTTCAGATCTGAAGTAGCAAAAGTTGATTACTTTCTTTCCTTCTTGTGGAAAGGTTTGTTTACCAGGAAATGATAACCTTACCTGAATTATAAAAAGCTCCATATTTGCCTAAGAGAAATACTTAAATAAGCCTTCAAATAAAGGTAGATTACTTCAATTAAAAAACCCCCACAGCCTATTATCTGCTACATGTATACATATGTATATTTTAATTTATTTAACAGGATTATAATTTATTATTCTTCATTCAACTGGCTTTCTTTACCTAATCTATTATTAACATTTTCCATGTCAGCACATAAAGGGTTGATTTATTCTCTTTAATATTTGCTTAGTTGCCATTTTATTTTTAAACTCTCCCATTGATTTCCATTCACGGATCTTTTCACATCACTGCAGAGAACATCCTTGTACATACACCTTTAAACTGCCATTTTCCGAAGAAAATATTAAAGGTAAAATCTCTGACCAAAGTGTATAAACATTTAAAATTAGTTTTATTGTTAAATTATCTCCAGATAACTGCCAATTTATACCCATGCCAATAATGTAAATGACTTCATAGTGTCCTATATTCTCACCATCATTGGGCATCATTGTTTTTAATCTTTTTCATCTGATAGCAATGATTATTTAATTTTGCATTTTATATTTTATTTTGCAGTTATTTGATTAATTGTAAAGTTGGGTATGTTTCTTATTTATATTATCTATTTTTATTTCTTCTGTTACAAATTTATTCTTTATAAACCTTTCTAATTTTTCTAATAAGGTGATTCACTTTTTAGTACATAAGTTTTGGAAATATTTCACGTATATAGAATCAAGCCAGTTATTTAAATCATGTGTGTGTTTATCTATTTGTTGATTATCTGAGCTATGGAATTCTAGAAGAGTTTTTCAAAGAGTTCTATTATCACTGTGGCTTTGTTCAGTTCTCATTATAGTCATAACAGCTTTTGCTTTGTGTATTACAATGCAAGGTTATTTGATACATAAAGGTTAAGATGTTTGTATATTTTTGATGGGTTTTAATTCATTGGCTGGGCAGTTTCTACACTACTGAGTCATTAAACATTTTAGTTCCAAAATGTGATATATCTTGTAGTTGTCTTAAGAAGTCAAGGTTGTTCTAAAGTTTTGGCGCACATAAAGTCTTTTTTCTTTGTTTTTGCTCTGTTTCATGAGTTTCTTTTTTATCATAGAGGGGATTTCTGTAAAGTGTGGTTTCTTCTTTCCTGGATTTCTCTATTCCCCACTTTCAAACTCCTATTCTTAACTAACTCTTTCCAATAAGCCTATAATCTTACTAATGATAACTTTAATCAAATAAAAGGAAACAAATGCAAGGAAACCAAAAAATAACTCCCCTCCCTAATTCCTTACTTAAACTTTTTGGATTTTTGTAGTCAAGTTACACAAAAGATCATCTTTAAATTCACAAGTTCCTCATAGTCACCTTTTTTTTCTATCTCTCCCCCTAAAATCTGGGCTCCTTCCTCACCTTGCTATGGAATCTACTCAGGGAAAAGTTACCAGTTACAATTAAATTATCACACCCAACTATTTCTTGTCAGGATTTATATTACTTGATCTTTTCTGCATTTAAGACCATTTAACTCTCTTGGGGAAATACTTTTATCCCTTGACTTTTACCACATACTCACTTTTTGGACTCCTTTGCCACCTGTGTTTCCTCAGTATGCCCTTTACACACCCACGCTCACCTGAATGTATGGCTGCATCCACCCATATGTGGATCATCCTGAGATCTGTATCTGTGACGTAAAATTCTCTCCTGAACTCCAAACACACAGAATGCTGGACAGTCTATGTGGATATTTCAAAAGAAGCTGAGAAAAAACACATAAAACTGAACTTATTGTCTTTCCTCCATTGCACTTGATGCAGATTTCTCAATAGCATGTGAAATTCTCTGTTATATCTATTGGATTGTAAGCTGGTACCCTTTTACTACATCAGTGATATTCAAATAGGGGACTGGGGGGATGTGAGGATCCATAGTCTTTGAGACCCTTAAGGTGGTAATACCTCCAGTTTGGAACTCACTTCTGGAATGTCTTTCCCTTATAGAATGTGGAAGCAGGAAAAAAAAAGGGAGAGGGGAGAATGAATGTCATGGATAATAAATGCTTGAAGGCAGAAACTGAGAGTTATTAATGTTTTGAAGCTAACACAGTACCTGTAGCATGTTAACTAGTCAGTACATGCTTATTGTATTATACTGAACCTAATCTTCATTAAACATTACTTGTAGCCTGAGACTTGGTTGACTGATAGGAGAAAGAAACCAACATTTGTCATGGATAATCCCAATTCTAAACAATAGAAAACAAAAAGTTTCCTACAAAATTGAGAATTTTTCTAATTTGATTGTCTCTAGGAAAAATTTTTTGAAATAAAAAAGATAGTCATAATCTTCATTATTTAATTTTACATTGTCAAGGAATAAAATTTATTGGCACGTTTAACTTGCAGATTTGTCAACTTTTTTATTGGCATGCAAAAATATGTCATATTTTTTGACCCTAGTGTTTCTGCTTTCTCTTTAAACACTGTTGATTCTTTTATTGAGTGCCCTAAAATGTTCTGCCAGTTTTAAACCCAGGAGGCTGGTACCCCATCTGTTTAACTGGAAACCATTTAATCCAAACTGACACTTCTCTTCTTAGGAGGTATTTCCAATGATCTGTGAGACCAAAACTTTCCGTTCTGTGCACATATATCTCTGGATCTGACAACATGTTGACCATGTTGGGGCAAATGCCCAGATGCCCTTGACACCATGGAGGTTGGCTAAATTCTGGCCAACCCTCAACAATAGAATTCTAGTAAAGAGCAAGTCACCCACAAAGAAAGAGGCTATCTGGGAATCTAATTTGGTGCAAATCACACCATTCACATCCTGCTGTGAAGCTAAAGGGAATCTTATGGGTTTAGGTCAGATATAATCCAACCTATAAGTATAATAATCCGGATTTGTTCCAGAATCCCAGGCTCTTCAATGTGGCATTTATAATCGAGAATACACCTACAGATTGGTGTAGAACCAGACTGATTTTTTTTTTTGAATTTCACTTACATTGGGATTCTCCTTGCTGTATGAACTTCTTAGGTGAAACTCTGTGAGCTTCCTAGGGAACTTCTATTTTAAGATTAAGGGTTCTTGGCCAGGCGCGGTGGCTCATGCCTGTAATCCCAGCACTTTGGGAGGCTGAGGTGGGCAGATCATGAGGTCAGGAGTTCAAGACCATCCTGGCCAACATGGTGAAACCCCATCTCTACTAAAAATACAAAAATTAGCTGGGCATGGTGATACATGCCTGTAATCCCAGCTACTCAGGAGGCTGAGGCAGGAGAATCGCTTGAACCAGGGAGTCGGAGGTTGCAGTGAGCCGAGATCGCACCACTGCACTCCAGCCTGGTGACAGAGAGAGATTCCATCTCAAAAAAAAAAAAAAAATTAAGGTTTTTGAACTACTAATATTTACACAGGCTATCAAAACTTACCTTCTTTTTGTAAAGATTATGATTATTGCATTAAAAACTTCTGTTTTAGTCTTTTAATAATCTCTGGTATCTGGATATTGTTTTATTATTTTTTTAGACTAAATATTATGTACCAAGATATACTGTGACTGAAAGCTAATTAGTCCATTTAAGCATCTGCAACTACTTAATCCTTTGTTCTGCGATTTGTGACTGGAAGAAAGGGTCCTGTTTACTCATTACTAGTTTCACAAAAAGATTACTTATTATGTTGTTGTTGAAGCATAGTTGCTTCTTGTCCATTTTTATAGCTCCCCAGTCTTACATTAATTTTTCCCTTTGCCAAAGAATAACTGGTTTGTATAAATGGAGCCAAAGTTTGCTTGCTTCCTTCCTTCCTTTCCATCATTCCTTCCTTCTTTCCTTCCTTCCTTCCTTCCTTCCTTCCTTCCTTCCTTCCTTCCTTCCTTCCTTCCTTCCTTCCTTCTCTCTCTCTCTCTCTCTCTTTCTCTCTTTGAGACAGGATGCCTTGCTCTGTTACTCAGGCTGGAATGCAGTGGTGCGATCATAGCCCATTGTAACCTTGAACTCCTAGAACCCCTGGGTTCAAGTGATCCTCTAGCCTCATCCTCCCAAGTAGCTAGGACTATGAGCACCCACCACCATGGGCAGCTAATTTCTTTTGTTTTTGTAGAGATAAGGTCTCCCTGTGTTGCCCAGGCTAGTCTTGAAACTCCTGGCCTCAAGTGATCCAGCCTCAGCCTCCTAAAGCAATGGATATTTCTCTTAATACATTTTGTATCCTTTCTATTATTTTACAGTCTTCATTTTATGCAATTCCATCATCTTTTGTATCTTAGTGCGTGTTTCAGTCAATATATCATTGAATGCATTTCCTAAATATTATAACCTTAAAATTTATTTTACAAATGCCTCAACCTTTCCTCCTTCCCCTAAAAGTCTCCTTCTCTGTGATACACTTATTGTTTCTCTATGGGCTTCAGTTTTGTGACCACTGAATGGTACACATCAGACTCCTTGGGGACAAAGTAGGTGAGTTTTCATCTCCCAAAACACTTACTTTAATACATAAATTATTCTATGGAGGTCTGTGACTTTCTTGCTCTTACTATTTTTGTTTTATTTGATTCAGGTGTGACCTTAATGGCACATTAGTTTAGGCAACTTGCCTTATTATTGGAATTTCCCAAATTTGTGGAAGAGATTAGGAGGATATGTGATTATCAAAGTGAAGAGAAGAATCATGTTTACCAAGACATAAGCCCTAGAGTATTTCCAAATTGAGGCATAAAAGGTGGAATAAAATAGAGTAACTTATGTAGAGCCACTTTCCTCCCTCCCCCATATGCATACTCTACTAGCAGAAGTTTGCTCTCCTATCACATAGGCTCCCTAACATTCCACTGTGTCCACCATGCCTAGAATTCCAAGCTGCTCTTGTTTTTGTCTTTTTGTTTTGTCCAACCCTCATGACCCCATGAATCTAAAAAATATACCTCTTAACAAACCGTGGCAGCTTTTATCAGATAAAATTTAATTTTATTAGGTGGCAAATAACCTATATAACCTCTAATAAAGGAGCTGGGAAGAATTATGCATGAGGGTACTCATAGTCTATCTTCCTCTCCCCCATCTCCCAGCATGCATATACATACTCAAACAGTAAAAATCAACGTATTTCCAAATATCTGACTTATTCATTTATTCATTTACCACTTTCAACAATGGAGCAACTTTATGTGCCAGCCCTGTTTTTGTATTGGACACACAGTGATAAATATAAATAAAAATAAAAAGAGAGGCAAGTGCTACCCTAAATTTTAAAAAATGTTCACCAGCATGATTTGTAATATTTCATCTTATTGATTCTCAGGTAAAAAAACTAAAATGAGAAGTTGAGAACAGAAATCTTGACTAGAAGGTAAGCCCAAATTTGGCAGTTTAATAAAAATGTTAACATATAATTGAATATAAAAATAAATATAAGAATATAGCATAGTTCTTGGTCCAGAGAAAGTAGTTGACAAATATCCATTTTTCTATTATATTATTGCTATTAATACTAAATCATATTTTTTGCAACCAAAACATTTAGAAACTATATTTTGTTATTCATTAAATGATTAATCTTCTCCTCTTGCTAAGATACTTAAAAATCTTAATTATAAGAAAGAGAATTAAGACACTGAATTTAGTGCCTACTTGTTCTACTAAAATAGTCTTATGTGGGTGTAGAAGTTTTGAAAGTTTTGGAACTGCACAGCATAGTTTGAAGAAGCTGACATCTTGACAAACTCTGTATTTCAGAGGTTTGGATGAGATTTTAATTCACAAGAAAAGATGCTGAGATAAATATCTTAGTTTGTAAACCCCTAAACTTTACATCTTTCTTAATTTGTTCTTCCTGTATTTCAAATATCTTCATCACAAAACAAAATGGCCTTACGTGGCCACTCATATTCGCTGAACATTTTTCTATGCTTTTGTAGAACCCAGTATTGTTTTCAAGACACTTTTCACATTTTAAAAATTATATACTGGTATAATTAATAGACTAAGATCTAATTTCTCCATCAGACTACAAACTCAGGAAGGAACTGGGTCTGTCTTTTAATCCCAGTTGGATCTCCAAGTCTAGCATAATGCATGACATCCAGTAGGTTTTCTATAAATACTTATCAAATAACTGAAATTTATAAGTCTTATTTCTTGGCCCATGCATTTGATATTCATGACACACAACTAGAAAAACTACGGATTTCAAAAAATATGGATTTCTTTAGGTGCCTCTCAGCTACTGGTGGAAATACTGGAAGATTTAAGATTTTATTTTACCAATTTCCATTCACGTTAGTCCTGTCATTCAATCATTCATTCAGCAGTATTTCTTGAGTGCCTACCATGTGCCAGGCACTGTTTCCAGAGCTGGGAAGAGTCAGTGAAGGAAAGACAAGGGCTTGTCTTTATAGAGCTTCCATTTTGGGAACAGCTGTTTCGTGGATCAATGCCTTTAAATATTAATACCAAGATGCAGCAAAACTTTATTGTAAGGTCCAGTATTTCTAGCTGTCTTAGTTTTAAAGAGGTTTCTTGCCCAAAATAAATATTTACGTCTAACAATTCACACCTGACAGCATCACCCCATTGAATCTCCCCAAACAGTCTTGCCCTCCTCTTAGTTAGACCAGAGGGTAGAAGCCTCCAGGCTTCACGTGCCATCTCAGGACTAGCAGCTTAGAAAACAACTGTTCAGTATGGGTATCTTTTTCTACAGACTTTCCCAGTATTCTTTCAGACTCGGTTTCTGTTTTTGTTTACTCTGTGGTACCTTCACTGTGTACCTCAGGCTACTGGCAGAAATAAGCATCACTTAAAAAGTAATTTAGGAAATAAGTATACTCCCCCTAGGGTGCAAATAAAAGGAAAAGTTGTGGTAAACAGCTAATGTAAGCAAAAGGTGCCTTGGGGGAACCCTAAGAGTCACTTCTTTCAAACCAGCAATAACTTCTGGTGCTATTGGTCCTGAGGCAGCAGCCGTCAACATTGTTTAAAAAAGCTCCCTTATGGTCTTCTCATTAATTAACTACACTGTTTGTTGATTCTAGATTGATTCAGTTTGTTCTCTGGAGAGTGTCTGTGGAAACTCAGTAATGCCTTGATGCAAAATTTCATCTTCAGGCCCTAAATTCCCAAGGTGGTGGTTTACCGGGACGTATAGAAGACGAAGCGAAAACGAGAATTTGTTAGATAAAAATGATAATCAAAATATTTTAAATTCAGATGTAATTTTTGAAGATTTTCCCCACAGAGCTAAAAAATTACCTGAAGCAAAGTTTGACTGACAGGCCAGCTTAACAAACACAACAAGACAAATGGCATGCAAAACAGATAGGGACGTATTTGTTGCTAATTACTTGAGAAAGCATTTTAATTAAGTTGTTTGCCAATTAATGCCTCATTTTTAACATTCCATAAATATTTAAACACGTTTCATAAACTTTTCCTTCTTATGGAAACATTTGCAAATGTTATTATGGAGTTTCTTTGGGAATCTCATAACAGAAAAATTGTATAGTTTAGAAGATTCTATTTGCCATTTTCATAAATAAGTAAATTATTATCTTTAAAAAATCTTGGTAGCCATTATATTTTAAAATAGTCTATCTGCATAATCTCTTTTTCTATGTTATGCCATGAAGAGTGGATGAATATAGGCTGCATATTGTTTTGATCTTGTCATAAAATTTGAAAATAACATGAGGGCATAGAGAATAGTATGTTCAAATTGAATCTTTTAGTTAAAAAATGCAAGAAAATGATTTCTGATAATTTCTTATTTTTTATTTATTATTAAAAAAATTTTTTTTTGTAGAGATGGGATCCCACTATGTTGCCCAGGCTGGTCTCACCCTGCCCTCAAGTGATCCTCCCACCTTGGCCTCCTAAAGTGCTAGAATTGAGGTGTGAACCACTGTGCCCAGCCCAGATAATTTCTTAACATTCAATAAATAACAATTATTCATATTTAAATCATCTTCAACCTAAAACATACAAAATGCTACTTTCCCAACTAAAATAAAACAAAATATAATATATGCAAGCAAAACAGAAAATTTTCACTGGTACCAAGTTTGGACTTAACTTGTAATATAGACTATCATAAACTCAACCAAAAATATCTCAAGCATTTAGCTTCTCTCTTTACTTATTTACCTTTTCATTGGTACAATTATGCTTATGCTTATTGCTTACTTCAAATGATTTTCATGAAACTAATAGATGAGAATAGTGATATCAAACCAACAGGCTCATATGTTCACTGAGCAGTAACAGATCAATTACACTGAGACAGCAGGGTTTACAGCAGAAAAAGAGTTTAATATCTTAGGGCACTGAGTAAGGAGATAGGAGGAGACTCTCAAATCTATCTCCCTGGAAAGTTCTGGGCTGGAGCTTCTAAGGGAATTCTAGGAGGTGAAGGGATGGAAAATTGGGGTCATTGATTGGTTGGTGTAAGGGGTATGAAATTAGCAGGATGTGATAACTGCATTCTTTGGTGAGTCAGCTTCTCATGGGGTCCTTCGGACCAACTGACATCAGTAGTTTCACAGGTATGCAGAGCCTGAAAGAATATCTCAGATGAAAAACTTAGCATTCTATAATGTTCAAGTTGTTATCTACGGAGCAGTTAAGGGGAACTTTTAACAGGATCTATATGATTCTGAGGCAATCAGCACTAAACAGCTATGAGGAAGCAGGTCAGAGAACAGGCTGAACTCATGCTGAATTTGCTGCAAGCTGGATTTATTTTAGCTTCTCCCCCTCCTTTCTTCCCTGAATAAAGTTCAGGGAAGTTTATATACTTTAAATAGGGGAGTTAAAAATTTATAAAGTTTATAGGGATGGGACCATAAGCTTAACATTTAGCCAGAGGATTACGGGCACACACTCCTTCATCAGCACAGGCATTTTCTTATCTAATACATTGACCATGTAATAAATCTCCAAGAGGAAAGGCCTGATCTATCTGGAAGGGGAATGATTAGCACATTTGCTAACTGATCAGCTGTGTAATATGTTAGGCAGCAGCAAAGGAAGGATCCCCTATTATTCATTGAATAATGAATTTCCATTCATTTATTCAATGGAAATCAGAGGGGAGGGAAAGGGGTTTCAAGGGAGTTTTTCTTATAATGAAATGTTTTATCCTTCAGGGGCTATGGGAGTAAGTAGGGCTGATTGAGAGAGGTGAAGGGGAGGAGTTACGGAGGCCCCATGAGAAAACCTGCATTTGTGCAGGAACTTGGGGATAGTAGAATAGCATCTAGTGGCCCATGACAAGGGTTTCTAGGCCACTTATACTCCATTTATAGGTCACTGCCCCAGCATGGGAAAAGCCAAATTGTACCCGTACCCAAATGAAAGAGTTGGATAGTAATAACAAAAAGACTGAGGCATAATAGGAACTCAGCTATGTAAATTGTAGTAACTTGGTTGAGGTAGTCCTGTGACCATGTAAGTTTTATTGTTGCTGTTTAGATGAAAATTAAAAGGAAAGATAATTGTGAGCACAATCAATGGAGAAGATTATCATTTTCAAGTATCCATTAAATTTGCCACATATGACTTTTGGGGAAAGGATGGGGTAAAGGAGTTATTGGGCCACCCAGTGCCTCAGTCTCCTAGAATTTCTTTTTGCTTTGTAGTGATAGAAGTAAGGCATTTGGGGTTATGTGGATGTTGACACACTTCATACTCATCTTAAATGAGTTGAATGACATTATCTCTTATTTTCAGCCTGTTTAGCTTTTTCATTTTAAATATTTTAGTCATCTTGAACTTATAGTTTAACTAGAGTTTAATTAGAAATGAAATTTCAAGTTGTCTTGAAACCATAGGGGAAAAACAAGAAAGAAAGAGAAAATTATCATGTAATGGTTAATTTTATGTGTCAACTTGACTGGGCCATGAGATACCCATATATCTAGGTAAACATTATTTCTGGGTGTATCTTTGAGGATATTTCTGAATAAAATTAGCATTTGAATTGGTGGGTAGAGTAAAGCAGATGGCCTTCTCCAATGTGTGTGGACATCATCCAATCTATTGAGGGCCTGAATAGAATGAAAAGGTGGAAGCAGACTGAATTCTCTCTCTGCCTGACTACCTGAGCTAGCACATTGATCCTCTATCCTCAGCACCCCTGGTTCTCAGAACTTCAGACTGAGACTGGAATTTATACCATTTCCCCTCCACCTCTCAGACCTCTCAGACCTTTAAACTTGAACACTGACCTTCCTGTGTCACCAACTTACAGACTGCAGATTGTGTACCCTATCAGTCTCTGTAATCATAATCCAATACTTCATCATGACAATAATTGCATACGGATATATATTTTCTGTTTTTCTAGAGAAGCATGACTAATGCAGACTTTGATATCAAAAGTGGTTCCAAAGAATAGAATTTTAAGAATGGGTTTTCTAAATTGATTCTGAGGTTTCTGCAATTGCCTCTCTGATCTGATTAGATTTAAAGATGCTACTGACTCTATTTTGTAGTAGTAAAGTGAGTACTGATAGTTCATTATGCAAACCAGTAACAGAAATATGCAAAGTAGCTCCTAACCAAGGGATGTAATAACATTGCTCAGTTGCCCCTAATATTGTTGGATAAAGTGATGAAAGAAAGGATGAGCTCAGAAATTTGAATTCGTACCTCAAGCACCATATGAATACCCAGAAGGTTTCTATGTGGGCCCTAAAGGAGACCTTTATCCCCAGTAGTTGCAGGGCTGAGATTACTGAAAATCAAATGTAGAGAATCTCATTCTGCAACTGGCTGAATTATAATATGAGTTGAACTTACAGCCTCACAGAGTGTCTACTGTTAAAGTAAGAGTATTGATTAGGAAAGAATGGGATGCTGTAAATTGGGTTGGAGACATGTGGGAAGACCCTGATGAAGGTGGGGATATTGAGCCCTTAAATTCTGATTCATCTTCTTTGCTAGTGGAAGAGGTCTTCCCACACCTAGTGGTGTTGGTCTTTCCACCTCTGTGAGTGGTTTAACCCTACATTGCCTAAGGAAACTATAATGGCCTTTCCAGTGGCAGTTGTCATGTAAGACAATGGTGATTCCCCCTCAAGATCCACCCACAGCACCCCTTTTTTCTTCTAGACCTATAAGAAGGCTCAAGTTCTAGCTGCTCCCTAAAGGTGAGGCACAATGTATGACCCACAAGGAGATGTGTTATACTCCAAAGGAATTACTTGATTTTCTAATTTATACAGACAGAAATTTTGGGCATATATGTGGAAATGGATGTTAATGGTGTGGGATAATGGTGGGAAGAACATAAAGATGGATGAAGCTGAATTTATTGATATGAGCCCACTAAGCAGAGGTTCTTCATTTACTATTGAAGCTTGGGGAGCTAGAAAGGGTTCTAACAGTTGGCCCTCTAATTGTTTGGCTGAAACATGGACCGAAAGGTGGCCCACAGTGAGCAAACTGGAAATACCAAATCTGCCTGGGTCTAATGAGAAGGGATTTAAAGACTTCTAGATTGGAATGTTAGAGTGGTATTTGTCATTTAAGACCTATTAACCCATGCTGCAAGGATCCAGAAGACACGTCCATCACCAATACTGTGAGAAATAAATTTGTGAGCAGAGCCCTAGCATCCGTGAAGAGTTCAGTGATCACTCTTCCCTATAGGCCAGACCATACAATAGGAACTGCAGCCACTGAATTGAGAAACTTAAATGGAGTTGGAGAAACTGGATCATGGGGTGACAAGGGCCAAGTAGCAGCACTCAGCTACCAAAGTCAGGTGGATTTGGTTATCATACTGGACAGCAAATTCAGGACAGAAATTAGAATAATCTGACTCTTGCAGGCCTACAGCATTGACTACATGTTTATGGTGTTCCTAGAAATTAAATGCATAGGAAGCTTACTAAATTCTTATTTGATCTATGTAAGCAGAAATGTTCTAGGTCAAGTGAGTGAAAGTCTAATCTGTATAATAAAAGCAGACAGTAATATTCCCCCAATCAATTTCCAGACTTAAACCACTATACAGACCCAGAATCCCTTAAACGATGGAGAGGCTAGATCCCCTTAAGGAATGATCTTGCTACAGCACCAAAAAATATACTATTAATATTTATCCCAACCTTCCCCAAAAAGACCTACAGCCTTTATGAGGGTAACTGTGCATTGAGTAAAAAAAAATAATCAGAACTTTCAAGGACTAGCAGACACTGTCTGTGAACTGACACTAATTCCAGGAGACCTAAAACATTACTGTGGTCTACCTGATTGAGTAGTGGCTTATGGAGGTCAAGTGATAGTGAAGATTTAGCTAAATTGTCTTTTACAGTGGGCCTGGTGAGTCCCCACGTGCATCTTATGGTTAATTCCCCAGTTCTGAAATGAGTAATTGGAATAAACTCAGCAGTTGGTGGGAAATGCCAAGTAGAAGTCACTAGAACTACTTAGGAAAATAGTTAACCAAAAGTAACACTGCATTCCTGGGGAGATTGCAGAGATTATTACCAGCATCAAAGTCTTAAAGGATATGGAGATGATGATTTCCACCACACCTCCATTCAACTCACCTGTTTGTCCTGTGCAGAGAAAAGATAGGCCTTAAAGAATGACAGTGGGTTACTATAAGCTCTACGAGATGGTGACCCTAATTGCAGCTGCTGTACTAAATGTGGTTTCATTGCTTATGCAAATTAACACATCCCCTGGTACCTGTTACACAGGTATTGATCAAGCAAATGCCTTTTTTTCTATACTTGTCAATAAGACCCACCGGAATCAGTTTTCTCTTAGCTGGCAAAGCCAGCAATCACCTTCACTGTCCTCTTAGGGGTATATCAACTCTCCAATACTATGTCATAAGTTTGCAGGGATCTTGATTGCCTTTCCCTTCTACAAGACATCACACTCATCCATTACATAGATGACATTATGCTGAGTGTACCTATTGAGCAAGAAGTAGGAATTATTACAGACTTATTGTTAAGACATTGATGAGCTAGAGGGTGAAAAATAAATCTGGAAAAATTTCAGGAGCCTCCTGTCTCAGTGAAATGTCTAGGGGTCCACTGGTGTGGGCCATGCTGAGATATCTTTTCTAAGGTAAAGGATAAGTTGTTGCATCTGGCCCTTTCTACAGTAAAGAAAAAGGCATAATGACTCTTGGATCTCTGGATTTTGGAGGCAACACATTTCTCATTTGGATGTGTTTAGCTAATCCATTTATGAAGTGTCTAAAAAAATCTGCTAGTTTTGAGTGGGCACTACAACAGGAAAAGACTCTGCAACAGGTCTAGGCTGCTATGCAAGCTGCTCTGCCACTTGGGCCATGTGATCCAGTGGATCCACTGAGTCTTGAAGTAGTGAAGTCAGTTAATGATGCTGTTTAATGGCCTATGGGAAGGCTCTATAGGTGAATTGAAGTGCAGGCCCTCAGGATTTTTGAGCAAAGCTCTGCCATTCTCTGCAGATCACTATTCTTCTTTTGAGAGATAGCACTTGCCCTGCTACTGGACCTTAGTAGAAATCGAATGCTTAACTTTGGGCCGTCAGGTTACCATTCAGCCTCCTATCATGAACTTGGTGTTATCTGACCCACCAAGCCATAAAGTTCGGTGTGTATAGCAGCACTGCATCATCAAATGGAAGTGGCACACACATTAGCCTGGGCAGGTGCTGAAGGCACAAATATATTTCATGAAGAAGTGGCCCAAATGCTCATGGTCCTCACTTCTGCTAAACCACCTTTTCTTTCCCAGCCTCCACCTATGGCCTCATGGGGAGTTTCTTAAAATAAGTTGACAGAAAACTGCCTGGTTTACAGATCGTCCTGGCAAATATGTGGGCACCACCTGAAAGTGAAGAGCTGCAGCACTACAGGTCCTGTCTAAGACATCCCAAAAGGACAGCGGTGAAGGGAAACCCTCTCCATACACAGGACTTTGAGCAGCGAGCCTGGTTATTCATTTTACTTAGAAAGACAAGTGGCTGTAGCCAGTGGTTTGACTGGTTGGTCAGGGACTTGAAAGCAACATGACTGGAAAACTGGTGACAGAGAAATTTGGGGAAGAGGCATTCAGACTTATCTGAATGGACTTTACCTTATTTTCTAGGGAAAGGGTTAGTGTGTTTTGGTTGGATGAAGGATAGTTGTATCATGTTAGGTGGAATTGTGGACTCATTATTTTTATATGGAGAGATTAGGTGTGGTCTGAGAAGATGTGTTTGGAAATCAAGTTGGTTAATTTCATGTGTCAACTTGAATGGGCTGTGGGAGCTGGTTAAACATGATTTCTGAGTGTGTCTGTGAATGTGTTTCCTGAAAAGATTAGCATTTGGATTGGAGGATGGAGTAAAGCAGATGGCCCTTCTCAATGTGGGTGGGCATCCTCCAATCCATTGAGGACCTCAATAGAATAAAAAGGAGAAAGAAGGTTGAATTCACACTCTGCTTGACTGCTTGAAGTAGGTCATTGATTTTCTGTTCTCAGTACTCCAGATTCTCAGATCTTAGGACCTGGACTGGAATCTACATCATCAGCCCTCTGGCTCTTGGGCCTTCACATGATACCACTGGCTTTCCTGGTTCTTCAGTTTGCAGATGGCTGATCATGGATCCCAGATCAAGTTCCTCTGGAGAACCCTCAATAATACAGATCACAAGAAGGGCCTTTTCACGCTCACATAGTGAATGGGGAAACAATGCTAAAAATTATATGGTTCTCATTTCTGCTTCTGGCTATGAGGGAGTAACTGAGACAAGTCCAGTCTTTCTGTTGGAAATAACTAAAAACTGGACAAAAATATATGAAACTATTTTCAGACATTTCACAACAGCTGTGCAGGGCTGTGGTCTCTGAGAACAGCTTCCCTGGCTTTCTGTCCAAAGGCAATTTCCTGACTTAGTGTGCAGGGCAGGGATCCCACACAACACTGGCTGAGTAGGCGAGACAGACATTGGGGTTAGGGAAGGTTCAGAGAACTGGAATCTGTGAAGCAGACGACCAGAGGGTTAGTGGGGGAGTGAGGAGAAAGAGCTCCAGAGACTCCCAGGGTCCTGGAGTTGGTTGCTGAACAAAAATCTGAGCATACACAGCATGATCCTCTGCTGAGTGGGACAAATGACGATGGGACCTGCAAAGGGAACAATCCTCAGAGCTTCCTTAGTGCATGGAGAGGTTGGAGAACAGAACGGCCAGGCCGGAGGGTCTGGACACCTGAGGAAACACTGAGACTCAGAACAAACTAAAACTCAGGAAAGCACTAGACTCATAAAATAACCATGTACAAGGAAATTGTATTTTTTTTTTCTTTCTTTGGAGATGGAGTCTCACTCTGTTGCCAGGCTGGAGTGCAGTGCTGCAATCTCGGCTCACTGCAAACTCCATGTCCCGGGTTGAAGCAATTCTCCTGCCTCAGCCTCCCAAGTAGCTGGGATTACAGGCATCTACTACCATGCCCAGCTGATTTTTGTATTTTTAGTAAAGACGGGGTTTCACCATGTTGGCCAGGATGGTCTCGATCTCTTGACTTTGTGATCCGCCCGCCTTGGCTTCCCAAAGTGCTGGGATTACAAGCGTGAGCTACCATGCCTGGCCAAAATAGTATTTATTTACTTATTTACTTATTTATTTATTTATTTATTTAATTTTTGGGTGATAGGGTCTCTCTCTTTTGCCCAGGCTGGAATGCAGTGGTTCAATCATAGCTCACTGCACCTCGACCTCCTGGGCTCATGCGATCCTCCTGCCTTAGCGTCCATAGTAGCTGAGGCTACAGTTGTGCACAACCAAGCCCAGCTAATTTTTAAATTTTTATTTCTATTTTGTTGAGACAGGGTCTTGCTGCATTGCCCAGGCTTGTCTCAAACTGCTGGCCTCAAGAGATCCTCTCATCTCAATCTCCCAAACTGCTGATATTACAGGCTTGAGTCACCACATCTGGCAATGAAATAGTTTTATCTTCCTTTGTGACTGGCTAACATCATCTGAATATTTTGAAATTTCTATTGTAATTTTTCCCTTTTAACTCGGAATCATATAGATTTGCTTTATTTCCCAAATAGATGGTTTTGGGGAACATACTTTCATTATTGATTTCCAGCCTTTTAGAATTTTTAGACATCCTTTTGGGGCCATATACCAGGCCAATTTTTGTAATTATTCCAACTCTGCTGAAAAAAAATTGTCTCTATTTTAGGAATGCAACAGTGTCTTTCTTTCTTTATATTTGAGAGACAATCTCACTCTGTTGTTCAGGCTAGAGTGCAGTGATGTGATCACAGTCCACTGTAAACTCGAACTCCTGAACTTAAGCATCCTTCCTCCTCAGCCCCTCGAGTAGCTGGCATTATAGGCACTTGCCACCATGCCTGGGTAATTTTTTTAAAAAAATTGTTTTGTAGAGAGAGGGTCTTGCTTTGTTGCCCAGGCTAGCAACGTCTTTAGAATAATCCATTGTGTTAATGGAAAGATCAAACTCTGTAAAATATTTTTAAAAGATTTATTCTAAGCCAATATGAGTGACTATGGCCTGGGGATACATAGTCTCTAGAGGTCCTGAGAAAATAAGCTGAGGTGGTTTGGTTATAGTTTGGTTTTATACACTTCAAGGAAGCAGGAATTGCAGATAAAGTCATAAGTCAATACACGGAAGGTATACATTGGTTTGAGAAGCTGAGATATCTCAAAGCAGAGGCTTACAAGTCATAGGTGGGTTTTAGGGATTCTTCAGTTGGTAAATGACTGGAAAAGTTAAACTTTGTCCAAAGACTTAAAATCAGAAGAAAGGAATGCTTAAGACAAAGAGCCCTACTATCTGTCATGTGCTGGTATACCAGAGTCGGGTTGGAAATTAAGCCATATTATACTGGGTTAATAATAATAAAAAGAAAAAAAAAACCTGTTTAACGAGATCTTATGATTTGTAGGGTGTCATGTGATGGTATACCAGAATCATGTTGGAAAGTAAGCCTTATTATACTGGGGGTAAAAAAAATCCTGTTTAGAGAGATCTTATGATTTGTAGGGCATGACATAACCCTTGCTTTCCACAGCATTAGGTCCTATCTATAATTTGGTATCTCATTGCCACAGAGTCTGTTTCGTCTGTCTTATGATCTTTATTTTAACATTAATGTCGGTTAGTGGTGCCTAAACCCTCCTTCCTGTCATGGCCAAAGGAACTCTGTTTTTCAGGTTTCTCTGGGGTCCCCTTGGCCCATGAGGGTTTCTGTTCAGTTGGTCGGGTGGCTTAGAATTTATTTTTAGTTTACAATTGGATTAAACTTGTTTCCGCTGTTTAAATCTATATCCTTACTAATTTGGCTCTTGGAAAATTTACCACTATAATTGCAAATTTGCTGATTACTCATTATTTTGACAAATTTTCTTTGTATATAAGAGGCAAGGTTGCAATTAATGCAGGTTATGATTGTCATATTCTCTTGGTGGAGTATTTCTTTTATCATATCATGTTAAATTCTATGACTTCTGCTATTATCAACCCATCAGTTTCCTTTTGTTTAGTAATTTGCCTGGAATATCTTATTTAATCCCTTTACTTCCAAACATTCCATGTACTGATTTATGTTTCATATATATTGTAGCAATTTACTGCTGGATTGGGGTTTCTTTTTGTTTTATATTTCTGAGTCTGTGCTTTTAAGGGACACTTACTCATATCTTTTTTTTTTTTTTAAGTTTCTACTAACCATGGTTTATCTCTGCTTCCTTTTTCCCTGCCCACTACTAGACTTGTGGGATTACCTAGATTTTCTTTATTTTCCTCTACTAGGCAGTTGGCTCCTCTTTGGAAGTTACACATTACCTTTCCATTCTCTTAGTATTAACCATTAAATTTTAACATGCATAGCAAGAAAATTGAAAAGTTAATCAACATTTCTATTTGTCCTTAAGATAATTATCCCACATCTGTGTTCTGATATTGTTTTAGAGTATTATTTTTTATTTACTTTGTTTTTAACACATCCCAACTCTACCCTCCGAATTAGCCAGCTCCCTTGCCATTTCCCAAATTTCTAGTGGGGTTTCCTACTCCTTATTCAAAGACCAGGTTTTTTTTGTTTTGTTTTGTTTGTTTGTTTGTTTGTTTTCTGTCTCTTGAATATGCAGAAAGCTCGGCCCCACCTCAATGCTTCACACAGCTGATGACTCTCCTCTTCTTTTGTGGGTATTACAACTGCAGCTCCCAACCCTGAGGTCAAAATCCATTTTATTGAACAATTTATTTGTTAGTAAAAGGAGAATCCAGATGAAAACACACATTGTAACTGTTTGATATTCTCTTAACCAGCAGTCCCCAACCTTTTTGCACCAGGAACCAGTTTAATAGAAGACAATTTTTGCATGGACCAGGGAGGCTGGGGTGGTCTGGGGGATGAATCCAGTACATTGCATTTATCGTGTGCTTTATTTCTATTATTATCACATTGTTATATATAATAAAATAATTATACAACTCACCATAATGCAGTATCAGTGGGAGCCTGAGCTTGTTTTCTTGCAACTAGACAGTCCCACCTGGAGGTGATGGGAGACAGTGACAGATCACCACCAGGTATTAGATTCTCTTAAGGAGCGCATAACCTAGATCCCTTGCATGTGCCGTTCACAATAGGGTTCATGCTCCTATGAGAATCCAATGCCACCGCTGATCTGATAGGAGGCGGAGCTCAGGTGGTAACATGAGCAATGGGAAGTGGTTGTAAACAAAGATGACATTTTCCTTGCTTGCCTACTGCTCACCTCCTGCTGTGCGGCCTGGTTTCTAACAGGCCACGGCCCAGGGGATGGGGACCCCAGCTCTTAACTGTCTTTTAATTTATTAGTTTTGCTCATTCCTTGCCCTAACCCCCTTCCTTTTTTTTTTTTTTAACACTTCATCAAGAAACCATTTTTTTTTTCTGATTTCTGCTTTGTGATTTTTTTTTCTTATAGCTATAGTAAATCACATTCAGAGTTCTCATCTTCCTCTGAGTCTTTCCATTCCCTTTGTTCTGTAGAGTTATTTTCAACCCCTTGCCTTTGGTCTGTTTATTTCATTTGAGTGTGTGTGTGTGTGTGTGTGTGTGTGTGTGTGTGTGTGTGTGTTTAATTTTTCCATTTTCATTCATGCAGGGGATAGCTCTGATCTTTACCAGCAAGGTATAGATCTGATCTTTACCAACAAGGAATTGATTAGCTAGGTTTGCAGCCGTTTTATTCTCTGTCTGTTGGGAGTTTGTTAACCCAATTCTCTGATCCACAGTTGAGAATTAGAGTTATATGCTCAGCCTCTAGGTAACTTAACTCCTGGAGTTCACCACGCTTTTATCTAACATGGCTCTGCTGCATTGAGGGGAGACCTTGCTGCATTCCCTTTTTTTGGCTCTTATGCTCTCAATGGACAAACCATAAGGCTACCTGAAATTAAGGAAAGAGTCTTCCTATTTATCTTGCTTTTGCTCCTTCAGCACATAAAAGACTCAAAATCCCCAGCATGTACCACTACCTGGCATCTTGATCTGTTTCTATCTGTGTGTAGGGAATACTTCTCTGGGGTGAAAACAGATGATGTACAACACCTAATTCCTGGTATATATACATGATGGAATATTATGCAGCCATAAAAAGAAGGAGGTCTGCCATTTGCAACAACATGAATGAAACTGCAGGATGTTATGCTAAGTGAAATAAGCCACACATAGAAAAGAAAGTATATTGTATGATCTCACGTATATGTGAAATCTAAAAAGGTCAAACAATTAGAAGCGGACAGAACAATGGTAGTTACCAAGGCCTGGTAACTACCATTATGGGGATATGGATGGGGATATGGAAAGATGTTGATCAAAGGGTACAAACTTTCAGTTTTATGACAAATAGTTCTGGGAATAAAAAAGAAAATAAGATCTTGAAGCTCAAGCATCCATAACCATTTAGCTGAGACTGAGCCAATACAAAATTGGGGAGGGTAAATTTTAGACCATAATTTCTTTGGATTTTAGTTTGCAAGATGATATACCTCTATTTTCTTTAATTGACTATGCTTCAATGCTGGTTTAAAAAGAAATTTTATGTAAAGTGGTCAATGGAAGATTTTCACAGACCTAGGCCACAAATGCTACCTGTCAGACAACTGTGAGAAGACTGATTTTAAGAGTCATCCAGATTGCAGAGATGATAAAATGAGGGGGAAATATGGATTTTTAGAATAAATAGAGTTAAAAAAAAGAATCTGAATAAATGATCCACTTCAGAGACCCTAGAATTAAAAATATAAGGTCTTTCACCTACTAAGAACCACTGTATAAAAACAGGCACGAGTTATTTATTTTATTTCACTGACATATCAACAAAAGGACTCATACTCAAGTTGCAAAATGTAGGCTTTAGTTTTAACGTGTTAAAAGAAAAATATGCCACAAAAACAGATGAATACTTCTGAAGATCTAATGTACAGCATGATTGGTGATAGGTATGTTAATTAATTTGATTGTGATAATCATGATTACACTAAGGATATGTATATAAATGATCATGTTGTATATCTTGCATATACATAATTTTTATTTTTCAATTAAATATTTTTAATTAAAAAAAAAAAACAAATTCCTGCCTCTTAGCTGACTGTCTTATAGAAGTTGGTAACCTACTTCTGTTATAGTGAAAGTATAGATGGTGACAGGGAGGTAAGGGGCAGTTTTCTGCATGACTCCCAAAGCAGTGTCCACTCAGTAGAAGTATAGCCATAAGCATTTCCAAGCCTGTGGGACAAAAAATGAAGGGCTGGAGTCCTCTCTGCTTAATCTCATGTAGCCAT
Organism: Homo sapiens; assembly: GCF_000001405.40. Lineage (NCBI taxonomy): Eukaryota > Metazoa > Chordata > Mammalia > Primates > Hominidae > Homo > Homo sapiens. The sequence goes on from NC_000008.11 coordinate 64,909,259, forward strand.
ATGGGGGCCTGCCCACTGCATTTTTCAATCCATGTTTTCTACTCTTATAGAATAAGATTGTAGGCACTCTGGTACGGACTGAAGCATGAGGCCGTTTTCCTCAAAATATGGTACAGAGGTGTGGGAAAGTGGTCAGTGCTTCTAAGGGGAGAAATATTTATAGATCAGTTGGAAAGCATTTAGGGAATCTTCTCTGAAAGAAAAACAGTTATGTGTCCTCCTTGGGAGAGTATAGGTGGTGTGAATCTCTTGGGGCAGGAGGTCCACATTTGCTATTCTAAAGTGTCATTGAGGTGGAGGAGGCAGAGAAGGACAGCAAGATTCCTAGAGTTTTAAGAACTGCTCTAGCCACAAGAACATATTGTTGTTTTCAAACATGTCATGTGCTCTCTTCTTCAAGTCTTTGAATTCTCTGGTTTTGCCTGGAGTACCCTAGTTCTTCTCTTTCCTTACCTGGGTAATTTCTATGTATTATTAAGCTGTCATATCAGATATTTCCTTTCCAGTAAGACATCCCTGACTCTTTTCTCTTGATGACTGGAATGGATGACCTTCCACTTTGCTTCCAAAACATCTTATTTTTACCATAGCACTCATTTGCATCCATTGTTATTGCTTGTCTATGCCATGTTGGAAAACTACTAAGTTTTATTAGTCATGGCATTCCTAGGTTCATGTAGTGGCACAAAGTAAACATTCAAGAAATTGCAAATAAATGAATGAATGGGCAAATCATGAATGAATGGGTTTTTGGTGGAATGAAGCAGATAGCCAAGGGCTTTTAGTTTACTGTTTGTCATATCCTCTTAATTCTCTAGTGTTAGGAAAAGAGGTTTGTATTAGCTTGTAATTTTTATCACATATCTGCAGTAATCTCCTATGTAATTTATTAGAATGACTATAATTCCCTGCAATCTGGTGTCTACACCTAAATATGAGATTTGACAAACAGCTGAAAGGTGCTCACTTAGAAACACCTCTGCACCTGCCATATTGCTAAAGATTTCAAGTTTTTAGTTTCATTCTTGGTGTTAAATATCACCTAATAAAAGTTTCCCACCCCCATTTTATTAATGTGCAAATGTCCCTAATTTGAGTTCTTAATTCAGCTGTTCTCTTTTTCTTTTAGGGCAACAAGGAAAAAGGGGAGGGAATGAACATATATGAAACATTCCACATGCCACGGTGCCACTAATATTAAGAAAACTGTGGCAAATAGAGCCAGGAAGGCCACAAAAAGAAGACCCTTATGCTTGTATGCCTGATAACAAAATTATTGCCAAAGATTGTAAAAAAAACACAACATTGCACAAAGGCCATCACAATCTTAAACAAAAAAATACTTCTACAAGGACATCTGCCCAGCAACTGCATGTCTAATCTCAGACTGGCATCACCCTTGTTATTGATTTTTGTAGCCAAGGATAATAATTATTTCAACAATTATGTAATTCTCCTTAATGTTTTCCCATAAAAACCTTTGTCTTCCTTTGCCTCCCGGAATATACACATAGTTTACTATGGCATGCATATTCCCATTGCAATGCTTTAATCCAAATAAATATCTCCTTCTTTTAGGGAGCTTGTTTCTCTGTTGGTTATTTAGATTGACACTAGCATGGTACTATCATATGTCATCCTAGTCAATCATTAAGATAAGGATGTTGAGGTTCAGAGAAGCACAAAGTAACCTGGAAAAGGTCACCTGGATTAAAAAGAATTTGTTGCCATTTGAATCCAGGTCATACTACTGTACTATGGGCATTGTCATCTCATGACCATTTGTTGATCTCCAGTCTACCAAAAGCTCAACCTAATGCAGTGCCCCATAAATAATATTTGTTTTTAAGATATTTATTGATCTGAACTGAAGTATTCTTTAAGAGTATGTTGAATAGGAGTGGTGAGAGAGGGCATCCCTGTCTTGTGCCAGTTTTCAAAGGGAATGCTTCCAGTTTTTGCCCATTCAGTATGATATTGGCTGTGGGTTTGTCATAAATAGCTCTTATTATTTTGAGATATGTCCCATCAATACCTAATTTATTGAGAGTTTTTAGGATGAAGGGCTTTTGAATTTTGTCAAAGGTCTTTTCTGCATCTATTGAGGTAATCATGTGGTTTTTGTCGTTGGTTCTGTTTATATGCTGGATTACGTTTATTGATTTGCGTATGTTGAACCAGCCTTGCATCCCAGGGATGAAGCCCACTTGATCATGGTGGATAAGCTTTTTGATGTGCTGCTGGATTTGGTTTGCCAGTGTTTTATTGAGGATTTTTGCATCGATGTTCATCAGGGATATTGGTCTAGAATTCTCTTTTTTTGTTGTGTCTCTGCCAGGCTTTGGTATCAGGATGATGCTGGCCTCATAAAATGAGTTAGGGAGGATTCCCTCTTTTTGTATTGATTGGAATAGTTTCAGAAGGAATGGTACCAGCTCCTCCTTGTACCTCTGGTAGAATTCGGTCCGTCCAGGGCAATCAGGCAGGAGAAAGAAATAAAGGGTGTTCAATTAGGAAAAGAGGAAGTCAAATTGTCCCTGTTTGCAGATGACATGATTGTGTATCTACAAAACCCCATCATCTCAGCCCAAAATCTCCTGAAGCTGATAAAGAACTTCAGCCAAGTCTCAGGATACAAAATCAATGTGCAAAAATCACAAGCATTCTTATACAACAATAACAGACAAACAGAGAGCCAAATCATGAGTGAACTCCCATTCACAATTGCTTCAAAGACAATAAAATTCCTAGAAATCCAACTTACAAGGGATGTGAAGGACCTCTTCAAGGAGAACTACAAACCACTGCTCAAGGAAATAAAAGAGGATACAAACAAATGGAAGAACATTCCATGCTCATGGGTAGGAAGAATCAATATCGTGAACATGGCCATACTGCCCAAGGTAATTTATAGATTCAATGCCACCCCCATCAAGCTATCAATGACTTTCTTCACAGAATTGGAAAAAACTACTTTAAAGTTCATATGGAACCAAAAAAGAGCCCACATTGCCAAGTCAATCCTAAGCCAAAAGAACAAAGCTGGAGGCATCACACTACCTGACTTCAAACTATACTACAAGGCTACAGTAACCAAAACAGCATGGTACTGGTACCAAAACAGAGATATAGACCAATGGAACAGAACAGAGGCCTCAGAAATAATGCCGCATATCTACAACTATCTGATCTTTGACAAACCTGACAAAAACAAGCAATGGGGAAAGGATTCCCTATTTAATAAATGGTGCTGGGAAAACAGGCTAGCCATATGTAGAAAGCTGAAACTAGATCCCTTCCTTACACCTTATACAAAAATTAATTCAAGATGGATTAAAGACTTAAACGTTAGACCTAAAACCATAAAAATCCTAGAAGAAAACCTAGGCAGTACCATTCAGGACATAGGCATGGACAAGGACTTCATGTCTAAAATATCAAAAGCAATGGCAACAAAAGCCAAAATTGACAAATGGGATCTAATTAAACTAAAGAGCTTCTGCACAGCAAAAGAAACTACCATCAGAGTGAACAGGCAACCTATAGAATGGGAGAAAATTTTTGCAATCTACTCATCTGACAAAGGGCTAATATCCAGAATCTACAAGGAACTCAAACAAATTTACGAGAAAAAAAACAAACAACCCCATCAAAAAGTGGGTGAAGCATATGAACAGACACTTCTCAAAAGAGGACATTTATGCAGCCAAAAGACACATGACAAAATGCTCATCATCACTGGCCATCAGAGAAATGCAAATCAAAATCACAATGAGGTTCCATCTCACACCAGTTAGAATGGCGATCATTAAAAAGTCAGGAAACAACAGGTGCTGGAGAGGATGTGGAGAAATAGGAACACTTTTACACTGTTGGTGGGACTGTAAACTAGTTCAACCACTGTGGAAGTCAGTGTGGTGATTCCTCAGGGATCTAGAAGTAGAAATACCATTTGACCCAGCCATCCCATTACTGGGTATATACCCAAAGGATTATAAATCATGCTGCTATAAAGACACATGCAGACATATGTTTATTGCGGCACTATTCACAATAGCAAAGACTTGGAACCAACCCAAATGTCCAACAATGATAGACTGGATTAAGAAAATGTGGCACATATACACCATGGATTACTATGCAGCCATAAAAAATGATGAGTTCATGTCCTTTGTAGGGACATGGATGAAGCTGGAAACCATCATTCTCAGCAAACTATCGCAAGGACAAAAAACCAAACACCACATGTTCTCACTCGTAGGTGGGAATCGAACAATGAGAACACACGGACACAGGAAGGAGAACATCACACATCAGGGCCTGTTGTGGGGTCGGGAGAGTGGGGAGGGATAGCATTAGGAGATGTACCTAATGTTAAATGACGAGTTAATGGGTGCACCACACCAACATGGCACATGTGTATATATGTAACAAATCTGCACATTGTGGACATGTACACTGAAACTTAAAGTATAATAAAAAGAAAAAAAAAGAGTATGGGTGCTTCTGGGAGGATGAGCCTAAGAGGATGAGCAGACAGGAGGTTTGAGAAAGGAAATGATAACTTGGTCTCTGTTAAGCCCAAAGAAAGCAGAGACTCAAGAGGCTGGCATGGGAGAGAGCCTGGGCTGGAACACAATATCACCCAGGGGAGCGAAGTCCTCCCTTCAAGACTTCTAGCAGCCCAGTTCTGTTTATACAGGTATAAAAATATAAAAGGAAGAGAGTTTTAACAAGTGATTTCAAAATAGAATACTTATTCTATTTTAAAAATACTGATTGGCAGGTAATTTTAAGAATTCTTTAAAGCTAAATGTTAAATTAAAAAAGCAAGTTATGAAATGATATGTACAGTATGAGACTATTTGTGGGAAAGATGCCAAATCAGTTTTATTTTTACTGGCAGATACACATGAAGTAATCATGGTTATCTAGGGAAAGTGCTGTTTTATTGAGGTAAAATGGGGGAATTTTATTTTGTTTTATTGAATTTTTTTCAGTGATGATGTATTCATTTTTTAAAGTAAAATGCAATTTTTTATAAGTCTTACATATTACCTCACATAGTTTTCAGTTGTCTCTTTCCACACTTCCTGCTCTTTAAGCAGTAATACATACTCCCAAAGAAGGCCTCTTATGATTCTGGAGAAGTATTACTGGATCTTCCAGATTTATTAAAAATTACATTGACTCTGGTCTGATTTACTTATGTAGAGACTTAACTTTTTCAAACCCTTGTTGTTATGTTCAGCTGTATTATTCTTTGAAGAGATTTTTTGGGCTGGCCAGGAAAGTTAACGTTTCTGTGAAGAAATGTATTGTGAATATTAGATATTGACTTGTGAGCAAACATGTGAGAATAAAATATGTATGTAAGTTGGGGAAAAAAAAGTGATTTCACTCTCTTTACAATCTCAGGTGTCTGATTCTGCCTCAAGCAGTGTGGAGCTGGGCAAATCGCCCACGTTTCCAAGCCTTAGCCTCCTCACTCACCAAGTAGAAGTGGTAGTCTTGCCTGCCATGACTACCTCTGAAGGTGGCAAGGGAAAAAAACACGGCAATGAACACAGAAAGGATTTGTATAAAGCAGGTATGGCAAACAGAATAATGGCCCCTCAAAGACTTCCATATTCTAATCCCCAGAACCTGTGACTATGTTGCCTCACACGTGAAAGGTACTTTGCAGATGTGATTATGTTAAAGATTTGTGGATGGGGAGTTAACCAGGTGGGCCCAAAGCAATCACAGGAGTCCTTATTAGGGAAAGAAAGAGGCAGGAGGGTCAGAGTTAGAGAGTAGTGTTGGGCTGCTGAATATGGGAGGAAGGGGCCACAAGCCACGGAACGCAGGCAGCCTATAGAAGCTGGAAAAGGCAAGTAAGATATTCTGCCCTGGAGCCTCCAGAAGAAATGAAATCCTGCTGACAACTTGATTTTAGGCAGGTAAGACCCATTTTGCACTTATGACCTGCAGAACCATAATAAATGTGTGTTTTAAGCCACCAAGTTTGGGGTAAATTGTTAACAGCAGCAATAGGAATTAGAAATAGGCTTGAGTTTGTAGAGATGCAAAAGTAAGCCACTAATAGAAACTTCGATGTTTGCCGTCCCTTTGTGTTTTGGGAGGGGCTGTAGGAACATACTAATTTGCATGGCTGCCTCAAAGCCCACCTCTGCCAGGAGCTAGACAGCTGCTGGTGATTTCCTTCAGCTATTTGTTGGCTGGAAGACACAAAAAGACTCAATTAAGGCAGTTTCACTGAAAGCAAAAGTCATCCGCGGTATTGCCTCTGCTTTAATACACACAGGCCTGTTAGAACTCAGCTCACATAAATTTTCCGTGCTAAGCCAGCATTAGCCGCCAAAGGCCCAAGAGCCAATCACAACAAATGATTCTGTGAATCTATGTTCTCTGAAATGCATGGTGTATCTTTTTACTCATAGGAATATATTTGGAATTGTTATTAACAGGAATATATTTCTAAAGTAGGTTTAGTTGGTTCTTTCAGCATCTATCAGGGATCAGTGATAATAACCACCTTTTGTTTGTTTGTTTTAAACAAAGCAGGGGGTAGAAAACTTGCTTTGCTGGTAGTTTTAGATTCCTAGAGCAGTTTGGCTAGCAGGAGCATCTTGGAAGCTTAGATTCCCAAGCTTACTAAGGCTTTAGACCACACTTGTATCTGAAGCGGAAGTATAAATACAGCATGTGATTCTAGTGGCGAACGAGGGTGAAAAGATAGAATGAGCTATACCTGGATGGTTCAAGGATTGACCACCAACTGCAGGAGTCATAGATACACAATCTTATGAGCAAATGCATTGGATATTTGAGGCATCATTGTACTAAACACCTTCTTTCTACCTGAGTTATGAAAAACTAAACTGTTGTGAATCACATCCTCATCAGCTACTACCCTGAGGAACCCAAAGAATCAAATGTTAATAAAAGAGAAAAGAAACAGAGAGCAGCTCTCAAACTTAGGGAGGGAAATGAAACCCTCTGTCTTCCTTTTAAAATAAATGTGTAATGAATGACTCATAGGAGTTTGATTTCTGTAGAAACACCACCTTTGGCAGTTGCTCATTGACCTTACACTGTTGAGGAGCTTGTCAAATTGAAAATGATGAACTCCTTAGCCAAGGGAGGGAAAACAACTTCAGTTACTTATTCTCCTTATATGACTAAATCATGCACCTAAATATTGTTTCTAGAGCTGCAGATAGCACGGCTTGGGACAATAGTTTTAGGAAAAGAGCAGCTAAGTATTTACTCATCAGTCGTAACAAATGCTACATCATTGTCTGAAATTCCCACCAAAACTTGAAATATACAGAACTTTGCATTGAAGAGACAGGAATTCTAGATCTTACTCACACAAAGCAATCAGTACTTTACTCAGGAAACGTCATAATATTTCATCAAGTAGAAATTTTATAAGGGGGGGAATTCAATGTACTGAATCAACTAAGAAGAATAAATATAGAAATTAACTCCTGGCACATCCTTTGTTCCAGGCTGTTATACATTGTATTACAATTGCCCCTACTGAATGGCTTCTGAAAGAATTTCTTGCATAATGGCATTTTAGTAATCGCTGTAATGTCAACAAACAAGGCAGATTAATGCTTCCAGTCCTGAGCTGTCTTGCTGTCTGCTTATGAGAATTGTAGTCAGATCTTCATTAGAATGAATGACATCTGATTCCATAAGGCAGACACAACAGAGGCACCTTCTTGCTATGGTGTCACCCTGCAGATGACAATGTAGGCCATTATGAATGACACTCCACAATTCGTTACTTCCTGCCTTAAATTGTAGTTAATCTTTCATCCAAACTGTACACATGTGCAGCTTTAAGTGGCCTATCACAGCGAGTACCCAGTAATGCTGCAAGCACATGGAGACTGACAGAAGGTAAATTGCTTGTCAGGAGGTCTGTATTTCAATTCACAGCATATTCCAAACAAGTCGTGGTGAAAGCATGCCACAACAGCTGCTTTCATTGCTAACTATTTTTGATGTAAATGTCAATAAAGCTCCAGGCCCTTTCATATTTTTGGCCAAGAATGTCCATCTTTCCCTATGCAGGCTGGCAGGTGGAGTTCCATTTATCTACTCTTAGGAACATGTCCTATAATAATGATTGTCTCTGGAGACCGTTTAGAGTGATTGAGAGCAGTGATTGGGACAATAGGCTGCTGAATTTCATTGCTGGAGTGGGTTGACAGGTGACTGCTTTTATACCCTCTCATCTGGTGCAGAAGGAAATAAAACACACACTTCCATCCAGTCCACAGGCAATCCCCTCCAGGTTGAAGATCTACACCTACAGTTCACTGCATTTATCAGAAAAAAATGAGACTCACGCTTATTAAACAACCTTAAAGTCCCCAACAGATCTAGTGTTTTTAAAGAGACAGTAGCAGCATTTGTTTTCTGTGGAATTACAGATAGGAGAATTAAGCAAACAATTTTGAATGGGATGTGTATGCCTTTGAGGACCTTTCTCCTTCTCCTTGCAAATGGCCCTTTTGGGATGCCAGCTGTTCACACTCTATAGCAAACTCTCTCTTTTAACTAATGCTCTGAGGAAGATGACTGAAGCTTGACCTTTAGCAGCTGAAACTAGCAGATATATTAAAAATCAATTCAAGGATGCCACTTTTGAACACATTTGCACTCATGTCAGTATGTGACAGCAGTGACTAAGTTTTATTTTTTTCAGCATAGAGTAAAACCTTATACCCACTCTTATGCACATTTATTGAGCATCTACTATAGGCAAAATATTATATTATATGCTAGGGTTAAGGATACCAACTAGAATTAGACAAGCACTCACAAAAAGGCAGCCTTTCAAAGAGAATAACCTGGAGCAAATAAAGTGTAAGTATAACTTGTATTATATTTACATTTTATATTCATTTATATTATGTGTTAATAATGTACACAATATATTATATTAGTATTACAGATAAAACTTGTAATTAATATTAGGAGAGCCTGCCCTTTTTTTCCTACTGATATAAAAATGTGATTTTAAAGGTTGGATACTACTGATCTCAAGAAAGGAATATGGGCTTTGGAGTTTGATCTGTTTTCAATCCAGTCTCTACCACTTATTACCCTACTAGCCTTAGGAGGGTTAAATAACTTAAATTTATTTAGCCTCAGTCTCTTTACATGTTAACTAATAATAGTTAACATGTCTTGAGCATTTACTATGCATCTCTCCTTTGCAATATTTAATGTGATCCTTTCAAAAGCCCTTGAACTTGAGTGTTTTTATCGTCTCACAACATAACTTGGCTAGTAAATGGATTCAGGACTGGAACATGTGAAGCCAGTTTCTAGAACCTGCATTTTAAATTACTGCCTTAAATTACTTTTAACATGATAATAATACCTCACAGCATTACTGTGTGTCCAAAACTTAGTTATGCTGAATAAAAGTTTATTTGCTTCTCCTTGAAATTCAATCAGTAACCTAGGAGAAATACCCAGAAAGTTGTTGAAAATTAGAGAGTATAGCACCTGATTCTCACTTATGAGATCTGAGTGCTTTTCACAGGGCTTGAAGGAGGAGAAAGAGATAGGTATTATAGGGGGATTGTAAGCCCAGACGGCTGCAAAGCACAAAAATGAAGAGAAAGCAGATAATGGGCTATTCAGGGACTAGTGAGCCATCTAGTGTCACTACAAAGGGGATGTCTTGCAGCCTGGTGGGACTGGACATTGAGATTTGAAGGCAGATCAACGTGGACTTAAATCTCTTGGCTACTTGCTAGCCATGTGACTTACCTGATGTGTGCTTTTCTTGGAAAATAAAAAGTATCTCAGAGCATGATGAGGATTAAGTAGAATAGTATGTGAAAAAGCACTAATGACTTCAAAAGCGCTGTACAAATGTAAGGTGACGTATAAGATATTTGTGTAACTTTATCAACTCTGGAGAGATGTAAACTCCTGAAGATCAAAATCAAGTCAGTGCTACATCACTTAGTGCCTAGCACAGTGTCTTGCACCCAGTAAGTACTAAGTAAATACATGCTGAATGAATAAATATCAGGTTAAATAATTCTATATATTATTCTTTCCACATTATGGAAAAAGATGTGTTCAATGCTAGAAGCCCATGATTTGATCTGTATTAAATTACATGTGCTATGATTAAATAAATAAGATTCTAATAGACATCTCTTATTCTATTCATTTACCTTTTACCAAGCATGTCTTATGTAAAGCATTATGTGGTGGAAGTTTCATGAACGCACTCCTTATCAATGTCTTAGGGATGGAAAGCATCATGAGATAATACCCTTCTTGCCCCCGGAACCACATCTGGCTCCTGGCAGTCTTCTCAGGCAGCTCCATGAGCAGCTGTGCAGCTGAGGCCACCCTGAAGAAGAGTTCTGATGTCTAGGGGGTTTCTGGCTTTTTATTTGATAGAAATTACTAGATTTGTTTAAAATACAACAAAATCTAGCTATATACCATTTACGAGTGACACAATTTCAAAATGACAAAATATTTGAAAATTAAATGATAAAGATTTATCAGATAAATTCCAACAAAAAAATATCATCACTATATATACATTAAGTGGTATTTAGGTAGTGCATTACCTTCCCTAACCACTACCCTAAAGTTGTTGTGTATTTTTAATGGCCTTAATTTCATATTTTTACTACTTATATATGTATGTATTCAAAATTATGAAGTATTTTTGTGTTTAAAATTTTGCATAAATAGTATCATACTGTATCATTCTAATTCTTAATTTTGTCTTCACACTTTTAAGTTTTTTATTTTTTATTTTATCTTTATATGTAATCTTTTTTTTTTTTTTTTTTTGTCTGAGACCGAGTCTCGCTGTCACCCAGGCTGGAGTGCAGTGGTGCGATCTCGGCTCACTGCAGGCTCCGCCCCCCGGGGTTCATGCCATTCTCCTGCCTCAGCCTCCCAAGTAGCTGGGACTACAGGCGCCCGCCACCTCGCCCGGCTAATTTTTTGTATTTTTAGTAGAGACGGGGTTTCACTGTGTTAGCCAGGATGGTCTCGATCTCCTGACCTCGTGATCCACCCGCCTCAGCCTCCCAAAGTGCTGGGATTACAAGCATGAGCCACCGCACCCGGCCTTTATATGTAATTTTTATTGACAAATAAATATTGTATATATTTATGGTGTGCAATATAATGTTTTAATACATGTCTACATTGTGGAATAGCTAAATCAGGCTAATTAACATATTTATTATCTCACATACTTACCATTTGTGTGTGTGTGGTGAGGACACTTGAAATCTACTCTCGGCAATTTTCGAGTATACATTGTTGTTAACTATAGTCACCATGTTGTACAGTAGATCTCTTGACCTTATTCCTCACATGTTGTACAGTAGATCTCTTGACCTTATTCCTCCTGTCTGAAATTTTATATTCTTTGGCCGACATCTCCCTAGTCTTACTCATCCTCCCCAAAGCCCCTGATAACAGCTATTCTACTGCCTGCTTCTGTGAGTTTGACATTGCTCAGATTCCGCATGTAAGTGACATCATGCAATATTTCTCTTTCTGTGCCTGACTTCTTTCACCTCACATAATGTCTTCCAGGTCTATTTACACTGTCCCAAGTGACAGGACTTTCTTCTTTTTTTAGGACTGAACAGTACTCCATTGTGTGTTTATTGCACATTTTCTTTACCCATTCATCTGTTGATAGACATTTAAGTTGATCCCATATATGAACACAGGAGTGCAGGTATCTCTCTAACATAATTATTTCGTATTCTTTGGCTATATGGCTAGTAGAGGGATTGCTGAATCATATGGTAGTTATATGTTTAACTTTTTGTAAAATCTTTATACTGTTTTCCACAATGATGTACTAATTTACATCCTCAGTATACAAGGATTCTCATTTATACACATCTTTATCAAAACTTAGTGTCTTGTTGAAAATAGCCATCTTAACAGCTGTGAGGCGATAGCTCATTGTGGTTTTAATTTGCATTTCCCTATTAGTGATGTTGAGCATTTTTTCATATACCTACTGTCTCTTTGTATGTTTTCTTTTGAGAAATGTTTATTCAGTTCCTTTGCCAATTTTTAAATCAGGTTGTTTTCTTGCTGCTGAATTGTTTGAGTTACTTGTATGTTTTGTATATTAACCCCTCATCGGATTATGATGTGCAAATATTTTCTTTTATTCTGTTGGTTGTCTCTTTACTCTGTTGATTGTTTCCTTTGCGGTGCAGAAGCTTTTTAGTTTGATACAATCTCATTTATCTATTTTTGCTTTTGTTGCCTGTGCTTTTGAGGTCAGGTTGAAAAAAAAATCATAGCCCAGACCATTGTCATGAAGTTTTTCCTGTATGTCTTCTAGCAGCTTTACAGTGTCAGGTCTTACATTTAAGTCTACAATCCATTTTCAGTTAATTTTTGTATATGGTGTAAGATAAGGGTCTATTTTCATTATTCTGCAATGTAGTTGTCCCAATATCTTTATAGAAGACGTTTTTTTGCCACATTGTGTATTCTTGGAATCCTTGTCAAAAAAATCAACTGCCTGCATATGCATGAATTTATTTGTAGACTCTCACTTCCATCAGTCTGTGTGTGTCTTTATACACAACACTATGCTGTTTCTTTATATATCAGTACCATGCTGATTTGATTAGTATAGCTTTGTAGTATATTTTGAAATCAGGTAGTGTGATGCTTCCAACTTTATTTTTGCTCAAGATAGCTTTGGCTCGTTGGGGTCTCTTGTGGTTCCGTATAAATTTTAGGATTGCCTTTTCTATTTCTATGAAAAATGTCATTGAAATTTTTATAGAGATGGCATTGAATCTGTAGAACACTTTGAGTCACAAGGACATTTTAACAATGTTAATTCTTCCAATACACAGACACAGGATATATTTCTATTTGTTTCTTCTTCCATTTCTTTTATCATTGTTTTACAGTTTTCAGTGTATAGATATTTTGCCTCTTTGGTTATATTTATTCCTAAATATTTTAATTTTTTCTAACTATTGTGAATAGGATTATACTCTTGATTTTGGGAGCATAGTTTGTTGTTATTGTATAGAAATGCTGCTAATTTTTGTGTGTTGATTTTATATCCTGCAGTTTTACTGAATTTGCTTATTCAACAGGTTTTTTTTGGTGGAGTCTTTAATTTTCTAATAAATTATTTCATCTGTAACAGGCAATTTAGCATCTTTCTTTCCTATTTAAATGGCTTTTTCTTTTGTCCTCTTTTTTTTTAATTAAATTGCTCTGGCTAGGACTTCGTGGCAAAAGTAGGACTCCTTATCTTGTTTGTGATCTTTGAAGAAGACCTTTCAGTTTTTCATTGTTGAGTAGAATGTTAGCTATTGGCTTGTGATATATAGCCTTTATTGTTTTTAGGTATGTTCCTTTTATGCCTAATTTGTTGAGTTTTTATTTTGGCAGGCTGCTGAATATTGTCAAATGGCTTTTCTACATCCATTGAGATGATCGTATAATTTCTGTTCTTCATTCTTTTAATGTGGTATATCACATCTATTGATTTTGTAAGTTGAAATATTCCTGCATTCCAGGGATAAATTTCACTGGATCATAGGGAATGATTCTTTTAGTGTGTTGTTGAATTTGGTTTTCTAGAATTTTGTTGAATTTTTGCATCTATATTCATCAAGAATATTGACCTGTCCATTTTTTTTTGGTATTGTATTTGTTAGCTTTTGTTCCTATAGATATGAGTTACCAGCTGGTATAATTTCTTTATTGCAATACACCTTTGCTCCAACTACTTCCTAGGTATAATATATTTTTAAATATATTGGGTTTTTAAATATGTTATGGCTCAACAATACATATAATTATATACAAAATTATGTACATATTGTTTTAAGCAATTTATTTTAAATTATTTAAAGACATAAAGGAGGATAAATATTCATTATTACTCTTTTATAAACACATAATTATCTTTGCCAGTGCTTTTTAAATGTGAATTGGAATTATTTTCTATTGTAACTTGCTCTTGGTCTAAAAAATTCCTTTAGTATCTCTTACAGTGAGTTTGCTAGCATGAAATATCTGTTTCTGTTTATTTGAAATGTCTTTGTTTTACTTTCTTTTTTCTTTTTTGAGACGGAGTCTCGCTCTATCGCCCAGGCTGGAGTGCAGTGGTGCGATCTCGGCTCACTGCAAGCTCTGCCTCCCGGATTCATGCCATTCTCCTGCCTCAGCCTCTCTGAGCAGCTGGGACTATAGGCGCCCGCCACCACACTCGGCTAATTTTTTGTATTTTCAGTAGAGACAGGGTTTCACCATGGTCTTGATCTCCTGACCTCATGATCTGCCTGCCTCGGTCTCCCAAAGTTCTGGGATTACAAGTGTGAGCCACTGCACCCGGCCTGTTTTACTTTCTTAAGATTAGCTTTGCTGAACGTATTATTCTTACTTGACAAGTTTTCTCTTCTCTCAGCACTTTGAACATTGTCATCCCACTGCCTTCTGTCTTCCATAGTTTTTGATGATATGTCAGTGGTTAAACTTACTGAAGCTTCCTTGTGCATGAGGAGAGTTTTCTTTCTGCTTTCAAGATTTGCTATTTTTAGGTCTGAGGGTGAGGACAGCAGCATATCTCTTTCAGAATAATGCCTGTGCTTTACAAGTGTTGCATTGAGTTAGGGTGTCCCTGGTCTTCTCTGTTTGCCTCTCCAGGCATGGTATCTGGGTTCTATGAGTGAACTGGAACAATGATGATCAGGGCCTAGTATCCATGACCTGACATACCTAGAGTAATGTTTTACCCTGCAATTTAAGACTCAGTAGAGGGGAAAGCTGAGCTATATCAGCCATACTTAACTGGCTTACAGTTTCAGCAAGATGGAGTATGAGGAATAAGAAATCCTGTTGGCCTACCCCTTCTGGGGAGAAATTATTGTCATAGATTGGGACCTGGGGTGGAAAAGAACCTCATCTTCTTGGCCACACCAGTCACGAGTAAATAATCCATCATTTTGAGCTGTGTAGTTGGGGGAAGGAGGGTAGGTCATACCTGAAGTGGTAAAAACTCTCGTGGGCCTTAACAAGATTTAGTAGATTTTCTTGAATATGTTTTTCTCCATTTTCTGTAAACCCTTAACATAATTTCTAGACACTGTAAGTTGTGTGTTCGCTTTTACAAATAATCCTTTGAGCAATTATGGTTATTTTGCTGTTTGCTGCAGAGAGGGTCCATAAAGTTCTTCATATTACCATTCTGGAAGTGCTTCCAGATATTTTTATGATAAAATGTAACATACAGACAAATACATTAAAATGTGTTCATAAATCACAATTTTAGAAGATTTTCATCATCACAGGAGTTTCCATTATGCCCTGATTTCTGGCATTTTAGTCTTCTCCATCCGTGGCCCTCACAAACCACTGTTTTGCCTTCTATCACTGTAGATTAGTTTTGACTGTGATTGAATTTTACGTAAGTGAAACTCATAATGTATTTTTCATACTGGTCTTATAAAATAAGATAGAATTATACATCCCTTGGACATTTAGTAGAAAACTCATGTGCAACTAATTGGATAAGATGCATTTTTAATAGATTAACTATTGATTGAGTTTCCTTAATGGTCACAACATTATTCTTTTTTTTCGAGTCAGATATTATATATTTCAAGAAGGTTATTAACATCACCCAGATTTTCTTGTTTTGTTTTCTTAGCTAAAATATTTGGCATAATGCAGAATGGGAAATATAAGTTATTTTTATTCATTACTAACTATGCTACCAACTTTTGAATACTATTTCTCTGCCATTCTCTCTATTCTCTTAATCTGGAGATCCCCCAGTACATGTATTGGATTCTCTTACATGAACTCCACAGGTTTTAATTGTTTTTTATCTCATTTTTATCCCTGTATGCATTATGGGTGACTTTCTTTATCATCTTCTCACTTTAACCATTCCCAATAAGTTGACTGTTTATTAATTTTTTTAAATTTCAATTTTAATTGATTCTCTTCCACATCCACTCATTTTTGTTTTATTTCTATCAATTTTACTCTTTTTTAAAATTATACTTTAAGTTCTGGGGTACATGTGCAGAATGTGGAGGTTCGTTACATAGGTATACATGTGCCATGGTGGTTTGCTGCACCAATCAACCCGTCATCTACATTAGGTATTTCACTTAATGCTATCCCTCCCCTATCCCCCCACCCCCTGACAGGTCCCACTGTGTGATGTTCTCCTCCCTGTGTCCGTGTATTCTCATTGTTCAACTCCCACTTATGAGTGAGAACATACAGTGTTGGGTTTTCTGTTCTTGTGTTAGTTTGCTGAGAATGATGGTTTCCAGCTTCATCCATGTCCCTGCAAAGGACATGAACTCATCCTTTTTATGGCTGCATAGTATTCCATGGTGTATATTTGCCACATTTTCTTTATCCAGTCTATCATTAATGGGCGTTTGGGTTGGTTCCAAGTCTTTGCTATTGTGAACAGTGCCACAATAAACATACGTGTGCATGTGTCTTTAGATTAGAATGATTTATAATCCTTTGGGTATATACCCAGTAATGGGATAGCTGGGTCAAATGGTATTTCTAGTTCTAGATCCTTGGGGAATTGCCACACTGACTTCCACAATGGTTGAACTAATTTACACTCCCACCAATAGTGTAAAAGCATTCCTATTTCTCCACATCCTCTCCATCATCTGTTGTTTCCAGACTTTTTAATGATCGCCATTCTAACTGGCATGAGATGGTATCATATTGTGTTTTTGATTTTTGTTTCTCTAATGATCTGTGATGATGAGAATTTTTTAATATGTCCATTGGTTGCATAAATGTCTTGTTTTGAGAAGTGTCTATTCATATCCTTCACCCACTTTTTGATGGGGTTGTTTTTTTCTTGTAAATTTGTTTAAGTTCTTTGTAGATTCTGCATATTAGCACTTTGTCAGATGGATAGATTGTAAAAATTTTCTCCCATTCTGTAGATTGCCTGTTCACTCTGATGATAGTTTCTTTTGCTGTGCAGAAGCTCTTTAGTTTAATTAGATCCCATTTGTCTATTTTGGCTTTTGTTGCCATTGCTTTTGATGTTTTAGTCATGAAGACTTTGTCCATGCCTATGTCCTGAATGGTATTGCCTAGGTTTTCTTCTAGGATTTTTATGGTTTTAGGTCTAACATTTAAGTCTTTAATCCATCTTGAATTAATTTTTGTATAAGGTGTAAGGAAGGGATCCAGTTTCAGCTTTCTGCATATGATTAGCCAGTTTTCCCAACACCATTTATTAAATAGGGAATCTTTTCCCCATTGCTTGTTTTTGTCAGGTTTGTCAAAGATCAGATGGTTGTAGATGTGTGTTATTTATGAGGCCTCCATTCTGTTCCATTGGTCTATATCTCTGTTTTGGTACCAGTACCACGCTGTTTTGGTTACTGTAGCCTTGTAGTATAGTTTGAAGTCAGGTAGCATGATGCCTCCAGCTTTGGTCTTTTGCTTAGGATTGTCTTGGCTATGTGGGCTCTTTTTTGGTTCCATATGAAATTTAAAGTATTTTTTCAATTCTCTGAAGAAAGTCAATGGTAGCTTGATGGGGATAGCATTGAATCTATAAATGACTTTGGGTAGTATGGCCATTTTTCACAATATTGATTCTTCCTATCCATGAGCATGGAATATTTTTCCATTTGTTTGTGCCCTGTCTTATTTCATTGAGCAGTGGTTTGTATTTCTCCTTGAAGAGGTCCTTCACATGCCTGGTAAGTTGTATTCCTAGGTGTTTTATTCTCTTTGTAGCAATTGTGAATGGGAGTTCACTCATGATTTGTCTGTTATTGGAGTATAGGAATGCTTGTAATTTTTTCACATTGATATTTTTGTATCCTGAGACTTTTCTGAAGTTGCTTATCAGCTTTAGGTATTTTATCCTCTTTGTAGCAATTGTGAATGGGAGTTCACTCATGATTTGTCTGTTATTGGTATATAGGAATGCTTGTGATTTTTTCACATTGATATTTTTGTATCCTGAGACTTTCCTGAAGTTGCTTATCAGCTTTAGAAGATTTTGGGCTGAGATGATGGGGTTTTCCAAATATATAATCATGTCATCTGCAAATAAAGACAATTTGAATTCCTCTTTTCTCACTTGAATACCCTTTATTTCTTTCTCTTGCCTGATTGCCCTGGCCAGAACTTCCAATACTATGTTGAATACAAGTGGTGAGAGAGGGCATCCTTATCTTGTGCCAGTTTTCAAAGGGAATGCTTCCAGTTTTTGCCCATGATATTGCCTGCAGGTTTGTCATAAACAGCTCTTATTATTTTGAGATCTGTTCCATCAATACCTAGTTTATTGAGAGTTTTTAGCATGAAGGACTGTTTAATTTTGTCGAATGCCTTTTCTGCATCTATTGAGATAATCATATGGTTTTTGCCATTGGACCTGTTTATGTGATGGATTACATTTATTGATTTGCATATGTTGAACCAGCCTTGCATCCCAGGATGCAGCTGACTTGATCATGGTGCATAAGCTTTTTGATGTGCTGCTGGATTCAGTTTGCCAGTATTTTATCGAGGATTTTCACATCGATGTACATGAGGGATATTGGCCTAACATTTTCCTTTTTTGTTGAATCTCTGCCTGGTTTTGATATCCGGATGATATTGGCCTCATAACATAAGTTAGGAAGGATTCCCTCTTTTCCAATTGTTTGGAATAGTTTCAGAAGGAATGGTAGTAGCTCCTCTTTGTACCTCTGGTAGAATTCGGCTGTGAATCTGCCTGGCCCTGGACTTTTTGTTGTTGTTGGTGGTAGCCTATTAATTACTGCCTTGATTTCAGAACTTGTTGTTGGTCTATTCAGGGATTCAATTTCTTCCTGGTTTAGTCTTGGGAGGGTGTATGTGTCCAGGAATGTATCCATTTCTTCTAGATTTTCTAGTTTATTTATGTAGAGGTGTTTATAGTATTCTCTGATGGTAGTTTGTATTTCTGTTGGATTGGTGGTGATATCCCTTTTATCATTTTTTATTATGTCTATTTGATTCTTCTCTCTTTTATTCTTTATTAGTATGGCTAGTGGTCTATTTATTTTGTTGATCTTTTCAAATAACCAGATCCTAGATTCACTGATTTTTTTTGAAGGGTTTTCATGTCTCTATCTCCTTCATTTCTGCTCTGATCTTAGTTATTTCTTGTCTTCTGCTAGCTTTTGAATTTGTTTGCCCTTGCTTCTCTAGTTCTTCTAATTGTGATGTTAGGGTGTTGATTTTAGATCTTTCTTCCTTTCTCTTGAGGGTATTTCATGCTATAAATTTCCTTCTACACACTGCTTTATATGTGTCCCAGAGAATGTGGTAGATTGTGTATTTGTTCTCATTGGTTTCAAAGAACAGCTTTATTTCTGCCTTCATTTCGTTATTTACCCAGTAGTCATTCAGGAGCAGGTTGTTCAGTTTCCATGTAATTGTGCAGTTTTGGTGAGTTTCTTAATCCTGAGTTCCAATTTGATTGCACTGTGGTCTGAGGGACTGTTTGTTATAATTTCCATTCTTTTGCATTTGCTGAGGAGTGCTTTACTTCCAACTATGTGGTCAATTTTAGAATAAGTGTGATGTGGTACTGAGAAGAATGTATATTCTGTTGATTTGGAAAGGAGAGTTCTGTAGATGTTTATTAGGTCTGCTTGTTCCAGAGTCGAGTTCAAGTCCTGGATATCCTTGTTAATTTTATGTCTCGTTGATCTGTCTAATATTGACAGTGGGGTGTTAAAGCCTCCCACTATTATTGTGTGGGAGTCTAAGTCTCTTTGTAGATCTCTAAGAACTTGCTTTATGAATCTGGGTGCTCCTGTATTGGGTGCGTATATATTTAGGATAGTTAGCGCTTCTTGTTGAATTGATCCCTTTACCATTATGCAATAGCCTTCTTTGTCTCTTTTGATCTTTGTTGGCTTAAAGTCTGTTTTATCAGAGACTAGAATTGCAATCCTTGCTTTTTTTGCTTTCCATTTGCTTGGTAAATATTCCTCCATCCCTTTATTTTGAGCACGTGAGATGGGTCTCCTGAATACAACACACCAATGGTCTTGACTCTTTATCCAATTTGCCAGCCTCTGTATTTTAATTGAGGCATTTACCCCATTTACATTTAAGATTAATATTGTTATGTATGAATTTGATCCTGTCATTATGATGCTAGCTGGTTATTTTGCCCATTAGTTGATGTAGTTTCTTCATAGTGTTGATGGTCTTTACAATTTGGTATGTTTTAGCAGTGGCTGGTACCAGTTGTTCCCTTCCATGTTTAGTGCTTCCTTCAGGAGTTCTTGGAAGGCAGGCCTGGTGGTGACAAAATCTCTCCGCATTTGCTTGTCTGTAAAGGATTTTATTTCTCCTTCAATTATGAAGTTCAGTTTTGCTGGATATGGAATGCTGGGTTGAAAATTCTTTTCTTTAAGAATATTGAATATTGGCCCCCACTCTCTTCTGGCTTGTAGGGTTTCTGCTGAGAGATCCGCTGTTAGTCTGATGCACTTCCCTTTGTAGGTAACCTGACCTTTCTCCCTGGCTGCCCTTAACATTTTTTCCTTCATTTCAACCTTGGTGAATCTGATGATTATGTGTCTTGGGGTTGTTTTTCTCAAGCAATATCTTTGTGTCATTCTCTGTATTTCCTGAATTTGAATGTTGGCCTTTCTTGCTAGGTGGGGGAAGTTCCCTGGATAATAGCCTGAAGAGTGTTTCCAACTTGTTTCATTCTCCCAGTCACTTTCAGGTACACCAATCAAACATAGATTTGGTCTTTTCACATAGTTTCATATTTCTTGGAGGCTTTGTTCATTTGTTTTCACTCTTTTTTTTTTCTAACGTGGTCTTCTTACTTTATTTCATTGAGTTGATCTTCAATCTCTGATATTCTTTCTTCTGCTTGATCGATTCTGCTATTGATGCTTGTGTATGCTTCACGAAGTTATCGTGCTGTGTTTTTCAGCTTCATCAGGTCATTTATGTTCTTCTCTAAACTGGTTATTCTACTTAGCAATTCATATAACCTTTTTTCAAGGTTCTTAGCTTCCTTGCATTGGGTTAGAATACACTGCTTTAGCTCAGAGGAGTTTATTACCCACTTTCTGAAACCTACTTCTGTTCAATCTGTCAAAGTCATTCTCCATCCAGTTTTGTTCCCTTCTGGCAAGGAGTTGTGATCCTTTGGAGGGGAAGAGGCATTTTGGTTTTCGGAATTTTCAGCCTTTTTGTGCTGGTTTCTTGCCATCTTCATGGATTTATCTACCTTTGGTCTTTGTCAGAGACCTTTGGATGAGGTCTCTAAGTTCTGCTGATGTTGATGCTATTCCTTTCTGTTTGTTAGTTTTCCTTCTAATAGTTGGGCCCCTCTGCTGCAGGTCTGCTGGAGTTTGCTGGAGTTCCACTCCAGACCCTGTTTGCCTGTATATCACCAGCAGCAGCTGCAGAACAGCAAAGATTGTTGCCTGTTCCTTCCTCTGGAAGCTTTGTCTCAGAGGGGCACCCAGCAGATGCCAGCAAGAGCTCTCCTGTATGAGGTATCTGTCAGCCCCTACTGGGAGGTGTCTCCCAGTTAGGATACATGGGGGTCAGGGACCCACTTGAAGAGGCAGCCTGTCCCTTATCAGAATATGAATGCTGTGCTAGGAGATCCACTGCTCTCTTCAGAGCTCCCAGGCCAGGGATGTTTAAGTCTGCTGAAGCTGCCCCACAGCTGCCCCTTCCCCCAGGTGCTTTGTCCCAGGGAGATGGGGGTTTTATCTGTAAGCCCCTGACTGGGACTGCTGCCTTTTTTTCAGAGATGCCCTGCCCAGAGATGAGGAATCTAGAGAGCACAGTGTCCCTGCTGAGCAGCGTTGGGCTCTGCCCAGTTTGAACTTCTCAGCAGCTTTGTTTACACTGTGAGGGTAAAACTACCTACTCAAGCCTCAGCAATGACAGACGCCCCTCCCCCCACCAAGCTTGAGCATCCCAGGTCGACCTCAGACTCCTGTGCTAGCAGCGAGAATTTCAAGCAAGTAGCTCTTAGCTTGCTGGGCTCTGTGGGGGTAGGACCCGCTGAGCCAGTCACCAGAGGGAATCTCCTGGTTTGCCGGTTGTGAAGACTGTGGGAAAAGCGCAGTATCTGAGCCAGAGTGCCTTGTTTTTCCCGGTACAGTCTCTCATGGCTTCCCTTGGCTAGGAAAGGGAAATCCCCTGACCCCTTGTGCTTCTCTTGTGAGGCGACACCACACCCTGCTTTGGCTTGCCCTCTGTGGGCTATACCCACTGTCCAACCAGTCCCAATGAGATGAACTGTGTACCTCAGTTGGAAATGCAGAAATCATTCTGCATTGATCTCACTGGAAGCTGCAGACCGGACCTGTTCCTATTCGGCCATCTTGTCAGCAGCCCCTGAACTTAATTTTACTCTTATGGTGTCTAATTATTTTGAATGGGTGTTAGGCCTTCACATAACTCTTTTAAAATTCCATGTATTTAAAAATCCTTTGTAAAGACAATGTTATTATTTTCATTGATGTGGTATATACTTCTCCCAAGGTCATGTTTACATGGGCTGGAGAGAGAGAGAGAGAGAGAGAGAGTGTCAAATATTTTTGGATAAATAATTATTTTGGAGATGCTTCTTTAGTTGGCAGTTTGATCCCCCCTACCACTATACACACACACCCACACACACACACACACACATTTTCTTTCTGCAGTTGTTTTATAATATTTCCACTTGGCTTCTGAGGTCTTAGTTCATAACTAGATCTTATCATAGCTGTCTTGGACTTTTATCTTGTGTTAATATTGAATATTGCTAGTATCAAAGTTGTCAAAGTATAAAGCTTCATATATATAAACAATAATACCAGATAACCGTCAGTTTCAACTTCCTCACACATTCTTTTCTCCTCCAAACTTGGCCTTTGCTTATGAGTAGGAAAACCCTATTGTACTGCCTGATTTTGAACAGTGAGCTTGGCTTTAGTTTCTTCTCATGTGATCTACTATTATTTCTTGTTATAAGAGATAAACTTCCTAGCCAATATCAGTTCTAAATCTGGACCACACTTGTCGACAACTTTGGCCCCGCTTGCTGCCTTCTCTTACTGTTTTATTCTTGATCCACAGAATTGCCTTAGTAGTAATTTTTTAAATCTTCTTTACGTTTTACCTGTTACTACTGGGCATTTATATGGGGGTATTGGGGATTTAAAGTATGAATCCTAAATGCCATTTAAAGTTTTTAACAGTTTCATTGAGGTATAACTTTCATATTATAAAATTCACCCATTTTAAGTGTATAGTTGATGAGTTTTAGAAAATTTATACAGCTGTGTAATTATCATCACAATCCAATTTTGTAACATTTCCATTGTCCCAAAAGGTTTCCTCATGCCTAATTGCCTTACTTCTTGCTTTATTGCCCTTCTAAGTAACTGTTGATCTGACTTCTGACTCTTCAGATGTTAGCTTTTTCAGAAATTTTATATTAATAAAATAATTAAAAATATAGTCTTTGGGGTCTGGTTTTTCTCTTAGCATCATATTTTTGAGGTTAATCAATATCGTTTCATGTATCAAATTTGTTCCTTTTTATTATGAATTCCATTGTAATGGTTATATTGCATTCTGTTTATATCTTCACTAGTTGATGGATGTTTGGATTATTTCTAGCTTTTTACTGTTATGAATAATGCTGTCATGATCATTCTTGTACATGTCTTTGTGTGAACATATGCTTGTATTCTCTAGAACAGATTTCCAGCAATTTAAGTTGCTTTTCTATGGAAAGTGCATGGTATGTTTAAGAAACTTTTAAACTGTTTTTCTAAGTGACTATAGCATACAGCAATATATAGGGGTTCCTCTTTCTCTACATTTCTACCAGCATTTGTTATTGTATGTATTTTTGATTATAGCCTTTTTAATGGGCATTAAATGGTAGCTCATTCCCTAATGATTAATGATGTTGAATAGTTTCATGTGATTGTATGGTTTCTGTGTATCTTCTGTAGTGAAGTATCTATTAAACTCTTTTGCCCATTTAAAAAATTGAATGGTTTGTCTTATTAATAAGTATAATATCATCTTGACTGGGAGGCTCCTGTTATTTTTCTAATAACTTATTGTTCCAGCCAGATCATGCATGCTATTTCCTTCAAGCTAAACTGACTCCCTATTTACTCCTCTAGGAGTACTATTCTCTTACAAAGATAAATTCATTTACTAAAACTCCTGGAGTACCTAAGTAGTGAATCTGAGTGTATTCATCAAATATGGCATGCTGGTTTTGCCAATAAATTTTGTTATTGGAAGATCTTTGCTTTTTATTGGTTTTTGAAATTACAAAATTGGATAGTAGTATATAGTCTTAGAAAGAAATCTGAGCCAATTTGAAATTATTTTTCCTGTCCATATGACAAGCTAATGAGACATGTAGCTAACTTCGCAGCACAGAAATATTCCCAAAGTGAGCTAATAATTTTAAAAGTCCACAAGGATTGTAGCTAATGCTAATGTCAAATGGAAAATTATAGTGTTTGGCAACTTCAGATTTGAATCAAATTATTTAGATTTCTATTTGGTCTTGAGGTCTCTCTACCTGGCTTCCCAAAGCCCAGTCTGCTGCTAGGTCTGCCCCTCACCCCACTGCTTTTCTTTTTTTCTTTTTTCCTTTTACATTTAAATGACTTGTAGTATATCCACAGAATTGTTTCTGCTTTATCACAATCAATTTTGAAACATTTTAATTGCCCCCAAACAAGGCTCAATTTCACCTAGTCATCATTCGAAACTCCTTCAGTCCTCCCCAGCTCCAGCCACAGACAACCACTGATGTATTTTATGTCTCTACAGATTTTTCAATTCTGGACATTTAATACACTACAATATGTGGTCCCCTTGTGGCTGGTTATTTTACCTAGTATAATGTTTTCAAGGTCCATCCACATTATAACATGTATTGGTAGTTTATTTCTTTTTGCTGCCAAATAATATATTCTGTGGATAGATCACATTTTATTTATTCATCCATCAGTTGATGAACATTTGAGTTCTTTCCACTTTTTAACTATTACAAATAATGTGGCTATGGGCATTCATGTACCAGCTTTAGTGTGAATATGTTTGCTTTTCCCTCGGGTATATACTCCTGGGTCCTTTGGTAACTCTATACTGAATCATTTGAGGAACTGCCAGACTGTTTTCCAAAGTGGCTGCACTATTTTACATTTACACCAGCAATGTAGGAAAGTTCCAACATCTACAAGTACCTTACCTTACAAGATTTGCAAAAATGTTTTCCAATCCTATGAGTTATCTTTTCACTTTCTCTATGGTGTGTTTTTTGAAGGCTGAAAGTTCTTAATTTTTATGTTCACTTTAGGTACATTCTCTTTCATTGCTTACACTTTTTGTGTCATATCTAAAAAAATAACTGCCTAATCTAAGATCTCAAAAATATATGCCCATGTTTGCTTCTAAAAATTTTATAGTTGTAACTCTTACATTCTGTTTTTTTGTTAATTTTGAGTTCATTATTTTGCATGTGGGTATCCACTTGTCCCCTCACCATTTGTTGAAAGATTATTCTTTTCCCCCCATGTAATTGCCCTAGAATTCTTGTTGAAAATCAATTGACTGTGAATGTAAAATATTTATGAACTTGATTCTATTCCATTGATCTGTATGTCTTATCCTATGCCAGTACTGCACTGTCTTGGTTGCTGCAGCTTTGTACTAAGTGTGAATCCTCCCATTTTATTCTTTTTCAAGAACTGTTTTGCCTATTCTGGGTACTTAGCATTTGCATGTGAATCTTAGTTCAGTTTATCAATTTCTGCAAATAAGTCAGTTGGAATTTTACTTTTTGTGTTGAATCTATAGATCAATTTTAGTGAGAATTGTGTCGAATCTGTATTTCCCTTTAACAATATTATACCTTCCAATATACGAGCTCAGGGATATCTTTCATCTCTTTAGGTCTCCTTTAATTTCTTTCAACAATATTTTCTAATTTTCAGAGTATACATTTTATATAACTTATTAAATTTATTCCAAAGTATTTTATTCTTTTTATGCTATTACAAATGCTATCATAAGTAGAATTGTGTCCTAAATTTTATTTTTAGTTTGTTTATTGCTATGGCGTAGAAATATAACTCATTTTTTATATTGATCTTGTATCCTGCATACTTGTCAAGCTTGATTGTTAGCTCATACTTTTAGTGTATTTTTTAGGTTTTTCTATATACAAATCACTTTATCTTCAAATAGAGATAGACTCATTTCTTTCTTTCCTATCTGAATGCCTTTTATGTATTTTTCTTGCCTGTTGTACTGCCTAGAATCTCTAGTACAATTTTGAAAAGGAGTCATGAGAGTATATATCCTTTCCTTATTCCTGACCTTAGAAGAAAAGCATTTAGTGCTTCACTGTTAAGTGTGATGTTAGCTATGGTTTTTTAGTAGCTTTTGTTTATTAAATTGAGGACTTCCCTTCTATTCCTAGTTTCCTTCATGATTTTATCATGGAGGAATATTGAATTTTTTATTTTAGCTTTTTTTGAGATGAAAATAACTAACATAAAATTAACTTTTCTAAAGTGAAAAATCCAGTAGCATTGAGTACATTTACAATTTTGTGCAACTGCCACTGCTATCCAATTCCAAAACCTCTTCATTGCCCTAAAAGGAAATATGTAGCCACTTAGCAGTTGATCCCATTCCTCCTATCCCCTGGCAACTACCGGTCTTTCTGTCTCTATGGATTCCCCTCTTCTGGATAGTTCATATAAATGGAATCATATAACATGGGACCTTTTTGTATCTGGCTTTTTTCATTTAACAAAGTTTTTGTTATTGATACATAATAGTTGTACATATTTATGGAGTACATTTGATATTTTGACACATGAATACAATGTATAATGATCAAATCGGAGAAGTTAAGATATCCATCATCTCAAACACTTACCATTTCTTTGTTGGGAACTTTCCAAATCTTCTCTTTTAGCTGTTTTGAAACATATAATGTATTATTGTTAACTACAGTCACCCTACTGTGCTATTGAACATTAAAACTTATTCCTTCCATGTAACTGTATTTTTGTACTAGTTAACTAACCCCTTCCCACCCTTCCCCACCTCTGGTAACCACCATTCTACTCTATCTCCATGAAATCAATTGTTTTAGCTCCCATTAACATAATGTCCTCTGGTTCTGTCCACGTTGCTGCAAATGACAGAGTTGCATTCTTTTTATGGCTAAATAATATTCCATTGTGTATGCATACCACATTTTATTTATTCATCTGTTGATAGATGCTTAGGTTGTTTCCATATCTTAGCTATTGTGACTAATGCAATAATCTTCTCCTGTGCCCATTGATCATGTCGCTTTTATCCTTTATTCTACTGATTTAGTATATTGTATTATCATTATAGTGATATGCTGGCTGAAAGCTTCTGACTTTGAAGAGCTGGTCAAGAAATAAATCATTTAAAACTCATTTTTTACTCAAAGTAAAAGATACATAATTTAGTAATTCCTTTTTCCAGCTGAACACAATTTTTTTTCTACTTCTTATAAGAAGTTTATTTTAACAGAACAACGTCTTAGTGTTGTCATCACTCTTATTTATGGGACTACAAATAGTGATGTAACTAAAGAGTTAAGAATTATATAAGGTGTGAACAGATGATTAAACACTTTAAATTTGTAAAATATTGTGGACTATAATTAATCTGTTAGATAAGCCAAGCACTGTTCTGATCACAAACAATATAAATACAGTATAGTCTCTGACTTTAGAGGTTCAGAGTCAAGGGAAAGAGAAAGGCATATAAAAAAGAGAAAATAAAATAGGTATGAATGTATATCATACTTTAAAATGAATACTAAGCAAAATTTACTTTAAAAATCATACTTTAGTAGGCACTGATTTTGCTTATATGTAGTGGGGAAAGACAGTAAAAATTCATATTAAGACCATTGAGCCTCACTTGATGGATGAAAGCAAATTATTTTACTTCCTTGAGTGTAGGTGCAGCTCAACTGAATAGAAGGGGTGGGGATGAATTGGAGACTTTAATCTCCTTTCCCAGTCTCTGAATTACCATCTATTGTTTTACCTCACATCCTGACTTTCAAATGTCAGAAGGATCGCTTTGGTTAGAGAGTAAAAAGGGCTGATTTCTTGGCTGCTTTCTCTATTCCTAGCCCAAAATAACTGAGAAAAGATCCCTTATAAGAATGTGGAGTAGGGGACAATGGTGGAATAGTCAATTATTGAGAACTGCTTCTCAGTTCACTTTGTAGCCCAATTCACCTTCCATGGTTAATATACAGGATATTCACTCCTCCTCTCAACTTCTTTGCTCTTCTTGCCTTGTCTTCAGTTTTTTAAGGCAAGGACCATGTCTTTATCATTTATAGTCTCTTTAGCACCTAGTATAGCAGCTTTTACATAGTAGGTCCCTGAGAATTGGTTGAATAATTATAGACTTGGTCTGAAAGTTTTACCACCTAGCCTTCACTTGACAGTGACTCCATATATCCCTTGGAGAGGAAGTGTCATATACTGCTTAAGAAATTGGACTCTGGAGTCAGATTCTCTGATGCATATCACATCTATACCACTTTTTAGTGTGGGTTCTTAGCAAGTTAGTTAAATTTTTAATACTTAAGTTTCTATATCACTACAATGGAGATAATAATAGTACCTGCCATATAGATTTATTGTGTGGATTAAATATGTGAAAGTACTTGTAACAGTGCCAATCATACAGCACTCAGTAAATGTTAACTATCATCACTACTATTAATATTCAGCACTATAGCTTTCTCATTTCTAAGGCAGAGAAAATGATGCCAAACTAACCCCAGAAGTCATCATGAAAAAGATCCAGTGGACCAAATGGACAAGGAAAACCTAGAAACAAGCCAGTCCATCTTGAATTCAAATAATTGGACCATAGTAGAACCAGAATATCTGGAGTTCCTAATTATCATTCCTATTACCACGCAAAGTGGAAACAACTCTTGGATATGATCTGATAGTGAATAAATTCATTCTGTGGGTTTATTCTGCTCAGTTCTGTGAGATGGATTACCTCTCCATTGTAGCTGGATATTATCGAATGTCATGTATGTGTCTAAATAACCCTTTGTGCCACATAAAGTATCTGTTATGTATAAAAAATTACAGTTGAAGTATAACAACCCAACCAAACCCTCTTTAGCTAACGATGTATGTTGTTCAACAAGGCACCCAGAACTGGTTAATGCCACAAACGTTGTGTCTGTTGACAGTTGGGTTGGAAGACTAGGATACACCCCACTCCCCCAAGTGATAACACAACTGTCATTCAGAATCTGTGTCTTGCTTTGTTTAAAAACCCTGGAGCATATGGCATTTGTATCTCAGACCTTAGGGAATTCCTTTTATAAGCTTAGATATATAGCTCCTTTCTTCATTATGAAATGGCCTAATTTCCTTTTTTTGTAACAGTGGAAGAATTGATTTTATTTATTTATTTATTAATAAATAAATAAATATTTATTTATTAAAATTGTATGTATTCACCATGTCCATGATGTTTTGAAGTATATATACATTGTAGAATGACTAAATCCAGTTAATTAACATATTGATTATCTCACATAGTTATTTCTGTGGTGAGAACACTTCACATTCATTCTCTTAGAGTTTATCAAGAATAGAGTATATTGTTAACCATAGTCACCATGTTGTACAATACATCTCTTGAACCTATTTCTCCTGTCTAATTAAAATTTTATATATTTTTGACCAACATCTATTTCTCTTTGAGTTCATGTCCTTTGTAGGGACATGGATAAAATTGGAAATCATCATTCTCAGTAAACTATCGCAAGGACAAAAAGCCAAACACCGCATGTTCTCACTCATAGATGGGAATTGAACAATGAGAACACATGGACACAGGAAGGGGAACATCACACTCTGGGGACTGTTGTGGGCTGGGGGGAGGGGGGAGGGATAGCATTAGGAGATATACCTAATGCTAAATGACGAGTTAATGGGTGCAGCACACCAGCATGGCACATGTATACATATGTAACTAACCTGCACATTGTGCACATGTACCCTAAAACTTAAAGTATAATAATAATAATAATAAAAGAAACTTTCCTTTGAGACTTACCTTGTTTTTATATGTAGACTATTAACTGCCACTCATTAAAATTTTTTCTGCAGTTACAGTTTTAATAAACATTTTAGCCCCCCCCACCAAAAAAAGAAAAAACATAAAGGGAGAAAAAGAAATTATAATTTTCATTGCTTCACAGAGAATATAAACAATTCAAAACATACATAAAGGGGTTTTAGCCGTGATCAGCTAGAAAACAGCTTTCATTTTAGGAAAATCATATACAGACCCATGTTCCTTGAAAATATGTCATTCAGTCACCATGAGTACCTTACTTGGTCTCTCTTTTTTTTTTAGAATAGCTATAATGGAAGTCATATGATAATAATCAAGGCAGTGAACCTGGCCATTCTTTCTGGCAAAAAAAAAAAAAAGGAATTGGCACAGTTGTAACCTAAATGTTTGCCTTTTACATCATCTAAAATTAATAGTGATTTTATATTAGCTGGTGACTATTCGCTGATTATTTACTATGTATCACAAACTACAGAAGGTGCTTTATATATCTCTTTCCACTGACTTCTCATATCTACTTTATAAAGCAAGTAAATGTTTCCCCACGTACAGAAGAAGAAAATGAGAATTATAAAGGCATATGTGATTCACTGAAAGACCTCAATTCTTAAATCCAAGAGCAAGGATTTATCTTGGTTGTGTCTCTAAACCCCATTTCAATTATCTTGTACATTTCAACCTCTGTTTATTTACCATTCATTTATATTAGAAAATGTACAAAGCTCTCATAAATTAGACTCACCTTATTCTCTATTTTCTCTCATTTTTACCTTAACTGTTGTACTAGTACATTTTCACACTACTATAAAGAACTACATGAGACTGGGTAGTTCTCATGTAGTTTATGAAGAATGTGTAGTTTATGGGTAATTTATGAAGAAGAAGGCTTTAATTGACTCAGTTATACAGTTTTAACAGGAAACATGGCTGGGAGGCCTCAGGAAACTTAAAATCATGACAGAAAGCAAGAGGGAAGCAAGGACTTTCTTCCCATGGTGGCAAAAGAAAGAGAGAGAGAATGCAAGAGAGCACGAGGGCAAAGGGGGAAGTGCCACACACTTTTAAACCATCAGATCTCATGAGAACTCACTCACTCTCACAAAAACAGAAAGGGGGAAATCAGCTCCTATGATCCAATCACCTCCCACAAGGTCTCTTCCCCCAAACTGGGCATTACAATTCAACATGAGATTTGGGTGGGGACACAGATATAAACCATATCATTCTGCCCCTGGATCCTCCTAAATCTCATGTCCTTCTCACATTTCAAAACCAGTCATGCCTTCCAACAGTCCCCCAAAATCTTAACTCATTTCAGCATTAACTCAAAAGTCCATAGTCCAAAGTTTTACCTGATACAAAGTAAGTCTTTTCCATTTACGCGCCTGTAAAATAAAAAACAAGTTAGTTACTTCCAAAATACAATGGGAGTACAGGTATTGAGTAAATGCTCACATTCCAAATGGAAGAAATTGGCCCAAACAAAGGGACTACAGGCCCCATGCAAGTTCAAAACCTGGCAGGGCAGTCACTAAATCTTAAAGCTCCAAAATAATCTCATTTGACTCCATGTCTCACATCCAGGGACAACTATGTTGATGCAATAATTGTCTCCAAAGGCCTTGGGCAGCTCCACCCCTGTGGCTCCACAGGGTATAGCCACAATTGCTTTTATGGGCTGGTGTTGAGTGCCTGTGGCTTTTCAAGGTGCACAGTGCAAACTGTTGGTGGATCTACCATTCTTGGATCTGGAGGATGGTGGGCCTCTTGTCACAACCCCACTAGGCAGTGCTCCAGTGAGGACTCTGTGTGGGGGCTCTAACACCACACTTCCCCTCCACACTGCCCTAGCAGAGGTTCTCCATGAGGGCTCCGCCCCTGAAGCAGACTTCTCCTTGAACATCCAGGCTTCTCCAAACATCCTCTGAAATCTAGGTGGGGGTTCCTAAACCTCACCTTTTGCCTACAGCACACCCACAGGCCCAACACTATGTGCAAGTCACCAAGGATTGGGGCCTGCACCTTCTGAAATCATGACCCAAGCTGTACCTTTGCCACTTTTAGCCACAACTGGACCTGGAGTGCCTGGGATGCAGGGTGCCATGTTCAAGGCTGCACACAGCAGCGTGGCTCTAGGCCTGGCCCACAAAGGCATTTTTTCCTCCTAAGCCTCTAGGCCTGTGATGGGAGAGGCTGCTGCGAAGGTTTCTGACATGCCCCAGAGATATTTTCCCCATGGTCTTGGCTATTAACATTCAGCTTCTCTTTATTTATGCAAATTTCTGCAGCCAGATTGAATTTCTCTCCAGAAAATGGGTTTCTCTTTTCCATCACATGGCCAGGCTGAAAATTTTTGAAACTTTCATACTCGGCTTCCTTTTTAAATATAAGTTCCAATTTCAGACCGTCTTTTTGTGAACACGTATGACTATGCACTGTTAGGAGGATCCAGGCCACATCCTGAATGGTTTGCTGCTTAGAAATTTCTTTCACCAGATACCCTAAGTCATCTCTCTCAAATTCAAAGTTCCACAGTTTCCTAAAGCAGAGGCAGAATGCCACCAGTCTCTTTGCTGAAGCATAGCAAGAGTGACCTTTGCTCCAGTTCCCAATAAGTTCCTCATCTCTATCTGAGACCACCTCAGCCTGGATTTCACTGTCCAGATCACTATCAGATTTGTTCAAAACTACTCAAGTTTCTAGGAAGATCCAAACGTAACCACATCTTCCTGTCTTCTTCTGAGCCCTCCAAACTGTTCCAACCTCTGCCCATTACCCAGTTCCAAAGTTGCTTCCACATTTTCAGGTGTCTTTATAGCAGTGCCCCACTCCTGGTACCAATTTTCTGTATTAGTCGGTCTTAACACTGCTATAAAGAACTACCTAAGACTGGGTAATTTATGAATAAAATAGGTTTAATTGACTTATAATTTCACAGGCTCAACAAGAAGCATGACTGAGAGGTCTCAGAAAACAGTCACGGCAAAAGATAACAGAGAAGCAATGACCTTCCTCACATGGTGGTGAAAGAGAGAGAGAGAGAAAGAAAGAAAGAGCACAAAAGGGGAAGTGCCACACATTTTTAAACCATCAAATCTTGTGAGAACTCACTCACTATCATGAGAACAGCAAAGGGAGAATCAGCCCCCATGATCCATTTACTTTCCACCAAGTCCCACCTTCGACATGGAGATTACAATGCAACCTGATGTTTGAGTTGGGATACAGAGCTAAACCATATCACCTGTCTACTCAGCTCTTCTTACAGAGTGAACTAACATTTTTCTATTTTTACTCCCAAACAAGAATAATGAGATCTTACTTCTATTTATATTTAACCATCACCTTTCACTCTTATTGCTTGATGAAATCGGTTTGTCCTCAGGTTCTGAGGTTCCTATGGTATGTTGTTTTACCCCAACTTATACCCCATGAGTTTATATAAAACCCTTGCTTAGTCATTTATTCCATTCCTTCAGTTTGGTCAAACTGCCTGAGATCTAATTATCCAAGTCTGGAGTCCATAATTTTTTCTCCAGTAACACTTAGAAATATCCAAATAGAAGGACAGGAAAGTCATTATTAGGTGCATTGTATGCTCCATTCTTATGATCCTTGTACATCCCCACAGGAAAGCATATTTGGTTAAGTCTAGCAATATGCCTGGCCCGTTATATGTGGGCCACTGCAACTTATAGCCCAAAATAATAACTCTGTCTGCTTAGGTTCTTGTCAACCTCAGCCTATGGGAAGTGTCACTTCCTCCAACAAGCCTTACCTGTTTGCTTTTCCTTTCAAATGCCTATTACACTTATAATCCAATGCTAATTCTCAACATAACACTCACTTTTAATGTTTTACATATATATTTTTATTTTCTAGTGTAGGGCTTAGCTCCTTCAGGATATATCTGAGTTACTTTATATTTTCCTGGTAGCTTCTCTTCCAGTAAAAACTATATAGTTTTAAAAATATGTACATTTGTATTAATTTATCAGAAAATTCTTTATAATCTTTCTCATCTCTGGCTAATTGTCACCATCTTTTTTGGTAAGGTTGTGGCTTACTTTTTGTTGCTTAAATTTCCCACTCTGCCTAGCCCTGCCTTTAGGAGACAAACCAGCCTCTGTTTTGGGTTCTGCTTATTCTAGCCTCATTATTACTATGACTCTAGGCCACTGAGACTCAGGAAAGTCTCTTGATTGTAAATTGTGACTAAAACATGAACTTGTCATTGAGGCTCTTTATTTATTTGTTCTTCCAAATAACTGTTAATGGGCCTGCCTTTAGGGTGTGGCAGTTAGTGATCAATTCCCAGCTGTATCAACAGATTGGTTGTTAGGGGAGCATCCTATAGTGTTGCCACTACGGATAGAAGTCAACATCTGTTCTAAAGTAGACTATTTTAGCAGTTCAATAATGTGGACTTAATAAAATGCTACTTTTTTCTTCTCTGTTGCTTCTTATTTAAAACAGCTATACTGCTCTATGTAAGATCTGAAGTAGGTGGAAGAAGGAATTTGATAAAGATGTAATTAATATTTGAAGACTATTTTAAAAATATCTTGAAGTTATATTTTTTTAACATTTAAATATGTTATCTTCAAACTTTGAATACAATCTGGAATTACTATCACAGAATTTATTATTGGTAGCATTAAGTTTATGTATTGGATTATACAGGTTTTTTTTCCACAAGAAAACCATACATTCTGAAGTCTGTTATCTAAGACACTGAAAATAACACAACTATTTAGCCAGTATGGCTAAAATTTGCCATTTTTCATAATTCTTTTACATTTAGAAGCTTGACTGATTGGTTGAAGGAAAGAACATTTCATGCTTCCAGACTGTCTTTTCCATTGCATGCAGCATTTTTTAAGAAGGAAAGAATAATGAGGGAAGCTAAGATGGTAACATAACTAATTATTCAGATTATCTTTCCAAATTTTCACATTTTACACTAACATATTTGTTGAAAAAGGCATCCATGGAACTTAGGCTTAAAAATTGATCACAACTTTCCAGTTATTAGAATAATAAACTTACAGATTTTGACATATGTACTGTATATATGCAAACTAGAAGAACAAAACATTTTTCCTCTTGGTAGTAAAAATGATTTGATAACAAAATACAATGTGAAATATCAAAAAAAGCCTTATTGTATATTTTTGATCATTTTAAAATCAGTATGTTATTATTGATTAATTTGTAAATTAATCTAGAAGACTAAATACAAATAAATTTCTGAATTTTTACAGAAATTTTACAGAAAATTTACAATAAAAATAAAATATTTTAGTACAAGACAACAAGAATAAATCTGAGAGATATTTGAAGACACTCATTCTCCAGGACATTTCCTGGGAATTATGTAAATCTGCTTCACATTTTACTTTCTAAATGTCTGAATTTATAGACTCTTCCTTGGAATTTCCAGGTACAGTGACATCAGAAGGGTTTTTTAGTATTAACATATACCATGTGTATAAATAAAAACATGTATACCTATCATTTATCTAGTGTCATATTATTGCTATATAACAAGCAACCCCAAAGCTTAGTGCTATGCCCCAAAAGACATTTATTTCACTCACAAATCTGTGATAATTCAGCTGAGCTGAGCTGGGCTCAGCTGATCTAGGGTAGTCTCAGCTGATTTTGGCTAAGGTAGCTCATCTCACTGCAATCAGGTAAGGGTTGGTTATGTGGCTCTCTGGGATCCCTTATATGTAAGGGTTGGCTGACTGCAGGCTAATCTAGGATAGACTTTACTGGTTCCACTGAAGTAAGTTGGCTTTGCTTCATATGCCTTCCATCCTCCAGCAGGATAGCCAAGTATATTCCATTACAATGGCTGAGGTGCATAAAAAAGAGCAAACTCTGTTGGTAAAACACTTTTCAGGCCTCTGCTTTCATTACAGTTGTAAACATTCCATTGATCAAAGTAAGTCACAGCTAGGGTCTGCATTCAGAATGGATAGACAGATAGATAGATAGCTAGATAGATAGATACCTTAAAGGCATATATGATAGATGAAATGGAAACAAGTTAAGGAGGGAAGAGGTGAATTGGAACCAAATTTGCAGCCAACTAGTTTATATGTGTAGTCATTTATAATAAAAAATATAAAACAATTAACCACATTACTAGCAAATGTACGTAAAACAATAAGAACACAAAGCAAAAATTAAGAAACTAAAAACTAAGGTATAGGAGTTTACTCTCATTTAATCTACTTCAAACCAGATATTTTGTTTTAAATTAAAAAACTATAAATAGTTATGTTTATAGTCCCTCAATGATGTCAGAATGATTATGGTCAAATTCTCTTTTGGTTTACAGTTTCTTCTTTCCAGGAAAAAAAAATCATCTTTAGAAGCAAAAGAAAATGTCTTTTGAAGGAAGAAATTCCTTCTGTATTTTTCCTCCCCAAATAGTGCTACATAAAAAAGCATATCTACTCCCTTAAGATCCTAGGAATTTTATTCCTATAAAATAGAAGTTTTAAAACAAGGAAAGACTATTTAATGAACTTTAAGGGAAATCCTATAGTATGTTCACAAAGTTCTAAAAGGTCCATTTATTTTTTCTCCTAAATTAAAAATGATTTTAAAAAACATCTAATTGTAAATAAAACATTTATATTAAAAAGTACTTTGAGTTTTAACCCACAGAATAAAATAAATGAGTCTATACTGATATCAATAAATAATTTAGTGAAAAAATAAATGGGGAAGTCACAGCCCTTTCAGATGGATTTCAGTTACAAAATGCAGAAAAACAGGAAAATAAAAAATTACTGTGAGGAAACACAATAATTGTTAGACAAGATCACCAATGGATGCAAAATTAGTGGTAAATTTTGAAGAGAAAAAAAGATTTGCATAGCTTCAAAGTATCTCCTTCATGATGTTTATTAATTACAAAGAGATAGTAACTTTACTATAGAGAAACTCCAGCAGACAGCAATTTAACCAAATAACCAAGTTAAACATCACCAGAAACAAGGAATGTCAGCACTATGAGCCCCTTGATATGATGCATCCGATTCACTGAGAAGAACACATTATCTTTCACAGTATTATTTCCAGAAACATAAAACTATAAGCCAATTATGAGAAAATACCAGATTAAACCTAAATTGAGTGACATTCTATAAAAGAATTGATCCGTACTCTTTAATGGCCTCACAGTCCTGAAAGAAAAGCAAAGATTGAGAAAACATTCACATTGGAAGAACCTAACGAGAAATGGGAAGTAAACATAAATTTGGAAACTAAATAAGATCTTGGAACAGAAAATATCACTAGTGGGGGAAATGACAAAATTGAAATAAGTTTATAGTTAATATTGTACCAATTTTAATTCTGATCTTGATAACTGTACCATGAATCTTGATAATTGTACTACAGTTATGTAAAATACTATAGGGAAAGGGAGTGAAGGATACTACACAACTCTGGTATTTACAACACTTATGTTTGTCAACAATTAGTTCAATACAATAATGTTTACAAAATTATTTTTCCCACTAAAAATAACAGTATATGTACAAAATGCTAAACTAGGAATTCCAGGCCCTCATTTCCTCAAGGAAACATCAAATAAACAACAGACTAACTAGTATAGCTTAATGAGAGCTCTAGAAATAAGTCAAGGATGTGTAGCAATTAAGCAAACAGGCTTTACTGGTTCCACTTTTTTTAATCAGACACTAAACAGGATAGGAAATTCTGTGGTATTTTTGGTGATCCTTGCCTCCCCACTGCCATCCCCAGTGTAGCACTGCTTACTTGTGAGAAAGCTGCTGAATTCCCTGTTCTTCCATTGAGACAGAGAGAAAAGAATGTTTGTTACTTGTTTGCAACACCCCGGCCTAGCTAGAAGTGGTATGAGGGTCTGGTTTCTTTCTTGCCTAACTCAGGGCTCAGACTGAAACACAGAGATAGTTTGGATATCATGTTGAAGGCCACAGAAAGTGGTAGACACTATGGTGTATCACAGGTGTAGAGGGATTGTAGAACCACAGGTACCTTGGAGCAAGACACTATGAGTAGAGGAATAAAGCAAAACATCTAAAACCATTTGAAGCAGCAGAAGTGAGATGATTAGGGATATTAAAACATTTAAAATAAGCTGTGTATATGATATAATTGGAAGGAGAAAGCATGCCTAGGAAGGCTTGAGAAGACCTTAGCCTTCATGCTTATCTAATTAGGGAAGCTCTTCCCTGCATGGAGCCAGTCTACCAAAATGAGGAAGGTAACTACTTTTTCATATGCCCCATTTTTAACAACGGATCACAAGGCATACAAAGAAACAGAACAATTTGTTCTGTTCAAAGGACCAAAATATATCTCAAGAAAATGACTCTAAAGAAACACGGCTTCAGACTTACTAGATGAAAATTTTAAAACAACAATCTTAAATATGCTCCAGAAATTAGAGAAAAACAGAACTAAGGAAATTAGACAAATGACATATGAACAAAATGAGAATATCAATAAGGAAATAAAAATTATAAAAATCAAAAGAACAGAAATCCTAGAGCTAAAAGATACACTAATTGAGTTAAAAAATTCACTAGAAGAGTTCCATGGGAGACTAGAACAGGCAAAAAGAGGCAATAGGAGACTAGAACAGGCAATAGGAGACTAGAACAGGCAAAAAGAGAATCAGCAAACTGAAGACAGGTTATTTGAAATTATTGTATCTGAGGAGAAAAAAGAAAAATAATAATGAAAAAGAATAGCAGAGCCTAAAAGACTTGTAGAAGAACATCAAGTGAATCAATATGCAAATTATAATATTTTCAGGGGAAAAGAGAGAGAAAGGGCAAAGAACACAGTTGAAGAAACAATGGCTGAAAACCCTTCCAAATTTGAGAAAGCACACGGATATACAAAAAACAAGATGCTCCATGAACTTCAAGTAGGATAAACCCAAAGGCACTGTATTAGTCTGTTCTTACACTGCTATAAAGAAATACCTGAGACTAGGTAATTTATTTAAAAAAGAGGTTTAATTGGCTCAAGTTTCTGCAGGCTGTGCAGGCTTCTGCTTCTAGGGAAGCCTCAGGAAACTTAGAATCATGGTGGAAGGGGAAGGAGGCACGTCTTACTTGTCAGGAGCAGAAAAAACACAGAGCTGGGGGAGGCGACAGACACTTTTAAACAACAAGATCTTGAGAACTGTATCATGAGAATAGCACCAAAGGGATGGTGCTAAATCATTCATGAAGGATCTATCCCCATGATCTAATCACCTCACACCAGGCCCCACCTCCAACATTGGGGATTCTAATTAAACATGAAATTTGGGTGGGGACACAGATCCAAACCACATTATTCCACCCTGGCCCCTCCCAAATCTCATGTCCATCTCACATTGTAAAGTGCAATTATGCCTTCCTAACAGTCCCCCAAAGTCTTAACTCACTCCGACATTAACTCAAAAGTACAAAGTCTCATCTGAGGCAAGGCTAGTCCCTTCCACCTATGAGCCTGTAAAATAAAAAAGGAGTTAGTTACCTCCAAGATACAATGGAGGTATAGGCATTGGGTAAATACTACTTACTGTTCCAAAGGGAGAAATTGGTCAAAAGAAAGGGGCTACAGGCCCCATGAAAGTCTGAAACCTGGAATGGCAGTCATTAAAACTTAAAGCTCCCAAATAATTTCCTTTGACTCCATGTCCACATCCAGGACACACTGGTGTGAGGGGTGGACACCCAAGGCATTGGGCAGCTGCACCCCTGTGCTTTTTCAGGGTTCAGCCCCCATGGATGCTCTCATAGGCTGATGTTGAGTGCTTGTGACTTTTCCTTGTGCATGGTGCAAGCTGTTGGTGGCTCTACTGTTCCAGGTTCTGGAGGACAGTAGCCCTCGTCACACAGTTCCACTAGGTAGTCCTCCAGTGGGGACTCTCTGTGGGGGCTCCAACCCCACATTTCCCTCCTCACTTCCCTAGTAGAGTTTCTCCATGAGGGCTCTAACCATGTATTAGGCTTCTTCCTGGACATCCAGGCTTTGCCATACACGCTCTGAAACCTAGGCAGAGGCTCCCAAGCCTCCACTCTTGCACTCTGCACACCTGCTGGCTTAACACCACATGGAAGCCACCAAGGTTTACAATTGCACCCTCTGAAGCAGTGGTCTGAGCTGTACTTGGGCCCCTTTGAGTGAAGGGTAGAGCTGGAGTAGCTGGGATACAGGGAGCAGTGTCCTGAGGTTGTACAGGGTGGTGGGGCCCTGAAACAGGCCTATGAAGCAATTCTTCCCTCCCTCTGGGCCTGTGATGGGAGGGGCTGCTGTGAAAGTTTCTAAAATGCCTTCAAGGCATTTTCCCCATTGTCTTGGATGTTAACACTTGGCTCCTTTTTGTCTAATGCAAGTTTCTGCAGCCTGCTTAACTCCCCTCTGTTGAAAATGGACTTTTCTTTTCTACCATATGGCTGGGCTGCAAGTTTTCCAAACTTTTATGCTCTACTTCTCTTTTAAATGTAAGTTTTTGTTGCAGATCATTTCTTTGCTCCTGCTTATAAGCATAGGACATTAGAAGCAACGAATCTACATCTTGAATACTTTGCTGCTTAGAAATTTCTTCCACCAGATACCCTAAATCATCACTCTCAAGTTGAGTCCCACAGATCTCTATGACAGGGGCACAATGCAGCAAATATCTTTGCTAATGCATAACAAAAGTGGCCTTTGATCCAGTTCCCAATAAGTTCCTCATTTCTATTTCAGACCTCCTCAGCCTGGACTTCATTTTCCATATCACTATCAGCATTTTGGTCACAACAACTTAAGTCTCTAGGAAGTTCCACATTTTCCCTCATCTTTCTGTCTTCTTCTGAGCCCTCCACATTCTTCCAACCTCTGCTGATTACCCAGTTCCAAAGTTGCCTTCACTTTTTCAGGTATCTTTATAGCAATGCCTCAATCCTTGGTACCAATTTTCTGTATTAGCCTGTTCTTGCACTGCAATAAAGAAATACCTGACTCTGGGTAATTTATAAAGAGAAGAAGTTTAATTGGCTCACGGTTCTGCAGGCTGTACAGAAAGTATAGCAGCATCTGCTTCTGTGGAGGCCTCAGGAAATTTACAATCATGGTGGCAGGGGAAATGGGCCCATCTTACGTGGCCAAAGCAAAAGGAAGAGAGAGAGGGTGGAGGTACCACACACTTATAAGCAACCAGATCTTGTAAGAACTCTATCACGAGAACAGCACCAAAGGGATGGTGGTAAACGATTTAAGAGAACTCCACTCCCATGATACAATCACCTCCAACCAGGCCACACCTGTAACACTGGGGATTACAATTCAACATGAGATTTGGGTGGGGACACAGAACCAAACCATATCAGGCACCCACATTGAAACACATTATAATCAAACGATTAAAAGTCAAAGACAGAGAATATTAAAAGCAGTAAGAGACAAGTTATTCAACATGTACAATAGATTCTTAATAAGACTATCTGTGGATTTCTTGGCAGGAATCTTGCAGGCTAGAATGTAGTGAGATGATATAAAGAGGAGAAAGAAAAAAATGGTCAGCCATAAATTATATATAAGGCAAAACTATCATTTTAAAAATGAGGACAATTATCCCATTTTCAGATAAAACCTGAGGGAGTTCATTACCACTAGACCTGACCTATGAGAAATTCTAGACTTCTTCAAGTTGAAATGAAAAGATGCTAGACAGTAACTCAAGGCCACATAAAGATATAGTTATCCAGTAAAGGTAAGTACATGAACAAATATAAAAACGTATACTATTGTAATTTTCATTCATAATGTTACCTTTTGTTTTATAGGATTTAAAAGACAAAATCATAAAAATAGTTATAAATCTATGTTAATGAATATGCAATATATAAAGATGTAATGTGTAACATCAATAACAAAGTAGGAGGGAGCTGTAGAGAAATAGTTTTTGTATGTGATTGAAGTTAAGTTGGTATTTGTTTAAAATAGATTTTTGTAACTTTAGGATATTATATATAACACTCATGGTAGCCACAAATAAAATATCTATAAATATAAACAAAAGGAAATGAGAAAAGAACATGTCACTAGAAAAATATTACTAAACACAAAGGAAAACATTAAGGGAGGAAATGGAGGACACAAAAGCTATAAAGCAAAAAGCTAAAAACTGTCTCACTAAGATCAGGAACAAGGCAAGGAAGTCTCCTCTCACTACTTCTGTCAAGTTACACTGGAAGCTCTATACTGAAAGTCATAACCAATAAAATGAAACAAGAAAAATGAAATAAAATATATGCAATTAAAAAGTAAAAACTAAAACTGTCTTTGTTGGGTATTAAATGACTATCTACGTAGAAAATCTGACAAAATCAAGAACAACAAAAATCTCCTGGAATTCATAAATAATTATAACAATGCTGTAAAATATAAGACCAATATTAAAAAGTCAATCTCTTTCCTATATATGAGCAATGAATGCTGGAATTTGAAGTTAAAAATATAATACCCTTTACATTAGGATCCTTCAAAAATAAAATACTTAGGTATAAATCTCACAAAATAGATATAAGATTTAGATGAGGAAAATTATATAACCCTGATTAAATCAAAGAAAAATATAAATGGAGAGATATTTCATGTTAATGAATAGGGAAGACTCAATATTGTCAAAAGAAGAACTGTCTTCCCAACTTTATTTATAGACTTAATTTAATCTCAGAAAGTTACTTTGTGGATATTACCAAACTGATCCTAAAGTTTATATAGAGAAGCAAAAGTACCAGTATAGCCCACATAATATTGAAGGAGAGCAAAATTGGAAGACATTACCTGACTTCAAGACTTATGAAGTTAGTTAATTAAGACAGTATGATAATTAAGACAGTGTGGCATTAGTGAAAGAATAGATAAATAAATGGAACAGAATGGAAAACCAGGAGATGGTCTCACACAAATAGACCCACAACTGATCTTTGACAGACAAGCAAAGACAATACAGTTTTTTTTTTAAATAGTCTTTTCAATGACACAGGAACAAACAGTTATCCAGATATAAAATAGTGACTCTAGACAGAGACCTTACACACTTCAAAAAAATAAACTGTTATAAAAATAAAGCCTATTTAAAAAAAAATAATTACACCCCCTGAAGAGGAAGACACAAAGCTTCCAATTATTACTAAAACCTTTTAATATACAAAATCCAACTCAAGCCAAAATATTGAGAGACATAAGACAAAATTATGAAGGGAAAAAAGCCCACAAGAAAGAAAAACCCAGAGATAATGGAAAAATGGATAAGCAAATAAGCAGAAAATAGGAAATTATATAAAAATAATTAGGCCAGGCGTGGTGGCTCATGCTTGTAATCCCAGCACTTTGGGAGGCTGAGGCAGGCAGATCACCTGAGGTCAGAAGCTCGAGACCAGCCTGGCCAACATGAGGAAACCCCATCTCTACTAAAAATATAAAAATTAGCTGGGCTTGGTGGTGGGCACCTGTAATCTCAGCTACTCAGGAGGCTGAGACAGGAGAATCACTTGAATCCGGGAGTCAAAGGTTGCAGTGAGCTGAGATCATGCCACTGCACTCCAGCATGGGTGACAGAGCAAGACTCTATCTGAAAAAATAAAAAAAAAGGAATTCTAGAACTGAAATGCAATAATGAAAGTTAAGAATGTAGTAATTAGTCTAACAGCAGATATGACAGTTGAAGAAAGAACTAAAACGTAAGTGACATATAAAACAGTGAAAAAGATCTAACACTTATATAATTGTGAGCTTGAAGGAGAAA
This sequence comes from Homo sapiens, assembly GCF_000001405.40. Lineage (NCBI taxonomy): Eukaryota > Metazoa > Chordata > Mammalia > Primates > Hominidae > Homo > Homo sapiens. The sequence goes on from NC_000008.11 coordinate 64,953,309, forward strand.
GGTAAAAGAGTCAGAACTAATACTGAAAAATATAGTAGTTGAAAAATTTTCAAAATTAATGAAAGACCCCAACACGCACTAAACACTGACTTTAAAACAAAAACAGTAATGGAAGTTATAAGCTGACGAAAAGGTATAAGACATTGAGAAAACAATAAAAGTGAAATTTGTAGGTCCTTGTCTTTAAGTTACCTAATTTAACTATAAATTGATTATAATCCCCAATCAAAAGTTACCGATTGGCAGAATGGATTATAAAAACAGGATCCAACTACATGATGTCTATAAAAGACTCAGTTTAGACCTAAGGACACAAGCAGATTTAAAGCAAAAAGATTAAAAAATATTTCATGGAATGAGAGCATGAGTGGCTATATCAGAAAAATAGACTTCAAGTGGAAACTGTTAGAAGGAAAAACAGGATGTAATAGAATGAAAAAATTATAAACATACATGCACCAAATATCAGAGCTCTTAAATACATAAAGCAAACACTAACAGAATTGGAAGGGGAAGGCTGGGCACGGTGGCTCACACCTGTAATCCCAGCACTTTGGGAGGCTGAGGTGGACAGATCATGAGGTCAAGAGATCGAGGCCAGCCTGGCCAACATGGTGAAACCCTGTCTCTACTAAAAATACAAAAATTAGCTGGGCGTGGTGGCATGTGCCTGTAGTCCCAGCTACTCGGGAGGCTGAGGCAGGAGAATCACTGGAATGCAGGAGGCAGAGGTTGCAGTAAGCTGAGACTGCACCACTGCACTCCAGCCCAGCTACAGAAAGAGACTCCATCTTAAAAAAAAAAAAAAAAAAGAATTGGAAGGGGAAATAGACAGTTCCACAGTAATCGTAGAAGAGTTCAGTACCCTAGATTTGATAATGAATATCACAACCAGAATGATCAATATAAAAATACAGGACAACTGTATAGATTAATTGGAAGTAACAGATATATACGGAACACTCTACACAGCAGCAGCAAAATATACCTTTTTCTCAAGTGCACGTGGAAGATTCTCCAGGGAGACCATAAGTTAGGTGATGAACAAGTCCAGATAAATTTTTGAAAGCTGAAATCAATCAAAGTATTATTCTGATCACGATGCAATCAAAATAAAAATCAATAGCAGAAGGAAAACTGAAAACCCCATAAACAGGTGGAAATTAAACAATATACTTTCAAAAAACCAGTGGGTAAAAACAATTATGAGAAATTTAAAAATATCTTAAGACAAATGAAAATGTAAATACAATATACCAATACTTATGGAATTTAGAGAAAGCAGTGCTAATAGGAAAATTTATAGATGCAATACTTACATTTAATAAGAAGAAAGATCCCAAATTGCAATGTAAATTTACATTTTAAGGAACTAGATAAAGAAGAGCAAACTTAAACCCAAAGGTAGCAGGAAGAAGAAAATAATAAAGATTAGAGTACAGGCCAATAGAGAATAGAAAAATAGTACAGATAATTAATGAAACCAGACTTAGTTCTTCAAAACCATAAACAAAATTGGCTAACTTTTAGCTAGATCAATTAAGAAAAAAAGACACAAATAAGATCAGAAATGAAAAAGGACCCATTAATACTGGTTTTATAAAGGGAAACAAGGATTATAAGAGACTATTGTGAACAATTGTTGACCAACAAATTGGGAAACCTAGATGAAATTGACAAATTCCATGAAACATATAACCTATCAACACTGAACCACGAATAAAGAAAAAGTCTGAACAGACTTAAAACTAGTAAAGGAGATTGAGTCAGTAATCAAAAACCTCCTAACAAATAAAAGCCAGGACCAGATGACTTCACTATAAATGTTAGCAATCATTTAATGAAGAATTTACACAAGTCCTCCTCACTCCTCAAAGTCTTTCAAGAAATTGATGATGAGGAAATATTTTCCAACTTATTCTATGAGGCCAATATTACCCTGATACAAAAGCCAAAGACCCTGCAAGAAAATAAAACTGCAGACCAATAACACCTACGAATATTGATGAAATAACCTCAAATAATACTCACAGAATTCAGCATCACATTAAAAGTATCATATACCATTAATAACTGTTATCTATTCATGGTATGGAAGGATGCTTTAACATATAAAAATTAATCAATGTAATAAATTACATTAGGAGAATGAAGGCAAAGAAAACCCCACATGATCATCTCAATTGATACACTGAGAAATGTAGAAAATACATCTGACAAAATGTAACTCTCTTTCATGATAAAAACACTTCACACCAGAAATAGGAGGAAACTGAGCCAAGATAGCCGAATAGGAACAGCTCCAGTCTATAGCTCCCAGCGTGAGCGATGCAGAAGATGGGTGATTTCTGCATTTCCAACTGAGGTACCGGGTTCATATCACGGGGGAGTGCTGGACAGCAGGTGCAGGACAGTGGGTGCAGTGCACCGTGTGTGAGCCAAAGCAGGGCGAGGCATCGCCTCACCCAGGAAGTGCAAGGGGTCAGGAAATTCCGTTTCCTAGTCAAAGAAAGTGATGACAGAGGGCACCTGGAAAATCAGGTCACTCCCACCCTAATACTGCGCTCTTCCAACGGGCTTAACAAACGGCACACCAGGAGATTATATCCCACACCTGGCTTGGAGGGTCCTATGCCCACAGAGCCTCGCTCATTGCTAGCACAGCAGTCTGAGATCAAACTGCAAGGCTGGGGGAGGGGCGCCCGCCATTGCTCAGGCTTGAGTAGGTAAACAAAGCGGCCAGGAAGCTCGAACTGGGGGGAGCCCACCACAGCTCAAGGAGGCCTGCCTGCCTCTGTAGGCTCCACCTCTGGGGGCAGGGCACAGACAAACAAAAGAAAGCAATAACCTCTGCAGTCTTAAATGTCCCTGTCTGACAGCTTTGAAGAGAGTAGTGGTTCTCCCAGCATGCAGTTGAGATCTGAGAACGGGCAGACTGCCTCCTCAAGTGGGTCCCTGACCCCCAAGTAGCCTAACTGGGAGGCATCCCCCAGTAGGGGCAGACTGACACCTCACACGGCCAGGTACTCCTCTGAGACAAAACTTCCAGAGGAATGATCAGGCAGCACCATTTGCGGTTCACCAATATCTGCTGTTCTGCAGCCACCACTGCTGACACCCAGGCAAACAGGGTCTGGAATGGACCTCCAGTAAATTCCAACAGACCTTCAGCTGAGGGTCCTGACTGTTAGAAGGAAAACTAACAAACAGAAAGGACATCCACACCAAAAACCCATCTGTACGTCACCATCATCAAAGACCGAAGGTAGGTAAAACCACAAAGATGGGGAAAAAACAGAGCAGAAAAACCGGAAACTCTAAAAATCAGAGCGCCTCTCCTCCTCCAAAGGAACACAGCTCCTCACCAGCAATGGAACAAAGCTGGACAGAGAATGACATTGACGAGTTGAGAGAGAAAGGCTTCAGAAGATCAAACTACTCCAAGCTAAAGGAGGAAGTTCAAACCAATGGCAAAGAAGTTAAAAACTTTGAAAAAAGATTAGATGAATGGATAACTAGAATAACCAATGCAGAGAAGTCCTTAAAGGACCTGATGCAGCTGAAAACCAAGGCACCAGAACTACGTGACGAATGCACAAGCCTCAGTAACTGTTGCGATCAACTGGAAGAAAGGGTATCAGCAACGGAAGACGAAATGAATGAAATGAAGCGTGAAGAGAAGTTTAGAGAAAAAAGAATAAAAAGAAATGAACAAAGCCTCCAAGAAATATGGGACTATGTGAAAAGACCAAATCTACGTCTCACTAGTGTACCCGAAAGTGACACGGAGAAAGGAACCAAGTTGGAAGACTCTCTGCAGGATATTATCCAGGAGAACTTCCCCAATCTAGCAAGGCAGGCCAACATTCAAATTCAGGAAGCACAGATAATGCCACAAAGATACTCCTCGAGAAGAGCAACTCCAAGACACATAATTGTCAGATTCACCAAAGTTGAAATGAAGGAAAAAGTGTTAAGGGCAGCCAGAGAGAAAGGTCGGGTTACCCACAAAGGGAAGCCCATCAGACTAACAGCTGATCTCTTGGCAGAAACTCTACAAGCCAGAAGAGAGTGGGGGCCGATATTCAACATTCTTAAAGAAAATAATTTTCAACCCAGAATTTCATATCCAGCCAAACTAAGCTTCATAAGTGAAGGAGAAATAAAATACTTTACACACAAGCAAATGCTGAGAGATTTTGTCACCACCAGGCCTGCCCTAAAAGAGCTCCTGAAGGAAGCACTAAACATGGAAAGGAACAACCGGTACCAGCCACTGCAAAAACATGCCAAATTGTAAAGACCTTCAAGGCTAGGAAGAGACTGCATCAACTAATGAGCAAAATAACCAGCTAACATCATAATGACAGGATCAAATTCACACATAACAATACTAACCTTAAATGTAAATGGACTAAATGCTCCAATTAAAAGGCACAGACTGGCAAATTGGATAAAGATTCAAGACCCATCAGTGTGCTGTATTCAGGAAACCCATCTCACCTGCAGAGACACACATAGGCTCAAAATAAAGGGATGGAGGAAGATCTACCAAGCAAATGGAAAACAAAAAAAGGCAGGGGTTGCATTCCTAGTCTCTGATAAAACAAACTTTAAGCCAACAAAGATCAAAAGAGACAAACAAGGGCATTACATAATGGTAAATTGATCAATTCAACAAGATGAACTAACTATCCTAAATATATATGCACCCAATACAGGAGCAGCCAGATTCATAAAGCAAGTCCTTAGAGACCTACAAAGAGACTTAGACTCCCACAAAATAATAATGGGAGACTTTAACACCCCACTGTCAACATTAGACAGATCAACGAGACAGAAAGTTAACAAGGATATCCAGGACTTGAACTCAGCTCTGCACCAAGCGGAACTAATAGACATCTACAGAACTCTCCACCCCAAATCAACAGAATATACATTCTTTTCAGCACCACACCACACCTATTCCAAAAATGACCACGTAGTTGGAAGTAAAACACTCCTCAGCAAATGTAAAAGAACAGAAATTACAACAAACTGTCTCTCAGACCACAGTGCAATCAAACTAGAACTCAGGATTAAGAAACTCACCTCAAACCACTCAACTACATGGAAACTGAACAACCTGCTCCTGAATGACTAGTGGGTACATAATGAAATGAAGGCAGAAATAAAGATGTTCTTTGAATCCAACGAGAACAAAGACACAACATACCAGAATCTCTGGGACACATTCAAAGCAGTGTGTAGAGGAAAATTTTCAGCACTAAATGCCCACAAGAGAAAGCAGGAAAGAACTAAAATTGACACCCTAACATCACAATTAAAAGAACTAGAGAAGCAAGAGCAAACACATTCAAAAGCTAGCAGAAGGCAAGAAATAACTAAGATCAGAGCAGAACTGAAGGAAATAGAGATACAAAAAAACCCTTCAAAAAATCAATGAATCCAGGAGCTGGATTTTTGAAAAGATCAACAAAATTGATAGACCGCTATCAAGACTAACAAAGAAGAAAAGAGAGAAGATCAAATAGATGCAATAAAAAGTGACAAAGGGGAGATCACCACCCATCCCACAGAAATACAAACTACCATCAGAGAATACTATAAACACCTCTATGCAAATAAACTAGAAAATCTAGAAGAAACGGATAAATTCCTTGAAACATACAACCTCCCAAGACTAAACCAGGAAGAAGTTGAATCTCTGAATAGACCAATAACAGGCTCTGAAAACGAGGCAATAATTAATAGTTTACCAACCAAAAAAAGTCCAGGACCAGATGGATTCACAGCCAAATTCCACCAGAGGTACAAGGAGGAGCTGGTACCATTCCTTCTGAAACTATTCCAATAAATAGAAAAAGAGGGAATCCTCCTTAACTCATTTTATGAGGCCAGCATCATCCTGATACCAAAGCCTGGCAGAGACACAACAAAAAAAAAGAATTTTAGACCAATATCCTTGATGAATATTGATGCAAAAATCCTCAATAAAATACTAGCAAACCGAATCCAGCAACACATCAAAAAGCTTATCCACCATGATCAAGTGGGCTTCATCCCTGGGATGCAAGGCTGGTTCAACATATGAAAATCAATAAACATAATCCAGCATATAAACAGAACCAAAGACAAAAACCATGTGATTATCTCAATAGATGCAGAAAAGGCCTTTGACAAAATTCAACAACCCTTCATTCTAAAAACTCTCAATAAATTAGGTATTGATGGGACGTATCTCAAAATAATAAGAGCTATCTATGACAAACCCACAGCCAATATCATACTGAATGGACAAACACTGGAAGCATTCCCTTTGAAAACTGGCACAACACAGGGATGCCCTCTCTCACCACTCCTATTCAACATAGTGTTGGAAGTTCTGGCCAGGGCAATCAGGCAGGAGAAGGAAATAAAGGGCATTCAATTAGGAAAAGAGGAAGTCAAATTGTCCCTGTTTGCAGATGACATGATTGTATATCTAGAAAACCCCATCGTCTCAGCCCAAAATCTCCTTAAGGTGATAAGCAACTTCAGCAAAGTCTCAGGGTACAAAATCAATGTGCAAAAATCATAAGCATTCTTATACAACAATAACAGACAAACAGAGAGCCAAATCATGAGTGAACTCCCATTCACAATTGCTTCAAAGAGAATAAAATACCTAGGAATCCAACTTACAAGGGACGTGAAGGACTTCTTCAAGGAGAACTACAAACCACTGCTCAATGAAATAAAAGAGGATACAAACAAAAGGAAGAACATTCCATGCTCATGGATAGGAAGAATCAATATCATGAAAATGGCCATACTGCCCAAGGTAATTTATAGATTCAATGCCATCCCCATCAAGCTACCAATGACTTTCTTCACAGAATTGGAAAAAACTACTTTAAAGTTCATGTGGAACCAAAAAAGAGCCCACATTGCCAAGTCAATCCTAAGCCAAAAGAACAAAGCTGGAGGCATCACACTACCTGACTTCAAACTATACTACAAGGCTACAGTAACCAAAACACCATGGTACTGGTACCAAAACAGAGATATAGACCAATGGAACAGAGCAGAGCCCTCAGAAATAATGCCGCATATCTACAACTATCTGATCTTTGACAAACCTGACGAAAACAAGCAATGGGGAAAGGATTCCCTATTTAATAAATGGAGCTGGGAAAACAGGCTAGCCATATGTAGAAAGCTGAAACTGGATCCCTTCCTTACACCTTATACAAAAATTAATTCAAGATGGATTAAAGACTTACATGTTAGACCTAAAACCATAAAAGCCCTGGAAGAATACCTAGGCAATACCATTCAGGACATAGGCATGGGCAAGGACTTCATGCCTAAAACACCTAAAGCAATGGCAACAAAAGCCAAAATTGACAAATGGGATCTAATTAAACTAAAGAGCTTCTGCACAGCAAAAGAAACTGCCATCAGAGTGAACAGGCAGCCTACAGAATGGGAGAAAATTTTTGCAACCTACTCATCTGACAAAGGGCTAATATCCAGAATCTAAAATGAACTCAAACAAATTTACAAGGAAAAAACAAACAACCCTATCAAAAAGTGGGTGAAGGATATGAGCAGACACTTCTCAAAAGAAGACGTTTATGTAGCCAAACAACACATGAAAAAATGCTCATCATCACTGGCTGTCAGAGAAATGCAAATCAAAACCACAATGTGATACCATCTCACACCAGTTAGAATGGCAATCATTAAAAAGTCAGGAAACAACAGGTGCTGGAGAGGATGTGGAGAAATAGGAACACTTTTACACTGTTGGTGGGACTGTAAACTAGTTCAACCATTGTGGAAGTCAGTGTGGCAATTCCTCAGGGATCTAGAACTAGAAATGTCATTTGACCCAGCCATCCCATTACTGGATATATACCCAAAGGATTATAAATCATGCTCTTTAAAACACATGCACACATATGTTTATTGCAGCACTATTCACAATAGCCAAGACTTGGAACCAACCCAAATGTCCAACAATGACAGACTGGATTTAGAAAATGTGGCACATATACACCATGGAATACTATGCAGGCATAAAAAATGATGAGTTCATGTCCTTTGTAGGGACATGGATGAAGCTGGAAACCATCACTCTCAGCAAACTATCGCAAAGACAAAAAAACAAACACTGCATGTCCTCACTCATAGGTGGGAATCGAACAATGAGAACACATGGACACAGGAAGGGGAACATCACACACTGGGGCCTGTTGTGGGGTGTGGGGAGGGGGGAGGGATAGCATTAGGAGATATACCTAATGCTAAATGACGAGTTAATGGGTGCAGCACACCAACATGGCCCATGTATACATATGTAACAAACCTGGACATTGTGCACATGTATCCTAAAACTTGAAGTATAATAATAATTAAAAAAAAGAAATAGGAGGAAATTACCTCAACATAATAAATATTCTATATGAAAAGCACACAGTTAATATCATACTCAATAGTGAAAGGGTAGAAGTTTTTTCTCTGATATCAGAAGCAAGACCAAGATACCTGCTTCTGATACTTCTATTCAACATAACCCTGAAAGTCCTAGCCTGAGCAATTGGGTAAGGATAAGAAAAGGCATCCTTAAATTATGTCTGTTCACAGATGACATTATCTTATATGTAGAAAACCCTAAAGATTCCACAAAAGAACCCCCAAACTGTTAAAACTAATAAATTCAGTAAAGCTGTAGGATAAAAAGCAGCACACAAAGTTAGTTATGTTTCCATGAACTAACAATAGACAATCAAAAAAGAAAATTAAGACAATAATTCCAATTATGCTACCATCAGAAAGAATAAAATATCTAAGAATAAACTTAACGGAGGAGGCAAAAGACTTTACACTGAAAACTGCAAAACTCTTCTGAAAGAAATTAAAGATGACACAAATAATTGAAATTCATCTATGTTCATGTATTAGAAAACTTAATACTGTTAAGATATCAATAGCACACAAAGTAATATAGATTCAATGCCATCTCTATGACAGTTCTAATGGTATTTTTTTCAGAAATAGAAAAATTGATTCTGAAATTCATAGGGAAATACAAGGAACCCTGTAAACCAAAACAATCTTGAAAAAAAAAAGTTATGTTTCACATTTTCTGATTTACAAACTTATTACAAAGCTACAGTAATCAAAACAGTGTGGTACTGGCATAAAGACAGATGTATAGACCAGTGAATTAGAATACAGAACCTCAAAATAAAACCTCTAACATATGGTTAAGTCATTTTTCACAAGAGTGCCAAGGGTGTTCAATGGAGAAAGGAGTCTCTTTGACAAATGGTACTGGAAAAACTGGATATCCATATTTTTAAAAAATGAAGTTGAATCCTCAATTTATGCCATGTACAAAATGGATCAAGAACCTGAATGTAAAATCTAAAACTATAAAACTCCATGAGAACATGTAGGAAAAAAACTGACATTGGACTTGGCAATAATATCTTGGATATGATACCCAAAGCAAATGTGATATAAGAAAAGAATGGATAGACTAAATAAAAATTTAATCAAAATATACAATCAACAGAATAAAAAACAACCCATATAATGGAAGATAATATTTGAAAATAATATATAGGATGAAGGGTTAGTATCCACAATACATTTTTAGAACTCCTGTAACTCAGCTGGGCACAGTGGCTCACGCCTGTAATCCCAGCACTTTGGGAAGCCGAGATGGTGGATCACCTGAGGTCAGGAGTTCGAGACCAGCCTGACCAACATGGAGAAACCCCATCTCTACTGAAAATACAAAATTAGACAGGCATGATGGCTCATGCCTGTAATCCCAGCTACTTGGAAGGCTGAGGCAGGAGAATTGCTTGAACCTGGGAGGTGGAGGTTGTGGTGAGCCGAGATCCTGCGGTTGCATTCCAGCCTGGGCAACGAGAGCGAAACTCAGTCTACCCCCCGAAAAAAAAAAGAAAAATCTCCCGCAACTCAACAACAATGAAAACACATAACAGCATGACTGGAAATAGGGCAAAGGACTTAGGTAAACAGACACTTCTCCAAAAAAGATATACAAATAGCCAATTATTACCTGAAAAGTTGCTCAGCATCACTAAACATTAGGAAAATGCATATCAAAACAACAAGATTCCAACTCCATACCCATTAGGATGGCTACTACACAAAACCTAGAAAATAACAAGTGTTGGTAATGATGCGTAGAAATCAAAACCCTTGAGTACTGTTGGTGGGAATGTAAAGCAGTGCAGCTAGTATGGAAAATAGTATGGCAATTTTTTTTCAGAAAAATTAAACATATAATTACCATATGATCTGGCAATGTCACTTCTGGTTATATACCAGAATTGAAAGCAGGGTCTGAAAGTGATATTTACACCCTTACTCATAGCAGCTTTATTCACAGTAGTCAAAAGCTATAATCTACTTAAATGTCCATCAGCAGATGAATGGATAAACATGGTATATACATATAATGAAATACTTTAATAGTGAAATTTGCTTTATGGCCTAATACATGGCCTATTTTGTTGAATGTTACCAGTCCTATTAGGTGTGATTCCACCTACATGAGTAGTCAAATTCATAGAGACAGAAAGTGGAATGGTGTTTGCCAGGAATGGGGGACAGGAATGAATGTAGTTATTGTTTAATGGATATAGAGTTTCAGTTCTGCAAAACAAAAATAATTCCAGAGATGGATGGTGGTGATGGTTGTACAACAATGTAAATGTACTTAATGACACTAAATTGTGTATTTAAAAGTCCTTAAGAGGGTACATTGTAAGTTATGTGTGTTTTACCACGATTAAATTTTTTAAAGGCTATCTCTTTGAAAATGTCAACAAAATTGATGAAACTTTATTCACAGTAACCAAGAAAAAAGATAAGCTTATAAATATTAAAAATAAAAGGTGTTATTACTAATCCCATTAATATTAATGGGACAATAAAATAATGCAACAAACAATTGTATACCAACAAATGTGATAATTTATATTAAATAAACATATTTTTAAAGATCACATGGTACCAAAATTCAGAAAAGAGTAGATAATCTGAGTAGGACTATATCTATTAAAAATATTAAATCAAGAACTAATGCTCATCCAAAAAAATCAACAGTCCCACTTTTTTTTTCACTAGAGAATCCTACTGAACATTTAACAAATAATTTAGACCAATTCTCTGTAATCTCATCCAGAAAATAGATGCAGAGAGAACACTTCCCAACCCATTCTATGAGGCTAGCATTACCCTAAGATCAAAATTAAAGACATTAAAACTGCAGACAAATATTTCTTATGAACATAGATGTTCACTGAATCATTTCATAGAGAACATCTGCCTAATCTATAATAGGCTGAGTGAGAAATAAACTGTTGCTAGGTTCAGATATTAACATTTAGTTTTTGAGAGTTACTACAGCATATCCTATGCCATCTTGACTAATACAGTGGTTAAAATCATGATGTCTAATTTAGAGAACCCTAAGTAAGAAAGTTGGTTTGACATTTCCTTTCAGTCTCCCAAGCCAATTCTGTCAGCTGTTTCCTTTGCTTCAGTAAAGTAGTATAACAACAACAAGCAGAACTAAAAGATTCTATCCCTGAAAAATTCTTTAGGATTATGGAAATTATCTAAAGAGCAAGGCTTCCCTGTCATCCAGAATTTAAAATTCTCTAGGCTGAGGATGGAGAAAGGGAGAATGAAGGAAGTAATGAAAGGAGCTAGGTAGGGTCTGGATCAGGGCCACACACATGAAGTGGCTTTGTTGAGAGCAGCTGCATTAATAACAACCCCAAGGAGCCCAGCCAACGCCAACTCTCTTTCTGTGGGCTACCAGTATCTCCCAGCTTGAGTAAATATTTTCAATCAGTAGTATCCAAAAGGTCAAAGTCCACAGACTGACAAGTTTCTATTTAACCAAACAAATAGCTTGAGCCCAGGGGTTATGATAACTGTTCTTCCTCGTGACTTTTGAAAATTTCCCTTTGGCATTAGATAGCAGGTGTGATGCCGGCCTGTGCCCTGATGCTTTGCTATGAACTACTTTAGCTCCATAAATTTTAGCTCCATATTAGACTTTAGCTATTTAGTTCAAAATAGTTCTAGTTTTCCATTTGTGTTTGAATTATTTTGACATATAGTGTTTTATTTTAAAATATTTGGGACTATTCTGGATATCTGATTGGTATTGATTTCTAATTTAATTATATTATGTCAGAAATTATATGTATAATTTAATCTTTTAATAGTGAAACTTGCTTTATGGCCTAATACATGGCCTATTTTGTGGAATGTTACACGTACTTTTTGTAACAAATGTGTATTTGGTAGTATTGGATAGAGTATTCTATAAATGTCAATTGTTTCAAGGCAATTATTAAGGTTGTTCAGGTCTTCCCTGTCCATAATGAATTTTTGTTGTCTACTTGTTCTATTAATTACTGTGAGAAGAATACTAAAATTTCCAGCTGTTACTGTTGACCTTTCATTTTTTCAATTAGTTTTTTCCATTTTTGCTTTATGTATTTTGAAGCTCTGGTGTTAGTGGCATATACATTTTAGATTGTTTAATTTTTAGATAAATTGTTCTCTGGTATTATTGTAACATTTTCCTCCTTATCTCTGGCAATTTTCTTCATCTTAAAGTCTACTTTATTTGATATTATTAAAGCCATGCTATAACGTTCTAGGTTTGCATGATATGTTTTCTTTTGCCCTTTTATATTACATGTTTTCGTATTTAAAGTATGCTTCTTTTAAATAACATTTGGGTTGGTATTATTCTTTGATACTACCATCTTTGTCTTTTAATTGAACTGCTTAATTCATTTACAATAATGCATTTACATGTAATTGTCCTATTTGTTCTCTGTTCTTATTCTCTTTTTGTTGAATGGTAATTTATTAGTATTCCTGGTTGTCTTCCGTAGTGACTTCTAAGCTATATTTCTTTGCCTGTTTTGATGGTCACTCTAGACATTAAAGTATCATGATCTACCTTCAAATAATTTCTCTAATCTTTCTGTATTTATGAATTTTATAAAACACAAAACAATATAAAATAATATTAGTATACTTTATCTTCTATTGTGATATTGATACAATTTTAATATAAGTATGTTACATATGTTAATATATAAATATTTCATATTATAATCCACATAATGCATTTATACATATATGTTATAGAGTTATATAGTCTCTCTGAGTGTACTCTAAAATAAATACATATTATAGTTTATTTTTATAAGAGTATGTATTAGTCTGTTTTTATGCTGCTGATAAAGACATACCTGAGACTGGGAAGAAAAAGAGGTTTAATTGGACTTACAGTTTCACATGGCTAGGGATGCCTCAGATTCATGGCAGGAGGTGAAAGTTACTTCTTACATGGTGGTGGCAAGAGAAAGTGGAGAAAAAGCAAAAGCAGAAACTCCTGATAAACCCATCAGATTTCATGAGACTTATTCACTATCATAAGAATAGCACTGGAAAGACTGGCCCCCATGATTCAATTACCTCCCACTGGGTCCCTTCCACAACACGTAGGAATTCTGGGGGATACAATTCAAGATGAGATTGCGGTGGAGACACAGAGCCAAACCATATTATTCCACCCCTGGCCCCTCCAAATCTCATGCCCTCACATTTCAAAATCAATCACACCTTTCCAACAGTTCCTGAAAGTCTTAACTCATTTCAACATTGACCCAAAAGTCCACAGTGCAAAGTCTCATCTGAGACAAGGAAAGTCCCTTCAGTCTATGAGCTGTAAAATCAAAAGTAAGCTAGTTACTTCCTAGATACAATGGGGGTACAGGTATTGGGTAAATATAGCCATTCCAAATGAGATAAATTGGCCAAAACAAAAGGGTTACAGGGCCCATGCACGTCGGAAATCAGGCGAGGCTGTCAAATTTTAAAGTTGCAAAATGATCTCCCTTGACTCTAGGTCTCACATCCAGGTCATGCTGGTGCGAGAGGTGGGTTCCCATGGCCTTGGGCGGCTCCATCCCTGTAGCTTTGCAAGGTACAGCCTCCCTCCCAGCTGCTTTCATGGGCTGGTGTTGAATGTCTGTGGCTTTTTTAGGCACACAGCTGTCAGTGGATCTACTATTCTGGGTTCTGGAGGATGGTGGCCCTCTTCTCACAGCTCCACTAGGCAGTGACCCAGTAGGGACTCTGTGTGGGGGATCTGACTGCACACCTCCCTTCTGCACTTCCCTAGCAGAGGTTCTCCATGAGGGCCCAGCCCCTGCAGCAAACTTTTGCCTGCACATCCAGGCATTTCCATACATCTTCTGAAATCTAGGTGGAGGTTCCCAAACCCCAATTCTTGACTTCTGTGCACCCACAGGCTCAGCACCACATGGAAGCTGCCAAGGCTTCCCTTGAAGCCACAGCCTGAGCTGTACATTGGCCCCTTTCAGCCATGGCTGAAGCACCTGGGACATAGGGCACCAAGTCCCTAGGCTGCACACAGCACAGGGACCCTGGACCCAGCACACGAAACCATTTTTTCCTCCTGGGCCTCAGGGCCTGTGATGGGAGAGGCTGCCTTGAAGGTCTCTGGCATGGCCTGGAGACATTTTCCCCATGGTCTTGGAGATTAATATTAGGCTCCTTGCTACTTATGCAAATTTCTGCAGCTGGCTTGAATTTCTCCCCAGAAAATGGGTTTTTCTTTTCTATTGCATAGTCAGGCTGCAAATTTTCCAAACTTTTATGCCCTGCTTCCCTTATAAAACAAAATGACTTTAACAGTACTCAAGTCAGCTCTTGATTATTTTCCTGCTTAGAAAATTCTTCCAGATACCCTAAATCATCTCTCTTAAATTCAAAGTTCCACAAATCTCTACTTCCACAAATATTGCTAGTCTCTGTGAAAACATAACAAGAGTCACCTTTGCTCCAGTTCCAACAAGTTCTTCATCTCCGTCTGAGACCATCTCAGCCTGGACCTTATTGTCCATATTGCTATCAGCATTTTGGGCAAAGCCATTCAACAAGTCCCTAGGAAGTTCCAAGCTTTCCCACAGAAGCCTTCTTCTGAGCCCTCCAAACTTTTCCAACCTCTGCCTGTCACCCAGTTCCAAAGCCCAAAGTTGTTTCCACATTTTTGGGTACCTTTTCAGCAACACCCCGCTACACTGGTACCAATTTACTGTATTAGTCTTTTTTCACACTTCTAATAGACATAACTAAGACTGGGAAGAAAAAGGGGTCTTACAGTTCCATATGGCTGGGGAGGACTCAGAATCATGGCAGGAGGCAAAAGGCACTTCTTACATGGTGGTGGCAAGAGAAAATGAGGAAGCAAAAGTGGAAACCCCTGATAAACCCATCAGATCTCATGAGACTTATTTGCTACCATGAGACTAACACAGGAAAGACCAGCCCCCATGATTCAATTACCTCCCCCTGGGTCTGTCCCACAGCATGTGGGAATTCTTAGAGATACAATTCAAATTGAGATTTGGGTGGGGACACAGCCAAAACATGTCAGAGTAGGTACAAGATTATGACAACAAAGATGTAAAATATACTGCTTTAAATAGTTAATAATCTTTTAAAGCAGTTAAAAATATATATAACAGAATTTTATGGCTCCAGATATTACCTTATCTAGAAGTATTTATTTCTTCCTGTAAATCCAGGGCTCTATCTCATATCATTTTCTGTCATGCTTAAGAACTTCTTTTAGCATCTATTGTAGTGCAGTAGAGTTTGACCCCTTTATAGGGGGTCAATACAATATGATACAGTACGATACAGTAGATGTCTTTGTAGCTACCAAAATAAGACAATTTCTTTATATATATCAATAGGATATTGTTTTATATTAAAATATTGACTTTTGCATATTTGTTCATGTATTAGCTATCTCACTGATCATGTCATTTTTATTAAAAATAATCTTGTCACTTCTAAAATTTTATTCACTTTGATTTTCATCTACTATTTTAATTTCTGTCTGCCATGTATTATGTGGAATAGGTTTGCTGCAGTCAAATTCTCTCAGCTTTTGTTTCTCTGAGTCATCTTTTTTTCATCTTGATTTCTGAATAGTATTTTCACTGATTTTAGAATTCTAGTTTGACAATTTTTATATTTCAACACTTTAAAGATGGTGTTTCTTTGTCTTTTCATCTCCATTGTTTCTGATAAAAAGTGAATGGCCATTGATGTTGTTGTTCCTCTTTATATGGTGTGTCATTTTTCTTTGGATGCTTGCAACTTTTCCTTGTTGTCATTGTTTATTGAGATCCGTCTCTTTCTACTCTTCCACAGACAAGGACAATAGTAGATATCTTTTTTCCTATAAAGGGGTCATTCTTTTCTGGCATTTAGTTCACTCCAAAGGCTTATTTGTGTTCTTGGTTCTTTTGTACATAAACAAAATCTATGATTTGGGGGCTTTTCAGATAATTGTGTTTGTGTTTCTTACTACAAGAACAATGGTTTCTTGCAGATTTCCACCTTCTAAATAGAGGTAAAAGTTATGTTTCAAGTATATTTTTATTCACATACTATATATCATATAAAGTCTAATTTTTATATCAGTTTATAATACTAATTGCCTCCTTGTATTCTTACCAACACTGTGTATTAATACATGTCTTATCTTTCCTAAAATAATAGATGACAAAATTGTAGCTTTAAAAAATTACATTTATTTAAATGAAAGTTAAACGTTTCAAAATCATCTGTATTTTCATTTCTTTACACTGAGGAATTTCTTTTTTCTTTAATTTATTAGTTTTGTGCAAGTAAGACATTTTCTTATATTAATGATTCTTATATATAAAAAAGAGTTTTAGTCCAAATTTTTCACTGTCATTTTGACTTTTTTTAATGTACGGATTTTTATTTTTAATGTAAACATTTTAATGAAAGTTCTTATTTCTGTCTTCTGGGAACTGTGTCTGACTCAAAAGGCAATACTAATCCCCATAATTTTTAAAAGCAGTTTTAAGTTTTAACTTTAATGTTTAAAATTTAAACCCATTCAGAATATATTTTTATATAAGAAGTAAGAGGTGTCTCATTTTATTTATTTTTAATGCATTAAAAGTATTAGAGTATTTTAAGGTATGAATAAGCACCTTTTACTTACTAATACATCTTGTTACCACTTGTATAAAATGAATATCAAATTTCTGTTATATATTTGGATATATTTCTGGACTCTCCTCTGTTTTATTGATGTCCTTACCAATTCATGTGCCAGTATGAAACTACTTTACTTTCTGTAGGTTTATCACATATTTTAACGTGTCTGAGGTCTATTTCACTGGCTCATTAGAGTTTTTTGGCTATTCCTGCATATTTATTTTTATATGAAGTTTAGAATCAGTCTATCTAGTTCCTAACATTATCTGTTGGTATTTTTTATTTCAATTTTTTAATTTTTAAATTATTTTAGGGATAATTGACCCTTACAAGATTCAGTCATCATATTAAAAAATAGGGCTTTTAATTTATTCAAGCCTTATTCATGTACTTTAGTTTTTAAATTGTCTTGGACTACATATTTCTTAGCAAGAATTTTTCTGACACATTTTGTCTTTGTGGTTACCAAAATAAGATAATTTTTTATACGTATCTGTAGGGTATTGTTTTATGTCTAAATATCAACTTCTGCATATTAATTTATCTACTAGATATCTCATTGGATTCTCATATTGTTTTTATTAAAAATACATATCTCTTTAAAAATTTTATTCACTCTGATTTTTATCTATTATTTTGATTTTTGTCTGCCATATATTTATGTTCCTTACTTTACAGGTACTGTCTATTTTGTGTGTTTGTTTGTTCTTTTGTGAGGCTCTATGCTTCCAGCA
The DNA here is from genome assembly GCF_000001405.40 of Homo sapiens. NCBI lineage: Eukaryota > Metazoa > Chordata > Mammalia > Primates > Hominidae > Homo > Homo sapiens. Next base: position 64,971,173 of record NC_000008.11, read on the forward strand.
CTTAAGAGTCCTTGATACACAGTAAATATTTAATATATATATGTTTATGCATGAATCTTTAGTAAATAAATCCAACCTTGTTTTCTATTAATACTATATTGCATGGTTTCTTTTAGTTTGCATTGGTTTGGTATGCTTTCTCTATTCTTTTATGTTAAATCAGTTTTTGACATTTTGTTTCAAGTGTTTCTTGCATATTAAATAGTTTTGTTTCTTTAGTGATCTGATTAGAGAGTTTATTCCATTTACATGTGTTTAGTTTTATTAAGGTGTAATTGACAAATAAATACTACTTATATATATGGAGTACAACGTGTTGTTTTGATATATGTATACATTGTGAAATGATTAAATCGAATTATTTAAATCCATTATCTCACATACTTGTCAGTTTTTGAAGAGAAATTTAAATCTAATCTCTTTGCCATTTTCCAGTATACAATACATTACTATTTACTATAGTCCCTATGCTGTACAATAGATATTCAGAGCTTATTGATCTTGTCTAAATGAAACTTTGAGCCCATAAATCAACATCTCTCCATTGTCCCCCATCTCCACCAGCCCCTATCAACCACCATTCTACTCTCTTCTTTTATGAGTTCAACTTTTTTAAGATTCCACATATAAGTGAAATGCAGTATTTGTCTCTCTGTACCTAGCTTATTTCACTTAGCATAATGTCCTTAAGGTTCATCTATTTTGTCCCAAGTGACAAGATTTCTTTCTCTTTAATGCTGAATAATATTCAATTGCATATATATCACATTTTCTTTATCTATTGCATAAATTCCAGGATTTCCTTCTTTTTAAAGGCTGAATAATATTCCATTGTATATATACCACATTTTCATCTGTCAGTGAAAATTTAGGTTGATTCCCTCTTCTGGTTATTGTGAATTATGCTGCAGTGAACATGAGAATACAAATATGTCTTTGAGATACTGATTTTTTTAATATACACCCAGAAGTGATAGTACTGAATCATATGGTAGTTCTATGTTTAATTTTTTGAGGCACCTTCATACTCCATAATGGCTGTACTAATTTACATTCCCATCAACAGCATACAAGGGTTTCCTTTTTCCACATTCTTTCAATACTTATTATCTTTTGTCTATTTGATAATATCCATCCTTTAAAGTGTGAAGTGTTATTTTATTCTAGTTTTAATTTACATTTCCCTAATGTTTATTGAGGTTAAGCATTGTCTTTCATACACCTGCTGGCCATTTGTATATCTTTATTTGAGAGATATCTATTTAGGTCCTTTGTCCATTTTTTCATTGGGTTATTTGTTTTCTTACAACTGAGTTGTGTTCCTTATGTATTTTCAATATTAACCTCTATCAGACGTATGGTTCGCAGATATTTTCTCCCATACACAGATTGTCTCTTTATTCTGTTGATTTTTTCCCTTTGCTTCACAGAGGCTTTTTAGTTTGACACAATCCCATTTGCCTATTTTTGTATTTGTTCCCTGTGCTTTTAGGGTTATATTTCAAAAATCTTTGCCAAGACAAATGTCAAGAAGCTTTTAAAAAATATTTTGTCAATTTAAAGTTTTAGGTTTCAGATGTAAGTCTGTAATTTATTTTGAGTTTTGTATATAGTGTGAACTAAGGGTACAATTTCATTATTCTGCACATGGATATCTAATGTTCCCATCACCATTTATTGAAGAGACAATACTTTCCCCATTGTGTCCTCAGCACCTTTGTCAAAAATCAATTGACTATAAAGTCACGGATTTATTTGTGGGCTCTCTGTCCTGTTCTGTTGGTCTGTGAGTCTATTTTTTATGTCAGTACTATGCTTTTTAGATTACTCTAGCTTTGCAGTGTATTTTGAGATTATGTAGTATGATGCTGGTAGCTTTATACTTTTTATTCAAGATTACTTTGTCTATTCAAGATTCTTTGTGGTTCCATATGAATTTTATAATTGTTTTTCAATTTCTGTGAAAAATTCCACTGGAAATTTCATAGAAATTACATTGAATCTGCAGATCATTTTGGGTAGTATGGACATTTTAACAATATTTGTTCAATCCATGAACATAGATTATCTTTAAATTTGTATCTTCTACAGTATCTTTTTTCTTTATAAACATGTACATTTTATTAAATTCCATTGTAGACAGATGTGTGTATAAACTGTTGTGTAAAGATGTGGGGTTAAGGGGGAAAGTTAAGAAGTACAAGATGCAAGGCCAGCAGTAGACAGTGGAAGACATGGGTTGAAGTCCAAAAGCAGCTAATAGTAGCCTAAGAGATTCCCTATCACCTGTGAAATTGCTGAGAAGATCATCACTAAATCAGTGACCCAAAATCTGATGAATCTAGTGGTCAGAAGGATGCCAAAGAACAGGTCACTGATGTTCACACACTTATCAATGGAGATATAAGTCTGGGCCCAGTCACATGGCCTGCCATCTTTTGGTCCCTAGACTTCATGGGTTAATTTTATGTGACAAGTCTCAGGAAGCAGCAATTGATGAAGAGTGTGTTGAACAGGGACCAGGCAACATGGTGGACACAGAGGTCTTACTGTGGATGTTGAAAATGGTGGACTTTACGGCAGCAAGCTGTGGGGGTACCTCCAACATGGCTGCCTCATGCTTTTTCTTGAGCATCTCATAGTTTGAGGGAAGGCTGATATTGGTGCAAGTGAAGAGGCTTGGGAAGCATGATTCATGGTGCCAAGACATAGGCTGTGAAGTCTATGCTGGTACTAGGCTCAGTGGGCTCTCCCTTTTTTGAGTAATTTTTTAATTTCTTTCATTGATGTTTCATAGTTTTACGTGTAGAGATCTTTCACCTCCTTGGCTAAATTTACTTCTAAGGATTTTATTTATTATTTTTATGCCATTGTAAATAGTTTACTTGATTTCTTTTTTAGATAATTCACTCTTAGGGTATAGAAATGCTACTGAGTTTTTAATGTTTTGTATCTTACAATATTACTGAATTTGTTTATAGTTCTAGTAGTTTTTTAGTGGTGTCTTCAGGGTTTTCTACATATAAGATTATGCCATCTGCAGAGACAATTTAACTTCTTCCTTTCTGCTTTAGATGACTTTTAATTACTTTTTCTTGCCTAATTGCTCTGGCTAGAATTTCTAGTACTATTTAAAATAGTAATAATGAGAGTGGGCATACTTGTCTTGTTTCTTATCTTAGAGACAAAGCTTTCAACTTTTCACTGTTGAGTATATTAGTCCTGGGTTTATGATATATAGCCTTTATTGTGTTCCTTCATTCCTTGCATACCTACATTTATTGAGAGTTTTTGTTATTAAAAATATTGAATTTTGTCAAATGCCCTTTCTGCATCTATTAAAATGATGTTTTGTCCTTCATTCAGTTAATATAGTATATTACATTTATTGATTTATGTATGTTGAACCATCCTTGCATTACAGTGATTAATTCTATTTGATTATAGTGAAGGATCCTTTCAAAGTGCTGTTGAATTTGGTTTGCTAGCATCTTATTGATTTTTGCATCTCTATTCATCAGGGATGTTGACATGTAATTTTATTTTCTTATAGTTTCTATTAATGTCTTTCATATTAGGGTAATGCTGGCTTGTAAAACGAGTTGGGAAGTTTTTCCTTCTCTTTAATGTTTTGACGAATTTTAGAAGGTTTGCTGTTGGTTCTTCTTTAAATATTTAGTAGAAGTTAGCCATTAAATCATCAGGTCTTGGGCTTTTTTTGGTGAGATTTTTTTTTAAATTACTAATATAATCTCCTTACCCGTTATTGGTCTTCACAGATTTTCTGTTTCTTCTTGATTCATTCCTGGTAGGTTGTATGTTTCTAGGAATTTGTCCAATTTACATTTATATTTATTGATATGTCAGATTTGTTTGGATATAAATCCCATTTTTTATATTAGGCTTTCAATCATTAAAGTTGCTTTCTTTTGTAATCTTTTATAATAGAGTCCTTCTTATAATTTAGAAAATTTAAGAGCATTCTAGTTTTTCTACTATATTTTCTTATAACCTTAAATTTAAGATTAAACAATGTTTTAAGTATCATTTAAAAATCAATGTTTACTGAGATGAAATGTTTTTATAATAAAAATATTTTAGAAATTCTACAATATTGGTTGTGCTTTCTCTCTCTTTTTTTTTTTTTTTTTTTTTTGAGACGGAGTCTCGCTCTGTCGTCCAGGCTGGAGTGCAGTGGCGGGATCTCGGCTCACTGCAAGCTCCGCCTCCCGGGTTCACGCCATTCTCCTGCCTCAGCCTCCCAAGTAGCTGGGACTACAGGCGCCCGCCACTACGCCCGGCTAATTTTTTGTATTTTTAGTAGAGACGGGGTTTCACCGTTTTAGCCGGGATGGTCTCGATCTCCTGACCTCGTGATCCGCCCGCCTCGGCCTCCCAAAGTGCTGGGATTACAGGGTGCTTTCTCTTTACCAAGAGTTATTTAGAGAGTTTAAAATTTCTAAATGAAGAAATTTTTAAATTTTGGTTATTGATTTCTAGTTTTATTATATTGTAAACCCAGAATGTTGTTTAAATAATTTTGACATAGAATTTAATACCTTTCTGAAATATGTACACAAGTTCTATATATTCTTGCAAAGAAGATATATTCTCTGTTTTCTCACTGTTAATTTTTATATACAACATAATATTTACATTATTTATTATATTGCTTTTCATTCTTCTGTATACCTACTTATTATTTAAAATGTACTTGACCTATTTTAAATAGAGAGTGGTATTTTAAGTTTTACAATTATTAGTAACCATTTCTCCATGAAACTCCCATAGCTTCTGCTTTATAAAATTGTCTGTTGTTTTGAGTCAATTGCCATATGTTATTATAAGCCTTTGCATTGCAAAGTGTTATTTGTCTTGTTTAATGCTTGTGGCCTGAATTCTACCTTGTCTGTTATGAAAATCTCAGAACCTGCTTCTTAATAGTTTGCTTTTGAATGGTATATATTTTCCTATCACTTTGTTTTTAGCTTTAGCGTGTTTCTTTATAAGTGTCACTTATATGTAGAATAGTTCTATTTTGCTTTGAGAGCCTGTTTAAAAATCTTTGTTTTAAAGGTGAGTTAAGCCCACTTACAATTATTGATATGACTTATAAGTTTGGGTTCAGTTGTCATATTATCTTATATTATATTTTTTATATTTCTTTAACCAGGTTATTTTTGTTTTGTTTTCTTGTATTTAGACCATTTTAAACTTTAGTGGTTAACTTTATTCTAAAACTCTTTTCTAATATCTTTAGCCCTGTTTTCCTCAATTTGTTTTCTACTATTTTTTATCAGCTTTAAATATTATTCTTTGACCTTCACCTATTATTGTGTGATAATTTTATTTTTAATCTATCTCTCTTCTCCACCCATTATAAAATGTGTCATTTCTGTTTTGCAGAAAATAAAGCATTTTTCCATCCTTATCCTTAGCTTTGTTTTAGTCTTAGATATATAACTAAATATATTCAGCCCTCATAATACATACTTTGAAGTTTCCCCAGTCATCTTTTGGTTGGATGAAGCTTATCCTCTTAAAGATTCTTTAGCGAAGACTTCTAAGTATAATATTCTAACTTCTGGCATGTTTAACACTGTTTTATGTACACTGACACATAAAAGACAGCTTGACTAGGTAATATAATCCCTACTTCACAGCTGTCACAAATTATTTGAAAATTTTATTTATTTTCTTGCTTTTAAGTTCCATTTGAGAATTTGATGCCAGTTTCATTTCCTTTCCTTTGTAAATGTCTTGTTCATTTTCCTTGATAGACAAGAGATTTTCTGGCTGTTTATCTTTAAAGTCTAATAGTTTCATTATGCTATGTCTCAGAGTTCATTATGCTGAGGAAATTTTTCCAGGTACATGGTGGGAGATATGTGTGTGTATATATATATATTTTATATATATATATATGTGTGTGTGTGTGTGTGTATATATATATATACACTCACACATATTTACATATATACACATAAGTGTATATATGTATACACATAAGTGTGTATGTATACACATAAGTGTGTATATATGTGTGTATATATGTATACATGTATATAGATGTGTGAGTGTATATATACATCTTAGAACTTATATTGGTAATTGTGTATGTTCAGAGCTTTTTTATTTTGAAAAACTTTGAATTATATTTTAAATATTAGTTTTACATCATCTGTTTGTCTTCTTTGCTCGTTATTGATCTACATGGTTTTTGAAGGATGTTTGGAGAAATTCAAATTAGAGTGCCTATATTTATGGGAATGAGAACTATCTAGTGCAATGCACATTAAGATTACTATAAAGATTCTAAAAAATTTATAAATTTATTTCAATCAGAAATTACTGACTCATTGTATTCTATTAAATAAACTGAGCATTTGTTTTCATTTGAAATGTAAGAGCTGTGGTAACAAATTATAAAGCATTTGTTGGTCAGATTGTAGTCAACACAGATGACTCAAGTAGCCCAATTAGATGCATCTCTAGCATGGAATTGTTTTCCAGGTTTTCTGATTTGTTGAAGATCCAAGTGTATGTATTATTAATTATTCAGTTTCCCCATCCATTCAGATATAACATTATATTTACAGAAATAGAACACGGAAGATGATTTCACAATGACTGTGAATTTAATAACTTATAAACTCACTAAAATAGCATCACTTCTAGGTTATCCCACTGCTTAATATGAACTGAATATTGGACTACCTAAATTGTTGGGAGATCAGTGGAGATAGTATCCATTTTCCTCATGGCTCTTTTTGGTGCCTGGATCAGACTTTCTCTTGGACCAACAGACTCTAACACCTCTTCTGGAATTGATTCCAACCGATGATGAGCTACATCTGGCCTGTGAAATGAAAATAGCAAAACCTTTGATTGAGTCCAAGTTAAGTGGATCTACATCATCTGCTCAGTCAACTTTTGCCAAGATGAATGATGCTGTGTCAGTGTTCCATAATCTCAGAGGTGGATTTCCCCTCTTAAAAACAAAGTGTTTTCCTTTATATAGGCAATGAAAGAAGAAGAAAAAAACCTGCTGTGTGTGAAAATGCATTTTGGCTCCTCTATATATTTGGAAACAAAAACCCTGAAATAACCCTATTTGAGCCTTTTTTTCTTTTTCTTGGATCCCTGCCATCCTAGCCCTTATCAAGTTGCACAAGGGGGCACTGTAGCTGTGAAAGTTCTGGAGAAGTGAGTTATTTTCTTCCTAGTATCTGAAGAGGCTTAACAGGAACAAGAATGTGAAGGGAAAGGAGAGAATCAATAATTTTCAGAGACTATGTGTGTTTTCCAGTTGTTTTAAGTCCCGGCTTAGATTAGAAAATACTCCAAAAGGAACACAAATGGTCACAATAAGCAGAGGGAGAAAAGTGAGAACTTTGACATCTATTTTACAGATTTGTCCAGTTTCCCACATAGAAGAATGATAAACATAGAAAGGGAAATGAGCTGAAAATAGATGTTTTTGAAATGGAAAATCACCCAGCTATGGGGCTATAGTGGAGGCTGATGTTCAAATCCCAACGTCTAAGACCATTCATTCTAGGTCTATTTGATCTCCATAGAAAGAGATCGAGGTTGGGAATTTTGGTGTAAGGATTGCTAAAGCAATGCAATAAGAGTGTTTGGTAATAATTTAATTGAATGTGTCGTAGTGCCATGATTACTAGTATAACCCCTCTGCCCTTAGGTCTTGTCAACCTATGAAGCAAATGAGATCATGTTGACATTAATTTCCAAGTTCTGTTTGCTTGGTGGCCCCATCAGACTAACTGTGGGGCATTCATCTCTGTAGTTCTTCTAAATTATTTATGGGATATTGGGCATATCCACATCAATTCTAGTGCCAAGGCATAATCTAGATTTTACTTAATGGTTTTGTATTCTTGTGCAGTTCTTTAAAAGCCTCTAAATGCATCTTTCTCTTCTCTTCCTACTCAATTAACTTTACCCTTATCTAGAATACAAGAGATTCTCAAGTTGTCTTGTAAAGACTGAGCTATCACAGTAACATTTAATTCTAAATAGCTCTTCTGTCTCTTGCATTAATTTAACTGAGCTCACTTGCATTCATTTTTTAATCCCTCTGTGTGCTACAGTCAATTATTTAGCAACACATAAGTAAAAGAATACCTGAGAAGTCAATGGGCTGAGATGCAAAGGAAACTAGCTAATGTGTTGCAGGATGAAATTAAACAGAGCTTGGAAAAATTAAAACATTGCCTTAAAATGTATATGTTATATGTATATAAACTATAAAATATGCTAAATTTATATATATAGTATAAATGTATTTTAAAAGTAATGATTAAGTTGAAGAAATATAAAATTTTCATTGCAAATTTTAAAAGCAGAATTGTCAATGCAGAAAATATACCCAGTAATATGGAGGATAAACTTGAAAAGGTTTCTCAGAACTCAGCAGAAATGTTCAAAGAAATTAAAATGTTCCTTTCTGTCTTTTTATTTTTAATTTTACTTTAAGTTCCAGGATACATGTGCAGAACGTGCAGGTTTGTTACATAGGTATACATGTGCCGTGGTGATCTGCTGCACCTATTGACCTGTCCTCTAAGTTCCCTCCCCTCACCCTCCACCACACAACATGCCCCAGTGTGTATTGTTCCCCTCCCTATGTCCATATGTTCTCATTGTTCTACTCCCACTTATGAGTGAGAACATGTGGTGTTTGGTTTTCTGTTCCCATGTTAGTTTGCTGAGGATGATGGCTTTCAGCTTCATCCATGTCCCTGCAAAGGACGTGATCTCATTCCTTTTTATGGTTGCATAGTATTCCATAGTGTATGTGTACCATAGTTTCTTTATCCAGTCTATCACTGGTGGGCATTTGGGTTGGTTCCATGACTTTGCTGTTAAAAATAGTGCTGCAAAAAACATACATGTGCATGTATCTTTATAGTATAATGATTTATATTCCTTTGTGTATATACCAAGTAATGGGATTGCTGGGTCAAATCATATTTCTGGTTCTAGATCCTTGAGGAATAACCATACTGTCCTCCCTAATGGTTGAACTAATTTACATTCCTACCAACAGTGTAAAAGTGTTCCTATTTCTCCACAGTCTCACCATCTATTGTTTCTTGACTTTTTCATAATTGCCATTCTCACTGGTGTGCAATGGTATCTATTGTGGTTTTGATTTGCATTTCTCTAATGATCAGTGATGATGAGCTTTTTTTCGTATGTTTTTTGGCCACGTAAGTGTCTTCTTTTGAGAAATGTCTGTTCATATCCTTTGCCCACTTTTTGATGGGGTTGCTTTTTTCTTGTAAGTTTGTTTAAGTTCCTTGTAAATTCTGGGTATTTGACCTCTGTCAGAAAATTGCAAAATTTTTCTCCCATTCTGTAGGTTGTTTGTTCACTCGGATGATAGTTTGTTTTGCTGTGCAGAAGCTCTTTAGTTTAATTAGATGCCATTTGTCAATTTTGGCTTTTGTTGCAATTGCTTTTGTGTTTTCATCATGAAGTCTTTGCCCATGCCTATGTCCTGAATGGTATTACCTAGGTTTTCTTCTATGGTTTTTATGGTTTTGGGTTTTACATTTAAGTCTTTATTCCATTTTCAGTTAATTTTGTATAAGGTGTAATGAAGGGGTCCAGGGGAACTCTTATATACTATTGATGGGAATGTAGATTATTACAGCCATTAAGTAAAAGAGTATGGAGGTTCCTCAAAAAATTAAAAATAGAACTACCATATGATTCAGCAATCCCACTTTTGGATATATATCCAAAGGAAATGAAATCAGTATGTCAAAGTGATTATCTGCACTCCCAAGTTTATTGCAGCACTAGTCACAATAGCCAAGATATCGAATCAACTTAGGTATCTTTCAATAAATGAATGGACAAAAAAAGTGTGGTGTATATACACAAGGGAATACTATTTAGCCACAAAAAAGCATGAAATCTTGTCATTTGTGACAATGCGGATGAACCTAGAGGACATTGCTAAGTGAAATAAACCAAGCATGGAAGGACAAATACCACATGATATGACTCGTGGAATCTAAAGAAGTTGATTTCACAAAAGTAGAGAGTACAACAGTGGTTACCAGAGGCTGGAGAAGGTAGTGAGGAAGAATGGGGAGGGGTTGGTTAACACGTTCAAAGTTACAGTTGGACAGGAGAAATACGTTCTGGTGTTTATTGCACAGTAGGGTGACTATAATTAATAATGTATTGTATATTTCAAAATAGCTAGAAAAGAGAATCTTTAATGTCCTCATTACAAAGAGATGATAAATGAGGTGAGGATGTGCTAATTACCTTGATTTGATTATTATACAAAACATCACATCATAAACATGTATAATTGTGATTTGTCTATTAAAAACAAAATTTAAAAAAAGGAAAATGATGGAACACTTTTTTAATGTATAGGCTGTAGATTCAATATATAAATAATGTTTCTGAAGAAGGAAAGATGAAATATCAGCAATTATGGCATAATACTGAAAATGTTTTCTGAGCTAAAGGAAGACAAGAGTATGCACATTAAAAGCCCCCATCATGAAATTGGTAAAATTAATGAGAAACAATGTTTATCAAAATATTTCTTACTGAAATGTTAACAATGTAAAGAAAATAAAGATATTCTCTAAGCATTCAGCAAAACGGCTTACCTATAAAACAATCAAATCAGGTTAGCCTCAGATCTTAATTGTGGCTCATGTGTGGGAATAAAATCAGTTGATATTTACAAAGTGTTGATAAAGTTACTGAGTAAATTAAATGTACATATGTAGCAGCAAAGATATCAGACATGTAAGAGTTCATCAAATAAAAATCCATGTACTCTTCTAACAGATATTATGTGAAGGTACCTGAAGGTACCCTCCAACTTACCCAAATATAAATAGATATTAAATAATAACAATAGGGGCGTTATGGCAGAGTCAGGGAGAGTACCTGGGAACTGAATGTAAAAACAGTTTAACAGTTGCATAAGTAATTATTGTCAATATGATATAAAGCTTAATATAAAAGTTAAACATATACTTAAAGAATGTAATATGTACTTTTTAAGACAAATATATTCTGGTTTTTAATTCTCATATCTATAATAACTTGGAAGTAAAGAACATATAAATATAAATGTGTTTTAAAATATTAAAAATAATGTAGATTTAAATCAGAACTTATTTTTTACACATAAGAGAGTAACAAAGTGAAGATGAAAAAAAGTCAAAGGAAAGAAACTGAACCAAACTAAAATGTCTAGTAAAACTGCTTAGAAGACAAACAAGGCATGTGCAAAAACTAAAACCAACAGTCACAGAACAATGTGACAAAAATAAAACCAAAGTGCCTGTTATTATAAAACATATAAATAGGCTATCTTCTTTTGTAAGGCACAAAATTTATGTCGACTTCAAATGTTGGTATTTTTAAAAACTCTAAGTTTAGACTTATTTCTTTTGTGCTACAATTTCTAATATGTAAAATAAGAATTAAGAAGTATGTAAATCATGGAATTACTTTCCAGGGCATGGCAAGTGCTCAATAAAGGTTAGTTAGTATTTTCATCAATGATTATTATAATTACTATATATCTTTTATAAGATAATCACATAAAATGAGAACTAAATTACTTAAATTATGTACTATTTCATACTTCAAGTACATAAACTTACAGAATAGTGGTGAAAATATTTCTATTAGAGAGGCAGAATGGCTTGCTTTTGTGGTTTGTAGCTCTGCTCCCTGAAGCCCTAGGAGTTTTCACAGGGCTCACTCTGAGGCAACTATAGAGTTGAAAGACAAAAGGATATAGGAAAAAATGGCACAGAACTTGACACCTTGTATAAGCAATAAATGCAAACAACAGCCATAAACAAACAGAAGCCTCCCCATTGACATAAAGTCTAAGAAATTGTAGAAATATGTTAATTGTCCTTTTGAAGATCAATTTTCTCATCTACAAAACAGGGTTAATATTACCTAGGGTGATTTTGTGGATTTTTCTATATGTTCAATGTAAAATACACAGTTCAATACAGGTATCTAATAGCTACTGATTTCCTGTCTAGGTCCCCTTCATCCAAGATTTAATGGCTGACTTTTGATAGTGGCCAGATTACATGCTTTGGATCATCCTTCCTCAACCTGTTATTCATGTGCATCATTCCTGTATGCTCAAGAAATAATGCATTCATTTTTCCTAAACTAACAGGAAAATTTCTGGCAAAATGAAATCACAAAAGCCTATCAATGCCAAGCACAAATGGCTGTTAGATCATCCACAGTTTGTGATAGTCTGCATCATCTATTGGCACCGAGGATTGGGAATTGACTTTGCATATTGTTGCCCAGTGCATACAAATTCTCTTTAGTTTTGAAGTGCTGTGTGCCAGTGGAGTTTCTAGGTACTCTGTTTTTCTGAATGCTCAAGCACACTTTGAAAGATTTTCATTGCATCTCATTTAATTGGTGAAAAAAAAAGTTCACATGCAAGTGTTTTTGCTGATCCTCAATATCCCTATACAAAAAAAAAAAAAAAAAAAAAAAGTATGACACCAAGAACTGAGAAGTGAGAAGGCCCCTTTACCCTCTGACACTGGGAACACCTATTAATCTCTACCTAACATTCTGTGTATTATGCATGTAGCAGGCTGCAATGATAAAAAAAGATAAGGAAAGAAGAGAGATGGATATAAGGGAAAGATAAAAGAGGAATTTTACTATTTTTCCTAGTACTTCCCCTTTTTCCCCCCAAGGAAAAATCTCACTGCTTCAAAGAAGAGATGCCAGTCCTAATGTTCATTCATACATATATTTCAGCTTGGAACAGCACGGTGGGACCAGCCATCCTTCCTACACGCATGCGCCTATTTAAATACTGTCTTTTATTTTTGCAGTCCTTGTCCAAAACTGTAGCATTATTTTGCTGTTTATGCCTTTCTGAAAGAGAGACCCCAGTTTTACAGAAACCTTGTATGTAAACCTCTCCATAAAGAGTTTGAGGTTTATTTGATTAATAAAATACATAAATAATGTTAAAATTTAAGTGTGTAAAATAGGAATATTGAGTTTAAGAAAGACCCAGCAGTGCAGAAAAAGCAAAACCTAGAGTTAAAAGTGATGCTAACAGGTCTATATTGGTGTTTTAATTTGGAAATTTCTTCATGGTATTTCTCTGTGAAGCCAAGATTAAAGATCCTTCATCATTTCTTCAGTAAGTTTCTGCTTTGCTTTTCAATTTGCTAATATGCTACTCTTTAGATTGAGTATTTAGCTACATGACACCAAACATACAGATGAAAACCAAAACATTCAGTCAATCATTCAGCAATTTGTTAATATACATTTGGCATCACTTAGAAAAGAGTAATTAAAAATTGTTAGCTAGAATTTCCACCTTTATGTATTTGGCAATATTTAGGTATAGTCATCATGATAAGAAAAGCTTGGTCTGACTAGTAGCTTTTTTAAATTTGATATTTTATATTCTCTTATCAAAAGCTTTTTGTCCTGATGTGTTTATTTTTCCTGATTGTTAAATTACAAGCTTCATTTCCCTTTGACTGTTGAGCTTGAATATAAATGTTTTTCCATAAATGTTTTTGTTCTTCTCACTCTCACTTCAGCTTGCCTAGAGAAAAGACACAAATTATTTTCTAAACACTTTATGACTTTATTTCTTACCTATTTTTATTTATTCTTATATAAAATGGATTAAAGTAATTTAAGTGAATATAATACATATGAAATAAGACAGACCAAAATTTTACATTTCAATCGATATCAAAAGACATTAGAGAAAAAGGAGAGAAATGAACCAGCTATCTAGGGTGAGTGAGTTACTATAATTTGGCAACAAGTTGCCTAAGAGTAGAAGAGAAAAGCAATGACTGAGTTGAGGGTTAGAAGTTGGATGATATTGTCTGAAAAAGAAAAGAATCATACAAGTCCATTAGGGCAGTAGTACTCAACGTCTTGTTTTTCTTCCCCAACACCATCAAGGGCTTCGATACAATCTCCCCAGTAACTGTGCTTTGTTTACTATGGGGTCCATGTCTTCCCAGCTCCCTGCAGGAAAACTGTTGGTTCAGAGAAAAGAGTTATCTGGATGCTCATTCTCTATGAAACTCATTGCATACATTTGTGCTGCCCAAGTATTTTTCCTTGCATTCTGATGATTTAACACAATATAGGGACACATTTTCAAGAAGCTAATACCTATCATGTGTCAAATATTTCCTCTGTGCCAGCTGAGCGTTTCCCATGCCTTGTCTCATTTCATTTCCACAATGTGCATGGAAGGAATTAGTCCCATCTTATAGGTGAAGAAACTAAGGTTTTGAAGAGATTGAGTAAGAGGCCTAAGATCACAAGTTAGAAGCTGGTAAAGGGCAGAGCTGGTGCCCAACACCTAGGTGGCTGGGTGTGCATAAGACCACTGTGTGTAACAATCTCCCAGGCTGTCCCTCCAGAGACACCGATGGTGTAGGTATAAGGTGGGGTCTTTGAGTCTGCATTTCATAGCCTCTCTGGTGATTCTTGCCAGTAGTGGAAGGAGGGCCAATACCTAAGCATATTTGCTCTCAAGCCCTTGCTCTTTCCCACTCTGGAAAGATCACTTTTCACCCAGATGGTCCCATAGTCATTTCAATGTGTTTCCTAAGGCAGATATGAGAAGCTTCCGTGTAGGCATTGTGTCTCTTACTGAGCTAAGATTTCTAAAAAATATTTGATAATAATAGAAGTAGTGCTCATTGTAAAGCTCTCAATACAATAAATAGACATTCTCAGTGTTTGCCTTTATTATATTCTCAGACAGCTCATCACTTAGGAACTAATATTATATCTACTTCTCAGATTAGGAAGCTAGGGGAGAGCTAGAAGTTGGCTTCAGAGGCTACTGTCACTGGGAATCATTTGGCTGAAAAACAAATAGACTGTCAGGACTTTCTGGACCTGGTAAGCTTTCTTTGGGGGTATGCTTAGCGATGCAGTGAAAATTACCAGAATGGACTACTAGACATTTGGACACAGTTGTTACAAAAGTGCTTCAAGGCTGAGTTGGAGAGGAACAAAGGGAAATATTTCAGCAGCCTGTAGAACACTGTCGACATTGAAACTTCTCCCTTGCTTCTTTGCAAATTTTGTGAGTAGTTCACAGGTCAGCTACTACTTCAGTCTCCACCATGAAGGTTGTTTAAGAGGTGAAATAAAACACAATTTTCCCCAAGCTTGAAAAAGCCAAGAAAGGGAAATTTTTCTTAAGCAAAATCAAAATAGTCAATCTTAGGTTTTAATTTTCACTGAAACTTAGATAACTAATAAAATACACTACACCATTAAGTGGGTCACCAGTCTGTATCCTATGCCAACTTTGCTGAAATTTTTCTCTGCGATTACCCCTTTCTTTTAGTCATATTCATGTCTTCATTCTGTCAACAGTCAACCTCTGGGTCTGTTAGAGCATGCCTCACATGGTTGCATTCCCAAAACAAGAAGGTGTCAGTATAAAACAGGAGTGCTATGAATGGTTCTTGAATTGTATGAAATGGCTGCAGTATAACTTACCCCATGATAAAAACTATGCATGATACTGAAATGTGTATTCTCAGCTCTCCAGCTGATTGCAGTCCATCTTGATCTTAAGCATTTTCATCAGGCAATGTTTTGGGATGTCAGATCCTCAATTTTCAAATGAAGCTTGATTATGAGAATAAATGACTGGATAAAGGACTGCATTATTGATTCTATAACTGAGTTTGGTGACCTTCTTATTCAGAGGCTTGCAAACCCTTGTTTACTGACCAAAGTCTTTTTTTCCAAACAAAATTTTACATGGAAATCCAAAACATTATTCAGCTAAATCTGGTTGGAAAGGTACACGGCAACAATTCTTTCACTAGGTCTCTGAGGCACTTTACTGCTTAAGCCAAATTTCCTTATGTTACGGTTGAGAATGGTGACGCCAAAGGAGATTAAGAAAATTACTTCCCAAGGTTGCATTGCTAGTTAGGTACAGAGTTGAAATGGAATCTGCATATGTAGTGCTTCCCTATTCTGTCAGGACTCAGGCTAGCTAGGAACACAGTAAACTCCAAAACAAGCTTTGGTAAAAGCCTAAAGATATGGGCAAGTCACCAGAGGCAAGCATGGGAAAGTACGAGTAAAATCTGGGAGTATCATGGGCCATCAGCATGAAGAGGTCGAACTGATGAAGCGAATTACCCAGGACAGGAGCCTCATGTGTGATCTGAGATGAGAGCCAGCTGGGCTTGGAAACCTCGCTAGCAGCTTAAGTACATGTGTGGGAGCCTCCTGAATAGTAATCACAGAGAACTGCCTTTTATGAAGGATGTAGTCCAGGTTCCAAGGGCAGCGTGCTAGTCTTAGAGTCATGTTAAGTCCAACATCCAACGCTGTTCAGATCCTGTACTTCAGAGGTGCCAGTCCTAAAACACAAATGTTTCTGTCACAGACCATTGGCCCCCCCTTTTTTTTTTTTTTTTTTTTTTTGAGACAGAGTGTCACTCTGTCGCCCAGGCTGGAGTGCAGTGGCATGATCTTGGCTCTCTGCAACGTCCGTCTCCTGGGTTCAAGTGATTCTCCTGCCTCAGCCTCCCGCATAGCTGGGACGACAGGTGCACGCCGCCATGCCTGGCTAATGTTTTGTATTTTAGTAGAGACGGTGTTTCATCGTGTTGCCCAGGCTGGTCTCAAACTCCTGAACTCAGGCAATCTGCCCGCCTCGGCCTCCCAAAGTGCTAGGGTTACAAGTATGAGCCACCTCGCCTGGCCTTCCTTTTGATCTTTATGTAGGAATCTAGTTTTGCAGTTTCTGCTAAGGGACAGCAGCCTCTGCTGTGTCCTCTTTCTAACATCTTTTCACTTGTATCCTTTTTTAGCCTTTGACCTGATATGCTGCTTCTAACTTGTATTCTATTTCTGCCTTTTTCTTGTATCTTCCCTGCTTCTCATATGGCAAAAGATGGTTACTGTTTAGCCTTCTAAAATGCTCCCAATTTATCAATGCCTTCCTGGGTATTTTTTAGAATAAAGTTGATCTAAAAAATGTATTGGCAATTAAGGAATCTTGGCTTTTATTTAAATAATTAAAGACTGACCGCTTTCAGATGTTCCAATTCCAATCTTTTCTCAGCCTGTGACAGAGGTCTATTGAAGAAACAGTTCCTGATAAACTACTATTTGTTTAATAATAACTTATTCAGGAGAAATCCAAGACTTCTCCAGAATCCCTGAAGGCTTTCCTTTCTGTAGTTGATTGAGTTGTCCTTCCAAATCAGGGTTAAGGCCACTGGCACAGGAATTTCAGAAAAAGAACATCTGTTTGCAATATACCTGGCTGGTGGATGTATTCTGGAATTTAATGTCTACTGCTGCCAATCTCTTGACCTTTAAAAGAGAAACATTGATCCTAGGGAAGCTGAGGGGGCTTGTGGTTTAGCTTTAAGACTCCTCCCACCCCCCAAAAGACGAACCATTGATTATGGAATCTTATATACAATATATACATTAAAGATTATAAAATGCAATCAGAGCTTCTGGAGGGACAGAGATGCCCTTAAGAAATTCTATAGGCATCTAGTCTCTTTATATGCAAAATGTATTTCCCATCTCTGTCCAACATCAATTTCTATTTTTTCATTTTTTCTTTGTTGGCTAATGTGAGAAAGTCATATTCTCCTGTAACAAGTACCACCCCCCTTGGTGCATGTATACAACCATTTGAACTCCTTGGCCTCTGCAAGCAACTGGCTGATTTTTTTTCTTAAGTATTCAAACTAGCAGAGTATGGCATAAAGTACACCTATCCAAATTAGCCCACTGAAAATACAAACAGAGAGGTTCTAAATATTGCATTTGATAATTTTCTCCGTAATTTGCTGTTCATACAAATGCTTTGCATATGTTGATTAAATATGCACTTTCCACTGCCCCAGGGAGTCAGAGCCCCTCACAGCAGACCAGTGTAATCTGGTCCCAGGAGACCGTAGCACTCCAGAGGGGCACCGTCACACGGACTACCTGCTTCAGCTTGTCTTAGCAACAATGATCGCCATATGTGAAGCTGCAGGAAAACAGATGCTGTTTTTCCATTTGTGAAATCAAGTTGTTGGAAAGTAGTCAGGTTTCCAATGTATGAAAGCTCATCTAATCAACCTACGGAGACAGTGTGAGCTTTCTCAGAAATATTTGACAACATTCCCTAGTATTGGTGACTAGAAACATATATGAAATCATAGTTCCAAAGTGATAATCCTTTTCCCATACTTGTGTTGATAATATCTGTTTTGATGGCTGCAAATGGAGTCCCTAATTTTCTTAAACAAAGGGAATATGTAACCTGGTTTTCAATTGCAAAAAGAGCTTCACAGCATGGTCTGTAGGTAAAGGGTAGGTTTACTGTAGTATCTTGTTTTATTACATCAGTCGTAAGTATCACAGATTGTTTCCCCTTTTATGTACAGGAATAGGAATATGAGGCAATAACTAATGAAGACAATCCCCTTTTTATCAACTCAAAAGTAAAATTTCCATAAGAGCCCAGCCTTAGTGTTCTGTGATCCATCCTACTTCACTCTTGGACTGTATCGCAAGCAGTCATATTATGTGAAATTTGTGTAGCAAAATAGTTTAGCTGCTTGTAAAACTCCTTTTTATTAATAAAATGTAAACAGCTTCTCAGAGTCATTGCCAATAGTAAAGTATAGTTTGAAACCTGATTAGCTAGAATACCACACGATGTCAGAAAAAAAAGAAATGGTGTGTGTCAATCACAAAATGTTAGAGCTCTATAGTAACTTACAAACCAGATCAACAGTGAGTATTAATTTATCTGCAATTACTACTATTTTAACTTTTTAATTTATAGAAATGTAGCAAAAACCTGAATGAGTAATATTAAGTTTATATCTAAGGAACCTGGTTTCTAATTCTGTTTTCATCATTACTACCCAATTTTATTATAGCCTGATATTTAATTTTTCAATGAACTATAAGTAATAATGCATCAAAGTTTTCATAATACAAAATACAACAAGCTTTAAGAACTAAAAATCTGTAGAACCACAAGGTATGAATAACCTGTTATTTCTCATTTATGAGTTAGCCGTGAACATCCTGTTACTCTAACACAAGCAATTCAACTCACTGTGCTTACCATGCTGAGATGACTAAGGAACCTAATGAAAGATGACTGTGTAACGGTAAAACTACTGTAGACGTAAAAATTGCTATTTGTTCAGAAGACAAAGGCATTGTGCCTACTTAGAGTAATATAATTTAGTTAGTATTTTAGCTGGGTTTTGAAATGTGGAGATTCAACAAGATAGAGGTGTTTCCATAGGAAAGAAACAGGATAAGTAGGACAGGCATGATGGCAAGATAATGTAAGGCATTATTTGCAGGGGGTGAGTAATTTTAAGATAATTTGGCCAGAGAAAGTCGAAGTTCAGTGAAGTAGAGTAAAAGAGTAAGACAGGAAAGTTAAAGCCAGATTATGAAGGTCCCAAGTTACGGTCTAAGGAGTACAGATGTGGCTCAGCAATGAAAAGACTTATTTGGCTTTTTGCATCTAAGAATGGCATTTTGCAGCTGAGAATCAATGTCAGAGCTGTGCTTCATGCAGATCAACCTGGGACTTCAACGTGCAGTGTATTCTGAGCCCAATATGGACTAGCACTGTGCTTGCATACTACTAAGAGGAATGGACTATGATAAAGAAACTTGCAGTCCATGAGGAAAAACCAGAAAAATGAAACAGTTATAAATGTCAGGATATAATTAAGCACTAAATTATGTGATAACAATTGTCATTGAACTTTGTAGTCTACAAATCATTTATACAGTATTAAAATCAACCCCTCAATAAATACTGAATGAGCAATCAGCTCTTTGATGTAAATAGAAAATTTAAGGAATTGAGAGACTCAAAATCACATATGCATTATGTGTTGATTTGGGACTCAAAATCAGATCCACGACACCTTCTGCTTTGTGTAGACTGATATGAAGGACTTAAAGGGAAAAGACCTATCTTTGAGCTCTCTGTCTTTAGGTTCACTACGTATTTAATAGTGATTATACTAAACTATTAGCCCATGAATAATAGTTAAATATTTTTGTGAACAAACCATTCATAAAGTAAATATTTAACAGCCAGGGAATGTAACCACTAATAGATGTGACGACAGTCTCTATCATCAGGATTTTAGGAACATCGAGTCAGCTGTTTCTCTAGTTCTCTAGGAAATTCTGAGCACCACCCAAGAGCCTTTGAATAAAGTGGCTTTCTGTTTAATTAGCTAAAACTGATTTTAGGTACTAAGATTCCAGACTGATGCATATAGTAATTTGATGTAAATAGTAAGCAACAGCAAATGGATGTAATGAAGCCCTGCACAGTTTCTGTACTTAGTCAGATATTGGTCTGAAGTTCTGGTAAGGATTCACATCAGAGTCCTGGCTCATTACATATTATGTATCCCTGGACATGTTATTTAACCTCGATGAGCATATTTTATTTCTATAAAACTGCAGTAGTATCTATCCCATCTACATTTATCAAGCAAGTAAATGCATACAAAATTTCACTGTCAAATATAAAGTAGTTCATGCTATAAAAGTGCAAGATATGGCCAGGCGTAGTGGCTCACATCTGTAATCCTAGCACTTTGGGAGGCCAAGGCAGGTGGATCACCTGAGGTCAGGAGTTCGAGACCAGCCTGGCCAACGTGGCAAAACCCTCTCTACTAAAAATATAAAAATCAGCCGGGCATGGTGGTGCATGCCTGTAGTCCCAGCTACTTGGGAGGCTGAGGCAGGAGAATTGCTTGAACCCAGAGGCAGAGGTTGCAGTGAGCCAAGATTTCACCACTTCATTCCAGCCCGGGCAACAGAGCAAGACTCTGTCTCAAAAAAAAAAAAAGTGCAAGGTATTAGTTGTCCAGAGTATGATTAGTGTTTTGATGTCACATGACACAAATGGGTGAGAAATTAATAAATTTATTATCTTGGATGCTGTTCTAAGGAAAAAGATCATCTATTCCTGATTTTTATATTCTGCTTGTCCTCTTTGGTATTCTCAGGACACAATGGCTTAATGGGATTTAAGCTATGGGGTAAAATTTCCCTCTTTATCTCCGAAAGAGGATCCAAAAACTGCACAGTCATTCTGCTGTATGATGGAGAAACTGGTGGAGATTCTCCTATGAGCTTGAAACTCAATCATGGAAGAATATTAGAGGCTAGAGTATATTGTAAGGGGAGCAAGCAGCAGAAAAACTACAACTCAGCAACACTAGCCTTTGCCTGTCTGTTTCCAGTGTGTTGGAAGACAGGCCCATGAGTCTTAGATACACCTGTGTGACAGCCAAGTTCATGACCACCCCACTCATGTCACGAAGGGAAGACACTTGCTTTCCTCTAGCAAATCTTTGCAGTCTGTCCTCCTTCCTCAGGGTTACAACCTTCTGCTCTTCACTTTTGACAGACACCCAGGATCATTACAATGGGAACCACGTGTTGGAGGTGTTTCTGGCATACAGGGTCCAAGTTACACCGTAGGCAAGTGACACTTGCAGTGGCTTTTCGCTGCACTGAGAAACTTGGAAACTAGGAATTCCAGTTGATTGGCAGCAGTGCCAAATTGTGCAAGCACCTGGTGTATGATATGACAGACGGATATTTTATTGAGAGAAATAAAAAGACTTCAAACATTTTGGATCTGTAACTGGTGAATGGCAGTCACCTCAAATCCCATGACAACCCACAATGCTGCTTGAAGAGGCTAGATACCTGACAGTTATTTTATGATCTATTCCTAAAGTGCTTATACATTTTAGTTCTGTTTATTTCAACAAATGGTAATTTGTTGAAATCATATCATCAGGTCCCATCATGAAGTAAGACCTGATGATATGAAGAAGAATGCACAATCTTGTCCTCTTGGGCTTGACCATCTGGCAGATTGTCCTCTGTTGGTGAGAAAACTCCTCTGAGTGGGTCTGGCCTTTTCTACCAGTAGAGTAGAACACTTCCACTATCATACTTATTTCATGCCATTTTCTCTACTTTTAAGTGTCTGCTTTTGTTTGTTTAATATGGAATGTAGCATATATTATAGCAATGAGTAGGTGCACACATAAGAACCCCTGCCAGGATTTCCCAAATGTTCTCATTGTACTTTATTATTTTAAAGCAGTTGACAAAGGTTGAGGCTTTCTTATCACCTGTATGCTGCTGTGGCACCACTATAGTTCATATATGCTTTCCAACCATGCTGTTGCCTCTCTTAAGGAGGCTGGCTGGCTTGTTTGCTGCATTCCTAAAATTATTTGGCTTTTCTCTTGCTTTATTTTATGGTTGAGTGGCTTTGGGTAAATGTATTCTATATTTGCTTAGTTTGTTCAAGAGGATGGGGATGCAATCCACTAGCAAATCCCATCAGTTCTACCTTCAAAATATGTCCTGAATCTAACCACTTTTATTTCTTCTCTACTTATTATACATTCTAAGCCACCATAATGTCTTACCTGGAAAACAGCAATAGTCTCTTACATTGTTCCCATTCCATGCCGGCGCTGTTACAGTCTATTCTCCACATAGCAGTCAGAGTGACGTTTCTAAAGCAGAAACCAATCCTGTCACTTCCCTGCCTTCAGTCCTTCAATGGCATCCCACCACAGAGTCAGACTGAAATGTAAAGGAGTCCATGAATTCTAAGAGGGTTGGTGTTAGGAAATGAGGAAAGACAGTTGACCTGGAGCCAGCTTTGGGTCGTCCTCATTTCATCCCACTCAAGCCCTCTGATGCCCCGACTACTACTTAATTTACCAAAGTCAGTGCCTGTTCAGGAATTTTGAACTTACTGCTCCCTCTTCCTGGAGCTCTCTTCTCCCAAAATTTGCAAGCTTTGCTGCTTTACTTCATTCTAATCTTCTCAGATATCACATCCTAGAGAGATCTTTCCTCATCCTCTGCCTAAATACCACCTTCCCATTGCCGCCACCCTTTAACCTCATATTCTATGATATTGCTTCACGGAACTTAAACCTGCCGGCCTTACAGAATCCTCTTACTACTATTACCTCTACGAGAATGGAAGCTGGGTGAAGGCAGGGATATTGTCTTATTCACCATTGCCTAGAAGAGGGACTGGCACCAAGAGCACCTCATAAATATTTATAGAATAAATAAATCATCATATTTTATTCTTACTAAAAATTGAGATATTCTTAAATTCAGTTAGCAGAAGAACCTGAGATTCACAAAGGGCTAAGTAATTTGCAGTTCAATATGGAACAGATGTAAAGCACAAATTCAGGGTCTTTGGATGTCAAAGGCCTTGCTCATTCCTCCATGTTTATTTATTTTTTATTCTTTCTTTTTGTGGAGACAGGGTCTTGCCATGTTGGTCTCAAACTCTTGGGCTCAAGCAGTCCTCCTGCCTTGGCCTCCCAAAGTGTTAGGATTCTGTGAGCCATTGGACCTGGTCCATTTCTTTTCATGTATACTCTTTGAGCTAGTTCTTCAGGTTAATAGTTTGGATATTTATTCAACACATTTAATTGAAGAATGGATTTTAAATGGATTTGAGAATAACATCTCTATCAATCAAATTTGATTTTATCGTTTAAAATCTAAAGCAAATAAACTTTTACAAGTCATCAGCATCTTTCATAGAATCTCTTCAGGAGCATGGGGTCAGGTGTGCTGTCCTGAAGCCCAGCCGTCTCCTGAACTGCACATCACTCAGTCTGTCCTGCCCTCACCAAACACTGCCCCATGCTGCTGCCCTAACCACAGTCTTGAGTCATAATTGGAAGTGGGTATTTTTAAGATAAAAACTGTACCTGGCAAATAAAGAAACATATTTGTTCTAAGTTTAATTAAGTAAGTCTGGGCAGCCTTTTTGCAATATGGAGATTAACTGTCAAATTTATGTTAATATGATCTCAGAGAATGAAGCTGCTATAAAAAGTTTCTTCCCTCACCCCTCTCTTAAGCTCCTCATGTTGCCTTACTGAAGTTTCCTTAAACTGGTAGTATCTTATTAAAATATCACCAGGTCAGTTCCACAAGAGCAAGGCAGTGAAAAATATCTAAGAAATTCAAGATGTTAGTTTTAAAGGCAATAGGACAAATAAGCTGAAATCCTGTCCATTATACAGAGGAAAAATTGTCACAATGGTTGAGTTTTCAGCATCTCATTGGAATCATTCAATGCTAAGCTCTCCTTTATCTGATTAACACAGGATTATAAAGATCTTCTGAGCACTCTCAGTATAATACAAAGAGCCTTTCATTTCTTTGAATATCCACCCCCCCTGCTTTTTGTGTGTGTGAAAAAGATGTGCCACCCAATTTTTTTTTTTAATTTTGTGATTTAAGAAAAAAATGCTAACAGTTTGAATCATGAGTCCTGTTGTGGGGACTGAGTTAATTAAAAACCTGATGTATACATACAGCTGATCCTACTCACCCTAATGAAGAACATTAATTCTGGAGCATGTGTGGCTGCAGTCACATTGCTACAAATTACTGGACTCTTTCCTTTATCTGTTTCCAAGAAAGTCTCCCCCTGTTAGTTAGGAAAAAAGAAAAATATGACGCCTTAGTTCTAGGCAGCATAAATTACACGCATCAATCAGAGGAAGCTTAAATTAAAATACACATTTGGCAAACAAATATGAATATGTTGATCTCATCTGTGAATCAAAATGATTTAGTGCCTGTGTTGACCCCCTACTGTTCAACATGAAGGTCACTGCGAGCAGCTTCTTTCTTATTGAGAAATGTTTTCTTGTCTTTTAAGGATGCAATTTTATATAAGCCCTAATGTTCAATCTAACTAGTGATCCCTATGTAGAGAGACTGATTTATTTTATAAAGAAAATACAGGCTCATTTTTATTTATGTAATCCAAAACAGATAGCTAAATTAAAATGTGGGGGAAAAGCACCAGTGGTTTATGGTTCCTGGACTGAGGATCCTCCAATGTGTTCATGGTATTTTCTAATCTAGCAGGATACTATTTGTGAAATGGAATGCTACACCTTTTCAATATTGAGTGATCATAAATCAGTCTCTTCTTATCACCAGCTGCATGCATTTTTAGGGCAGGAATAAACTTGAGAGTGCCCATTACATGGTAAAACCTGAAGTAGAGATGATCTTGGGTCTTGGGTTGCCACGTCTTGAAAATATCTGTAGGAAAATCAGGTAGATTAAGTAAGAAAGTGATCTCCCTGGATTGAAATATATCTTATGTTATGGCATTTATTTTAAATATTTATGTTGTATTTTCTTGCTAAGATTTTATTCTTATTACAACAAACCGGTATAATGATTCTGTCTGTATTAATAGGAGGGATATGCAATGTATGTCTTTAATAGTTAGATTGCAACTCAGTACTGAGCATCCTCACAGCTAAATGGAAGAAGACAAATACATAAAACTGTACACAAGATGAACACTTTAGTCTGCAAAAAAAAAAAAAAAAAAAAAAATCACTTGAGGAACTTGTAAAATTGTAGATTTCCAGGCCTCATTTCTCAAAACTGGAATAAGGCATGGATCTGCGTTTCTCATGAGTTCTCTAGACATTTCTTATTAGATGTTACTCAGAACAAACTTTGAGAAAAATTGATAGAAAGATGAATGGGTGAAAAGACCAAATGGTATACAACTTCTTGGGTTTTCGCATTTTCACAAAAGATTATATCAAGAGAGAAAATACAGAGGTGGTATGAGCCATTTGCGCATAAACTGTTACTTTAGACAACAGAAAGCAGAATTCTAGTTATTTATTTTTATTCCTATTATTATTTATTCATTTATTTATTTTTTAGAGACAGGGCCTCCTTCAGCCACCCAAGCAGGTGTGTAGTGGTGTGGTGCAATCATAGCTCACTGTAGCCTCAAACTCCTTGGCTCAAGTTATCCTCCCACTTCAGCCTCCTGAGTCACTGGAATTACAGGCATGAGCCACTGAGCCTGGCAGAAAACAGAGTCCTAAGGGGATATATTATGACAGTTGTTTTACATTGAGGTTTTATTTTCTTTTCGGTGGGTCAGGGGAAGTATAGTTACAGAGAAGGAAGCTACCCCCAGAATAAGGCACTTTTTTGCTACAACAGCCCAACATCCCAGGTTTTTTAGTGAATTCCAATTTGAAGTATTCAGTCCCATTATCCCAATATCATGTGTACCGATTTTTGATCCAGGAAATATGGTTGCTGTGTTTCTTGGGTGAATACTCAAACTGTGGTTCATTACATTCTAGGGTTCTAATAAATGAGCACAGAAACTTCTGGAAGAAGAAATCCACTGAGATAGGCTGAAAAAATGAGCATCGTGTTGTGCTATTTTGTGGGGTGTGGAAGAGCAACAGTTTTGTCTATTTCTTTATTTTTTATTTTTTTTGACATGGAGCCTCGCTCTGTAGCCCAGGCTGGAGTGCGGTGGTGCAATCTTGGCTCACTACAACCTCTGCCTCCTGGGTCCTGGTTCAAGCAATTCTCCTGCCTCAGCCTCCCGAGTAGTAGGGATCGGGATTACAGGCACGTGCCACCATGCCCAGCTAATTTTTGTATTTTTAGTAGAGACAGGGTTTCAGCATCTTGGCCATGCTTGTCTAGAACTCCTGACCTCGTGATCTGCCTGCCTTGGCCTCCCAAAGTGCCGGGATTACAGGTGTGAGTCATCATATGAGGCAATTGAAAAGCACTAAAGTCTTCAGAAAGTAAAACGATGTATCAGAAAATATGTTTGAGGAATATTATGTCTTAACAGGGAAAAAAGACAAAGTCAATTTTATAGAGAGATCCATGTTGATTGTTAAGATGGCCAAGATGAATGGATTGGTTGTGTGGCAGTCTGTTCATTCGGCTCTGATAGGCACTGCCAAGAGTAACTTGGGTATAATTTTGCTCTGTGCTAATTAGAATTGGTCAACTGATGCTCTGATGAATTTCCTCCCCTGGATAGAATTTGAGGGAGTATACAACAAAAAAGTAATTATCAGGGGCGCCAGTTATCCATAGGGGCATCTACAGTGGATCCAGGGACGTAGAACCTGGTGTCAACTTCTTAGAAATTTTTCTCCCCAACTAATGCAACCCCATTAAAAGTCCTCTTTTAGTGGGCACACAACCAATAGTGCATATGCTGATAGCATTTTCACATACAAATCTGATAGGCACGCCATTACCCAATTTACACATGCAAATGCAGTAATTGTGTGTACTGGGTGCTGGGGAAACCTGGCATACACCCAAAATGGAGGCCTTTTCAAAGCGTGGCCAACCCACCAAATTCCTCTTCCTCAGCAACTCATGGTGCTGTCTTACCTCTGCCTCTATTATACACAATTCTGTGGGATTCTGGGAGGAAAGATATGTGCTTTGTGAACTTCCCTGAATGACTAAAACTTTGTATCTCTGTTTGATTTGGACATGTTTTAGGTTCTCTTTTTCTCTGATTAATTGATGATAAGACTTTCTCTCCTTTGTAGTAATTCACCATTTTATTTTTGTGCTTTTTAAAAAATAAACTCTAATTAGAAAGTACAAATTCTGTCATTATGACTTATTCTAATCTACAACTTGAAATTAGAATGATTAGGAATTGGCATAATAAGTGATTTGTGCTTTCAAAAGAATAGAGATTACTGTTTACAGCTATGTGCACATGAGTTTACCCCAAGATGCATTTGATTATTCTAATTTACTGAGCTGCTGCAGGAGCAGCCATTAACTATTTCCTGTTTCTCTGTTAATGTATTTCAAATATTCTGGGGCTACTTGACTACATAGGCAGTACAATGCAAGCAAAGTAATTTAAGAAATAGAAATAGGATTGAGTATATTTACTTTGTTGTATTTCTCAGAGAGGAGAAGCCTAGGAGTCTGACACTGATCATAGAAAGATTTTTATATTAATCAGTGGTAGCAGAAAAAGCAGTTAAGGAAATTTTATCAAAATCAAAGAAAGAAGGAATACTTTGAGAGGAAAAAGCACAGTTGAGATTTTACCAAAACCAAAGAAAGAAGGAATATTTTGAAAGAAAAGACCTGTAATTCAAAATTATAACTCTTATTTATTTATTCAGAATATTTATTGTGCTTACTGTTTTTGTTTGTTTGTTTGTTTTAGATGGAGTTTCACACTTGTTGCCCAGGCTGGAGTGTAATGACAGGATCTTGGCTCACTGCAACCTCTTCCTCTTGCCTCAGCCTCCCAAGTAGCTGGGATTACAGTCGCCCACCACCATCCCTAGCTAATTTTTTGGTATTTTTAGTAGAGAACGGGTTTCACCATGTTGGTCAGGCTGGTCTCAAACTCCTGACCTCAGGTGATCCACCCACCTCAGCCTCCCAAAGTGCTGGGATTATAGGCATTAGCCACTGTACTGTGTTCTTTTTATCTCCTCATTCTTGTCTCATCTCTGTAAACATTATTTCATCTGCTGGCCCCTTAACTGATGGGATTCTCCAGAATCATCTACCATCTCTTCATGATGGTAGATCCATCCTGATCTTCATCCTACCCTCCACATCTTTTTCTCCAGATTAGACTTCACTTCTAAGCTTCGAGTCCATGTTTACAGAGGTCTTGATACCCCTAACAGAATGCTCCACATGGACAGCAATCCAAATTTGGACGTATTATCTTCCTCTTTGAATCTTCATCTCCTTCAGAATTCCCAAACACTTCCCCATACCTCATGCTAGAGTCATTCTGAAGGTCTTCTCTGTACCTTCAATCTGTGTATCCTGTTGGTCACTGAGTTCAGTAATGTGTACTGAAATTCAAAAATGGTTCATCTTGAATCTGTCCACTCAGTTCTCTTACCACTTCCTGCCTGATCTCAAGCCATGATTTCTCTTCTGGATACTTGCAATAGTTTTGCAGTTGCCATTAGTCTCTCCCTTAGGCTGCTCTAGTCCCTCACTTTCTCACCAGGGTATCTTCCAAAGTGCAATCTGATTATATACCGCCATACTTACAGGTCTTCAATGGCCCCCTACCATATGCACACTAGAGTCCAAATTCCACTGTTTTCTTTTCCAGGCCAAGTTTCACCTGATTATTTTGTATCACTGAAAAATCTATTAACTTTCATACTACGATATCATTGCTCATGTCATTCCCTTCTATTATGTTCCTTCCTCTTTATTAGTGCTATCCTTCATTCTGTTACTTTTTATCTTCATCCTTCAAAGTCCACCTCAAATATCTCCTCATTTATGAAACTGTCACAGGGCCTTCTCCAGCAACAGAACAAATTGATTTCTTCTCTATAGTGATGCTGCTTTTTAATGTATTAATTACCTACCATTTAATATAACAAATGTTGAGAAAAAGTTGTCTGTCACCACACTGGTATGATATTATGATATAATGGGAAATATACATTTTGACTCTGCCTCTGGATTCTGGCACAAAGCGCCTCAAATTCTTCAAATTTTCTGAGCAAGAAGAGTGTTGGCTGAATCTTTTGTTTTCATATTTGATCTTTGACCTTGGTTTCTCACAAAGAACTTCCAAATCCCTTCATACGTTCTGGATGATTGGAGCATCTTTCGTTCTAATGAGGTGTCTCTTAATGGGCTACCGAGTGAGGACTGGTTACCAGAAAGACCAAGCCATGATCAGAAGTATGAAGTTTGAAAAGCTTCCAGATTGCTGAACATGTGGAGGGTGTCATTCCTGGAGAGGAGAGGAAGCTCCGTGCTCCTTCCCTCATACCTTGCACTATACATCTCTTCCATCTGGATGTTCATCTGTAGCATTTGTAATATCCTTTATAATAAACTATAAACATAAGTAAAATGTTTCTCTAGTATGGTGGGTCATGCTAGATGCTAGCAAACTGTGTAACTCAAGGAGGAGTTTGTGGGAACCCCAATTTATAGCTGGTTAGTTAGAAACAAAGGTTATAACCTGGACCTTGTGACTGTCATCTGTCTTAGTCTGTTTTGTGCTACTATAACAGAATACCACAAACTGGGTAATTGATAATTAATATAAATTTATTTCTCACAGTTCTGGAGGCTAGAAAGTCCAAGAGGCCCTGGTATGGGCTTTGTCCTCTGTTATTTCATGGCAGAAGATGGAAGGACAAAGAGAGGGCAAGAGAGAAAGATAAAAGGGAGCTGAACTCATCCTTTTATAAGGAGCCTATTCCTGTGATGATAGCATTAATTCATTCATGAGGGCAGAACCTCATAATCTAATCGTCTCCTCTCATTAGGCCCTACCTCCCAACACTGCTACCGTGGGAATGAAGTTGCCAACACATGAACTTTGGGGTCAAACATTCAAACCATAGCAGCATTTGAAATGGGGCAGGATTTGAAACTGAGCTCTTACCTCATGGGATCTGACACTGTCTCCAGTCAGAATTGAGTTAAATTGCAGGACACCTAGCTGTTGTCAGAGAATTGCTTGATGTGGGGACTCCACACATTTTGGTTACAGATGTGTTCTGTGTTGAGCATTGAATGTGTAGTAGGAGAGATCAGTTAGTTGGTTTTTCCTATTATACAACTGGATTATATACGTCTTAAATCAGGAACTGTTATTTTATTGACCTAGTATCAATGCCCTCCAACCAAAGATCACCAAGAACACGTTCACAGTTAAGCTGGGGTTTTTGCTTATTGCAAGGATGAATGCACAGCATAGGGAAACTTGAGGCATGTTAAGGTGTTAGGAAAGACTAATTATATATAACATTTGTGGCTAGTTTTAAATATTTGAAAGTGCCTAACATTTAGAATGAATATATAGGGTAGGTCATGGTATACCAACCTGGTATGAGTGGGGATTAATTTTCATTTCTGATAAGCTAGCATTCCTGACAAGATTGTAGTGACTTCAATAAGAGCCTTCAGTTTACATGAGGCCTAGTTCCAATTATTGTAAAACTGAAAAATTGGGATGAAATGATGTCAGAGAAGCTTAAGTATCAGAAGGGACCTGTAACAAAGAATCTATCCTTATGCTGTGTCATCCAAGAGCAGAAGGTGTTTAATCATTAATTAATAGTTAATAAATTTTGTTAGCAATAAGTCAAATTTAGAGCAGATCTATCAATTTAAAAAGCATGGAAGAAGATTATAAGAAGTTAAAAGTAACATGACAAAGATAAGAGAGATATTGAGAAAAATTTTAGTTATTAAATAGTTAATAGAGGATGTCAAAGTATAATAGGGAACATTAGTGATTGAGTAAAGATTAAAAAAGAAAGAGTGCCACAGAAACAGAAATTTAATGTTATTCTATTGCCCTGCATAGAAGCTATATACTTTTGCACTCAGCAGCTTCTTACAAAGTTTTGGATGAGGACTGACTACTTATGTATGGAATTCCTAAGAATCCTCAGTTTAAGATCCGTTAGGATGTCCAATAGCCAGGAGTAAGTGATGTATGTCTTTAAGATGGTAACTTAATGATCAACACCTTGGAGCTTCAGTGCTGTATTAGTTGCTAATAGTACCTGGTCATTTCCTTTCCATGAAGTCTCAAGGGTGGTTTTTCTCCAGTGCCTTCTTCAGAAAATCAAAATTCTAAGTTTCAGATCATGAAGAAACTAAACTGCTCAGGTGGATGTCATAGAAATGACACTCAGAGTTATTAATGTTAAAGCCTGAGGTATCATATGAGTTCATTGCATTGTTAGTCATATGAGCTTGAAATAGGGTTCAATCAAGATGGAAATTACAGTTGACCCTCGAATAATGTGGGGATTAGTGACACTGACCCCCGCCGCATCCCATGCAGTCAAAAATCTGCATGTAACTTTTGACTCTCTAAAAACTTAACTAGTAATAGCCTACTGTTTACCTTACCAATAATATAGTTAATTAACACACATTCCATATGTTATATGTGTTATATACTGTATTCTTACAATAAAGTAAGCTAGAGAAAAGAAAATGTTATTAGGAAAATCATAAAGAAGAGAAAGTATATTTACTATTCATTAAGTGGAAATGGATCACCATAAAGTTCTTCATCCTTGTCATTTTCACATTAAGTAGGCTGAGGAGAAGGAGGAAGAGGAAGGGTTGATCTTGCTGTCGAAGGGATGGCAAAAGCAGAACAAGTTGAGGAGGTGGAAGGAAAGGCAGGAGAAACAGGCATACTTGGTGAAAATTTCCAGAAATTCATCGTAATTCCTGTCTTTTTTGCTTTTTCATTTCTCCAAAAATGTTTCTGTATAGTACCAATCTTCCTTTCATAGTTTGCTTTAGTCTCACCACCTGTATCATGGAAGGGTCCATGTTATAAAAAAGTTAGAAGCAATCTTGAATAATCAGAATCCTTCTGCCAGATTGTCTAATGTCAATTTATTTTCTGGCACTGCTTCCTCTATGTTTTCTTCCTCATGATTTGGCACTGGTTCAGAAACACTCATCTCCATCAAGTCATTTTCTGTTAGTTCCTCTGCTCTGGTGTTTATTAGCTCTTGAATTTCTCTTTACCACCACACCCACCCCTTTTGGTCATATCCAAAATCTCTTTCATGATTTTCTTGATTGGCTCTGTCATAAATCCTGTGAAGTCATGCACAACATGTGCACACAGTTTTCTTCAGCAGAAATTTGTTGTTTCAGGCTTAAAGACTCATGGCTTCTTCTACAACAATTATGGCCTCTTCAACGAAATAATCTTTCCAGACTTTCATAATGTTCTATCAGGATTCTCTTTCATGGTGTTGGCAATTCTTTTCATAGAGTACCATTTGTAATGAGCCTTAAAGGTCCTTATCATCCCCTAATCTAGAAGCTGAATTAGAAATGTGTTTAAGGGCAAGTAGACCACTTTGATGTCTTTGATGTTGAACTCATGGAGTTGTGGGTGGCCAGAAGCATTGTCCAATATGAAAAGAACTTTAAAAGGCAGTTTCTTACTGACAGGGTACTTCTAGACTTCAAGCACAAGTCATCAATGAAACAAATTAAAAGATGAAACCGATTCAAAGAAAGAGTTCTCATTATTGAGACCTTCTTGTTGTAACAAAAGAGACTGGCAGCCGGTAATTATCTTTTCCCTTGAAGGCTTGGGGGTTAATAGTTTTATAAATAAAGGAATTTGTAAATAAAGGCCCAACTGCATTTGCACAAATCAGTAGAGTTAGCCTGTCCCTTCCTGCCTTAAATCCTCATGCTCACTTCTCTTTCTTACTAAGAAACATTCATGGTATTTTTTTTCTAGAATAGAGCACTTTCATCTGCATTAAAACCTTGTTCAGTAAGATCTCCTTTCTCTTTGATGGTTTTTTTATTGACATCTGGAAACTTGTCTGCTGCTTCTTGGTCAGTAGAAGATACTTCTCTTGTTATATTGACTTTAAAAAGCCAAACCTCTTTCTAAAATAGATCTAACCATCCTTTGCTGGCATTAAATTCCCCAGCTTTAGATCCTTTACCTTCCTTTTGCTTTAAGTTGTCATATAATGACTTCATTTTTCCTCAAATCATATTAGTCTATAGATAAATATATGCCTTTCTTATAGTAATTTGGCACGCAAATAAAAGCTGCATTTTCAAAATGAGATAAAAAGCTATTTTTAAAAAAGTTCAAGACTTTCACTGCATTTTTTGCTGGTGTATTCCCAGTGATAGCTTTATGAATTCCTTCCTTAAAAAAAATTGTAGTCCTTAGGCTGGATTTATTTATCTTGAAACAACAGTCAACCACAGCTGCAGACCTCAATCTATGAGACACATCAAGTAATTCAATTTTTATTGTTATATTCTCTGCTTCATGAGAGCACTTCCAGTTGATATCACTAGTGGTACTTCATATGGGTTGCATGGTGTCATTCAAGGTTAGAGTATTGCACTAAAGACAGTACAAAATACGCAAGGAACTGCAAGAGACCACTTTTTACTATCATATGCCATTTGCTGGAGAGATGAACTGCTCACTTGGAGGTGATTGGCATCACTTGACATTTTATACAGATACAACACTTGAGCCCACTGCAAGAGGATCAACAAGAAACAGAAAACAAATGAGAGGGAGTCAACTTTATAAAAATATGAAATTATTGCTGTAAAAAGTAATTCTATGACATGATTGTCTGTGTAGAAAATTCCAAAGAATCAACAACAAAAAGAACTCCTGAAACTAATAAGAAATTATAGCAAGGTTACAGGATAGAAGGTTAATATACAGTATGTTTCCTCTAAGAGTAGAGAAAGTTTAGATGTAGAAAAACAGTCTGATATAAATACAAAAGATAGTGGCATTACAACTGATTTCGATATAGCTTGGGCTTGTGACAATTTCATCAACACTTACTACTTAAAAGCCAGAATTTACTAATCCCCAAAGTAAAAAAATAAACACAAAACAAAAAACAACAACAATAAAAAAAAAACAGAGAAGAATATGTCCCCTCTGCGATCATTAAAAAGTCAGGAAACAACAGGTGCTGGAGAGGATGTGGAAAAATAGGAACAGTTTTACACCGTTGGTGGGACTGTAAACTAGTTCAACCATTGTGGAAGTCAGTGTGGTGATTCCTCAGGGATCTAGAACTAGAAATACCATTTGACCCAGCCATCCCATTACTGGGTATATACCCAAAGGACTATAAAACATGCTGCTATAAAGACACATGCACATGTATGTTTATTGTGGCACTATTCACAATAGCAAAGACTTGGAACCAAGCCAAATGTCCAACAATGATAGACTGGATTAAGAAAATGTGGCACATATACACCATGGAATACTATGCAGGCATAAAAAATGATGAGTTCATGTCCTTTGTAGGGACATGGATGAAGCTGGAAACCATCATTCTCAGCAAACTATCGCAAGGACAAAAAACCAAACACCACATGTTCTCACTCACAGGTGGGAATTGAACAATGAGAACGCATGGACACAGGAAGGGGAACATCACACACCGGGGACTGTTGTGGGATGGGGGGAGTGGGGAGGGATCGCATTAGGAGCATTAGGAGATATACCTAATCTTAAATGATGACTTAATGGGTGCAGCACACCAACATGGCACATGTATACATATGTAACAAACCTGCACGTTGTGCACATGTACCCTAAAACTTAAAGTATAATAAAAAATAAAAATAAAAATAAAATAAAATAAAACAAACAAAATAAAACAACAAAGAATATGTCCCCTCTGTTAAATGAAGTAAACTCTTCATGAGAATTTTTTTTGCTTTTTGTTCTAAACTAATTTCAACTTAATCCTTTTTGTGTTAAAAACTCTCTAAAGTGGCCACTGAAATTTCAAACTGTCCCTAGTATTCCTTAGAGAAATATGTATAGCAATTATATTATTATGAGAAAACATGGAGGGAACAGGTGTTTGCCCTGGAAGAAGCAGGAGTTTAGATTAAGAAGACCCCATCATAACCATCAGGACCAAGGATAAAGCTATAATTGCTAAGGAAGCTGTAGTTATATATAATAGTTATGATATAAATATATTCAATTATTTTGGAAGTTTGACATTTTTCCTGTTTTGTCTGTGTTGAGACATAACTTTGGTGTGTGCTTGTTTTTGTCTTGATCTATTATGGTTACAGAGTGGCTTTAATTGAAATTGGTGTTCTGTAAAATTGTTATGTTTAACTAGAGAACACCAAGGCCTAGCTATGAATGCCAGGCCAGCTCCTAGCAACACTAGAACCTAACTGATGGTACCCAGCATAAGCTAGACTGGGAGGTGGGTGGCTGCACACTCAAAACTGGCTTCCAACGGGACACAGACATCAAAACAAAGAAGAGGGTATGGTATGCAAACGAAGTTGAGGGGCAAGAAACCTAACTTATGTGACATCTAGATCCCTTCTCAAATCTTTTGTCTTAGTCTGTCTGTGCTGTCTCTTACAAAGTGCCATCAACTGGGTAGCTTATTAACAACAGAAATTTATTTCTTACAATTCTGGAGACTGGGAAGAGCAAGATGTTGGCAGATTCAGTATCTGGTGAGGGCCTGGTTCATAGATGGAGCCTTCTCTCTGTGTCCTCAGATGGCAGAAGGGCAAAGAGGTCTCTTTGGGGCCTCTTTTTTATTTTTATTTTTATTATTACTTGTTTGAGACGGAGTCTTGCTCTGTCGCCCAGGCTGGAGTGCAGTGGCGTGATCTCGGCTCACTGCAAGCTCCGCCTCCAGGGTTCACACCTTTCTCCTGCCTCAGCCTCCTGAGTAGCCCGCCACCACACCTGGCTAATTTTTTGCATTTTTAGTAGAGATGGGGTTTCACCGTGTTAGCCAGGATCGTCTCGATCTCCTGACCTCGTGATCCGCCCTCTTCGGCCTCCCAAAGTGCTAGGATTACAGGCGTGAGCCACCGCACCTGGCCTGGGGCCTCTTTTATAAGGGCATGAATCCCTTTGATGAGGACTCTACCCTTGTGACCTGATCACCTCCCAGAAGTCCTACGTCCTAATACTCCTCACCTTGGAGGTTAAGATTTCAACATATAAGCTGGGCACTGTGGCTCACACCTGTAATCCCAGCACTTTGGGAGGCCGAGGTGGGTGCATCACTTGAGGTCAGGAGTTCAAGATCAGCCTGGCCAACATGGTGAAACCCTGTCTCTGCTAAAACTACAAAAATTAGCTGGGCATGGCGGTGCATGCCTGTAATCCCAGCTACTCGGGGGGCTGAGGCGGGAGAATCAGTTGAACCGGGGAGGCGGAGGTTGCAGTCAGCCGAGATAAAGCCATTGCACTCCAGTCTGGGCTACAGTGTGAGAGTCCATCTAAAAAATATATGTATATTTTAACATATACATTTTTGGGGAACACAAACATTCAGACTATAGCATCCTGAGAGAGACTTTTTATTTCCCTGAAAATCTAGTCAAATTTCTTTTTGTGGATTATAACAATTGTGAAATTGACTATGCCTCCTTTTACAGTTTGACTTTCAGATAGCTCAGCCAGATACATCCTCCTAGTCTGTACCTCCTTTTCTAATTTATATTTTCCCTCCTTATTTTATCATTTATTTTACCATTTTATGGTATGCTTTTCTTCAAATCTTATATGGAAGAAGGTACCCATAAAAAAACCGATCAACTAATTATAATTTTGTAAAAATCGCCTCCTCTTCATGTATATAAGACATTAAATAGTGTAAAAGTAATAGATAATATAGGCACAGTGAGCAAAGATGTCACCATTTAAACATAAAATCGATTGGCAATGACTGGAAAACTCTCTTCAACTCACTAAACTCTAAATCCAACCTTATAATTAATTGCAATTTTGAAATTATCTGGAAAATATTATTTAGAAAGAAGTTTGAAGAATGTTAGCTGCATTCACACATGTGAAATGCTTATTGCTGACTGTGTAAAGTACTGTGCTTGGCATTTGAGACAGCAGGGTGTATTGGTCCATTTTCATACTGCTATAAGGAACTGCCCGAGACTGGGTGATTTGTAAAGAAAACAGGTTTAATTGACTCACAGTTCAGCATGGCTGGGGAGGTCTCAGGAAATTTACAATCTTGGCAAAAGATGAAGGGGAAGCAAGGCACTTCCTTCACAGGCAGCAGGAAGGAGAAGTGCTGAGCAAAGAAGAACGCCTTATGAAACCATCAGATCTCACAAGAACTCACTATCATGAAAACAGCATGGTGGAAACTCTCCCCATGATTCAATTACCTCCACCTGATGTCTCCCTTGACATGTGGGGATTATGGGGATTACAGTTCAAGATGAGATTTGGGTGGGGACACAAAGCCTAACCATATCACAGGGTTTCAAAAACTGAAGATTGAAACCCCTCCCTCAAAAGGTTTGCAGTCCACCTGGAAAACACCCACCATATTACTTTGGAGAATGATGGTGATTTGAAGCCGACTTTGTTTTTGGTGGACTGTGTTTCAAATCAGTGTAACTTTGCTCCTCCTGAACAAGGCACAGGTCTTTCTCGGCAGTTAATGTAATACCTTGTACATAGTGTGTGGTCATCAAACAGCTGTGGGTTGGATGTGGGGCAGACATCTACTGCACTGACAGCTGAAGCTACAAAATGCTGAAGTTAGGTTCTTCTTTCTGTTTAAACATACTTACTAAGAATTATTCACATCTTGTGAGACAACTTCAGGGCTTTCAACTCTATCTTCCCCTGAGAAATCCTGAGAAGTAATTAAATAAATAGAATATTGCCAGCCACACAAATTCTGTGAAGACAGAGAAAGATTATTTTGTTCATTGAGCTCTAGCCTAGAGGGGCAACAACACGCTCACACCTTCTTACCAGCAGCAATAAATTGGCAGCCTCAACCTATTATAATTCTCTTGGGTGGGTGCTGTCATAAATTCAGTACTTGGATGTAAGTTTCTTCTGTGGAAATGTAACTGGAGAACTAAGCTGCTATATCAGGCTCAAAATGTAGAGTTTTCCTTCAGAGACTTTAACTAGTTCATTTTCATTTTGATGAATACCTCAGGGAAAACTGAAGATAATAGAAAATAAGAAAATGAATTGTATTTTAAAAATAACTACAATGGGACTCATACTGGTGGTGTAATTGCTTGGGGCTGATAGAATGAGACTGGCAGCATTATTTTTCTATCTTGAGACTGAGACATGATGTGCCATTGGGGCATACTTCGGCAAAGAGAGACAGTAAATGAGGCTCACTAGAACTGAACAGGTTTGACAGACAACTATGGAGGTTCTACTAAGCGGCCAAAGAAAGTGTCCAAGGGATATAGCAAGCTCAGTCATAACTCAGGCAACAAGGAACATTGCAGTTTGTAGAAGTGGCAGCAAGGTCCCAACAAGGAAGTGTGGTCCATGAATGAGAATCAATAAAAGGCAGTCACCATCCAGATTCAACTGTAGAGCAGCAGCTCGAGTTACTCAATGAGTGCTCAAAGACAAATCCTGAACTGTTGAAGCAAAAGTGAGACTTAGAAGCAGGAACCAAAGCCGCAAGCCTTACCACTGGGTACATGTGGGTGGGGAGAGTTGGGACTGAAAAGGTGGTAAGAGGACCGCTGGTCAGCCCTGGGACCCTGGAGTACCTTGATTTGGTGGCTGCTCACTACTCTAACATGGGAGAGCTAAAGTTATGTGAATACAGTTCTTTGGACATTATGATTGCCTCTGGCAACTGGGCAGAGCTACACATTCTAACGGCGAGGCTAAGGCTTAGAAAATGAGATAGGGACTGAAATAATGTAACTCCTGTAGCTAGAATGGTACTCATCTATTTTAAAGGACCTCATATCCCGTGAATTCTACCTACTCCCTGCCACCCACACACAGCACCACAAGTCTTGTAAACAAAATAAGAAAACAGAATTACATTGTTATTCTTTAATATCTTCAGAGTTTGAAAATAATATTTTGACAAATATCTCCTTGAAAACATATATTCTGAAGGAGTAGAGGTTGGTTTTTATATTTCTATGGCATTGATTTCTTCTTACAATATAAAAAGACCAAATAGCCAATAGAGATGATAGAGATTAGTTGCACTATGGAATCAACTGGTGTTAAGAATCAAGACCTCAGGTTTGAAATCCAGCTTCTCTGCTCATTTTGTGATGTTGAGTAGGTTACCCAATATTCAAATAAATAGTGACCAAATCACTAAGGTTAACAGAGCCAGGAGAAAGATGAAATATAAGATTTAAGCATTGCATGTAGCTATAAGATGTTGGGTACAGTATGATGTATCCATAAACTGCAAAGTCCTGTTTAATGTACTAAATCTGTGAAATTCAGATACAGTAATAAAGTATGCTATACTTGGTTTCTCTCTCTCTCTTTCTTTCTCTCTTTCTCTATGTCTCTCTGTTTGTCTCTCTCTCTCTTTCCCTTCCTTCCTTCTTTCCTTCCTCTCTCTCTTTTTCCTCCCTTCCTTCCTTCCTTCCTTCTTTCTTTCTTTCTTTCTTTCTTTCTTTCTTTCTTTCTTTCTTTCTTTCTTTCTTTCTTTCTTTCCTTCTTCCTTTTTCTTTCTTGGCAAAGTCTTGCTCTGTCATCCAGGCTGAAGTGTAATGGCATAATCATACTTCATTGCAGCCTTGACTTCCTGAGCTCAAGTGATCCTCCAACCTCAGCTTCCCAAGGAGCTGAGAATACAGGCATGTGCCACCACTCCTGGCTCAGTTTTAACTTTTTTTTGTAGAGACCGGGTCTTGCTATGTTGCTCAGGCTTGTCTTGAACTCCTGCCTCAAGAAATCCTCCTGCTTCTTCATCCCAAAGTGCTGGGATTACAGGTGTTAGCCACTGCCTTGCCTGGCTTATTTCTTAATGACTTAATTTATCATTAGCAATGAGCTAAAATATCAATCTTAGAGATGCTTTCTCCTTCATCACCAATTCACCATGATGCTGACTGGAAGCAACTCAAATTTTGGTTTGAGGTAGATCCAGATTTGAAAATCTATCCTGCCTTTTCCTAACTATAAAAATCTGGACAAGAAATTGGATTTCTCTACACCTCATTTTTTTTTCCTGCTAAAGACAGATTAAAATAGCTATCTCATAGGGTTGCTATAAAGATAAAAAATGATATCTGTATAATACCTAGCACACATAGTAGATGCTTAATAAATGTAATTATTATCAGGGAGAGAAAATAGGACAGAGTAGCAGAAGAAAATGAGATTAAGCCCTAGGTTAAATCCTGTCTTTGGCATTTAGTAGTTTGAAAAGGTTAAGACACTGAACTTAAGAGTACTCATCCTAAAAATGGAAAGGCCAGGTGCAGTGCCTCACAGCTGTAATCCTAGTGCTCTATGAGACAGAAGCAGAAAGGTTGCTTGAGGCCAGGAGTTTGAGGCTGCAGTGAGCGATGATCTCACTCATCACTGCACTCCAGCCTGTGTGACAGAGCAAGACCCTGTTTCAAAAAAGAAAAAAAAAATAGAGATGATAATAGTCACCTTACAGCCTTTTTTATTTGTTCAAGCAATGCACCTGACATAATTTGTATCACTTAGTAGCCCTCGATAAATGATTATTAGCATTAACTTATTATTATATTGAGCTTCCCAATGGGAACCCCAGTAAAACATATTTAATGACTTCCTATATTAAAAAATGTTTACCTTATTTTACCTGCCTTATTTGACTTTATTTCTCAATTTGATTTCCTCACTTTATCCTGATTCCTACAGTTTAAATAAATGTCAAATGAACTATCAATGAAAAAATTATATTAAAAAATAATGTTGAATCCAAATTGGAAACGTCTATTCAGTAAATTGGGTTAGGTAGGTAAGATTCTGGCTTCTCTTTGTTTGCCAAAACAAACAAACAAACAACAACAACAAAACAAGGTTGTATTTTGGCTTCAGAAAGCGAGATCCTGCAGTTAAGACAGGATAGAGATAGGCTTTAAAAGCTAAATGAAATAAATAGTCTTGTAAAGGAAAAAAAAGGGAATTTTTCATGAGTCCCTGGAAGCCAGCGAAAAAGCATCCGAGCTGTTGTTTTCAGTAATAACCATGATTACTTGGTTAAAATACCCTGTACGAGACACTTCCTGTGCTTTCAGTGCCTCTACAAGGAAAATTAAAACAGAACACACAGCATTGGGGCCAATATGTTTCCAAGGAAGTCAATTATTAATATACTATTTAGTTTTTAATGAACTAAGCCTATGTATGTGGA
Organism: Homo sapiens; assembly: GCF_000001405.40. NCBI lineage: Eukaryota > Metazoa > Chordata > Mammalia > Primates > Hominidae > Homo > Homo sapiens. The sequence continues at coordinate 65,012,836 of NC_000008.11, forward strand.
GCGCTGCAAAGAGATCTCCATACCAGCCGAGAACAGGTGTTGGTATAAGCTTTGCCCGTATGTTTACCAACTGATTAGCACCCATTAAAATGATAATAATCTAATAAAAATTACTTTACATCCAGTGAAAGTAGAAACTCCCCTGTGTGTCGGAAAATGATTTTATGCCCATTGCCATGGCAAAAATAGGACTGAAGTAACAAGAATCCATACCCAAGGCACCCTGAATATTCTGAGTTTCTAGAGTGCAGACTTTTCCCTGTAAGCCTCCCTTTCTCCAAAAGGCTGTCCCAGGCAGTCAGGACAGTTTAGTTATTTTTGTAGCTTCCAGGGAAGGACAAACAGTCATCCACTCACCAACATCCTCTTTAGCATGAGGAAAAGAAATCAGATGCTTAGTAAACAATGCCGCTTTGTCTGCCGTAGGAGACTAGAAGCCTGGGTGAAGCCATGGGTGTCCTTGGGAGACATCCTGGGCCTGAGTTGAGGAAACTGAGGAAATGCCAAGCCTTCCTTCAGCTGGCAGGTTCCTAGCAAATTCCTGATTCCAGGCTGCTCATAGCAAACACTGGGATGAATGTGAAGTCAGATGATCCCCATCTTCACAATTTTTACCATTTCTTATGACAGGCTCTACTCACTGTTTCAACTGAGCCTGGAAAACTTTCCTTTTGCCTTCCACCAAAAGCCGAGCCCAGAAAATTGTAAGAATTTAGTTACAATGTAGTGTAAAAATTGAAAACTAAAAGATCTTTGCATTGTAACCAGAACCAAATTCATCTAAGCTAACAGATTAAACACTGTAGGAAATTAAGGCAAGTGGCCAAGTACAGGTCACAGCTCCCAGGTATTCACCCTCCTCATCTACCTGTGAGGTTTCCAGGTCCCTGTTTACTACACAATGGAGTGTATGCCTTAATTCTCCCTGATTGCTTCCCAAAAGCCATGATGGAAACAGCAGAAAGAATGAATTTTGGAGTTAGTAGTGAAGGTTTCCATTGTTTTATTTTAATAGTGATGGGCTCCCTATTGATATTTGGGCTATAGAAAGGAGGCACAGGGAGAAAAACCAAAGGATTTCTGGAAGTGAAGATTTTGTAGAAACTGTGAATGAGAGAGAGCAGCTCATTACTAATGCCAAATTCCGCCCTTTATGTATATGCCTTGCAATATTGAGGCTGCACAATATTTAATCGCTTTATACTTCTGATTAGCATAAGGGCAAAATGAGTTAAAGGCTGTTTTGGTAAATGAAAAGTTTCCTATTTAAAATAAAATGTCTACCCCTGGTTGGGGTAGAATAGGGTTCTTTGCAAAAGAAGGGTTTGGCAGGTATCAGATAAAGACAAAGAAGGGCAAGGTGAGCAGAATTCTTCTGTTGAACTATCTGGCTTCTCTGAGCTGCTACAAGAAACAGACATGAAAGAAGAAATCACAAGATTACCTGGGTCTCCAGGCAACCAAGCCATAACCTCCAGGCTAAACATTTTCTCAGAAAGGACTCAGCATAAATTTGCTCCATACTGTGCATGGACGTGTGCTGTACCAAAGTCACCATGCTGACAGAAAAGCATTGCTGTCATTTCTATGAAGAAAACTTTGAAACTTCATGGTTTTTCTTTGCCATGATTGGTGGCTTTTAACATTCAGTGAAAACTTCTTGTTCTAGCCAGTGGACTTGAAAATTGGTGCTTGGATTGGGAACCAAGAAGATATAAATCCCAAGACTGTAAATTGGCCACGTTGGAAAACACACTTTAGAAAGTATGACTAATGACTCTATTGTATTCACATTTCTTTATCTTTACCCGGAGGAGAGTGAGCTGCCACCAATTAACAGTTCTCAGAATGAAATGGAAGCTCCACCTGGCTTCAGAAAAGCAGCTGAGCAGGATTGGGGCAAATCTGGGGTGAATGATTACAATAGCAGGAAATGCAATGTAAAATTAAATCCTATCTTCTCAGCATGCAACCAGTTCAAGTCTAAACTTTTATCTCCCATTTGTGGCATTTTGGGAAAATTTATACAAATAAGTCTCCAAGAGGTCTATTTTTATTTGTTATCTGTCCAGTATATTTAGGTGAAAATACAACCACAATAAAATCCCAACGTGAGCAATAAACCCTCAAATCTCATTAAAAATAGAATTTGTTTTACCAAGGGATATGACAGAGTGATGACTTTATTACTTTGTGAGAGGCCAGAGGATGGGTAAGGAAAAGGGTCACCTCAAGGGATTGTATCTGTCATCTAGGAGATCTTGAGTCCAGGGAGAGCCAGTGAGTCTGTGATCTTTCTCACCAGACCAGGTCTACAAGTACAACATGGTAGGGCATACTTGACTGTCTGCTGCTGGCCCTTTATGCAAAACTAACCCACCCATAGGCTGTACTATGATTCGCTCGCAAAGGCACATACAAATTGAACCCTGGAAACCACGTAATTCCTCTAGGGCCCACCCCCCACTTCCTACTGCCCACTCCCCACCTCTGCCCCTGCCACAATGGCTTCTCACGTGTTATTACTTTTCAGGGGCCATATTGCAAATTCAGTGGCCTGACTTACTAGTGGCTTCTGGATTTCTTGACCTTCACAGTGTGGACACCACTTCTGACTTGTTAGAGCTTAACACTCCTGCCCAGCTTTTGCTCTTGTTTATATCTGTATTGGCGGTCTTAATGAGACAAGAAATTTTCCTTGATCCCTTTGCAGGCCTCACGACAGGGTTGCCTTGCTTACTCAGCCCACAGCTCTCAAACCGTTGCGCGAGGAAGAGCACGCAGGAGAACAGGTGCAGGAGCCAGAGCAAGACATTTAGGCACTGACGGGAACAAAACTCTGCAGCCCTGTGGCAGTGTCTAAGGAGGTACCCATGACTCCTGAAGCTCCAGACGGCATGTGTGACAGTGCTCTGTTAGCTTTGCTGTCCACTTACGGCTGAAGTGTTAAACAGCTCAGTGGGCCCTCTGCCTTTTCGCGAGGGCAGAGGGTCAGTGCGACAGCCTTTAGCATCCACACCCATGGCATCCAAACTTTTGTTTGTCATCCAGGAAGAATCAGGTCACATAAACAAACTGAAGGGTGGTGAATATGGAGGATTTTATTGCCAATGAAAGTGGTTCTCATCAGGGCCATGGGTAGTTTTAGAAAAGGCAACATTCGAGCGGGAAAACAGGAATGTGTGTTCTCACTTTGGGCTGTAGCTCCAGGCTTGAGGGTGGGGCTTTGCCAGGGACCCGCCTTTCTCTGTCTAGAATTTCTGTGCCTCCTGCCCCTATCATTTGTAGTTTTAATTAAGTTCACCCAGCCGGGCCCGGTGGCTCATGCCTGTAATCCAAGCACTTTGGGAGGCCCAGGTGGGCGGATCACGAGGTCAGGAGATTGAGACCATCCTGGCTAACACGGTGAAACCCTGTCTCTACTAAAAATACAAAAAATTAGCTAGGCATGGTGGCGGGTGCCTGTAGTCCCAGCTACTCAGGAGGCTGAGGCAAGAGAATGGCATGAACCCGGGAGGCAGAGCTTGCAGTGAGCCGAGATCACACCACTGCACTCCAGCCTGGACGACAGAGCGAGACTCTGTCTCAAAAATAAAATAAAATAAAATTTTAAAAAGTTCACCCTAGTTCAGCCTCAGGCCTCAGCCATTTCTGAAGTAACAGAGTTGCACAGATATGACATAGATTTGCCTCCTGATGTAACCACAAGGTTTTGGGCAAGGTCTGGAGACCAGTTGGGTAACATGGTGGCTATCATTAATGTTGAGTATCACACCTCCCATAATTTTGCTTCTAGAGGTGATGGAAGAGGGGCACTTGACTCTCCAGGAAACCAAGGGTAATTGTAAAAAGCAAGAATTAAAGACACAGCCTCTTCTTTGGCCCTGACAGTCAACTAGAACTGTCACTGGGATTAGCAGAGTATCATGACAGAGAGTTCTTTTTGTTAGATGGGTCAAGCTGTTGTCACAATCCAAGTGAAACTTAGAAGTCAGCTGTCTCCTCAACTTGACTTGGGATAGGACTTTGTAACTCTATGCAATCTCCATAAAGAATTCACCACCCCACAAATCAAAAAATTATCTGAAGATTTTATCAGGGAGATCAGACGTCCAACAGTAAATTTTTTTAAAATGCTCATTAGGCATGTTTTTTTGCCAAAACTTTGTCTTCCTTGCTTGCCCTCACCAAAGTTTTCCACTCTATTCTTCCATCACAAGGAGGCTGGGCTCCCATCCTCCTCTATTTATGTTGCCATTACCAAGATCAATCCCACTTCAGAGGCAATGGTGAGTTATAAACAATAGCTGCAACAAAACAATTTGTGTTACATAAGAATAAAATTCTTAAGCGAGAGAGATGAGTATTTCCATATTCATGATACCACTTACTTCTCACTCTAACCCTAGGATGCATGCATTATTCTCCACGACTGATACAGAAGTAAATTCCAGAAAGCTTTAAAGTCAGTTTGTATAAAGAGGTGAGATACAACCCCAAATCACATGGCTCCAAGTCAGGGTTATTTCTGTGGAGTCAGGTACTCTTGGATGCTTAACATCTAAGTGGGGGAAAGGGATTGTTAGCCCTTCATGATCATTTTAATCACAAAAAAGATAACAAATTTTGACCAAAGTGAGTTTAGAGGCCTTGATTTGATCCAGTTATCAGATTTCCTGAAAGGGTGTGTTCTGCAAAAAGAAATACCAAGACAAAGGAATTGAGAAACTCCTATCTAAGAAAGAAAATGAGACCGTCACACACGGTATTTTTCTACAATTTTCTTATCTTATTCAACTCATTTTGTTAACAGAGGTTCTCTTTGACTGTGAAACAGAAGAAAATCTTTCCTTAACAATAACTTACACGTGCCATGAAAGAGATGAAGCAGAAGATTAAGCAGGAAACCCAGCTACTTTTTTGCCCTAAGGCATTACTCATTTTCCTGACACATTATGTTTTTAATTAAAATTACATGTGAGTTAATTAAAATGCTCACTCGGGCACTTTCTTCCCTTTTCTTGCATAGATTCCTTGTTACTCGTTTAGCTTTTTGGTAAAATTCAGTTTCATTTTAACTCTGTTGCCTTTATCAACTAAAACTTTAGCAGAGTCTGTATACTAAACTAATTTTTTGAAAAACCTAATTTGAAAAACTTATCCTTAAGCGACCAGGGAAAACAGAGGTAGCTAGGGGCAGAATCATTCTGGCTCTTGCATTCTTCTCTAGTTATTTAAGCAAAAAGTATGCAACTGGCATTAATAGAAAGTATATCTAAAAGGGAACTGTGATTTTTCTTGCAATAGACATGTTTATCCATCTACAGTCCATCATTCTGGAAAGGGTCATTGCTAGGGCAGCTATGGTTATATATACCTCACCTTTCCCTGACCACAGCTGGTTGATTAGCTGCTGGTAGGCATCCATCTAGTCCAACTTAGCAATTGACAGGCCAGTACCCCAAGAGAAAAAATCACTCTTGAAAGTTTTGATATAGAGACACAGAGACCTTGGTTCCTGATAAGGTCTATACTGGATGAGTGAGGACAAATAAGGTGGAATTGGAGTGGGTTCATTTGCAAACAGAGGAAGTTTGTTGAAAGAAAGACCAGACAAGAAGAAACAGATGGTAGCAGCCCATGACCTAGGAGAAAAACAGAGAAGACCTTCAGGGTCTTCCCATTCCCACTTCCTATGAAGCCCAGCTGAATCCTTACTGTATCCCTAAGATGGCCTATTTTGTTTGTTTCTTTCATAAATTTATCTTTTCCAGAGTTAGCTAAAATGAATTTTTGACGCTTGTAAACAATGAGCTCTGATTAAAATACCTGTGCTTCAAAAACCCATGTCCCTATGCAGCCTGAAAGAGGCAATATTAAAAAGACAAGTCATAAAATGAATAGTAAGAAACTAACAATTGCAATTCAAGGATATATAGGCTAAAGCTACATCAGTGAAGTGAATTCCAAGAGGTGAAGGGTATTTTTTCCAACCGCGTTAGAAGTCCTCTATGAAGAGTTTGGGGAAAATCTTTATTTATTTATTTATTTTTTCATTTCAGGATTACAGGTACATGTCCATTTCCAGTGATGTTTTAGTACCCCAATAATGTGTTAATGCATATAAAAAATTGGTACCCTGAGCAGCTGCCTGGCTGACCCATATTTGTTCATTTTTCTCTGTTACCTGGATAAGGTCTGCCACATGTTTCCTTCCAGATCAGATTTCTAAAATACCAGTATTAGCCTAGATGGATGTGGTGCCCACCCAGGTTGGACTTTGTGCCATGGCTGGACAGCTCCTTGCCTGGGACCTGCAATCCATTAATCCTCTGAACTCTTGAACCTCCTTGGCATCTTAAGTACTGTGATCTATCATTATCCCATCCCAAATCTTTATGGCAAACCCATGGATCAGGGTGAAATCTATAGTACCTCATTCTTGCTTGCATTTGGGCAGCATGTGACTGGTGGGAAACTTACAGTGACTCTGGCTGGTCTCCCTTTAAATTTATGATCATGAACCTCAAGTGCACCCAGAATGTTGCCAGGCCAGTCATGCCATTTCCCCTAGTCCATCCATTTTCTCACTGTAGCCCTAGAACTCCTTGATGAATCTGAATAAATTAGAGTTTTCTGTTCCTCTGCTCTTATTCCCCCTTGAATCAGTTCCAATCAGACATTGGCCTCCACCCACTCCATCAAAACTTCTATTACTAAGTCTCCAGTGCCCTTTATGTTTCTAAACCCAGTGGTCAGCATTTAGTACTCATATACTTGACTCATTGGCAGCAGTTAGCAGACTTGAGCATGTCTTTCTCTGTGACACATTTCCATCATTTAACTTCCAAGATATCGTTCTCTTTGTTTTGCTATCTCACCTGGTTCTTCTTCTTAGGCTCCTTTGTTGCTTGTCTCTTTGACTTCTTAATGTTATGCTTCCCCAGGACTTAGCTCTTGTTATTTTTCTCATATCTATCTACAGTCTCACCGCTGGTGATATCATTGAACCTAATGGCTTTAAACACAATTTCTATGCAAATGACTCACAAATTTGTATCCTAAACTCAGACATCTTCTCTGAAATCCAGATCTCTATATTCACTTTCCTACTTTTCTTTATTTGAATATCCATTAGGGACCTAATACTTAAATCTAAAACCCAACTCCTGGTATTTCTCCTATTAATTGGCTTTATCTATAGCCTTCTGTCATTGGAGGGCTACTCTATCTTTTCAGTTTTTCAGCCCAAAACCTGGGAGATAGCCAAGATTCCTCTTTATCTCGCTTTCATGGTCAGAATCATTATTTTGTAAGATTCTGTGAACTTTACATTGAAAATATTTATCCAGAATCACCACTAATTGCAGTCTCTATTGCCACCACACTTTTCCAATGATCATGATTACTTCAAGAACCTATAACTGGTTTCCCTGATTTCCTGTTTGTACTTCTACTATCCATTTAGAGTAGAGCAGCAAGAGTGTTTCTTTTAAAATGCAGGTCAAATTGTATCTGTCACCTACTAAAAGCCCTGCAATGCCTTCCTATTCTACTCAGAGTAGAAGCCAAAGGTTTTATAATGGCTGACATGTTACACAGCTCATTCAGTTCTAGACACAGTGACCTCATTGCTGATCCTCCAAAACTCCAAGAACATTCGTCTTTTCCCACAGTTTCCCCTTAGGTATCCACAAGGCTGATTCCCTTATCTCATTTAATTCCTTGTTCAGAAGTCACATTTTTAACAAGGTCCACTCTAACCATCTATTTAAATTGTACTCTCCCATATCCTGATACCTTTTAACCTGCTCTCTCTGGTTTTCTATAGAGCTTATTGTTTTCTAACATACTGTATAATTTACATCTTATTATTTGTTCTGCTTTTATTCTGTTGATTTTCTCCCTCATATGCAAATGTAATCTACATACAAAATTCAGAGGTTTTGTATATTTTTTACATAAATATTTCCAAGCGTCTAGAATAGTATGGCTGGCAAATCAGTATTTGTTGAATGGATGAATGAATATTTCTAGGTGGAGGAGGCAGATCACAGATTAGGGAGGAAGAGGTGACTTGGACTTGCTTGGAAGAGTAGGAGAGAGTTTTAAAAAACCCTGAATAAAGGTACTTTTAAATCTTCTTCCAAACATTAAGCTGTGACATGTATAAGGTAAGACTGCATGAAGCTAGAAAAACAACAAACATCAGAGAAAAGAACTACTTGAGACCTGTAAGCTAAAACACTATCTGAACCTACACATGATTGTCTGACCAATTAGCCAAAAGACCTCCTTGAACACCAGGTGCACTCAGTAAAGACCCCACAAAAGTCATGCCTTAACAGTACAGTCAAACTAGTCCTAGAGTATAGGCTACTCTAGGCCTGCCTAAACAAAGCTTGAAAACCCTCCTTAAAAGACTAAGCTAATTTATAAGTAAATTCATTCCCCGTCAGAAAAAATAGGGAACATAACAGAATCCAGAAAACAAAAAGACAATATTTGAGGTCTTTTGTGGTTGTATATGAGTTTTATAATTGTTTTTTCTATTTCTGTGAAAAACTGTCATTGGAATTCTGATTGGGATTGTGTTGAATCTATATAAAGCTTTGGGTGCACAGTATGAACATTTTAACAGTATTTTCCCAATTCACAAACACAGGGTATCTTTCCATTCATTGGGTCTTGCTCAATTTCTTTCATTAATGTTTTATAGTTTTTGGTGTACAGATTTTTACTTCTTGGTTAAATTTATTCCTAAGCATTTTATTATTTTTGATGGCTATTGTAAATAAGATTGTTCCTTGATTTCTCAAATTGATGATTATTGATATAAAGAAATATATTTTTCTTTGTTGATTTTTATATTTTGCCACTTTTCTGAACTTGAGTTTTGTGGAGTTTTTAGGGTTTTCTACATGTAGAATCATATCATCAGCAAACAGAGATACTTTTACTTCTTCCTTTATAATTTGGATACCTTTCATTTCTTTTTTTTGTCTGATTGCTTTTGTTAGAGGCATCATTCTTCCTGATTTCCAAATTATACTACAAAGCTATAGTAATCAAAACTGTGGTGCAGGCATAAAAACAGAATCATAGAAAAATAGAACAGAGGCCAGGTGTAGTGGCTCATGCCTGTAATCCCAGCACTTTGGGAAGCCAAGGTGGGTGGATCACAAGGCCAGGAGTTCAAGACCAGCCTGACCCAGATGGGGAAACCCCATCTCTACTAAAAATACAAAAATTAGCCAGGTGCAGTGGCATACACCTGTAGTCCCAGCTACTCAGGAGGCTGAGGCAGGAGATTCACTTGAACTCAGGAGGCAGAGGTTGCAGTGAGCCAAGATTGTACCACTGCACTCTAGCCTGGCTGAGACAGCAAGACTCCATCAAAAAAAAAAAAAAAAGAACAGAATAGAGAGCACAAAAATAAACCTAAGCATATATGGTAATGAATTTTTGACAAGGCCATTCAGATGGGGAAGGATAGTCTATTCAGTTAATAATTTTAGAGAAACTGATATTCACATGCAAAAGAATAAAATTGCACCCTTATCTTGTACCATACACAAAAAAATCAACTCAAAATGACTTGAAGACCTCTATGTAAGACCTCAAACCGTAAAAACTCTAGAAGAAAACATAAGGGAAAAGCTCTTCGATCTTTGGCCTTGGCAATGATTTCTTTAGATATTACACCAAAAGTAATAAAAACAAAAATAAACAAGTAGGACGACATCAAACTAAAAAGCTTTTGCACAGCAAAGTCAACAATTAACAAAATGAAAAGGCAGCCCATGGATTCGGAGGAAATATTTGCAAACCATGTATCTGATAAGGGGTTAATATCTAAAACACATAAGAATCTCAAACAACTTATAATTAGAAAACAAATAATCCAATTAAAAAATGGACAAAGGACCTGAAGAGACATTTTTCCAAAGAAGACATACAAATGGCCAACAAGTATATTGAAAAGCGCCTAACATCACTAATCTTTTGGAAAATGTCAATCAAAACCACAATGAGATATTATCTCACACTTGTTAGGATGGCTATTATCAAAAAGAGATAACAAGTGTTGGTGATGGTGTGGAGGAAAGGGATTTTTGTATACTGTTGGTCAGAATGTAAATTGGTACAATCATAAAAACAGTAAAGAGGTTCCTCAAAAAATTAAAAATAGAGGTATCATATGACACAGCAACCTCTCTGCTGGGTATATACCCAAAGGAAATGAAATCAGCACCTTGCATAGATACCTGCAATCCAATGTTTATTGCAGCACAATACTCTACACAATTATTCACAATACACAAGATATGGAAACCTAAGTGTTTATTGATGGATGAATAAAGAAATTATATACATATATATACATGTGTGTGTATAATGTATATATGCACATATATAAAATAAAATATTATTCAAACTTGAGATACTGTCATTGGCGACAACATAGATGAACATGGAGGACATCAAGCTAAGTGAAATAAGGTAGAAATTGAAGGAAAAATATTGTATAATCTCACTTAGATGTGGAATTTTTTGAAAAGTCAAATACCTAGAGACAGAAAGTAGAATGGTGGTTACAGGAGTGAGGAGGGAGAGGAAATATGGGAAAGCAGGTCAAAGAGCGCAAACTTGAAGTTACACAGGATGAGTAAGTCTAGTCCAACAGAGTAAGGACTATAGTTAATAATATTTTACTATATACTAAAAATTTGCTAAAAGAGTAGATTTTAGGAACTTGTACCACAAAAAAAGAAAGAAAGAAAGAAAGAAGAGTAACTATGGAAGGGGATGGATAGGATAATTTGCTTGACTGCAGTAGTAATTTTGCTATGTATATATGTATACATATTGCTATGTATGTATATCCAAAACATCATATTGCACACCTTAAATATATACAATAAAAAGGAAAATAACAAAATCTGAACACTAAATTCCGTAACATTTAGGTATTCAGTATCTATAAAAACTACTATACTTGAAAAGCAGAAGGAAATGTGACCCATAACTAGGAGAAAAAATCAGCTAGTTCAAGGTAAAATATGGAAAAGAGAAAAATTGCATTTAGTATCTTCTACCTACAACCTACACAATCAGTGGAATCCCATATCTTGAAGCCTTTCCGGCTCAACCCACACCCCTCCGCCCCCAGCATCACAGTGCTCAGAGCGCCACACAGCAGTGCTCTTTTGTCTTTCTCTTCTGTACCCAAGTGAACTCACGTGATCTGTCTGTTCGTGATTCTTTTTTACTTAGGTTTTCTCTCCTTTGTATATCGGATTTTCAACTAGCTAATCTGATAATCTCATGTATTGTAATGAAGAAAGGCCAGAGCTACAAAGGCTCCCCCGCCATTATCACCCTGTGGTGCTTTTCTTTACCTCCTGTGGTATTGTCATCTTACTCTAAATTGTAGGAAGTTCACTTGACTGGGGGACAAGAAAACTGGGTGGAAGAGATAACTTTGAATGTTGGAAAGTCATGGTCCTATTTTGGAACTATTTTAGGTCCAAATACGTCATGGACCTATTTATGGCACCTATTTTGAGTTTCATGTCAGGCGTAATTATTGTTACCAGAACACAAGATCAGGGAGGAACGAACTGAGATGCTTATGAGATGCAGTTTGGCAAGGTTTCTTTAATTTTCTCCTACTTTAGATTGGATTTTGGTGCTTGAGACTGACATGAAGTAAAGCTAGCAAAAGTGTATCAGGTGGCCCCAGACAGAGGTGGGGATGAAGTAAGTTCAAGGAGTTAGTGGCCTGGCAGGAAAGAATGAATATTGCTGAATATGAAAAGGTAGAAAACTCTTCAGTGAGCAATAGTTACTCTCAATGTATTTTAAAACCTCCTGAACATTTGTACAGAGAGAGTACAGAGAGCCTCAGTTTCTGTGGCTCAACCTTTTGACTTATCTTTGGAATAATCATTTCATTTGGAAATATTGATTGTTGTAGCTAAACATTTTAGTAAATGTTTAGTTTAACCTACAATATGTTAATATATTTCTTTCACGGAATCAGATAACTACCTAATTTTGCAGAAAAATTACAAGCGTTTCTTTTTTAAAAAAAAATGATTTAAACTCAGCAGGCATCTCACCTCAGAAATAGCAAGGCATTATTTAATTTTAAAAGTGTTTTAGTGTGACATTTTAGGCATTTGGGAAAGTGCATAAAAGATAAGGTTACCTGACAGTAAGGCTGTTTCACAACATCATTACACTGATAACTACTGGAGTCATTTCATTTGCACGAAGCCATTTGATTATGGCATTGGAAATCAAGTGATATTGTGTTTGGAACCATTTGTGTGTGCTATTTATTTTAGCATAATACATATTTATTGGTATTTTATTCACAATATAAGTCACATGTTAATAACAGTTTAACAGGCTTTAGAGCCTTTCCTTCTCACATGTCCAATAACAAGTTCATGAGTAATTCCACAAGGTACACTTATCCATGAAGGGGTCCTAATCATATATATAAACAAGCATTTCCTCCACAGTTGAGCAGATACTTGTATGATATTGTCTCCTTTGTAGGGTGGCTAGATTTAGCAAATTAAAATACCGTACAATGTTAAATTTTATTTGAGATAAATGATGAACAAATTTTTAGTACAAGGGTATCTCATGCAATATTTGAGACATACTTGTCCTAAAAATTATTTATTGCTAATCTGAACGTTAAACTTAACTAGACATCCTTTATTTTATCTGGCAACTCTTCTCCTAGAAACATGGTCTTATCAACTTTTAAAAATCAACCACAGATATTTCAAGCTAGTACAAGCCCCATATAGAAATTTTACTTCAGTAACATGACATTTAGAGATGGCTAGAGCTATCAATCCCCCACCCCCAACAAATCCACTGCCATTTGGGTCTTAAATGCTGCCAGAGAGAGCTGAGTGGCATCTCTTTCACATAAATTACATCTACAGAGTTACATTGTATGGAGGAGTTTATTGAGAGTAAAAGGATTTAGATTCTGATTTAGAACTTCATTAGCCCCATGATAAGTTTAATTATATATAAAAAAAAGAGATTGGCTTTGGTGGCGCAGCCCATCAGTTTGGGTTATATAGAAAAACTAGGCCCCTGATGGGAAACTCACCATCAGTATTGATGGAATCTGGCCTGATGATCTGGCCTATCAACAAAGTCAGGCTGTGAGGCAGAGATAGATGCAGGTCCTGAGTTGTATTGACATAATTCTCCCTGGACAATGAATTCTCAGAATCTTTCATGGAGACAAGGGGAACATTCAAAACAGCTCATTGCTGGGGCTTCAGCTCCATGCTCAGCAATACCAGCACTCTGCTACTAGCAGCCAAATGATGATACAAATGGCAATTCAAAACCTATAGGTGAACTGACATGAGGCTCTCTAGACTTCCTGCCCTTTGTTCCCATGCCCAGTGTTGTTTCTCCATGCTTATCTCCATCTCCACTTTCATTGAGAGTATCTGGAAGAGGGTTGTAGATGAAGAAGACAACTGGATCACGTCTGCATCACATCTGCAATGTGTGGCAAACTAGTAATGTAGAGGCTGATGCTGATTCAGTACTACTGCCAATGAATGAACAGCCCTATGTGTCCAGGAGCTGTCGACAGCATCTACTTCTGTGTGTGACTTGTGGGTGATCTGTATACCTCTTGCCAACAGAGTTCATAAACTAAAGATTAATGAGAGGAAGAGGCAACCCATCGGGGACAAAGCATTAGTAAAGCAGAAAAGTGTTTTGCTTTTTGGAGCTGTAATAACCAGGAGGATTCATCATTGTTTCAGCTGACTTTGGTGTCTAGCCAAGCCAGAGGCACTGACTGCAAGCACATTTGGCTCTGTCTTTTCCTCTGCCACACCGAGTGTCCCAGCAACCCTGTCACCACTGCACACGTTGTTGCCAGACTGAAAAACAGTAGTAGTTCTCCTCCTTCCTTCTTCTTCTTTGCTATTTTTAGAGAAATATGAATAACAACTTACTCTCCTCATTTATTATTCTTGATGAATAGTAAATTATTCTAATGGCATTGACTGTTCTATTCATTTATTATTTGAGGATAATTAGAAGTGAATAGCTATTATGAAGCCTCACCAGTTCCAAAAATTAGGACTTAGAATCTTGTGTTTTCTTTTGGCTCTGAGCAATTATCTCTATTGTTTCCTCTAATTCTGTCATGCACACCTCTTTCTTCTTTCCATGTCATGTTCTGTTTTAACTCCAGAATCATGACACCCAGTACTCTCAAAAGTTACCCAGAGAAGTGATGGATGAGCTTCTGAAATGTAATTTCCCCCAGACATATAGGGTTTTAAAATTATGTTTAGGTTCAATAAGGCCCCATAACTCACAGTCATAGTATTGAAATATACAGAATATTGAGTAATACATGGCTTGCCGATGGCAACAGTGGTAATGCCAGGATAAATCACATTGCTATTTACAGAATAGTCTGTGAAGTTCTAACCTGAGGCTAAAATACCATGCAGGGTGAAAAAAATCATTATTATTATTGTTCTTTTATAATAAGACTTGTTATAAAACCCTCTAGTCTGGGCTTTTGAGGCCCTATCCTATGTTTTCAGCCTTATCTTCCTTACAACTTCCCAAACATCCTTCACTCAAGTTGAAGTGAACCAATTGCTTTTTCCCAACAATGATGACATCTTTCCCATTGTCTAAATCTTCTATTTTTCTCGGCCTGTGATAGCTTTTCAGCTTCTCCATGCCACCTACCCATCTCCACTGGTGAAAATCCAATTCTCCCATGAAGGCTTACTTTAAATCCCGTCTTTAATCTTCTCATTTTAATTTTTTATTCTTTCTATGATACTGCATCCATCCCCTAAAGGGCACTATTTACAATTGTTCACTGTTCTGTATAAGGACAGATGCACATTTGATGGACTTTATACTTACATAATTGAGTGGTCGTCTTTGAGAACAAAGAATATTAAATTACAAATACCAAATGAGGTACAAAAGAGAGTATTTGGGGAGTGATATAAGTGCGATGGAGTAAGGAACTCCCAAAGTCCATTCCTCCATAAAAGCAACCAGTAAAATGGCAAAAAATTGGCAGAATTGACTTTTTCAAAATTTTGGAAACTAAAGGCTTGCAGCAATTCAGGGAGTGATTATTTTATTTTAAAAAAAAGCTGATTATTGGCAAGAACAATGAGCTTTGTGTCATTTTAACTTTTCCTGGTCTCATCCACAGCTCCTCAGCTCAGTGAAACATTTGAAATTAACAGCCCACAGTCACAGGACTAGTACTGGAGGTGGTAAAATGGACCTCATTTGCAAAGAATTGTTGTGAAGCATGTCTAGTGCTAAAGCTGCAATGGGTAGTGGGTAGGGGATTGAGGCTGGTGCATTATTGAAGATATTTACAGGAAAATATTTCAGTTGCTGCTGTCAAAGGCAACATACAACTGTTGGAACAAACAATAGACTAACCAAAAAACTTCAAAGCTGTGGAATGAGATGCTTTTGCAAATAAAATGTTTGAAAGGCTCTGAAATATTACTGGGAATCTAGAAGGCCACACACATATCCAGAGCTGTGTGCATGCTTAAGAGAGCCCTGAGAAGGTTCTAAGCTCTTACCCTTGACTAACCTTGGGCCTTTGTGCAAGAAGAAAGTAAAAGCTAAGGCAAAGTTGCAAATTGCCTGGAGAAGTGTCAAAGGCGTACCCCAACAAACACACAAGAGACCCTCTAAAAAGACTAAATTTTTGTTGCTTCCAAGCACTTGAAACCTCTGTGCAATACTTAGCTGGCCCCTAGGCAAATTGAACAGAGGCTTCAGTGGCCATACATGACAAAGAATATGACTTTACAAAATTATTCAGAAAAATCATGAAACAAACAACACTTATGACAAAGAACAACAACAAACCCTGAGGGGTGAGGGGCAGGAGAATCTGACTTCTGGACTTACCACATCACTAACTATATTCAAAATATCTAGTTTTTAATCAATAAATTATGAGGCACACAAAGAAGAAGAAAGTATGACCTATGGGTAGTGGGGAGAAAAAGCAATCAATGGAAAATTTACCCAAGGAAGTACAAATGTTGAAGTTATTAGATAAAAACTAATTTAAATCACCTATTTTTATTATCTTTAGCTAAAGGAACCCATGTCTAAATAACTAAAGGAAACCATGGAGAATAATGTCTTGTCAAATAAGAGAATATCAATAAAGACATTCTTTATATGCCCACATATAAAGAAACCAAATAGAAATTCTGGAATTGAATGTACAATAACCGAAATGAGAAATTTACTGGAGTTGAACAGCAGACTTGAACTGACAGAAGAAATCAGAAAGCGTAGATATAGGTAAACTGAGATTTATCTGTAACATTTTGAAAACAGCATTTTAGAATAAGAAAAACTAATAAATTTTAAATAACATATAAGTAATAATATTTTTTGAAACTGTCAAACAGTGTAAACTTCACAATATCCAGAAAGAGAGGTCTGTTTTATTAATACAACATCTTATATTTGTATCATATTATAATATTTATTTATATCATTTATATATAAAACTGTATGCTATTTAGATTACATTTATTATATGTATTATATCATTTGAATATAAAATTATACAGTATATTATTATATGTATTAACTGTCTGGTATATCTCTATGACATCATTTTCCCTATATTTTTTTGGTTGCATACTCTTTGACTGCCATATCATATGATAGCAATTTTATAATATTATTTTCTATGGAGAGAACAGAAATAATGTAGTTTTTCTAGTATGGTTAATCAAAATGTGTTTTATTATTGATATTTGGAGTAAATTAAACATGCAGTTTCACATACAACTAGTGCTTGGAGTATTGCTTCAAATATTTTGCCCTAAAAGCGCAGAATTGATAAATTCCACTTCAAATGAGTCCCATCAAAAATGAAAAGAATGTATGGCATGTTTACAATTCTAGTCACCGAATTTTTAGCTTAATTCTATCAGGAGAAAACAATTCCGTTTTGCCTAGGGAACGGCAAGAACCAAATACTCCATATACAACGTTACATGTCTGATATTTGGAAGTTTGCCACTGAATTGTTTCTTAATTGTTTCTTGCTCCATGTATTTCAAATCTTACTCATCTGCATGACCCACATTTGTCTTATGTGGGGACACATTTATATCATCATGAGCCTGCACCTGCTGGTGTTGCACCTTCACATCATACACCAGCTGCTTTGGTACCGTGGGCTCTGCAGGAATGTTCTGGGAAGTTGTTCCTATACTGCGACAGGTAGAAATGAGTTTAGCTGTAAACCTAAGGCACCCTCTCCCCACTAAATCCCCATAAATATATCCCACTAACTCCAATTAAATGCATTATTAGTTCAGCTTCCCTAGCTGAATCCCCAAAATTTCGGTGGCCCTCCAGTGCCACACAATGGAAGGAGAAGTATTAGAGTGGAATTTGCAGTGAACAAGACAGTGGCCTTACTAGGTTGTGAATAGTGTGGCTTTCTTTTGCAAAGTTAACAAAAATGTATCACATGACCTCAGGACAGCTAGCTGGGGGACACCTCAGAACCTAGAAAGAAACTTGTGACAGAGTGAACCCTGACACCTATGTTATACTAGCTTCTCACTACACTCCCTCCAGCATGTTTTGTTGTTTCTATTGTAGATTTCCCATGTATACAAGTAATAAATCTTGCATGCCCATTATCTGGCTGATATGCTATCTTGATGGATGTCCCCTCTTTTCCGAAAGTGTATAGACTTTCTTTTGAGAATTTCTCGCTTCATTAAGGAGTAGAGTATTCCCAGAAAAAGGACCATTTTGTCATAGGTACAAGAGTAGCTTCACTCCTCTGCTGACACTTCCTCACACTCTATAAAGAACCATTTGTACTCTGCTTGTACAAATCCTGGCTCAGTCATTTTCTACTTGTACGAGGTTGACCAAGTTACTTGAACCTACCTGAGTCTTATTTCCTCATCTGTAAAATAAACACTGTTAAATCCATGCAGAAGCATGGCTGTGTAGAGCACATGGCATAAATTTATAAGGCACCAAGCACAATGCCCTATTCCTAGTGGGTGCTCAGTAAGTGGCAGCTATTATTGCTTTTACCCTTGTGGTTACTTTTTATTTCTCATAGCCTCCTGATTGGTTTACTCAAAAACTTAGACTGTTGAGTTCTGTGAAAGTGGAATCTGTCAAATGATTTATCTTTGTAATCCCTGTACTTAGCAGTGTCCCTTACCTAGAGTAGATGCTTAGCAAATATTATGGGATTGAATTGGCAGAGTTTGGACAAAACTCTCATATGCACAACTGTAAGTTTCAGGAAAGAACACTACCTTGCTTTTCCGATGCCAATTGCTGCATTATAAACAAAACAAAACAAAACAAAACAAAAAAACAAAAACTTCCCTCTCAGTGGGTCACCCCTAGGGTGAATAACTATGTAATAGATATCACGCGCTCCTGGTTACTAATGCCAGCTCTGTCATTTGCTAGCTGTGTAACCTTGTACAAATGATTTTCCATCTCTGTACCTCAATCTTTTTATCTCTGAAGTGGGGATAATAAGGATTTCTACCTAATGGTGTTGTTGTAAGGATAAAGCTGGTTAATACACTCCTTTTTAAGTGTATATGGGTTTTTAGGGGCAAAACTGAACAGAGAAAATGATCAATAAATTTAATTATTCATCCTCACAAAAGTATCCCAGCACTGTGCTAGAATGTGGGTTTTCAGGGCCCAGGAAAACGCTGTCAAACACCATTCTCAGTGGGCCCTTTTGCAATAGTCCTTCTTATTTTGCTTTCTCGTTTCTTACTTCTCACTGTCCTGTTTACTATTTTTCTCCTCACATAGAACACATGAGGCTTCTAGCTGGTTCTTATGTTTTAGCACCAGCGCATGAGGCTATTTACTTGCTTTTGAAATTCTTCACTCTCGACACCTGAACAAACTTTAGATTTGGTAGGATAAGCTGGATAGGAATCCATCCAAGAAATTTAACGAGAGGATTTAACAAAAGCTAACAGACCTCTTGAAACTAATGCTCACCATATGTAAATGTGTGTCTTTCCTCTAGTGACTGAAAATAGAAACATGATTAAGAGAAAAACTTGAGTATCTGTGCAGAAGACGTCTGCAATGTGGTTTTAATTTCAATAAGCATTTTAATATTTTGCTACCATCTTAACGAACTGATAGTTTTTAAGAAAGTGGGGCATCACATTAATTTACAAAGTGAATATTTTCACATTCTGTAACATCAGGTGTCATTTCCAAGCCGTGTGAATCTTTCTTGTTTCTTGGACTTTTTCCCCGTGGACTTGAGCAGGTCATTGCTCTACAAAATTTCTAAAGCTCCTTCCGCTCAATTTATCTTTTGTTTGTTTGTTTGAGATCTCTATGAACTACTAGTTCTTTTCCATTTTTGTATGTTTCTATTAAATTTCAGTGAAAAGGGCTAAAACCAAATTTGTTCTTCTCACCTCTCATTCTTGGAATTTTATTTGATGTATCCATTTATTGTACTCATGTCTGCATACGTTTAAGTACTGAAATTACATTGTGCCAAAGGGTATAGTCACAGCCAATTCTATTGAGAAATCAATTGAAGGGTGGCAATCGTCTGACAGGTACAGTGATTTGTGAGTTGTGTATTTCAGTTACTATTTTGGCATCAGGGCAACCTAACGCATGCACAGATACGAGGTTCCAATATAGCTGTGCCCCCACTTATTGACTTACCATGGGTAAATCTCTTACATTTCTAAGCTCTGGCATCATTTATTAGGAAGATAAATGTGAGTAATTAAGCTTCAAGGCCATAAGTGCTAAAACTTTTTGGAATTAGTGTGCTATTAAAATGACGGAGTGCCTGGCTCTGCCCAGGTATGTCATGGTCTTCCACCTCTAGCTCTACTTCTTGGAGTGACCTCTCCTGGCCCTTCTAACCATACACATTGTTTCCGGGAGGCTAAATATAACCCCTCAGGCAGTGGTATGGATGGGTGGCCAGTTTGTTTTAAAAAGCTATCTTTGGCTAGATTATTTAGCGTCAAACTAGACAGGTGATAGACATTACCTTTTAGTGAATGTCTGCTGATCTGTTCACTTGAATAACCAGACTAGATGCTGATCAACAGTTATTTCAAGAATAGCAGTTGCCTCTTTTTACAACTAAACTGAGGTTTGTGTGACTTTTTGTTTTTCTCTTGAAAGTAAAACAAGCTTAGGATTTAATTGTTTAAAACAGCTAAAATGTAATTAGATCGTATTGTTTAACTTTTTGTAAGTGATAAGAAGCAAATAATCAAGCTTCTTAACTTTCTTAAGAGAGAAAAGATCTCGAACAGAATAAATGTAAACAGACTCAAGAGAAATATATTTGACTTATATTTTGCTTTCTAAATTTACTACTAAATACCTGTGTAGTTTAGCAGCTTTGGAGTGTGAAAATGTTGTCTACCATAGAGTTAATATGAATTTGTGAATTATCATCATTTGCTGTTTTTTCTTATCTGAGCTCCTATAATGCATCAGGGAACTTTGCTAAGTGCAATGTTGTACATAATTTTCCTGGCCAGTGCTCTCACATTCTAAACTGCACAGGCGTTATTTCTCATTTCACATCTTTCTCATTATGAAACCTTTATTTTGGTGTGCACAAACCACTTGATTTCCAATGAAGTGACAAATATTTTTATAATGCTATTTTTTTTCAAAATATAAGTGGTTCAAATATCTGAAGAAAATGTCAAATAAGATGTTACAACATCTTTTTGTGGTGGGTTAAAAAGATGCAGAACTTCAACAAAGCAGAAGGCCACCCAAAAGAAGCATCATTATTCTTAGTTAAATAGGACATTCTAATTATAACTTTGATGGGAAGGTTGTCTTACTATTATTTTATTTTTTTATTATCTTATGAAAAGGTGACATTAATATTATTTGTAGTCAGAAATACTCCCCTAGGGTTTAACACTTCTTGGATTTAACCAAAGATCCAGCACAAAATGTAAGAACTTAAACCATAAAAATATATTGAATTAATGAACTTTAAAAATACCGAGAAAAGTATTCTGATAAACCATTTGCACACTAGAGGTTTCACTATTTCTTAAAGTCATGCTCTGCTTTCTCTTGCAAATCCTTCATTACCTTTTCAAATAATTTTCTTGTCAATTCTCTTATATCCATAACCAAACACAGCATGTGTTTTAAAAATCTTCCCATATGATTGGCAATATATTTAAGAAGAGAAATGCATATTTTACATTATATAAAATATTTAACATTTAAGCATTTTTAAAGTATTGAAAAATAAGTTATTTTTAAAAGACAGCATATTGTATCATTCAACATATCAAATAAGGGTTTTTTACAAAAATAGCATTCAGACTAAAATGTAAATTATATGAGGGCAGGAGTTATCATCTGTTAACTGCTATGAATACCCGGATTGAGACAGAGGCTGAGTAGATGCTCAATAAATGTTTATTAAATAAATGAATAAATTCAGACAATGTCATAGCATTTTAATCTTAATTTTACATGTATACTAGATTTATTTTTCATATTTTAGATTTATATATTCAAATGAAATATGGAAACTAGTTGACCTAATGTATTTAATTATGTTAGTCAAATTTCCTCATATACTTTACCTTCCTCTGCTGCACTCCTAAAATTTTTTTTGAGACGGAGTCTCGCTCAGTTACTATTTTGGCATCAGGGCAACCTAAGTCATGCACAGGTATGAGGTTCCAATATAGCCATGCCCCCACTTATTGACTTACCATGGGTAAATCTCTTACATTTCTAAGCTCTGCCATCATTATTAGGAAGAGTTGCCCAGGCTGGAGTGCAGTGGCATGATTTCGGCTCACTGCAAGCTCCGCCTTCCAGGTGCATGCCATTCTCCTGCCTCAGCCTCCCGAGTAGCTAGGACTACAGGTGCCTGTCACCACGCCCGGCTAATTTTTTTTTTTTTTTTGTATTTTTAATAGAGATGGGGTTTCACCATGTTAGCCAGGATGGTCTCAATCTCCTGACCTCATAATCTGCCCTCCTTGGCCTCCCAAAGTGCTGGGATTACAGGCGTGAGCCACTGCGCCAGCCCTAAAATTTTTTTTAAGTTTACACAGAAAAAATAAAGAAGGAAAGAAATTTAAATTAAGATTTAGAATTAACTTTAACAACCTCAGAACTAGCTTTGAGAGTTTTATATTTGGTCACAAAAGAATTTACTCAACAACAACAACCCAAGACCTTTTTTTCTTTTTTTAACTTTTATTTTAGGTTCAGGGTTACATGTGCAGGTTTGTTATATAGGTAAACTCATATCATGGGGGTTTGTTGACAGATCGTTTCTTCACCCAGCTACTAGGACTAGTGCCCAATAGCTATTTTTTCTGATCCTCTCCCTCCTCCCATCCTCCACCCTCAAGTAAGCCTCAATGTCTGTTGTTCCCCTTTTTGTGGCCATGAGTTCTTACCATTTAGCTCTCATTTATAAGTGAGAACATACGCAACCCAACACTTTCTACATCGAAACTTCATGTTTTGGAATTGTATATTTTAGCCTCTCATTATTCCTCTTGTGAGATTTTATAGACAAGTCTGTAAAAGTCTGATTTTATGTTACTTTGCCCCCATTGTACATATTGTGAACTTAGCAATTTAGATATATTGGAATTTAGATCTCAACATATTTGCCTTCCTTTATTCTAATTATATATAACAAAACAAGAAAAGCAGAAGGAAGGAAGGAAGTCTCAAGGGAAAATTTAGAATGGAAAAAAATCCATATGAAAAGGTTCAAAATAAAAGAAGAGGGCACAAAGTGATTTTTAAAGATAGTGTTATTCCTGTCTTCGTTTTCTTTCCTTTTAAATGTTAAGTTTGAGACTTAAAGACTTTGCTATATAAGAAAAATCAGCAAGACACCAACTATAACTGTGACTTACCATCTCACTGGCTTCCTTCAGCTTTGGATTTTTAAGCACATTTGTTACTAGTTGTCCCTCAGTTCATCAAGCTCAAGACTAAAATCACCTTTGCAATCTTTGCCACTGTCTAGGAAAGTGAGAGGGAGAAAGATAGAATAGGAGAGAGAGAGAGAGAAAGACCTTCCTTATTATGCCTATTATGCCTTATTATTCTGAGCCCAGGAGTTCAAGGCTGCAGTAAGCTGTGGTTGTACCACAGGATTCCAGCCTGGATGACTGAGCAAGACCCTGTATCTATTAAAAAAAAAAAAAATCAATGTTTACTTATAAAATTAACATAAGGGGAACGCTATCATGGGAATTATATATATAGTTTTAAATAAATACTCATAATACCCAAGTGCTGTACATGTCCCAGGTTCTACTTTTCACCCCATCTATAATATCAATTATTTCTTAATTCTTTGAGAAATTCATTCCTTTATTTTCGTAAAACTTTTGGCTTTCCTCTTCTGTCCTCAAAATAAAACAAATGGATAGGAAAAGAAAAAATAAAGGGGAAAAAAAGAAAGATATCAGCAAAAAGTTAACAGATGCCTCTTACTCCAGGGCCTTGGCATACACTATTTTCTCCACCAGAAATGGGTTTTCCCCATCAATTTTGGTTAATAAAATTTTTATCATTATTTAGTGTTATATCAGTTGAAATGACTTTCTCAAGGGAAGGGCCCACCAAAATATCTATTTGCTTAATGTTTATCTCCCTGGCCTCAGCTCATAGTCTCCTGGAGAGTAGGGACCATGAATGCTTTGAATTTAGCATAGCTTGGAGTCCGGCAACCAAAATATATTTACAAATGAATGAAAAGTAGTTTAGATTAATATGAACTCATTGGTCCCATCCACTGTCCTATCTCTCTCTATGAGTAACCCCTAACCTGAAGCTCACTCAGCAGGTCATTAAGTTGGAACCGAAATTTTCTTTATATTCTTTTGTCAGCATCACTCCCTGTCTAGAGTGCAGCCAATATGATACAGTCCCAAGGACAGATATCTACCCTGCAGTCAGAAACCAAAGAAGTTTTGCAGAACTTGATGAATCTGCAAATGTTACTCTCAGAAAGTCATATATTCAATAACAAATGCAAGATGATGACTATTTAGAAAATGTCCCTATTCTAAGAAATAATAAAATAAGGATTGCTCCTTGTTCCATCAATTATATCCTTTCCATTCTGAATATTCAACATCTTTCCCTTTGCTAGCATTTTTCTAATCACTAAATAAATATGCTCAAACCCCATCCTCTTATAAAGCCCTTCACACAACTCCAAACTGTCTAACCTTCTTATTTTTACAGCCAAGCTTCTGGGAAAAAATAGCCTAAAATCAATGCCTTGACTCCTTCACTCACCATTCTACTCATTACCATAGGACTCCTGGCCTCACCACTCAATAAAAAAACTACTGAGGACCCCCCAGATGTTAAATACAATAGACACATTTTTTATTCTTTCTTTTTATTTGGCTACTGTGTGGCATTTGGCTTTATCAAAAACTCTGTGTTGAAAATTCTTTCCAGATTTTCTTATGTGCCATGATTCCTCCCTGGATTTTCTTCTTTCTCTGGCCTCCCTTTTTCCATCAGTCTCCTTTGTTGACTCCTCTTCTCTCATTCGCCCCCTAACTGTTGGAGTGCCACAAAATTCTACACATTACCTCTGCCCCTCCCACCCCACACACACTCTGGAGAAATCGCATCCTTATGGAGACAGGTGGACCCAGCAATGTCTTCCATATCTGCTTTCCTAGCCAAAATCTCTTCTAATGAGATACCTACTGGTTCTCTTCATGGGGAAATCTCATAATTATCCATAACTGACAAGTCCAAAGCTAGAAATCTACAAATCAGCCTCAACTTCTCCCTTTGCCTCACCTGCTACATAAAAATCCATCTCTATATTCTATTGAACCTACCTCTTAAATATCACAATTCTTTCCTACTTCTTCTTTGCCATGAGCAGAATCTTATTTCAAGCTATTTCTCATCTGTATAAATATAATTAGTGCCTTTCAGCTGGTATCCCAGCTTCCCAACCCTAAATCATCTGCTGTACAGCAAAGGCGATGATCCTTTCAGCATGGTCTGGGGCAGAGGTAGAAATATCTTTAGAATAAAGAAGAGTACATTTACCCAGAAAAAGTATACCTTAAAGCAATCTACACTCTTCCCTCTAATTCTAGCATTATGAAGCAATGTTTGAATTCATAATTTGATCTCCTGAGTGCATGTAACTACTCAGGAAACCTAAGTTTAGGGTATCATTTGTCACTTCAGTTGGTATCTCATTGCAAACTGTAAGTTCTAGTATATAATTCATGCTCTTATGAATTTGGTCAGCAAGAATCTATTTCTTATAGCATGACAAATTGATAATGTTAAGCTTTTAAATGTACAAAGCTCCGAGCCAGATCTGTGTTGGTTGTGACCTATGCTAACTCTGGCAACCTATCATTGGCAATTTCCAGTGTGCAAATATCTAATGACTCTTGTCTGCATATCGTGTCTGCTGGTTTTGGACACATCATGACTGTGGCATTAATTTAATTATGTCATTTTTAAGATATTCAAAAATATCTACCCTGTGACCTTCTTATATCTGAAACTCTCAAATATTTCAAGGTAGTCTAGAGCTTATTAGCATGCTTCTTGGAATCATCTGGAAAGACATCCTATTCAAGCCCTGTAGCACAAAATTCAGGAATGTATTTGGCACAGCCTTGAAGGCTAAATGTGATGAATAACATATTGTTCTTTCCTAACTCTATGTTCTGTAACCTATATTCATGTAATCTCCAACCACTGAGCAAATCTAATATTGACAAATTTTACCAAAAACAGGTGATGTGGTCCCTGACTTAGACAAATCTATGTGCAAACCACACCAGCCTTAAGTTTAGAGGGAACTTGTTAGGATGCCAAAAGATTTGTTGAACAACCAAGCTTTCTCTTTTCCATTATTTGAGTGACTCCAGAAGCCATCTCACTTCCTATAGCTTCTGTCTTCAAAATGTGACTTAAATTTACCAGCCTCTACCTACTCCCAGTCTGTGGCCTCACATGGAATCCTCATAAATAGGAAGTACCAGGAAAACAACATGAAATTTGGAATCAAAGAGAGCTGGATTCAATGCCTGCTTCATCTTTTCCTGACTCACTCTGTGATTTCAGCGAACCACATAACCTTTTCAAAACTCAGTTTCCTCAGCTGTGGAATAAAAATTAGCATTCTCACTTCGAGGGATGTTATTTGAATAAAATAGGTAAAAATAAGTACCACATATGCGGTGCTTTAGAGGTACTATTGGCTGGTACAGTGGCTCATGCCTGTAATCCCAGCACTTTGGGAGACTGAGGCAAGAGGATTGCTTGAGGCCAGGAGCTCAGGACTAGTCTGGGCAACATAGCAAGACCTCATCTCTATAAAAAAAAAAAAAACTTATACTTAGCTGGGCATGGTGGCACACACCTATAGTCCCAACTACTCAGGAGGCTGAGGTGGGAGGATCACTTGAGCCTAGGAATTCAAGGCTGCAGTGAGCTACGATCATGCCGCTGCACTCCAGACTGAGCAGCAAACCAAAACTCCATCTCTTACACACACACACACACACACACAATAGAGGTACTCTTATTTTAGTCTTTACAACAATATAGATAGATAGATAGATAGATAGATAGATAGATAGATAGATAGATAGGTAATCATTTTATAGATGAAGAAACTATGGCATTGGGAGGTTAAGTAACTTGCATAAGATCACCCAGCTAGTAAATGGAGGAGTTGGGATTTGAATCAAGGCACACTGGCCTTAGAGCCTGTATTTTCAATTATTAGGCTTTACTGCATATGCTGAGCACCTTGCAGACTTTCAGGTACATATGAGATGCTAAATAAATACACATTATTAGGACAACTGAAATACCCTCTAATGGGTTTTCTTAACTCAGATGTTGCTATCTTTCCATTTGTCCTGCCAGTATTTCCTAGAGCCATCTCTCTGAAATGCAAATCTGAATTTGCCTCTGATTTAAAAAATATAGAAAAAATTATCATTTTTTCCCATTGCCTAAGACAAAGTCTAAACTTTTAACTATGGCATTATAAGTCATAAAAATCTTAAGATACAAATGATTCATTGTAGTCTCAGTGACCTAAGGATTAAATTATGGTTTGTTTTACATTACTTCTTCAGGAAAGTATGAAGACACTCTCTTTCTGTCTTTGGGGGAAGTTGGGGTAGAAAAATAGAGGTCACTGTGGTTCATCAGGAAGAAGTAAGTGAATTCCTTCATCCTTCATACTTCAAGAAGAGTAAACAGCTTTTTAATGTTGTCATATCTTTTTAATGCCTGGAGACTTTCTGAAAAAAAAAGAATCAAGTTCTTCGTAGAAGGAATTCACTGAATAAATCCTCTGTGTTTTGTAGATTGATAAAAGTGACCAAATCCCTGGGTGGCTGCCTGGGGTTAGCAAGGCTAGTGTTAACATCCTCCTCAAGGGACAAATGCCTAAATTCATGGAAGCCAAACATATTTTAATTGGCAGGACTTTGGAGAATATATGAGTACATATGTCTAAAAGCTCCTAGCATTGAGTCATGGGGGCTAAGTGGCCATGAGTAGTCTGGAGGGATGGCCTCCTAAGACTCTAACGTTGTCTCATTGGTCTTTGTATAAAGACAGAAATTGACAGTCCTCAGCCTTATCTAGCCCTTGCCTGCCCCTGAGCTCAGCTGATACCCCACCCATGCTCCGGGCTCCGGCCACACTGGCCTTTCAGTTTCTCTGGGCATCTCCTGGGCTCTTCCCCTATAGGAGCCAGGCACATGCCTGTTCTCTCTGTTTGGAGCATTCCTGCGTGGGAGAAAATTCAATCCTAATCATCCTTCAGATCTCAGATCAAATGTCAGGGGTGTTTTCTGAGAATCTTCTTGGCCACGTCCACACTCTCAGGCAGGGTTAAACTGCAGCATGACTTGCTCCCATTGCCTTTTACATCATAGCACTTCTTACAGTTTTCAAATGTAGATCAGCTTTTATGTTTTTCCTCCAATGACTGTCTTGCTGATAAATATTACACTTTATGAGGGCAGGGCTTGTTTTGTCTTTTTTAATCAGGAATTTGCCTTGTAGATATATTTGTGAAATTAGGCCAGATTTTACATAACTATAAAAACTTAAAACTGGTATTAGGGATAGAAGAGGGATGTAAAATAGGAGTAAGGAAAAAGGTAATTTTGTGATGACACATTGGGAAATATGAAGCCAAATAAGAGCAAATGAAGCTCGTGACAGAGCAGTTCTTTGTTGGGTTCACCACGTGTGCAGCTAAGACACGGCTGCTGATAATTACTGAGATAGGATCAGGGAGGTGGAAGACAAGGGCAATAACCTGTGGTTTTAAGAAGTTAAATTCAGGAGATAGGAAGTAGATCCCCAAGGCATGAAGTGGGTCCTCAAGGCAGGAGACAACTCTCAGGTCATAAAATCAGACCAGATGCAATGGTATTATAAAATAACTGCACATATAATTGATAATAAAGAAACAATAAACTGAACAATTAAAACCACAGATGAAGATACAAATAATTCTCATTCCATAGTACGTATAAATGAAAATTAATATTACTGAACACAGAATTACTAATCGTGCTTACATAAAATAATACATAAAGTATTGACATTTTACTTAGTATAACATTTTTATTGTTTTGTTTCCAGAAACAATTATTTATGAGAACTTTCATATATATCTCCTGACTTCAGTTCCATTCACCCTTCCTTTTTAAATCAGGTCTTAAATCTTACAACTGGGATTGTCCTCTTATTTTCAAGGAATAAAACGCCAGCAGTGTGGAATATAGCAGCCCCAGTCCATGGCCTGTCAATATCCCTCCCAGCCTTACTGCTGTAGGTGTACTGGCCCACAGCCAACTGTCAGCTTCTGTGCTTCTTTGCCTGAGGGCCTTCTCTGAGCTCCTGCTGCCCTGCCAGGGAAGGCAGGAATTACCAGACAATTACCTCCTCCTTCTCAACCCCTAGCAGCTCTCAGCCAATGACTGATAAGAGCCACGCTATAAATACACCAGCGTCCTCACTCTGTGGTGGGGATAACTCTGAGGCTCATGTTCTACACTGGCTCCCCAGGTTGCCCAGTGGGAATAAGTCCCAATTATTCACAGTGGAAATTTGCTGGTAACTTACCCACTACTGGATGCTTTTGCTTTCCCTGTTTCATTTTCCCTACTGCTGTTTCCTAGTATCACCTCTAAAACAAGCTACTTACATTCACTTATTTGTCTGAGGAGCTCCTCCTGGGGGAATCCAAACTAAGACCTCCAAGAAATAACGTGGAAACATAGAAACATAGAAACTTCTGTTTCCGTGTTATTCATCCATACTATAGTGGTGGTTTTGCGTGCCCTTCTCCTTAATTTAAATTACTCATGGAAAGAGAGTTTTTGCATTTCTAACACTCACATCCAACATCTAGAGTAATGTATACAATAATGTTCTATGAAATTGTGAAATAATAATAGTATTAATATAAGTTGCATAATAGTTTGTGGACACCATTTTAAGAGCTTTTCAGATATTAACTCATTTATTCCTTGCAATAATCCTACGAGGAAATGCACTGGCCCAAACACACCCACTTTAAGTAAAAGTGAGTCAAACTTTACCCAACTTTATCTGAGCCTTTCTAATGATCAGTGGTAGAAACAAGAAAGAAGTAGCAGTCACTGATACAGTGTCAGGATCTAAGAGTCCCTGAACTATGGGATGGAGTCTCTTTTTTCTGCATTGGGATGCATTTCGGTTTTGAATTAACATAGTGACAATCATTATGTGTGAAGTAAGTATGCCCACGGAAACTGCTGATTTTCAGGTGTCTCTGTTTTCATATCTCCTTAGTCACATAGCTGGAGAGTCCATGTTAGTTTTCATTTTCCAATTTTTACTGGAGTTGTGACTCATAAATCTATAATTTACAGGTAAATTTTTAACAAGCAATCTACACAGAACAGGTATATCCTCCCAAAAGCCTTGCTAGATACTTAGAAGAGAATAGACCCTAACAATCCCTCTTATTGTCTTCCAACTATTAAAAAAAACTTATCTGTATGTTTTATAGTCAGGGAAGAATTGTCTGAAGCATCCTTGAAGGAGAGATAAGCTGAGTTACAGACTTGCTGTTAATTCCTTTCTTCCCAGGTAATTGCAGGTATCATCACCCGTATTTTACAAATGAGTAAACTGAGATTCAAAGAAGTGAAATGACTTGCTCAAGATCACACAGCTTGTGAGTGGTGATTTTGGAAATGAAACTAGACCTGTGGCCTTTAAAATACACACTTTCAACCACTCTAGGAGATAGGTAATAGGTAACGGTGTTGCCAGGAACAACCGTACTGTCTGTGGTTTTTTGTTTTCTTGGTTTTTTGTTTTTGTTTTGTTTTGTTTGATTTTGTTTTTTGAGACGGAGTCACACTCTGTCACTCAGGCTGGAGTGCAGTGGCGTGATCTTTGCTCACTGCAAGCTCCGCCTCCCGGGTTCATGCCATTCCCCTGCCTCAGCCTCCCGAGTAGCTGGGACTACAGGCGCCCGCCACCACACCCAGCTAATTTTTTTGTATTTTTAGTAGAGACAGGGTTTCACCTTGTTAGCCAGGATGGTCTCGAGCCTGTGGTTTTATCATAAGCCATTTATTCTGTTTTTTTCTCAGGTTTTTCCTCATTTCTATTATCTGACAAAACCAGGAAGAAGAAAAATTTTTACTCAACATTAAAGTGTAGTGGTGATTTTAACTTTCAGATTAGAGAAAAATAAGTGAAGAGACACAGTGTTGTGCAAACAAACCCTTTGATAGGGCAATCTATTGCAGATGCCATTTTGCAGAGTACAGTAAAGAAAGGCAAACCTAATTGCAATCATCACAAAAATCTGCCATTTCTATAGTTCAAGAAGACTGTACTTAGAGTCAGGAATATGAGCAAATGCAGACAGAGACTGAGAATTTTCTTAAGCCAATAATAAAAATCTCGTTACGTGGAAGTGACTATTTTATCACAAATGGTACAGAATACATTGGCATGGCCAAAAAAAAGGGGGGTGGAGAAATTCCTCTAGTAGAAATGTTTCCTTTAGCCATACCTTGGGAAAGGGTTTTATAATCACTTAGTGGAAAGATGATTAACTTGAGAATCTCATTTATAGAAGTTTCTATTTGATATACTGGTATCATCTTAAAGCCAATTGTAGTAAATTATATGTATTCCTTACTTTAAAGTGGGAAAATAATATTTTGTTTCTTTGAATTTCAGTGTAAACACATTTATTCATGTATTGGTTTTGATAAATATCTGTTCTCCAAATAACAAGTGCAATAAACATTCTGGTAACCAAAATTGTTAACCCATGTAAGCAGTATATTTACAGTATAATTTTAAGCAAACCTCATTCTTGGCTGGTCCACTATAGTATTATTTGTAATGCCATTTTAATAGGTGGCACTCAGTGGATTTTTCTTGAAGGGAAGAATTGCTTTACCAATATCTTTTTAGATTTACCCTACTAAGCATCCTGCCCCAGAAAAAAATATATGATTTTATGAAGGATGATCCTGATGGGAAATTAAAACAGTCACAGATGTCTCAATTATATTTATATTCTTTCCTCACAAACAAACCCTGCTGAAAACCAGAATTTTTATCCCTTCACTAAGAATCTAAGAAGTAAAAATTTACATTTGCCATTTCACCTCCATGTCACCTTCCTGGGCTTTGATGTAATGCAACAAAATGATGGCTCCTATTTAATTAAACAGAAATCTGGATTAACTCCAGCTGTGAGCCATGTAATCAGTCCTTGTGTGAGCAAAAAGGGGTGTAATCCTTGGCCCATAGATCATTCCTGCATCGAAATCTGCTCTCACTCAAAGCCATCCGCAGGCCACCGAAAATGATTTTTTTCCCAAACGAATTACTTAGAATGTGCAGCTGCCCCCTGTTCCCACCTTATGAAAATAACCTGAAAGGCTAAAAGAGCTTGATTTGTCCTTTTCCCGTAAGTATTTTTTAATCAAAAGAGGCCCTGCCCTGCCCTGCCCTGCCTGTTGATACATCTAGAATTTCTTTGTTTGCTGTTAAGAAGCACTATAGATGTGGTTTGCTGTTTAATGCAGGGTTTTTTTTTCATATGCATCTCTCCAGATGGGTGTAATTTGATTCTTTGATACATATTGAACAGATTTTTTAGAAACAGTTTTTTTAGAGGCAGATTTTTGTTGCAATATGACTTCATCTTTCTTCCAAAAGGAAATATCTTGATCTTTCTGAATTGTGAATGGGTTTGCTCATAAAACCCAAACTTTTAATACAAAAGGCCAGAAGAGCCTTTCTGTTACAGATTCAGGCCAATTAAAATCCATGATAAGGGTAGGGAAGTGTCTGTTTTGCTGGGGCTGATAAGGGTGGACAAAGACTCCTCAATGTGGGGGAGATTGCCAACAAGGAGGTAAAAATAAAGTCCCCAGATCTACTCTGAGTAAGAAGTGAGTAAATATGAACAAACAGGGTGGCTCAATTATGTCTAGCTTAGAAGAGGATGAGCAAAACCCACATATGTCCTCATTGTTTCTACTGAGAATGGATGAAAGGGTATCATCTTCTTGCTAGAAAGAGGGAGGGAATGGGCAAAAAAGGATCCAAAGATATCTTGGATTTATACAATTATTCCTGATAGCATCTTTTGGAAAAATTAATCAAAGTATCAGGCTTTCTCCAGCATGCTTCTGGTACATAGAGTCAGGCAAACCAAGTCAAAATTTCCATTACTCCACAGAAGGTTTTGCAGCTCTTAGTATTTTGAAGCTTTAGGCACTGAGCATGCAGATGGATTTGGTTCTCTGAAAATAAATAAAAAGTCCAACTGCCTGGGATTCTTCTCTAATTGCTGAAACTCACCTGCCAAAGCAAATTGAAACTTCAAAGGCCAGCACTTTGAGTAACAGGGTGTATTAGTCTATTTTCACACTGCTGATAAAGACATACCCAAGACTGGAAAGAAAAATAGGTTTAATGGACTTACAGTTCCAAGTGACTGGGGAGGTCTCACAATCGTGGCAGAAGGTGAAAGGCACTTCTTACATGGTGACAGCAAGAGAGAATGAGAGAGAAGTGAAAGTGGAAACCCCTTATAAAACCATCAGATCTCATGAGACTTATTCACTACCACAAGAATAGTATGGGGAAAATCGCCCCCATGATTCAATTATCTCCCACTGGGTCCCTCCCATAACATGTGGGAATTATGGGAATACAATTCAAGATGAGATTTGGGTGGGAACTCAGAGCCAAACCATATCATTTCACCCTTGGCCCCTGCCAAATCTCATGTCCTGACATTTCAAAACCAATCATATCTTCCCAACAGTCCCTCAAAGTCTTAACTCTTTTCAACATTAGCACAAAAATTCACAGTCCAAAGTCTTATCTGAGACAAGGCAAGACCCTTCCACTTATGAGCCTGTAAAATCAAAAACAAGTTAGTTACTTCCTAGATACAATGGGGGTACAGGCATTGGGTAAATACAGGCATTGGGTAAATGGGAGAAATTGGCCAAAACAAAGGGGCTACAGGCCCCATGCAAGTCCAGAATCTAGTGGGGCAGTCAAATCTTAAAGTTCCAAAATGATCTTCTTTGACTCCATGTGTCACATCCAGGTCACACTGATGCAAGAGGTGGGTTCCCATGGTCTGGGGCAGCCCTGCCCTTTGGCTTTGCAGGGTACGGCCTCCCTCCCAGCTGCTTTCATGGGCTGGCATTGAGTGTCTGCAGCTTTTTCAGGTGCACGGTGCAAGCTGTCAGTGGATCTACCATTCTGGGGTTTGGAGGATGGGTAACCCTCTTCTCACAGTTCCACTAGGCAGTGCTCCAGTAGAGACTCTGTGCAGAGGCTCCGACCCCACATCTCTCTTCCACACTGCCCCAGCAGAGGTTCTCCATTAGGACCCCGCCCCTGCAGCAAACTTCTGCCTGGACATCCAGGCATTTCCATACATCCTCTGAAATCTAGGTGGAAGTTCCCAAACCCCAATTCTTGACTTCTGTGTACCTGCAGCCTCAACATCACATGGAAGCTGCCAAGGCTTGGGGCTTGCACCCTCTGAAGCCACGGCTCAAGCTCTACATTGGACCCTTTCAGCCACAGCTGGAATAGCTGGGATTCAGGGCACCATGTCCCTAGGCTGCACACAGCAGGGAAACCCTGAGCTCAGCCCATTAAATCAATTTTTCCTCCTAGCGCTATGGCCCTGTGATAAGAGGGACTGTCCCGAAGGCCTCTGACATGCCCTGCAGACATTTTCCCCATTGTCTTGGGGATTAACATTGGCTCCTCATTACTTATGCAAATTTCTATAGCCAGCTTGAATTTCCCCTCAGAAAATGGGATTTTCTTTTCTATCGCATAGTCAGGCTGCAAATTTTCTGAATTTTTATGCTCTGCTTCCCTTATAAAACTTAATGCCTATAACAGCACCCAAGTCACCTCTTGAATGCTTTGCTGCTTAGAAATTTCTTCCACTGGATACCCTAAATCATCTCTCTCAACTTCAAAGTTCCACAAATCTCTAGGGCAGGGGCAAAATGCTGCCAGTCTCTTTGCTAAAACATAACAAGAGTCACCTTTGCTCTAGTTCCCAACAAGTTCCTCATCTCTATCTGAGACCACCTCAGCCTGGACTTTATTGTCCATATCACTATCAGCATTTTGGGCAAAGCCATTCAACAAGTCTCTAGGAAGTTCCAAACCTTCCCACATTTTCCTGTCTTCTGAGCCCTCCAAATTGTTCCAACCTCTGCCTGTTACCCAGTTCCAAAGTCACTTCCACATTTTCGGGTATCTTTTCAGCCGCACTCCACTCTGCTGGTACCAATCTACTTATTTGTCCATTTTTATGCTGCTGATAAAGACATACCTGACACTAGTAAGAAAAATAGGTTTAATAAACTCGCAGTTCCATGTGGCTGGGGAGGCCTCACAATCATGATGGAAAGCAAAAGGCAGAAAGAAAGAATGAGAGAGAAGTGAAAGCAGAAACCCCTTATAAAACCATCAGATCTCATGAGACTTATTAACTACCATGAGAGCAGTATGGGGGAAATTGTCCCCATGATTCAATTATCACCCTCCAAGTCCCTCCCACAACATGTGGGCATTATGGGAGTACAATTCAAGATGAGATTTGGTGGGGACACAAAGCCAAACCATATTACAGGGAGTCTGCTTCAAAGTAAAGCCAATACTACTCCTTAAGGCAATGCCATTATGGCTTCCTGTTCCTTGAACTGGTAGTGAGAGGAAAGGTAGTATAAAGTTATCCTCCTAGACTAGTGGTCCTTAACCCTGAGTGCGTGTAAGATTTAAGTATTCTCAAATTATAAGTGGAAGCTTTGATAAAATAAGAAGTGCCTGGGGCTACTGGCTCTGAGTAGGACCAAGGCATCAGGAGTTGTTAATACATCCCCATCTGATTCTAATGTGCAACCAGGTTGAGACCCACTGTCACAGAGACACTTTAAAAATATTCGACTTCTGATTTCCAGATTAATTTTGCATCATCAAAACAGACCTTGATTGCACCAGCTACAGATTATATACCAATAGGAAACCTTAATTCAGAGAGAAAAAAACTGAAGTCTAGTTCATAGTGAGAAGTGATTACCCTCTTGCTAGGTGGGATAAACAGCAATGTGAAATTTAGCTGTGATGTTAGCAGATCCTGAGCCTAGTGCAATCCATTCTGAAGTAGTGGTATAAGGGCTGCTGCATAACAGCGGCTGTATCAGCTGTCACCATGGACTACAGTGCCCATGGTACTGGCATTTCAAGCAATGGGGCTGAGTGTACTAGCTTTGTCTTCCCAATGATATTATTTAAACTGGTACTTTCTTAAGGGAGGTGACATCCAGTGACCTCATTATTATGAGGTAAAAGACACAAATTGTTTCCTGAGGCCCCATATAGAACCCTTAAGTTTATTATTAGCCAGACCTAATCATCTGTGGGTCTCTAGATAGACTGGATCAATCAGAGACACTTTGGGCCATAGTTGTGTCTTGGACAAATATCAGTTCATTTTATTAAAGCTTGTGTTCTCATTGACTACAACTGTAATTTCAGAGATGTTTATTTTGACCTAGTGTTTTACAATCAGAACAGTGGTTTGAAAATCATTAAGCTGGATTCTTATCCCAGATCTATCACCCACCAGTTGTGTGATGGCAGGGAAATTAAAACACTTTAACTATCATTGTTATCCAACTTTTAAGATAAAGTTTTGAGATGTTAGGTGAATTCTCCAAGGTCATCCAGCTCTTAATTGGCAGAACCAGGATTGAAACCCCTGTCTGTCTGGCTCCCAAACCAGTGCTTCTGACTATTATATGCTCAATATGGCCTTCCTGCAGTCTAGCTAAAAAAATTATGTGTTGTTTCTAAGCATTCTTCAGCTTACAGTACCAACAATACTATTTTAAATTCCACTGTGAGATCACTCATTCAACCCGAAACACAATTTGCTAAGTAATTAATGCTATATAAATACTTAACAGAAGTGTTTAGGTATTTCACATTTATCTCCACCAATGTTTGCCAAATGTCTGATCTAAGCAAAAGATTAGATAGAAATAAAAAATGGATAGCTGGTCCCCATACCTCAAGGAACATTCACCTGTAGGGGAAATAATTGTAGGAAATCATGTATTTGTATACTTATATTGTAAAGCGTGCCATAGAAGATGTAATGTTTTGTAAAGCACAGAAACTTTTTTGAGTGAATAGAATCATTCTTTAGCCAATTTCATAATTTTGCATTTTCCTATATCAGGTTGCTATAGTCAATAATTCTAACAAGATTTTATTGAATAAACATAACTCACGTAATAATACTTGAATCATGCATTTTATTATGCACTCCCGTTTGCCATTCAACTCATACATTTGGGGATTTTTTTCTTGCAGAAGGGCGTTGGCAGGGCAATTTCCCTGCATCAGCAACTCTGGTGTCAGCCTCTTTGACAGGAGTTGGAAGGAACCCAAATTCCTACCAATGGACTCACTGCTTTGAGTTAAGGCTTTGATAAAATATCAGTGTGATATATCAAATGGCATAAATTAAGTAGCCCATCAATGCCTTTTGAGCACATGCTTAAAGGACATTTTATCCAGAAGAATTCAGGATCTCTAAGGGAATTAAACCAAAACAAGATGGAGACATCTCTATAAAGTGTGCCAAAATTCGCTGAAGTCCAAAGCTGTGAGATGACTAAAGAGATCAGGATCATGGAGCTGAAATTCATGTTGGCTATGGGATGCAAGTCACATTTGGTGATAGATGCTCCCAAAGAGGATATAAGAGGGGATGGGACACACAAGACACACTTCCTATCTTACTGTGGATTCTCCTGAAAGCAGAGTCAGAGATAACATCTTCAGTACAAGCAGTTCACTTAAATTTGATCCCAAGAAACGGTAGTGAGGTAGTGGGGACAATGATACTGGGAATGGCAAAAAACCAATAAAAGGTAGCTAATGAACCACTTACTGCTCAAGGCAACTAGAAAGCAATGTTTCTAGGGATTCTCTGAAGAAGTGTGGATGAAGTGCCTCAAAATTGTCCCACCCAGGAACAGGAAGACTGGGGTATTTCCCCACCTACTCCCATGACCCTATTGTTTGAGGATTGTCCCCAAAGTGTTAACTTCATTTCTAGATTTCACTAGCAACTGGGCTTTGGCGGAGGGGCCAAGGCTGCAAAGCAAGGATGAAAAAAGTCCCAAGGATGCAAAGTGAGATGCAAGTGGTTACTCTTGGTGAGGACCTGTATGTGAAACTATTTGCCACCTTTTGCTGAAACAAGGCGGCCCGAGGAGATGAGGGACAGTGCTGCCTGGGAGCATGCCATATGCATCCACTGGAAAGTTTCGTCAGGACTAGGCCTCACTTTTGTCATCTCCATTTTTAAATCATACTAATAACCAGAAATATCATTATTTTAGTAGAGTCAATGAAAAATGGATTAATATCCTGTCTGTTCTCTCTTCCCTGGCTCTGAAAATTAAATGGAACATTCTATTTCAAAAAAGCCACTCATTAAAAAGCAGACTGGTAAAGACTGTTCCAACAGAAGGCAATTTCCTTTCAAAGAGTGTAGATAGAGACTGTTTCTTTCACACCTTCTATTCTTTTACCCTGAAGATATCAATAATTAAGACCATCTTCTTCCTGCCCAAAGCTACTGAAGATTCAATTCATCAACAGTTTCCACTTGTGGAAAGTATACACCATGCCAACATGGGCCTCCTCATCCCAATTGAGATGAAAGTTTACAGTCCCACTTTCGAGCCCACCTTAGTTACCATGCTAAAGGGGCATCTGAAAACCCATCTCTGGCTCAGAGCAGAACACGGTGGTCAGCACTTACTGATACATGAAGGTAAAATCCAGCTTGTTGCTACTTGTCTTCAGTAGCTCATTTTCCATGGACTATATACATAGTTATATCAATTTAAATATATAACATGTTTTATTAATATATTAAATATGCATTAATAACATATTTAAACATAAATAATTTTATTTACATTTATTGTAAACATGTATATGTTTCACTGGGAAAAACTATGTATATGCATATTATTTCTGTTTGGAGATGGTTTCAAAGGGTACAATCAGGAATGAAGGCCTTAGGAAAGGTAAAATTACCTTGCACAAAAAGAGTGCAGTTAAAATTGTATCAATATTCCTGTTATAAACTCATAAATCCTGAGCTCAGGGAGGTCAAGTTTTACATGCCTGAGCTGACATGCCAATCTGCCAGCAGTCATATGGTTCTCATATGGCGACATTTCACAGATGCCAGCAAAATGTGAGACATTTCTGGCTCATTTCCTTTCATTTTCTTGAGTGCCATGTTGCCTATACATGCACGTTTACACGCGTGTGCACGCACACACATGTACAAACACATGCACACAACCAGATCTTTGTCATGCTATAATAGCACTGCTATAATCCACTCAATCCCAGCAGTTCTATTAAAATTACCTTATTCCTGCCTCCCTAGAGATTAAAAATAATTCATCAATTAGCATTTAACATTGAGGCTATTATTTTCAAGATTTCAAACTGAATACAAGTATTCCTGTGAGTCTACATAGATTCTTTTGAGTAAAATAAAAATACATACATATATATATATATAAATACATATTTTTTAATGTTTTGGACTAGAGCTCATTTTTCACTCATTATTTTAAAAAATATTTTGTTTCCTTAAAATAGATTTTGTGGCACATATTTCTATGTATGATTGAAAGTATGCAGCTGCAAAAAAATCAAACAATTCTGTTCTTCCCATTTCAAAACTGATGTGTGCCATTGTGTTGACAGAATCCATTGCTCCAGTTATTGTGTACCCTTATTACATAATTTCACATAATAAAATGTTAATTCTTTAAATATTTTTTAATGGATTAAATGTGTGTTTCCTCATTAGGTCTATTGCATCATTGAATCTACACCATGTGTGTTTTCACAGTGCACTCTTAAATCAACTCAATTGTACAGAAATTCTTTGCTACTACTTTGCAAGTGGTACTGAGAAAATTAATGGTAAATGAAATCAAAGTGACACATTCACATAGTTATGACAAATACAACTATACACACAAATGAACCACGCTTCCAGCCAAACGTTATCCTCAACCCCCAGCTTTGAGCAAGAGAGACATGTCTGTTTCAACTCTGTATTTCCTTTATTCAGACCTTAATGGCACATAAATATTTGTAATTTAATGCATAAAGTATTTACAAATATAAATACAATATGGTCTACCTTTATCTTCTAGACCCTTATATGGAGTGAGCTCCTTAGGCATACTATATACAAAATGGATGGCAGATGGCAATTGGATAAAACTAATATACTGTCTGGCTCACAAATGAAGAAAAGTATCTAATGAGTACCATCTTCCCTCCCCTCCCTAAGGATGTTGCCACTACAGAAGATATGATTTCAATAAATATAATGAATTATTTTCATTATAAGCACACCACTGCCAATTTTTTTTCACAAAGCAATGTTTACACAAATATATCCCAAAAGCAAAAAGAAATACGTTCGAGTTTAAATTGAATTCATTCTGCAGCCTATAATCACAACAATCTTTTTAGTAACTTTCCTTCAATGTTCAAATAAACAAACATCCACAAATTAGATCAAAACATCTAGTCTTTTGAGAGACAAAAAAGAATAACTTTTAAAAGTTTTTTGGTCTGGTAAGAATATTCACAGAACATCAAGCTTTCTCCAATTTCTGAATAACCCAGATTAAAATATAGCAAAAACAAAACCATTATCATAGAGTGTGAAAATTCTTATATCTTAGAAGAGTTGAAATATGTTCCAATTTTCTTATACCTCTAAACAAGAGCACAAATAAGAATATACTATCTATACATCATTTTTACACTGATTTTAGCAAACGAACATTGAATAACTACTAGATGCCAAGCAATTGTTAGGTGTTGAAATACAAAAACGAATAAGACACAAAGATCCTGTTCTTAAGGACTTCACACTTACCCACTCACTTTTGAAATTGTTATGAAAAATGCCTGGATGATAAATAAAGTGCATGAGAGTCACAAAACCAAGTGGAGAATTCCATGCCGCACACCAGTTCCTAATCTCTTTTAGTAGAAGAAACCATGCCACGCCCAAGTAATTTAGAACATCCTGGGTATCCTTTTACTCACATACTTTCATTTGCTGGTTATTGTAACTTAAATTTTATAAATTCATTTTTAAATAATTCAAACTCTTTGGAATTTTATATAAAGTCTAGACTGAGATTAAACTTTTAGCATACCCTACCTTCATGGATAGAGTATTACAAATTCAATAAACACAATTGTAATGGTATTATTAACAAGTCTGGAGGACAAATTGATTATTAGCACATGTGAGAAGCATATTACTTTGAGGGAATTGATAAATTCATTCTCAAACAAACATTCTTATCATTCAACAAAACAGGTCTCTTAAGGAAATTTAGTATCTGGGAAATCATTAGCCTGAATCTTAATGCTAAACAAGGTTATTTCCTGAAAAAAAAAATCCATTGTTCTCTGCTCATTTATTGGGATTTTTAGTGCTTTGATTTATCTAAATAAATGAAGATTTATTATAACTGAAGATTAAGATCTTTCTTTTATGCATATTAAATGGTCAATTAAATAGAACTGTCTCAGTATTTCTAAAGGTAGATCCTAGGGCGGGCAGGGGCAGGGAAAGGCATTTGGTATCACGTAGGATGCTACATAAGGGGTTTTGACCCCCAATTGCAGCACTTATGATTAATGTCACTTGGAGCAAGTTATTTAATTTTCCTGAACTTTGATGTTTCTCACCCATAAAATAAAAATGATAATCCTTATCAAAGAAATTTGTTTTGAGGATTAAATGAGAGTATGTATGACAGCTCCTAGTATGGAGCCTGACAAACAGTAGGCCCATGCTTAACATAAGAAACTGCTATTAAAATTTATTCTGTTTTAGGTCATATAACTATCATTCGTTTTGGCCACAAAACATGTGTTATTGTAGAAATCTTGGAAAAGCAAAAAGCATATAATGAAAAAAAAGAGAATCACATTTATAGCCAACCTTTATGTATAATTATTTTAAAATTTTTTATCATATTTATCATGTATTGCTGTAATTTTTAGAACCATCAGAAAAAGAGTATTGACTATCTTGTATTTAACAGAAAAATTATATCTCCTCTAGTTCGAACAGTAATAGATAATTATGTTTAACAATTTTGTAAATATACTTTTAGATTGTTTTCTGGGCAGATAGAGTTTTTGTAAAATTATTTATTGTATGCACCTGCTTTCTAAAAAGCAAATATATGTAATTCAATTTCTTATTAAATAAATCATCTAAAAGTATGATCGTCAATGACTACACAGTATTCTATCTCATTAAAACACCAAACTATTTTTTTAATTGCTCTTGCCAGGTGCAGTGACTCACGCCTCTGATATCAGCAATTTGGGAGGCCAAGTGGGGTGGATCACCTGAGGTCAGGAGTTTGAGACCAGCCTGGCCAACACAATGAAACCCATCTCTACTAAAAAATACAAAAATTAGCTGGGCACAGTGGCAGTTACCTGTAATCCCAGTTACTCGGGAGGCTGAGGCAGGAGAATCGCTTGAACCTGGGAGGCAGAGGTTGC
The DNA here is from genome assembly GCF_000001405.40 of Homo sapiens. Classification (NCBI taxonomy): domain Eukaryota; kingdom Metazoa; phylum Chordata; class Mammalia; order Primates; family Hominidae; genus Homo; species Homo sapiens. The sequence goes on from NC_000008.11 coordinate 65,055,205, forward strand.
GGTGAGCTGAGATCGTGCCACTGCACCCCAGCCTGGGCGACAGAGCTAGACTCCATCTCAAAAAGAAAAAAAAATGCTCTTAAAAGTAATTAAAATTGTTTGTGATTTTTTTCTTATAAAAATAAGTTATTTATATCTAAGTATAGAAATTACATAGCTTTAAATGTTTAATTTATCTTAAAACTGTGTAAGAGTGCTCTCATTTGATTGTTTAGTTTTGGTAAATTTCTGAATGCAAAATTACTTAGTCAATGACAAAGATAATTTTTAAGTTTTTGTGTATATGTTGCCCAGCTACACCCAACAAATTCTAACAATCTTCATGCTTAATTATATCACCATACCTTACCACAAACAAAATGCTATCTTTTATAAATCACCAATATGACAAAATAAAATAGTACAGAGTTAATAATTTGCATGTTCGTAATTGTTATATTAGACATATTTTAGTGCTCATATGAGTTACATCTTTCTGTATGTGTTTGCTAGGGATCTTTGTTCATTTTTCTATTGAAATACTCATTTTTATATTAAAATTTGTAAAAACTCTTTACATACTAACCTCTTATTTAGCAAACAGCAAACATTTCCTCATTTTGGTCTATCTGTTCTTGAACCACATCACAGTGTTAAAGCAATTGTATCTTTACACTATTGTAAAATTTCAACTAGTAGAATAACTCTCATTTCTCTTTTTCAAAATTTGTTGATTTCTAGTAATAGAAAAAAATTGCAAAATGTTGAAGTCACATTGAATGAAAAATGGTTTATGAATAATTAATATCTTTATAATATTAAGTGTTCTATTCTAAGTGTATTTTTGTTTCATTTTCTTTATGTACCTTAATTATTGTTTTCAAGTTTTTTTCAGAGAAGACTGGAATATATATTGTTAATTTTTTGCTAGATATTTTATATTTTTAGTTGCTAATGGGAATGGGGTCTTTATTCCTTCATACTACTGTGATTTATACACTGCAATTAGCTGATGTGATGTGTGTGTGTGTGTGTGTGTGTGTGTGTATGTGTGTATGTGTATATCTTCTAACCAATTATTATTGAATTTATTGGATGAATTATATGAAATTTTAAGTGCTATAAGATAGTTCAGTAATTCTCTTTGATTAAGCAAGTCATATGTATCATCTATAATTGAAGTAATATATGCTTCTAGATTATTTTATTATTTTTTTGAATTTATTAGAACATCCAAAACAATGTTATATGATATTGGTGACAGTGGGCATCATTGTTTTCCCCAGTTTTAATAGTAATAGCTCTAATGTTTTAATGCTGAGTATAGTTTTGCTGTTGAAATAAGATAGATATTTTAAAGAAGTTAAGAAATGTCTTTCTACTTCTACTTCACAGAGGAATATTTAATACAAATAGCAATGGCTTTTATCAAGTGAATTTTTGTCATCACCACAATGGTGACATGCTTTTTCTCCTTTGACCTGTTGATGTTAATTATCCTAATATCCCTAATATTAGAAAGTTTTTACATCTTTAAAATAAGTCTTACTTAGTCATGTGATCATGGTTAGTTTTCTTCTTAATTTATTTTTTTGAATTTGCTTGCTGGTATAATTTTTCTGGTTCACTGATTTCTGCTTACGTATTTATTAATTTCTCTTCACTTTCGTATGACTGTATACAAATAGATATGTGGAACGTACTTTATTTATTTCAATGATAAATTCATTTTTCATTCTTTCCTTTGTATTAACACCATGGAATTACCTCTAAATGCATTTTAAATCATCTTTTTTTTATTTTTATCTATTTATTTTCTTGAGATGGAGTCTCACTCTGTTGCCCAGGCCGGAGTGTAATGGTGCAATCTTGGCTAGCTCCAACCTATGCCTCCTGGGTTCGAACAATTCTCCTGCCTCAGCCTCCCGGGTAGCTGGGATTACAGGTGCCTGCCACCACACCCAGCTAATTTTTTTTATTGTAGTCGAGATGGGGTTTCACCATGTTGGCCAGGCTGGTCTTGAACTACTGACCTCAAACAATCCACTCACCTTGGCCTCCCAAAGCTCTGGGATTACAAGTGTAAGCCACCATGCCTGGCCTAAATCATCTTTTATAAGAGTTTTATTACTCATTTTAATTATTTCTAAACAAACCATAATTGCAAAAGTTTTTATTTTTACTTTAACCTGTCAATGAGACTGTTTTACAATTGCTGTATGTTTGGAATTTTACTATTCAGTTCTTGTTTTATTGCTGTTATTAAAAATATGTATGTATCTTTTAGTATTGCTTAAATTTCCTCTGGTTTAATATATAATCAACTTTTGCAAACTATGAAACTAAAAAAAGTATATTCTCATTTTGCATGTTTCAAAATTACACCATTTATATAAAACAATCATGACTATATTTTTGTTTCTCCATCTTTTTATTAATAACCAAATAATTATTGAAGTACATCAAAATTGCTCACAATTTTCAGTTAATTACATTTATCACTATTTTTAATATAGTGGTGATAGTTTGCAACACAAAAAGTTTTGAAACTTTTATCTTGTTTATGGGTTATACTTTTGCCAATATAAAAGAAAAAGACTCTTAGTATATAAACACTTTGAGCACTGGAGAATTTTGAATACATTTATTTGATTAAATTTGTCCATGCTTTTAACATTAGCCTGTTGGAATCACTGTATTTCAGATGCATCTTTTACATACTGCACATGAATGGGTTTTCTCTTTCTCATACACTATGAACACAGCTGGTCTCTACAAAAATAATTTTACCTATTTATATTCACAAGCATCATTTCACTTCAATATTTTATGATTACTTGGTACTTGAGTCTTATATTCTATTTCACCTATTTTCTATTATTTTTTATATAAAATATAGGTATATTTTTTAGTGGAAGCATGCCTCGAAGATATTGTGGGTTCACTTCTAGACTGCTACAATGAAATGATTATCACAATAAAGCGAATCACACAAATTTTTTGGTTTCCCAGTGCACATAAAATTATGTTTACATGACACTGTAGTCTATTAAGTGTGCAATGGCATTATATCTAAAAAATATCATACCTATTAATTTAAAAATATTTTATTGCTTAAAAAATGCTGACACAGAGACATGGCATGAGCACATGCCACTCAAAAAATGACGCTGATATACTTGCTCAAAGCAGAGTTGCCACAAACCTTCACTTTGTGAAAAACACAGTATCAGCAAAGTGTAAAAAAAAGTGGAGTGTATTAAAACAAGGTCAGCCTGTTATTAAGAAAAGCACAGGCTGCTTTAAATGATAATAGTAACACACCATTACTTTAAAGTATTTGAACATATATTGCTCTAATTTTCAGTATTGACAGTAAAATATTGACTACCCCATATATAATAGAAAAGTCACCTGTTATACTTTTCCTTTTTTCCATCTCTCCTCTTCGTGCTTCTTGATAAGTTTTGTATGCTGAAATTTAAGACTCAGCTATTATTGCCAAATTATTCTTTACATTATGTATCTTCTCTTCAACATCCATTTATGTATCTTGATTTAGTGCTATAGTCTACTTTCTGAACATATTTGTGATATTTTTGGGCTAATTAATATTTAAATGTTTCCAATGCTATAAACCGTGTCTTTCCTACCACGGTTTCTCCAAATGTAATTCATGTCTTGGTTGCAGGAGCGTATCTTAATACAGGTGGCATAATTTTTGAGCCTCTGAATATCTAAAGATGTCCACAGGCACAATTATACAACAATGTTTTAAATATATAATTCTTGGGTAACAAATATTTTACCTAAAATGTAGAGATATTGCTCTTTACATGTCATCTTCTAGGTTTTCCTACTGTATAATCGAAGAGAATTTCTATGGTCAGAGTGATTTTTGGGGGTAGGTATCATGTATTTTGTCTAATTTTTATGTTTATAATTATACTTATTTGTTTTTAAAAGTCTAGGCAGCATGCTTGGACATGTGTAGGTACTGAGATTTTGCATAGTATGTAGTTAGCCCTATCAGCCTGCAAGACTAGGACATTTTTTATCTCAGTTTTTCCTCCATTATATATAGTTAATAGTTTGTTGGATTCTAATTATTTGTTCTTCGTATTAAGTATCTTCTTGTCTTCATTTTCATTTTTTAAAATTTATTCTAGAAGGTTTACTCAAGCTGAATTTTATCATTGATAAAATATTAGGAAGAATTAAACTCTTCACTTCATTATTTCCACTATGGTCTTATTTCTGCTCTTTTCAGTTTCAATACAGTCCTTCCTTGTGGTCATCCTTTCAATGCAGTCATTCAGCTCCATTTTTATTTCTGTTTGTTTTGGTTTGCCTTGTCATATCAGTTGCTGTCCTACTGATAGGGACAGGAGGCAGAGAAATCCTAGGCAGAAAAGGGAGGGTCCCCAACAAAACCCCACCCTCAAGCCTGAAACTGCAGCCCAAAGTGAGAACTTACATCCCTGTTTTCCCATTAAAATGCTGCCTTTCCCAAAACCACCATGGCCCGGCCCTGCCCCGCCCCATCCTGTGCCTATAAAAACCACAGGCTCAGCCAGCAGAGAGGGGAGAAGTAGCTGGGCGTCGGAGACTACAGATGGAAGTCAGAGAGAAGTGGCCTGACTTCAGAGGGACAGCTTGACAGCATAACTTTGGAGAATAGTCTGGCCATCTCTGGCCGGACTTCAGGGGAAGATTACCTTTCTGTCCTGTCTCCTTTTCAGCTCTCCTTCCCACTGAGAGCTACCTCCATCAGCAATAAAATCCCCTACATTTACCATCCTTCAATTTGCATTTGTGTGACCTAATTTCTCCTGGACATCAGACAAGAACTCAGGAACCACAGGTGCAGATGTAAAAAGCTGTCACAGTGACCCTTTGACCTCTCTGGCGGAAGGCAGCCACCTCACGCAAAAAGGCAGAGGGACAACTGAGCTGTTAACACTTAAGCTGTCTGCAGGTGGCAGGGCTAAAAGAGCACTGTAACACTCCCTCTGGGGCTTCAGGGTCGCAGGCATGCACTCTAGGTCCTGCCATGGGGCCTGCATGGAGTTTGCTCCTGCCAGCACCCTCCAGCTCCAGACAATCACCCTGGCTCCTGCACCTGCTCACCTGCCTGCTGCCTCCCATGAGGGGTGGAGCACAGCGGGTCCAAATGAGTGGAGTTCACCCTGCTGGTGCCAAAGCAACTGGCTAGTTCCAGCACCTGTGCACTCCAGTTCCTGCCTCGATCACTCACATGCTCCCTCCTGTGAAGACTTGAGAGCTGCAAACTGAATAAACGAGGTACCCCTTTTACAAGTCCCACGAAGGGGTTAGGGAATTATCCTGCTTCACTACCACTTCCTCCTTCATTTCTTATTGTAAAAGGATCATGCTTTCTTGAGTTTTATTGAGTGCACAAAGCAGATGCACTCTGAGTATTACATGTTTCCCACCATGCAGCTGTTTAAAAAGTGTTCTTTGGTTCTCAAGGGCTGTTTTCTTCTTTTTGTGTTGCTGAATCTTTTTGAAGATGCAGTGTCTCTGTGTGTATATGTGCCTGTGTGTGTGAGTACACGTGTTAACACATGTGCTTAGCAGGCTGTAGTTTGGTTTTGAATGATGGGCACACTATCTTGGTCTGATATTACATCTGAAGAGAGTGAGTTTCTCTTCAATTGCCTTATTCAGCATGGTGGAATGCTATTGAAATCCTTCTCTCAAGCTCAAGCTGGAAGGCAGTTCGAGGTACATTTCCATCATCAGTTCAGTGGTCTAGCAATTTGAGATGAGTGGGGACAGGAGACATGTAAATGAACCTTGTAGGGAAGTTTTCACTTTCTACCTTTTATATGTTTAGTGTAGCAGCTGCACCAGACACATGGATCATCTTTCTATTTGACATTATTTCTTTGGTGGGAAGAGCAGGCTTTACCAAGCCACATAGTTGGACTTCATTGTTCCTTTCCTTAGTATTCCTGACTGCCACTCCTAACAGCCACCTCACTGACTTTCTGCTTGTGTGTTTGTTATAGCTTAGTATTTCCCCCACGATACTGTGCTCTTTGCCTTGGTCAAGTTACTTCACCTCTCGGTGTTAAAATAATAGTAACTACCTCATAGGGTTGTTGCAAGAATTAAATGACTTAATACATTCAAAGCTCTTAGAACCATGTCTGACACGCAGCACATATTCAGTAAGGATTATCTGAATGGGAACCTACCCTTCCCAGCTGCAACAAGGCACCCAAACCCCCTGCTGACGGCTGAGTGAGAAGCCAGAACTGTCATCTCCATCATGTGGTAACAAGCTCCCCCTGCCCCCGCCATGATGTCAGTAGAGACCATGTAGGGAGCCTGGACTTCACTCTCAGCCAACAGTATGAGGCTCTGCGGTGGTGTCAGTGTTGGCCATATGGAAAGCAGTGATGAGGTACTCTTACCCCTACCTGCCAAAGAGGTATCACTGCAGACCTAGTAGGACCCAGAACTCTTATTTCCCCCTAAAAATAAGGAGAAGCCTATACCCTTGGGTGTCAATAAGCTGAGTAAAGAACCTGGACTTTTAGCCCCACATTGCAGTCATGACGCAGTGCCCCAACCTCCCTGGCCAGAGTGGCAATGGAAGAAGCAATTTGAAATAGAGAATTTAAATAAGATCCAGATCTTCATAACATAATACACCAAATGTTCACATTTCAATTGAAAAATCCCTAGCATACAAAGAACAAGGAAGAACTCAAACTGCATGAAAAAAGAAATCAATAGATGCCCATACAGGATGACAAAGATGTTAGAATTATCTGAGAAATAGTTTAAAGCAGCCATCATAAACATGTTTTATTGAACAATTAAAATCATGCTTGAAACAATCAAAAAAGAAGAAAGTCTCAGCAAAGAGCTAGAGAGTCTCAGTAAAGAAATAATAGATATGAAATTGGGAGGCTGAGGCAGGAGAATTGCTTGAGCCCGGCAGGCAGAGGTTGCAGTGAGCAGAGATCATGCCATTGCACTCCAGCCTGGGCTCAGAGCAAGACTCTGTCTCATTAAAAAAAAAAAAAAGAGAGAGAGAAATAAAAATCTTAGTGGATAGATGCAACAGCAGAATGAAGACAAAGAGAAAATATTAGTGAACTGAAATATAGAACAATAATAATACTCCATCTAAAAAAGAGAAATAGACTGAAAAAAAAAATGAAAAGGAACCGGTGGGTCTATAACAAAAGATCTAACACTCTACTCATTGAATTCCTGGAAGGAGAGGAGAAAGAGGGCAGGCTGAAAAAGTACTCAAAGATGTAATGGGTGAAATCCTCCAAACCGTCAAAAGTGTAAACTGAAAGATTCAAAAAGCTGAAAAAACCCCAAGCAGGATGAACCCCCAAAACCCACACCTACACACATCATAGACAACATCTGAAAACTAAAGTCTAAGAAAAACACCTTGAAAGTACCAAGATCGAAATGATACCTTGCCTATAAGAGAGAAGCAATTCAAATGAAAATAAATTTATCGGCCAGGCGCGGTGGCTCACGTCTGTAATCCCGCCACTTTGGGAGGCCGAGGCAGGCAGATCACGAGGTCAGGAGATTGAGACCATCCTGGCCAACACAGTGAAACCCCGTCTCTACTAAAAAAAAAAATACAAAAAATTAGCCGGGCGTAGTGGCGGGCGCCTGTGGTCCCAGCTACTCGGGAGGCTGAGGCAGGAGAATGGCGTGAACCCGGGAGGCGGAGCTTGCAGTGAGCCGAGATTGCGTCACTGCACTCCAGCCTGGGCGACAGAGCGACACTCTGTCTCAAAAAAAAAAACCAAAAAATTATCATAAAAAACCATGGAGAACTGAAGAAAATGACACAACACTTTTCAAGTCCTAAAATAAATGGGTTGTCAACACCCAATCCTATGTTCAGAGATAATAACCCTCAGAAATGAGGAGAAATCAAGACATTATCAGATGAAGGAAAACTAAGATAATTTGTCCCTAGATAATTTGTCTAGTTTAAAACTAGAAAGAAGGTTCTCTAAACATGAAATTAATGATAAGGAAGAAATCTTGAAACAAAAAAAAGACAAAAAATATAGGTATATATGGTAGACTTGCCTTCTCTTAAGTCTTCTGAATTATGTTTGACAGTTAAAGCAAAAATTATAACACTGTCTGATATGGTTATAAATGTGTGTAGAAGAAATATTTAAAGCAGTTATATTCTGAATGAGGAAGGATAAAGTTACAAGAAAGTAAGGTTTCTATACTTTACTAAAACTATTAATAGTAAAATGAGGACACCATTAGAATGTGAAGTTATGCATATATAATGTAATATATAGAGCAACCACTAAAAGAACTATACAAGTAGACACACCCAAAACAACAATAGATAAATACAGATAAAATTATAAAAAATATTTAAGTAATCCAATAGGAAAGTAGGAAAAAAAGAGAAATAAAAAACAGATATAAAAAACTGAAAAGAATTGGCAGATAAATCTTAACACATCAATGTTCACATTCAGTGTAAATTATGTAAATACACCAATTAAAAGAAAAAATATTGCTAGTGTGGCTTAAAAACATGACCCAGATATATGCTATCTACCAGGAATTCACTTTGAAAAGATCAGTAAAATCGACACATATATAGCAAGACTAACAAAGAAAAAAAGAGAGAAGACCCAGATGTAGCAATGCACCATATGTACCAATGTTAGAAACAAAACATGGCTATTAGTCAGAACGTGCAGATATCAAAAGGATTATAAGGAAAAATTATGCACAACTCTAAACACATAAATTTGACAACTTAGATGAAATGAACCAATTCCTATTAAAATATAAACTACCACCACTCGCCTCATTTGAAATTGATCACTTGAATAGCCCTATAATTATTCAGAAAAAAAATGAATTCAAAATTTCCCAGAGAAGAATCCAGATGCAGATGTTTTTACAGGAAAATTCTACCAAATTTTATTTATTTATTGTTTACTTATTGTTTTTATTTTTTATTTTTTGTGGGTACATAGTAGGTATATATATTTATGGATTACATGAGATATTTTGATAAAGGCATGCAATGCATGATAATCAAATCAGGGTAAGTAAAGTATCCATCCCTTCAAGCATTTATCATTTGTGTTACAAACCAATTTTACTCTCCTAATTACTTTAAAATGTACAATTAAATTATTTTTGACTATAGTCACACTGTTGTGTTAGTAACTACTAGGTCTTATTTATTCTTCCTATTTTTTGTACCCATTAACCATCCCCACTTCTGTCCCACACCACCCCAACTACCCTTCCTAGCCTCTGCTATCCATCCTTCTTCCTTCTATCTTCGTAAGTTCAATTATTTTAATTTTTAGCTCCCATAAATAAGTGAAAACCCTCGAAGTTTGTCTTCCTGTGCCTGGCCTATTTCACTTAATATAATGACTTCCAGTTCCATCCTTGTTGTTACAATTGACAGGATCTCATTCTTTTTTATGGCTGAATAGTACTCCATCATGTATATGTACCAGATTTTTTTTTCTCCATTCGTCTGTTAATGGACACTTAGGTTGCTCCCAAATCTTGGCTATTGTGAATAGAGCTGCAATAAACATGGGAGTGCAGATATCTCTTCAATATACTGATTTCCTTTCTTTTGGACATATACCTAGGAATAGGATTGCTGGACCATATGGTAGCTCTATTTTTAGTTTTCTGAGGAACTTCCAAACTGTTTTCCATAGTGACTGTACTAATTTACATTCCAACCAACAGTGTATGAGGGTTCCCTTTTCTCCACATCCTTGCCAGCATTTATTATTGCCTGTCTTTTTGATAAAAGCCATTTTAACTGGGGTGAGATGATATATCATTGTAGTTTTTGATTTGCATTTCTCTGATGATCAGTGATGTTGAGCACCTTTTCATATATCTGTTTTTGATTTGTATGTCTTCTTTTGAGAAATGTCTTTCAGGTCTTTTGCCGGTTTTAAAATCAGATTATTAGATTTTTTTTCCTATAGAATTGTTTGAGCTCCTTACATACTCTGGTTATAAATCCCTTGTCAGATGGATAGTTTGCAAATATTTTTTTCCCATTCTCTGGGTTGTCTTTTCACTTTGTTGATTGTTTCTTTTCTGTGCAGAAGCTTTTTAACTTGATGTAATCCTATTTTCCTATTTGTCCATTTCTTTCATTGGTTGACTATGCTTGTGGGGTATTACTCAAGAAAGCTTTGCCCAGTTCAGTTTCCTGGAGAGTTTCCTTAACGTGTTCTGGTAGTAGTCTTATAATATGAGGTCTTAGATTTAAGTCTTTCATCAATTTTAATTTCATTTTTGTATATGGTGAGAGACAGTGGTCTAGTTTCATTCTTCTGCATGTGGATATCCAATTTTCCCAGCACCATTTATTAAAGAGACTATCCTTTCCCCAATGTATGTTGGCACCTTTGTCAAAAATTACTTCACATAAATGTATGCATTTATTTCTGGTCTTTTCCACTGGTCTGTGTGTCTGTTTTTATGCCAGTACTATGCCATTCTGGTTACTATAGCTCTGTAATTTAATTTTTAAAAAATAATTTAAAGTCAGGAAATGTAGATTCCTCTAGTTTTGCTCTTCTTCCTTAGGACAGATTTGGCTATTGGTGGTCTTTTGTTGTTCCACATACATTTTAGGATTTTTTCTATTTCTGTTAAGCATGTCATTGGAATTTTGATTGGGATTACATAGCTTTGGGTAGTATAAACAGTGTAACAATATTGATTCATCCAATTCATGAACATGGAATATTTTTCCATTTTTTGGTGTCCTCTCTAATTTTTTTCATCATCGTTTTATAGGTTTCATTACAGAGATCTTTCATGTCTTTGGTTAGGTTAATTCCTAGGTATTTAATTTTATTTGTGGCTATTGTAAATGGGATTACTTTTTAAAATTTCTTCTTCAGGTTGCTCACTGTTGGCATAGAGAAATGCTGCTGATTTTTGTATGCTGATTTTGTATCCAGAAACTTTGCTGAATTTGTTTATCAGTTCTAATAGTTTTTTTTTTTTTTGGTGAGTTATTAGGTTTTTCTTATAAGAAGACATCATCTGTGAACAGGAATAATTTGACTGCTTCCATTCCAATTTGGATGCCCTTTATTTATTCCTTTTGTCTGATTGCTCTAGCTAAAAGTTCCTATACTATGTTGAAAAACAGTGGTAAAAGTGGGCATCCTTGTCATGTTCCAGATCTTAAGGGAAAGGCTTTCAATTTTTCGCCATTCAGTATGATTCAAGCTATGTGTCTGTTAAGTATGGCTTTTATTATGTTGAAGTATGTTCCTTCTATACCCAGTTTTATGAGGGTTTTTATCATAAAGTGATGTTGAATTTTATCAAATGCTTTCTTCAGCATCAATTGAAATGATCATATGGTTTTTATCCTTCGTTCTATTGATCTGATGTATCACATTAATTGATTGGCCTATGTTGAAACATCCTTGCATTTCTGGGATAAATCCCACTTGGTCATGATGAATGATCATTTTAATGTATTGTTGAATTTCGTTTGCTAGTATTTTGCTGAAGATTTTTGCACTAATATTCATCAGTGATATTGGCTTGTAGTTGTTGTTGTTGTTGTTTTGATGTGTCTTTGTCTGGTTTTGATATCAGGGTAATACTGGCCTTGTAAGAGGAATTTGGGAGTATTCCCTCCTCCTCTATTTTGTGGAATAATTTGAGTAAGATTAGTATTAGTTCTTTAAATGTTTGGTAGAATTCAGCAGTGAAGCCATCAGGTCCCAGGCTTTTCTTTGCTGGGAGACATTTTATTATGGCTTCAATTCCATTACTTGTTATTGGTCTGTTTAGGTTATGAATTTCTTCATGGTTCAATCTTGGTAGGTTTTATGTGTCTAGGAATTTGTTCATTTCTTTTAAATTTTCCAACTTATTGGCATATAGTTGCACATAGTGGCCATTGATGATCCTCTGAATTTCTTCAGTGTCAGTTATAATGTCTTCTTTTTCATCTCTGATTTTATTTGTGTCTTTTTTTTTTTTTTTTTTGAGATGGAGTCTTGCTCTGTCACCCAGGCTGGAGTGCAGTGGTAAAATCTCAACTCACTGCAACCTCAGCCTTCTGGGTTCAAGCGATTCTCCTACCTCAGCCTCCTGAGTAGCTGAGATTATAAGTGTGTACCACCACACCCAGCTAATTTTTGTATTTTTAGCAGAGATGGGGTTTCACCATGTTGGTCAGGCTGGTCTCGAACTCCTGACCTCATGATCCACCTGCCTCGGCCTCCCAAAGTGCTGGGATTACAGGTGTGAGCCACCGTGCCCAGCCATCTTCTTTTTACTTAGTCTGGCTAAAGGTTTGTCAATTTTGTTTATCTTTTCAAAAAACCAAATTTTTGTTTTGTTAATTTTTGTATATTTTTCTTTAGTTCAAATTTATTTATTTATGTTCTGATCTTTATTATTTATGTTTTTCTACTAATTTGGGGTTTAACTCATGATTTTCTCTTTCTCTAAGATGCATTGTTTCATTGTTTATTTGAAGTTTCTCTTCTTTTCGGATGTAAGCACTTACAGCTATAAGCTTTTCTCTTAGTATTGCTTTCACTATATACCATAGGTTTTGGTATATTGTGTTACCATTATTATTTGTTTCAAGAAATTTTTCCATTTTCTTCTTAAATTCTTCATTGACTGACTGGTCATTCTGAAGCACATTGTTTAATTGCCATGTGTTTGCATGGTTTCCAAAATTACTCTTGTTATTGATTTCTAGTTTTAGTCCACTGTGGTCAGAGAAGAAGCTTGGCATTATTTCAATTTTTTTAATGTTTTAAGATTTGTTTTGTGACCTAGTATATGGTCTACCTTTGAGAATGATCCATGTGCTGAGGAAAAGAATGTGTATTCTGCAGCCATTGAATGAAATGTTGTATAAATACCTATTAGGTCCATTTGCCCTATGTGCAGATTAAATCTGATGTTTCTTTGTTGATATTTTTGTCTAGGAGATTTGTTCAATGCTATAAGTCAGGTGTTCAAGTCCCAGCTATTATTGTATTGGGGCCTATCTCTTTCTTTAGCTCTAAAAATATTTGTTTTTTATATATGGGTGCTCCAGTATTGGGTGCATATATATTTATAATTGTCATATCCTCTTGCTGAATTGACCCCTTTATCATCATATAGTAACCTTCTTTGTCTCTTCTTGTAGTTTTTGACTCGAAATCTATTTTGTCTGATATAAGTATGGCTACTCCTGCTCTTTTTTGGTTTCCATTGGCATGGAATATTTTTTTTCATCTTTTTATTTTCAGTCTATGTGTTTCTTTATAGGTGAAGTGTGTTTCCTGTAGGTAACATATCACTGGGTCTTGGTTGGTTGGTTGGTTGGTTGTTGTTGTTGTTGTTTTTTGCCATAAAGCCACACTGTCTTTTGATTGGAGTGTTTAGTCTGTCTACATTCAGTGCTATCATTGATAAGAAAGCACTTCCTCCTGCCATTTTGTTATTTGTTTTCTGGTTGTTTTGTGGTGTTCTCTTCCTTCTTCCCTTCATTCCTATCTCTTTTTAGTGAGGTTATTTTCTCAATTAGCATAATTTAATTACTTGATTTTTATTTTTTGTGTATATGTTGTATGCTTTTTGATTTGAAGTTTTCATGATGCTTGAGGCTTGCACATACTATCAAGTAAGCTATTATTTTAAGCTGATAGCAACTTAACATTGCCTACGTCTACAAATGAACAAGCCAAAAAAAAAAAAAAAAAACTAATAAAAACTCTACACTTTAACTTGGTCCGACCACTTTCTAATGTTTTGCTGTTTCTATTTATCTTATTATACTGTCTATATCTTGAAAAATTCTAGCTAATTTTTTTTATTGGTTCAACTTTTAGTTTTCCTACTGAAGATGAGGAGTTTGTGCACCACAGTTACAGTGTTATATTATTCTGTGTCTTTCTGTGTATTTACAATTACCCGGGATTTTTGCACCTTCAGCTTATTTCTTACTGCTCATTAACATCGTTTTCTTTCTAATTGAAGTAATCCCTTTAGCATTTCATATAGGACAAATCTTGTGTTGATAAAATCACCACATTTTGTTTTTCTGGGAAAGTCTTTGTTTCTCGTTCATGTTTGAATCATATTTTCACCGGATATGCTATTCTAGGGTAAAAGGATTTTTTTTGCCCTCAGCACTTTAAATACGTCATGCCACTCTCCTGGTCTCTAAGGCTTCTACTGAAAAGCCTGCTGCCTGACATATTGGAGCTCTATTGTATGTCATCTGTTTCTTTTATCTTGTGGATTTTAGGATCCTTTCTTTTTTCTTGACTTTTTGGAGTTTGATTATTAAATGCCTTGAAGTACACTTCTTTGAGTTAAATCTGCTTGGTTTTCTATAACCTTCATGTACTTGGATATTGATATCTTTCTCTAGGTTTAGGAAGTTCTCTGATATCCCCTTTAATAAAATTTCTATCCCTACCTCTTTCTCTATCTCCTCTTTAAGGCCAATAACTCTTAAATTTGCCTTTTTGAGGCTATTTTCTCGATTCTGTAGATGTGCTTCATTTGTTTTTGTCTCCTCTTACTGTGTATTTTCAAACAGCCTGTCTTCAAGCTCACTAGTTATTTCTTCTGCCATTAAAAGATTCTGACTTATTATTCACTATGTCAATTACATTTTTCAATTCCAGAATTTCTGTGTCTTTCTATGTGGTTTAATTATTTCAATCTCTTTGTTAAATTATCTGATAGAATTCTGAACTCCTTCTCTGTGTTATCTTGAATTTCTTTGAGTTTCCTCAACACAGCTATTTGAATTCTGTCTGAAATGTCACATGTCTCTCCTCCAGAATTGGTCCAATGTGCCTTATTTAGTTCACTTGGTAAGGTCATGTTTTCCTGGATGGTCTTGATGCTTGTGAATGTTCACCTGTGTCTTGGCATTGACGAGTTAGGTATTCATTGTAGTCTTGGCAGTTTGGGCTTGCTCGTACTTAATCCTTCTTGAGAAGGCTTTCCAGGTATTTGAAAGGACTTGGGTATTTTAATCTAAGCTGTATCTGCATTAGAGGGCACCCAAGGCCAGGAACACTGTGGTTCTTGCAAACTTGTAGACATACTGCCTTGATGGTCTTAAATAAGATTTGGAAGAATTCTCTGAATTACCAGGCCAAGACTCTTGTTCTCTTCCCTTACTTTCTCCCAAACAGAGCCTATCTCTCTGTTCTATGCTGACTGGAATTGGGGGTGGGGTGACATAAGCACTCCTGTGGCCACTACCACTGGGACTCTGTTGGGTCAGATCTGAAGCCAGCAGAGTACTGAGTCTCACCCAAGGCCTGCTGTAACCACTATCTGGCTAACCACTACCTGGCTATCACCTATGTTTGCTCAAGGCTCTGGGGCTATATAATCAGCAGGTGGCAAAGCCAGCCAGGCTTGTGTCCTTCCCTTCAGGATGTGAGTTCTGCCTGCCCTAGCAGATTCAGAGGTGCCCTCTGGGAATAAGGGACTAGAATTTAAAACCTTAGAAGTCTACCTGGGGTTCTGTTGTACTAGAGCTAAGCTGTCACTCAAACCATGAAATGCAGTCCTTTTTACTCTTCCTTCTCCTTTCCAAAGGTGAGAAGCTTCACCCAACGGTCACCATCACAAGTCCATGTAGAGTACTGCCAGGCAACTGCCGATATACTCTTAAAGTCCAGGAGCTCTTCAGTCAGTTTGTGGTGAATGCTTCCAGGTCTAGGGCTCATGCCTCAGGGCAGTAGACTCCCCTCTGGTCCAGGTCAGGTCCAGGAATCCCATCCGGGAGCCAAGGCCTGGAATCGGGGGCCCCAAGAGCCTGCTTGATGCTCTACCCTACTGTGGCCAAGCTGGTACCTAAGGTGAAAGACAAAGTCTCCTTTCCTTTTCCCTCTGCTTTTCTCAAGCAGAAAGTGACTCTCATATCCACCACAGCTAAGAATGTTCTGAGTCTCACCTAAAGCCAACCAGTCTCAGCATCACACCCAAGGCACATGGCATACTACCTAGGTATCACTGCTGTTTGCTCTCTGAATTACCAGGGCCTAAGGGCTCTCTAGGCAGCAGGTAATTAATCCTGTCACGACTGGGTTCTTCCCTTCAAGGCAATGGGTTCCCTTCTGGTCCAGGATATGTCTAGAAATATCATCTGAGAACTAGGGCTTAGAAAGGGAACCTCATGACACTATCCTGCTGTGGCTGAGCTGGTATCCAAAATGCAAGCCAAAGTCCTATTTACTCTTCCATCTCCTCTCCTCAACTGGAAGAAATATGGGTCTCTTTTAGAGCTACAAGCTGTGCAGCCTGGGGTTGGCTGGGCAGGGCGCGGGGGGCGGGGGGAGGGGGAACGGGTTGGGGGACGGTGCGGCACAAGTACTCTCTTAGCTCACCTTAGCTGCCCCAGCTGTTATCTCAATAGGGCACATGCCTCTGAAGTCCACTTGCTGTGAGACTTGTTCAGCACTAGGACTCATCTATGAGTTGCAGTCCTTGTGGTCTAGACTGCTCTTCAAGCTCATTTAGCGCCCCAGAGCACTTTAGCCCATGGTGATGTGGGTTGCTGGAACTCAAGTTTCCACCACTGGGATGGGTGATTCCCCTTTGGCTAGGTCTGGTTTAAATGCTCCCTGTATAGGCAGACATCAACTGTGTTCATCCTGGTTTTGCTTTCTGCTGTAACAGGGCAGCATTGAGTTCAATGCAACATCTCACAATCCCTGTGCTCACCCTCTCCCAAGAGCATAGATTATCTCTCTGTATCACACAGCTGCTGCCAGGGGTTAGGGGAGAAGTGTCATTGATGATTCAAGACTGTCTTTCCTACCCTCTTCCAGTACCTCTTTCTGTGATGTGAAGTTAAAACCAGCTACTGCAAGTTCTCACCTGATTTTTGGTTCTTATGAAGGTGATTTTTTGTGTGTAGATAGTTGTTAAATTGGGGTCCTTCGGTGGGGGTTGGGGGGTGCAGGGACAGTGAAGCCTTCTTTTTGGCCATCTTGCTCTATCCCTCTACCAAAATTTAAAGAAGAATTAATCCTAATTCTACAGAATTTCTTCAGAAAATAAAAGAGGAAGAAGCACTTTCTAATACATTTTGTGAAGTTATTATTACGCTGATAACAAAACCAGACAAAAAGAGCATAGCAAAAGAAAACCACAAACCAATACCATACACAAATGTTTATAGCAACTATGTTTCTTATAGCTGAAAACTGCAAAAAATTCAGATGTCCTTCAATAGGTGAATCATTTAAATAAACTGTAGTGTATCCACATAATGGAAGACTATTCAGCAACAAAAGGAATGGACTACACATATACACAACTACCTGAAGGAACCTCCAGAGCATTGTGTTAAGCATTGTGTTTAAAAAAAGATCTCAGTCACAAACTGTATGATTCCATTTATATAAGATTCTTGACATGACAAAACTGTAGAAATCAACAACAGATTAATGGTGTCCCAGTTAAGAAGAGGATGAAAGGGAAATGGATGCAGCATTGAAAGGGCAGCATGAGGTATCCTGTGGTGATGAAACTGTTCTGTATCTGGACTCATCAATGTCACTATTCTGGTTGTGATATTATACCCGCTTTGCAAGTGTTATTGGAGAAAAATAAGTAAAGGGTACACTGGATCTCTAATGTTATTTCTTACAACTGCATGTGAATCTACACTTATGCAAAATAAAAAGGTAATTTAAAAAACTAATCTCTCTTCCCACAAAAGGACACTGCAAATTTAAACCCATTCGTGTCTTAGAATTTCAAATGACTAAACGAAATCAAGAAAACTTAGAATGATAAAAAGGAACGTTAAAGAATATTGCATGTATACAATTTTAACAAAGCACTGATAAATATTCACTTCAGCTCAAGTCAACTATTTTGCAATGATTTTGTGAATGTTGACAGTTATGGGGTACTAGAAATGTGCATTTGTTTTAATTGGGGGTAATGACTTAAAACTGTTAACTCTAAATTTCTTTTAAAACCTATCTTTCAGGCAGTAGATTAGATAATCAGCTGAGCAGCTGAGTCATGATAGCAAATAAATGTAAAACAGCTCAGGTATAATCATGTGTTAGATATATTTATGTGGGCTTTCTTGGGCAGATGTCATTGTGTACATGAGTGTATGAGCATATAATTTGCATTTCACTTAATATATAAAACTTTTATTATCAAAATGCTCCATCCCTTTTACAGTAAAAGACGTAATTTATGACATAAAAGGCAGCTCTAAAATTCTGTAACTGAATTTATCAAGCAATGTTGAGTATTGGTAAGGAAAAGTAGAAAGAACTATAGTAGTATCATTCCAAAAAAAACCTTTCTAATTTAGTGGGGAGCAATAACAGATAAACTATACAAAGAGGGAAACTTTACTTCAAATTTTAATTTTGCTTAGTCCAAAAGGGAATACATAATGATTTAGTTCAATAAACCCTACGGAGAAACAAAAAGATGTTTTTAATGGCATGAAAGAGGTATAGAAGAGTCACCACAGCTGCAAATTCTTTTTAAAAATCAGGAATTTAAAAGGGACATAAACATAAAGCAAATAGTTAAAGACTTTGATGCCATTGCCAGAAAAAGCAAAGAAAAAGGAAACCAACTGCCTTCCCATCCTCTAAAAGAGAGGGCACCTACGAGAAACACTTCAGAAACTTTAACTCTTACCCACTTTGAAAGCAAAAAGAAAAATCAGATTCAAAAGAAAAAAAAGTAATAACAAATATATAAATCTTACCTTAAATCATATATATCTGACATTTTGAGGTGCGAATAATTATAAAATGTTGTAAATAGTAATATACACTAGATGCACATATTTCCATGAAAAGCTGTATATGTGATTTCACAATTATTTTCATTAAAATCCATTCTCCTTTTCTTTAGGAAAAGAAGATTAGCTGCATCATGTGCTAAGAAAATCTACTACTCTTTAGAGAAAGTTCTTTCCATTGATAAAATATTGTTGTAAATAATGCATTTCATAATCAGCACCTGAATTAGATACATAGTTTCAGTGGGAATTAATCAAAATTTATAGCCATGCATGCTTTACAAATTGAAATATTTAGTAAATTCTTAGTAACATGTGTGACAACTTGTGTTTAATACAGTCTTTTTCCAGTGTGCATATTAATATTTTGTTTTATCCCCTCTCTCTTATGAGAGGTAATGGAGAAAGTAACAAAATTGTGCATTTCATTGATCATATTACTTACCTATCCTGTGGCAGAATCCTGCAAATAAACTGTAATGATGGTATTTATACATATCTAGGTTAAAATGGAACCAGGCCCAAAACTTTCCTGCTCAACTTTCCATTAAAATACCCATGAAAATATAAAAGAAACCAACAATTACATCAGAAATTCAACATAAGAGAACATGACATGTCGAAAGTCTAGGTGGAATGTGCACTACTTGCAAAGTTGATTAAGATGACTCACTTTGAAGGAATTGGAGAAAACCATTTTGAAATGCCTCCAGATTGTTCAAAGAACTGGAAACTGAGTCTGTCTAGCTGGATCAGAAAATCCTATAGCTGAATCAGAAGATCCAACCTCAATTCAGGAGACTGGCATGGGAAGACTGCCAGCCAGCCATTGTAAATTCTACCAACTTGAAAATTTTGGGTTGAATCTGAGAGGGAAAATCATCTAGCACAAGTACATATTAAAGGAATCTAGATTATTCCACCTTGTCTGTTGTAAACTCCAGAAATAAATATAGCTCTCCCCTTTTAATATGAATAAACAGAAAAGAAAAGGGAGCGATTCTGTAAGTACACAAGGCAAAGAAACTATTATTTTGAAGATTAAGAAGATGATGTTTCTAATTCTAATTTTCTCTTTAAAAAGACAAACATTTGGCCAGGCATAGTGGATCACACCTGTAATCCCAGCACTTTGGGAAGCCAAGGTGGGTGGATCACCTGAGGTCAGGAGTTCGAGAACAGCCTGACCAACATGGAGAAACCCTGTTTCTACTAAAAATACAAAATTAACCGGGCGTGGTAGCACATGCTTGTAATCCCAGCTACTCAGGAGGCTGAGGCAGGAGAATCGTGTGAACCCGGGAGGCGGAGGGTGCGGTGAGCCGAGATCATGCCATTGCACTCCAGCCTGGGCAACAAGAGTGAAACTCTGTCTCAAAAAAAAAAAAAAAAAAAAAAAGACAAACATTTTAGAAGAAATTTGATTAATGTTGCTCAAACTCTTATATGAGTTTTGTCCAAAACATATATGTCTAAATGAGCTGACTGAAGTACTAAAATAATGCAGATTTTAAAAGATAACAGCAAAAAAAAGAATTAAGACACAGAGACTTTGCTTCATAAAATGTTTGAGACAGCTGGGAAAATTTGATTCTATATTGGGTTTTGGGGGATATTAGGGAATAATTATTAATGTATATTAATAATGAATAAATATGAACATATACATTTTTCATATTTTAAGTGATGTATGACAAACTATGGAGAAATAAAATGACACGATGCTTGGGATTTGTTTAAAATACTTCAGCAAATACATGAAAATTAGAGAATGAATACATGATTTGCATGTGGTAAAATCTAAATAGTTACAGAGAAGTGGTGGGTTGTGTCAGTTGCTTTTCTATGAAAAGCTGATGCTGAGGTAGAGTTGGAGGATAGAGGTTTCTTAGGGTTAAATCCTATGAAAGATGAAGGGGAAGAAAGCAGGAATTTGTCAGGGTAAGTCCTCAGGCCATGATACACATCCAATACCTATGAAAGAAGAGGAAGGATGAAACAGAATTGAACAGCAGAGCTTCAGATGGGATGCGGGTTGGACAGTGTCAGCCAACCCAACTGGCAAACACTCATTAGAGGAGTCCCAAATTGGGCAGAAATGATCAGGCCTTCCTGTCCCAGGTGTGATCTCACACTGGCTGTAGGCTGTCCTGGACAGAGATCTTGGAATGAATGGGCAAATCTCCAAGTGATGCATCTGGAGGCTCTCAACTAACTGAACTCCTCACAGCTGAAGGGCAAGGTCCTTCTTATAGACATCCAAGCAGTTCACCTCCATGGCCACATCACCAGTGTATATGATTTACTGTGCTTTGCTATTATTTTTTGAAATTTTTCATTTAAATATTTAAAAAATAATAGCAGAATTAAAACAGACTTGGGAGGCAAGGAATCATAAACTTAACACCACAGAGAATCAAATTAATGGCAGAAAACCAACATGGAATATTCACCTAGAATATAGAAGAAAAAAGATAAAAAAAGAAACTGCTGAGAGAAGATACTTGCCATAGGGACAGAGAACCACCAGAAAAAGAATATATCGATAAATACAAAAATGATAATCATGTATATTCACAGAATTCAGATCTCATTGGAAGAATTTAGAAGCCAGAGAGTGATCTGAACCCTAAGAAAAGTAACTAGAAAAGTATATTTAATATATAGCTAAACTTGCATTGTAGCTCATTTATTTCTTTAAAATTATCTTCCCTTTCTCATATTTCACTATGAGGAGAATAAATATAGTCCAATTCGGTTAAAAAAAAACTAATCCGATTTACTAAGTTGAACAGTCTTTTTAAAGTTTAAGTCAAGTTCCTTTGAAGCAGATTCTTTTCGGAGCCCTCCCCTCCCTGTCCCTCCACCTACTAACTCAAGAGGGATTTCTCTACTCCCACAGCTGAGAAGGGCTTCTTAGATCCACATTATTCCTGTCATTCCTTTGGGCTCTGGAGTGATAGCTTTTATCGCTTGGTTGCTTTCATCAATCTAGTAACCATGGCTGAAGTTGGGGCCAACAAACTCTTGGTTAGAGTGTTCTTATCCAGGACAGTTGGTAACCGCTGGCTCCCTGTGTCTCACCTGAGCCAAGGAAATCTCCAAAATTCTCCAGGTTGGCACTCGGGTTTTATTCACTCTACCTGGGAACTCTGGGTGCCTGCCCAAATTATGCTACTGACTTCCCTGTGATGTGGAGGTACCTAATTTGGAATGACTGCCTTTGAGGCAATCTCCTGCCAGCGTACCCAGGAATGCCCCCCGTCCTCTGCACACTCCTGGACCTGCCCCACACACTCCCTTTGGTCAGCACCCATATATCTTCCTCCTTACTTCCCTTTCTCTTGACACAGAGGAATCCTGAGAGCATCACATTGGGCAACTTACAAGGGAACCAAAATAAGGCTCTTCTCAGGTTTCCTCGCAACAGAAGTGGAGTAATTTTGATCAAAGAATTAGATAATAAATCAAGCTGTGGCACACTTGCAAAACCAACGTAAACACACTTAGATAAGGAAAGACAGAAAATGAATCCCCATCAGACAACCATACAAAGAAATAAGCCAATGCATTCAAAAAAATGCCTATAAATCAAAAATGGCAAAGTTGGATTACATAAAGTGAGCACCAGAATGGATTAAATACATATGATAAATTATAAATGGCTACTGCAAATATCTAACATCATAGAACACATATGTCATAGTCTATCTTTTCTAAGTAAAAGGTGTTAGATTGCATAATAATGTGATGAATCTATAATCCCAGATAAAATGGAAAAAGCTAGTGAAGCAGATTGGGGGCTAGGGCAGGACATGAGCCAATTTGCCTTATAACCTAGGAGAAAAGAAGTTTTTATTTCTATGTCAAGAAATTCAGGCAACCTTCACATTCTCAAAAAAGAAATTAAGAAGAAATATAATACTGTATAAGGCAATTAGTTAAGGGTTCTGAAAACACGGAGAGAAGGCAAAGACAAACAGAAATAGAAAGGCTTTTCTGATTATAAAAGGAAAATCTAATATTATAGGGCTTTGGTAGGGGAGAGAGGAGGGTTATTAGAAAGGAAATCATTACAAAAAGAAAAAAATGGAAAATACCAAAATTTCCTGTCTCTGCTTGAGGTAGGAAGTGGCATCATCATACATTTGATTCTGCAGACAGCATTTACTTCATCATAGTAGTGTAAATACTTTTTATTAATTTCAACAATACAATGATATACATCTGGAGAATGACAGCAAAGAGCAGAAGTGAAAGGTTGAAATACCACAGCTATGCTAAGTGGATGTGAATTGGTAACAGCCGAAACATGGAAACCATTGTGTTATTTAAGTTACTTTTGTATTTTCTATGCATATTTATTTTATATTTAAAATATATTTATATTATAGGTAAAATTTATATTAATTGTAGGTTTTTAATATGAAAACAAAAGACACACTGGAAGGAGTATAATTTCCATTAAGGGAAAGGACTGGGATGGAGGTGGTTACAGGATGAGATGACAGCTTTTGTTTTTCTTTTCATTTCTCTTTGTGTTGTGCTAACATGAGTGTGATTTAAAACTTTGATTAAAAGTTTTTTTAAAAATTTATTGATTGTACAAATAGAGACTATTGAGAAGAGACACAAATTGATTAAAAGCAAATTAGTATTCTTAAATTATTTCCTCATTAAACAAAAAGGAAGAGGAAAAGATGAATAGTAAACACAACTCAAAAGTCTAGCAAATGGCTAAAAAAATAAACCCCAAGAAAAGCTGAAGGAAGGGCATAATAAATATAACATAGATTAGAAAAAAAATTTTTTTAATCAATGAATCAATTATCCTTTGAAGAAATCCAATAATATTTAACTTCTCAAAAATCTAAATGTCAAAAATGGAGAAATAAGTCAAAGACATAGAAAAGACTATAATAAATAATAGAAACAATGTAATTTACCAAAAATAATTGTTCCATTGTATATTAATAACTTAAAATATCAACGAATGATCATTTAAAAAAAACTGTAATGATCCAAAATAATTCAAGAAGTTGCTTGACCAATAATCATGAAGGAAACTGAAAATTTTTTTAAAAAAAGCTTCCTAAATAATTTCAAATGTCTATTACTTAAGTCTTTCTCATTTTCCAAAAAATATATCATTCTGTAATTATATAATCTATTTCAGAATTTTAAAAAAACACAACTTTTTATAAATCAAGAATTTTCCTGATAATAAAAATGAACAAAATGACATACAACACATACACTCAGTTGTATACAAATCTTACCTATGAAAAACCTGAGTAAAAGATTGCCAAATCAACATAAAAAATGTATTAAGAGAATAATCTACCACAATCAGTCTCATGATGTATCCTAGGATTGCAAGAATAGACCAGAACTGTTATTTTTCTATTCTATCAGTAGGGTAATTTAATAGATTTTATATAGACATTAAAATATACCTTTCTTGATTTGAAAATCTGTAGTATAGTAAAAATAAATAAAAGGATAATTATTTAATGTACATTAGGATATCTATTTGAAGTACACCAGCAATATCGCCATAAGCAGTAAAATTTGAAAGGCATTTTTAATTGTCAGGAAGAAAACAAAGGCGTAGCTATCACCACTTTTATTTAACATTTCTTTAAATATTCTGGAGTATAAACAATGTCAATAGGCGGGAAGAAGTAAGAAAATATTGAAAAACAAGAAAAAATGTTTTCAGAAAAATACAATTATCTACCTAAAAATTTTAACTGATAAAATATTTCATTCAACAAATACTTAATGCACCTGCACTATGTTTCATATGTTATGATGAGTTCTGGGAACACTACATTTAATAAAACAATTTGATTTTACAGAGCTTAAAATATAACAGAAAAACCTTTCGCTTACTTTCTCCTTTAAAGTGCCCCTGAATAACAGAGGACAGAGAATGTGTAACTCTTGAGAAACTCAGGGAATCATGTTAACTGGCGTACTAAAATACGAGTTATAGCTTCTTGGAAAGTGTGACTTACAGTGAAAGGATGTACAGCAGGTCCCCTACTGTTCGTCTGTTTAACATCATTTCATTATAGTGTTGATAAAAAAAAAAACATTGGTTTCTTTATATGTTTCGCTTAAAGTCACAGTTTTCAAGAGCCTATTAATGTAAGGACTTACTATACATCCATGCTCATCTTAATATAAACCAAATGTTTCCTAGGATTGAGTAAAATTGATGTTTCAAGAAAGACTTTGTTTAGCCCATGGTTTTGTATTAAGCCCTAAGAGGTTGCCAAACACTGTATACCTAGGAATAAGTGAACCCCTCTTTGAGAATTATGAATTTAATAAAATCAAGGCAGTAAGTGTTAGAAAAATAAGGAAATGTCACGGTGTCCCAATACAAAGTAAAATTATTCAGCCCAACATTTTTTTGATACCATTAATAATCAATTAACAATAAAACAAAAAATAGATCCACCACAGTAGTATAAAATATATAAAACATCAACAAAGTAATTTAACATAAATTAAGAATCCTACATCTAGAAAAGTCTTAAGTCAACGAAAAGATAAGTTAATACTTAGGAATACACTATTATAAAGACATCCATACTTCCCAAATTAATTTATAGATTGAATATAATTTCAAAGTGCCTCATCTCTTTTTTTTAAGAATTTGAACAAACAAAACTAAATGTCAAATGAAAAAAAAATGAAAAGATTTTGTAAGGAAAGTAATATAATAAACTTGCCTTGCCCAATATAAAATTATATTATACAGCTACACTGAACAAAAAAGCATGGCACATATGAAAGAATTGACAACAGGAATATCACAGATAGTTTTATATAACTGAGAAGTAGACATAGGCATTTGTCATGGTGAAATGCCATTCAATATCTGAAATTAAAATGCTAAATTTATTGTTTTAAGGAAGCTTGATGTTGGTCAGATACAGATTCCAAGTAGAGACCAGTGCTGACCTTATACAGAGTTTTGGGAAGCAAGGAGTTTAGAGGTGCATGGACTTCCAGATGCATATATTAATTGATTTTTTCTGTAGAATCCCAAGTAAGATGGTTGTTAATTGGTTGGCATACAAATTCACATCTGTTGACAAAGGCATTGAGTTCATCTCTGATTGGCTAACGTTCAAAATCAAGGTGCTGACACTGATTGGCTGGTTTGCAAAGCTTGTTGACTAAAGTTGCTATTGATCAACTGAACAGCTTTAAAATTGGTTTTAGTGACTACTTGTTGCCATGGCTACAGAACAATCAGTCTTTTCCTAATTTTGCAGGAAGTTATTTTGTTTCCCTTTCAGTCCTCATTCAGTCAAAGCTGCAGGAGAGATTATCAGGATTGTTCAGATCCTCACAACAGGTGTACATTCTTATTGCAGATAAAGCTTTGATTATTATGGACACCTGATTTTTAGTTTGAGAGATGATCGGCATGAATTTTATCCTGCTTTTCATTTAATCATTTGTAGAATCATCTATCAGGACAGTGACTGTTCAGAAGCATTTAAGATTCTGGGCAATAGACAATAAACAACAGCGAGACAAATAAGTAGAAACAGATTATTTATATTTGAAAAAGAAGTGAAGAGAGGATTCATTCTAACAATTCCCTGTGCATATGTAAAACAGCCTGATTGTTTTTCTTTATCTCAGTTATAGACTGTTTTCTCCCTTATATCATTAATTCTGGTAACAGTGGTGTGGATTCCTCCCTGGTTAGCCAAAAGAAAATCTATGAATATTTTAGTATCCATACATACTTTGGTTAAGAAATTTAAACTGATGTGTTAGACCTGCAGATCTGGACTGTACTATTATTAGCTATGTCATATGTCAGCTTGTATGAGGGAATACATTTTTGATGACCTCTTTGAATTGTTTAACTGGTACAGATATAGCCATCACCATCAAAAGTCTTTTCCAAAAAAAAAAAAAATCCTATCCCTTTGGACTTTTTGTAAAAAGAGATATATAGTCCACTGAGGATGTTGTGTAGTCACATGCTTGGAATGGCTTGACTCTGGGATTAACAAACTGTGGTCTGCAAAGCAAACCCAGACCACAGCTAAGAGTGGTTTCTACATTTTTAAAAGTTTGCAATATAAAAGGAGGAGGAGGAGGAGAAAGAGGAGAGGAAAAAGAAAGGAAGAGGAGGAAGATAAGAAAGAAAGAAACGAGAAGAAGA
Source organism: Homo sapiens (assembly GCF_000001405.40). Taxonomy (NCBI): domain Eukaryota; kingdom Metazoa; phylum Chordata; class Mammalia; order Primates; family Hominidae; genus Homo; species Homo sapiens. The sequence goes on from NC_000008.11 coordinate 65,082,216, forward strand.
AATGACAGAGACTATGTGGCTCACAAAACCGTAATTATTTACTGTCTTCCCTTTAAAGTCAATGTTTGCTGCCTGGCCTAATAGCCATCTTAATGCAAAGACATTTTACTTAAAGCTGGAGTTAAGCAAGTCATTGTTATTAGTAAGAAGAACAAGGTAGACTAAATCAGAAGTGCAATAACTTTAGTAGAGAAGTATGGCCAAAACCGTAATAAACAAAAGTGTGCAAAGATGAGCATGGCATGGAAGACTCTTGCTCCAGTGGCCTTGAGGAGAAGCTTTCTACTTCATATGACCATTGGCTTCCTCCAAGGTTCTTATGTCAGCTGTCAACCTTTTAGGATTATCTACCTCTGGAGACTCTCCAGACAACAGGTGCTGAAGATCACTAATGGCTGTAACTTTCCAGATATGTTAAATTCCTTATTTTTCAGAAGAATGGAAGTCATGAAAACAGGTAGATTTCTGAGTAAGGGGCAAAGCCTGGCATAACTTAAATGCATGGATAACTGTTTCAGTTAGATGGGCCCCATGTAACTGGATCAGTAAATTGGAAAGTCTTAAGTACAATACATGACAGCATTTTAGTCATTGTGAGTATTGTGGTTTTCCAACAGGAGAAGATGCTTAAATGCATCCAGAAAAACAAATCTACCATTTCAATTTACATATGCATAATCCATAGAGGAAGACAACTGCATAAAATCTATTTGGAGGGAACCAAAGGGTTCTTCGGGCATGAAGCCAGTCCATGCTCTACCTCCACAGCTTTTCCAGATTAACTTAACTACAGATGTAGCAGGAACTGGCTATGTTCTGTGCTATCCATCAAAAGTGTCCCAATCGGGGCTTAATATTGTGGCAAGTTTGTCCCTATGTGATGTTTTGTTTCATGGAAGATTTTTTCAAGCATGTATTTGAAATTTCAGATGATGCTATCAGGTGATGATTCACGTTTTTCCAGATGTTATTTTTATAAATCATACAATCTAATCACTTCTAGAGCTTCTTTTTGGCAGGCTATATTCTGTGAATTTATGATAGGATCCTTGAACTTCTTCAGGGACTTGTTTGTATTTTTGTTGTCTATTTATATGAAGCTTTTTTATAGGGATGGCACTCAACAGCTTGTTTAGAATGATGATTGTTAAGGTATTTCTATAGTATTTCAAAAGCATTTCTATAGAATGCATTTATCGTTTATTTTGATAGTATGTTTATTTTATAAGATCGAGAGTATCATATACTAGCTTTTATAGAAATTTTTTTTCTATCTCTACTTTTTTAGAACAGTTTTATTGAGGTTTAATTTATATTAAATTCACCTACTTTAAGTATACAATTCAGTAACTTTAAGAAAATTTGTTGAGGTGTACAACTATTACCATAATCTAATTTTAGAACATTTCTGATAACAAGTATCTACTTTTTGACAGCAGTCATTTTAGGGTAGTGTCATGGCATCTATTCATTAATGTATTCATTGTTTATCATTTCAAAATAGCTAAGAAATTTTTTTTTTTTCAATTATACTTTAAGTTTTAGGGTACATGTGCACAACGTTCAGGTTAGTTACATATGTATACATGTGCCATGTTGGTGTGCTGCACCAATTAAGTCATCATTTAACATTAGGAATATCTCCTAATGCTATCCCTCCCCCCGCACCCACCCCACAACAGGCCCCAGTGTGTGATGTTCCCCTTCCTGTGTCCATGTGTTCTCATTGTTCAATTCCCACCTATGAGTGAGAACATGCGGTGTTTGGTTTTCTGTCCTTGCGATAGTTTGCTGAGAATGATGGTTTCCAGCTTCATCCATGTCCCTACAAAGGACATGAACTCATCATTTTTTATGGCTGCATGGTATTCCATGGTGTATATGTGCCACGTTTTCTTAATCTAGTCTATCATTGTTGGACATTTGGCTTGGTTCCAAGTCTTTGCTATTGTGAATAGTGCCGCAATAAACATACGTCTGCATGTGTCTTTATAGCAGCAGGATTTATAATCCTTTGGGTATATACCCAGTAATGGGATTGCTGGGTCAAATGGTATTTCTAGTTCTAGATCCCTGAGGATAAGAAATTTTTTTAAAACTACTATTTTTCTTCAGCATTTTAAATAATTATTTTAAAATAGACCAGCCAGTAATTTTATGTTTGCTCTTCTATTTTAGTAATTTCATATGCCATAGAGAGGGCTGTACAGATCAGCCATTTAAACAAGCTGGCTTCTGGTAAGGAATTAGATTTTAAAAGAAAACTGGACTATTTAAAAATCAAGCCTGGTATTGTCCTTTTTTATATTATAAATATAAGACCCCATCAACAAACAACATTAAGTCAGCATTTGCTATTGGAATATCCAAAAATTCTACCCTGGGTGTGCATACTTGTTGAATTAAAGAAGCATAATGATGGCCTCCCCTTCACTGAATAATGGTTATGGAGTTGCTGGATTAACGGTGTTATACCAATGGACATACAAGGATATGGTAACAGTAATTCATGATTTGTTAATCAACTAGTAGAAAAAGGTTAGGTGGTTTCCAAGCAATCCGTATTTCCCGACTGTGGTTACTTTAGATTCATAGGCTTAGTATAAGGTCTGAAGGTACTTTCACTAATTTAGTTGATGTCTGTAATTGTTGTTCCAAGGTGAACAGGTCTATGCAAATCTACCTCCAAAGGCCAGGGTAGCTGAGAGGCCAAAGAAGGAGACTGACAAATATAGCCTCTTAGAAATAAAATATTTAATAGGGACTTATGAACTGAAGTTATATCTCTAGGTGCCACAAGATGGTAGATCCCTGCATTCACCCTCCAGAAAATATCCTCAGGCAGCAAGCTTTCAGGGTAAAATATGTGCAACTTGTCGCATCTCAGATTTCTTGCCAAAATTTGTGACCACTGGGGAGGTTAAATAAGCATCTTTACAAAGGGTTATCTGTGCTACTGACATTGTCTTAAGACCTTGCTGTAGAACACCTTGGTATGCATAAGTCAAGCATGGGTCTTCTTGGCAGTTTTGCTTCAAGATGCCATCACCCTTGCCATGCAACAGGCTGTTTTCCTACACTCCACCCCTCAAAACCAGCCTTTACAATCTCAAGTGTCCACCTATTCTGTGATAGTTTCTGGGCTTAAAGGGAAGACATTTGATATTGCATAGCTTCAGCAACAGTGCGTTGGCTCCATTGAAGGCAGATAGCACAACAATAAAGGCAAAAACAGAACAGTAAACAACACGTGAGTATAATACTTAAACCAAGAGGCAGCTTCTGTCACTAGGTCCCCCGGACCCAAACCAGCTACAAAGCCAATCATTCAAAGTGGGGATTTGGTCTGAGAGATTAGTTATTCGTGTTTTTATATCAGTCATTAATTTAGTGAAATTATCTGATTCATCAGGAATATAAAGAAAAAGTTGCTTCATAGGCAACATCTGGTTACAGTAGTGGCCGAATATAACAACTAAGGATGAAAAGAAAGAAATTTAGTGTATTTGCAAAGGAAGATCTTCTCCATCTCCGAACATATGTTGGTTGATTCATGTAAAGCAGTTATTAAAGAAATAGCTCTTGGCTTTTGTAAAGGGGCCATATACCATATATGTTGCCCAGGAGATGTCAGCAGTCGTTGTCAAAGTAATTTGGTTGAGAGTACAACATATTTGAGAGCCCACCAGCATTCCATTAGCTAGACATGTTTATCTTGACCCCTTACAGCAGGTGATCATGAGTCCAGTTCAATAGGATCAAATGGAGACCACTCTAACTGTCCAGGATATTCCCCACTCTCTGGCAGGAGTAACTTAACCAGCGTTGGGTATTTACCATTTTAAGCCCCACTGGAGTATCCCCTTCCCTGGTAGTATGTTTGTTGCTGTCTTCATGCATAAAAAACACTGGTTGTCAAACAGGTCTTGGAGCAAGGAAGTTGTCTCAGTTACCCATATGTGAACAGTGGTAGGCCTGGAGAAAGGTTGTCCCAACAAATCATATGGGGCAGACATCTCTTTGGCTGAACTTAAAGAAATAAGGACTGCAGATAAAAGAGTCATTCACTCGTGCAAGGCAGGTTTCCCCAGTAAAGTTTGAATCTGTGCTTTCAACAGAACATTTTTCCTTTCAATCAACCATGCTGCTTGGGGGTTATACGGGAAATGAAAGTGTCATGCTATATTGTGTTGCATGGACATCATGTCCAGCAAAGTGAGTCCCTCAGTCACTGTCAATGCAGTGGGGGTATCCATACATAGTACTAGAGCCTCTAACCCTTTAATAGTACTCGCTTGATTAGTTTGCTTAGGAGGAAAACCTTACAGCAGTCTAGTAGCAGTGTCCACATGGGTTAACACATATTTCCTTCCTTACAGGGAGAGGTCCTATATAATCTAATTGCCAGTCAGCTACAGTGAGAACATCCCTGTAAATGTGTCCCGCTTGATATGGTCTATACCATGGACACAATTGAGAACAAGGTAAACAGTTTGCAGCAGCTGCTGGGAGGTCACTATCATCTAGCTCAATCCTGCCCCCAGGGCTATCTCCTAGCCTACTCTTGCACCTCTATGGCCACTTTTGTTTTGTACCCAGGTCACTAGTTCAGCAACCTGAGCCAGCATGATGCTTCCAATTTTTGTTAGAGTGTCAGCTTCTATATTTCCTGGAACCGAGTCTTTTTAGTGTGCAACCACATGAATGCAGTTAAATCAGCCGCAGGGTGTTGCAGTTTCTCCCATATGTCTTGCCACATGTTCATGCCCCATACAGTTTGTGCAAAATCATCTACTTTTTTGGTTCCCATTGAGCTAGCCACATAGTTAGGCCTTTGAATACAACCCAGCTATTAGTACAAAGAACCAAGGCCTGGGGCTCACGTGTGATTATTAACCAAGCAGCTCTCAACTCAGCCCACTGAATATTCTGATGTTTATCTGTTTCATACCAGATCGTGTCAGTTTGTGGTTGTGTAGCAACAGCAGTCCAAATACAGGGATTTCCCTGCTGGAGCCACCTGTATACCAAGTACTAACCTGGATGGGTGGCACTCCTTCTCATACTGTGTCAGGCATTGAGGTAAAAGGGCATAACAGGGTGTCCTTTGGTTGTTCATATGTAACAGGGCCCAAGACAGCATGCGGTTCTGGGCTTAAAGGACTGGTTGACAGAACACTTCACTGTTGCAAATAGGCATGCCATTTATTCAAGGCAGGTGTTTGGGCTACAGTGGAGGTGGGTCATTTAAACAATATTTCTGTTCATCTCTTGATTGGCAGACCAATTCTCATAGTCATCGAAAGAGTTTTTGTTCACATCCCACCTGCTGCTAGACCTTGTTCAATGGGAGAGTACCTGGTTTGGGTTCTTTTCCATAATTGTGACCAAAGTCCTAAAGGGAATGATTTACCATAGTATGATTGCTGCAAGGCCCAACTCATACCCTCAGGAGTAGCAGTAACCACTCAAAGTCCTAGCTGTACCCTCTAAAGGGCATCTAAGGCCTGTGCCTGCCGTACCAGCACTTTTGCCTGTTCAAAGCTTCCTGTTGAGGGATTTCTCAGGCCCAAGGTGCTGCCCTTTCTCTAACAAGCCCATGTAGTGTTCTCAAACACTGGGCAAAGTGTGGGATGAATCCAATAGCCCAAAAGACCCATAAATGTTTGGATTCCTTTTACCATTTTGAAGTTGGAAATTGTTGGACTTTTTCAATTACTGTACCAGGTAGTAAATAAGTCTTACTCGACCACCTAACCTCTAAAAACTTCACTGCAGGCCCTGTGCCCTGGATCTTCTATGGATTGATTGCCCATCCCTATTCCTATAAATGAGCACACAATGCAGTAAGACTGCCTGTATCACATTAAAATCTTCAGAAGTTAACATAATGCTACAAACATAATAAAACCAAGAAAGAAAAGACAGGGTTTTTGTTTTGTTTTGTTTTGTTTTCCTTTCAAGATAGCAGATAGGAGGCAGTGCTAGTGTGCCTCTCCCACTTGGAAGGACAGAATATTATGTGATGATTCACACTGTGAACTTTTGTTCCAGGAACCACTCACCAAAAAAAAAAAAAAAAAAAAAATGAAAACATCCTCAGATCCTTTGAAAGAAGTGACATGCCACAGCAAACTCTGTGAAACAGGTGAAAAACTGTGAGTTTCCAGAAGCAAGAAGGGGAGAGCTTGCCTTCAAACACATCCCCATTGGGAATCTGAAAATCCAGACACAAGAAAAGGCTTTAACCCTACCTAGAGCTGGAACAGTTTTAGGGAGTGGCGTGAAATATAAAAGTAGAAGCAGCAGTGGGAAGAGCCTTGTAGGCACTCCCAGTCTCCAGCTCAAGCCCAGGGAAGCCATTCCTAAGTATATCTCACAGCGGCCCATGGGGAAGGCACCAAACAAACTCAGGGAGGGGTCACAGGGTGAAAGAAGCTTCCAGCTGAATTTTGTGATGTAATTTCAAGTGGGCATGAACTCCCTTGAACAGAGCCTGGGGGCAAGGAGGAAGGGCATTGCAGATACAAGCACAGGAACTGGGCACCTGGACTTGCAGGCAGGTAGGGAGGGGCAAGGCCTGAAAGCCATGCTTGTTTTCTCAGTGGGGAAGCTTATGGCATGGGGCAGGTCCGAGTTTTATGCACAGGCTGCCTGGAGCTAAACTTGGCACTGTTAGTGGGGCACTGTGGGAGTGAGACTAGCCTCACCAACAGCCTAGTAGCTGGGTGGGACCTTTCACAACTGGCTATTCCCCACTCCTATTCTGAACTGAACTGTACAGCAGAGGCAGTCATACTCCCCTCTGGAATGCAACCCCTTTGGATTGAGATCCACCCTCTAATTCCCTACAGTGGCCACAGCCATCCCCACCAAAAAAGAGTCCTAACTCAGACCCACCTAACCCAGCCCCTACCTGATGGTATTTCTCTACCCATTCTGGTAACTTAATACAGAAGCTCCTGGGAGTTTTATGGCCCCATCCATTGCCTAAAAAACCAGACTACTTTACCTGGCCAACTTACAGCAAGCTCAAATCCCACTGCTACTACCAGAGCTGATGCTCTCTTGCAAGCACCACCACCTGGCTAGAGGCCAAACAGCTCAGGCCATTACAGCAACTCTTGGCAGAATAAGCCTACTCCCAGGAAGGAGAAAACAACAGCTAACTCCACTGCCTGCAACACCTTGGCTAACCAGACGTCCTGACAACTTCACTACTGGCATAACTGGCATTTGAGAAAGCCAGCATATTAAGCCTATCTACAACCAAGGAACCTCAGAGAGTCTACATCACTCCTCTGCCACCTCCATCAGAGCAAATGGTGGAATCCACAGCTGAGAGACCTGAAGACTGGTCACATCATTGGACTCTTGGCAAACATTCCCTAGAACCTGGTAGCCCCCTTGGGTGGCTAGATCCAAAATAGCAATAACAATCACTGCAATCTGGCTCTCAGGAAGCCCCATTCCTTGTGGAAGGGGGAGAGTACAACACTGAGGGATTATCCCATCAGGCCTTGAGTCCCAAATCTTTCTGCTGGTGGGAAGTTTCTCACAGCAGAGACACAATTGCAGTGCTGGGCACAGAGGAAGTCTGCACCTGTACCCCAACAGGCAAGCAGCCTCTGTGATTGTGAAGGCCCTTGGAGAAGAGGTCCTTGTTCCCCTATGGCACTCTACTGAAAACATAGCTGGGACTCCCCCAACAGGAATGCAGCATAGATGCACCTATAGACAGCCTTCATGGGATCATCAAGTGGGAGCAAAGCTTCACAGGAGGAGCACCCACCAGATTCAGGCCTGCACAAGAGGCAGAGTCACAATTCCTCCCTACTTAAAACATCAACATTCCTATAGATGAAAAGAGGTGTCTATCTGATCTGAATAGCCAAAACACTGGGACAGGACCCTCAATCATCTATACAGTAAATAAAATATTGGGGGGAAATTAAATAAAGAAAGACCAAGAGAGAATGAGATGAGATAAGCATCAAGAGATCCCTGCCATTCCAACTCCATAGGAGACATTGAACTCACCCACACACAAGAGCATAACTGCTACAACCAGCACTGAGGAAAGCCAGTACACAAAGACTCTCTATAACTAAGGAACTCAGACAGAGTCTTCACCCTACAAGCACCAGACTAAAATAAACATTGAAGTCCAATCCTTAAAAGGAGAAAAAATTAAAAAAAAAAAAACAGTCCAATCGAAACTAAATTCAATAACAAATTGAAGAAATAGTTTATCCAAATGAGTAAAAACCAGAAAAGTAATTATGGTAATATGACAAAACAGGATTCTATATATCCCCAGAAGGCCACACTAGCTCCCCAGCAATGGATCCAAACCAAGAAGAAATCTCTGAATTGCCAGATAAAGAATTCAGAAAGTTGATTTTTAAGCTACTCAAGGAGATACCAGAGAAAGATGAAAAACAACTTAAAGAAAATTTTTGAAAATACAGAATATGGATGAAAAATTTTCCAGAGAAATAGAAATAGCTTCTGGAAATAAAAGACACACCTAGAGAAATACAAAATGCACTGGAAAGTTTCAACAATAGATTAGACTAAGTAGAAAAAGAACTTTAGAGCTCAAAGACAAGGCTTTCAAATTAACCCAATCAGAAAAAGACAAAGAAAAAAAGAATTTAAAAAATTAATAAAGTCTCCAAGAAATATAGCCAAAATGGCCAAAGCTAAGCATAATTGGTGTTCCTGAGGAATAAGAAATCTAAAAGTTTGGAAAACTTATTTGAGAGAATAATCAAGGAAAACTTCCCTGGCCTTGCTAGAGATCTAGACATCCAAATACAAGAAGCTTAAAGAACTCCCAGGCAATTCATTACAAAAAGATCATTATCAAGGAACATAGTCATCAGGGTATCTAAAGTCAAGACAAAGAAAATAATTTTAAGAGCTATGAGACAAAAGCATCAAGTAACCTATAAAGGAAAACCTATCAGATTAACAGCAGATTTCTCAGAAGAAAACTTACAAGCCAGAAGGGATTGGGGTCCTATCTTTAGCCTCCTTAAACAAAATAATTGTCAGCCAAGAATTTTGTATTCAGCAAAACTAAGCTTCATAAATGAGGAAGAGATAAAGTCTTTTTCAGACAAATGAATGCTGAGAGAATTTTCCATTGCCAGACCAGCACTATAAGAAATGCTAAAAGGGGTTCTAAATCTTGAAACAAAACCTTGAAATACATCAAAATAGAACCTCCTTAAAGCACAAATCTCACAGGGCCTGTAAAATAATAACACAATGAAAGAAACAAGGTATTTAGGGAACAACTAACATGATGAATAGAACAGTACATTACATCTCAATACTAACATTGACTATAAATGGCCTGAACACTCCACTTGAAAGATATCGACTGGTAGAATGTATAAAAATCTACCAACCAAGTATCTGCTATCTTCAAGAGACTCACCTAACACATAAGGAATCACATAAACTTAAGGTAAAGGGGTGGAAAAAGATATTCCATGCAAATGGAAACCAAAAGTGAGCAGAAGTCACTATTCTTATGTCAGACAAAAAAGACTTTAAAGCATCAACAGTAAAAAAAAAAAGAAAAATACAAAGAAAGATAGTATATAATGATAAAATGATTAGTCCAACAGGAAGATATTACATTCTTAAATATATATGCCCCTAACACTGAAGTTCCCAAATTTATAAAACAATTACTGCTAGACCTGAGAAATGAGATAGATAGCAACACAATAATAATGGTGGACTTCAGTACTCCACTGACAGCACCATCAAGACAGAAAGTCAGCAAAGAAACAATGGACTTAAACTATATCCTAGAACAAATGGACTTAACAGATATTTATAGAACATTTTTGTTGCAGGAAGTCAGGGACCCCAAACAGAGGGACCGGCTGAAGCCACAGCAGAAGAACATAAATTGTGAAGATTTAATGGACATTTATTAGTTCCCCAAATTAATACTTTTATAATTTCTTACACCTGTCTTTACTGCAATTGCTGAACATAAATTGTGAAGTTCATGGACATTTATCACTTCCCCAATCAATACTCTTATAATTTCCTATGCCTCTCTTTACTTTAATCTCTTAATCCCATCATCTTCATAAACTGAGGATGTATGTCACCTCAGGACCCTGTGATGATCGTGTTATCTGCACAAATTGTTTGTAAAGCATATATGTTTGAACAATATGAAATCTGGGCACCTTGAAAAGAACAGGATAACAGCGATGTTCAGGGAACAAGGGAGATAACCGTAAGGTCTGACTGCCTGCACGGCCAGGCAGAACAGTCATATTTCTCTTCTTACAGAAAGCAAATAGGAGAAATATCACTGAATTATTTTTCTTAGCAAGGAATAGCCCTGGGAAAAGAATGCATTCCCAGGGGGAGGTCTCTAAAATGGCCGCTCTGGGAGTGTCTGTCTTATGCAGTTAAAAATAAGGGATGAAATACGCCCTGGTCTCCTGCAGCACCCTCAGTCTTGCTAGGATTAGGAAATTCCAGCCTGGTGAATTCTAGTCAGACCGGTTATCTGCTCTCGAACACTGTTTCCTGTTAAGATGTTTATCAACAACAATGTATGCCCAGTGGGACATGGACCTTCATCAGTAATTCTAGTTTTGCCCTGGCCTTGTGATCTCGCTCTGCCTCCTTGCCCTTGTGATCTTTTATTGCTTTCTGAAGCATATGATCTCTGTGACCCACTCCCTATTCGTACCCCCCACCCCTTTTGAAATCCCTAATAGAAACTTGCTGGTTTTGTGATTCAGGGGGCATCACGGAACCTGCTGACATGTGATGTCAACCCTGGAGGCCTAGCTGTAAAATTTCTCTCTTTTGTACTCTTCATTTCTCAGACCGGCCAACACTTAGGGAAAATAGAAAAGAACCTACATTGAAATATCGGGGGCTGGTTGCCCTGATACATTTTACCTAACAACTGTGGAATATACATTCAATCCAGCAATCCCACTACTATCCAAAGGAAAATAAGTCATTACATGAAAAAGACACATGTACCTGCATATTTTATAGCAGCACAGTTTGCAGTTATAAAAATATGAAACCAACCTAAACACCCATCAACCAACCAGTGGATAAAGAAAATGTGGTATATATACACCATGGAATACTACTCAGCCATAAAAATGGAACAGAGGCTGTTATTCTAAGTGAAGTAACTCAGGAATGGAAAACCCAATATCATACGTTCTCACTTGTAAGTGGGAGCTAAGCTACAAGGATGCAAAGGCATAGGAATAATATAACGGACTTTGGGGACTCAAGGAAGTGTGGGGGGTGGTGAGGGATAAAAGACTACAAATTGGTTACAGTGTACATTGCTCAAGTGATGGGTGCACCAAAATCTGAGAAATCACCACTAAAGAACTTATCCATGTAACAACAACCACCTGTTTCCCAAAAACTGTTTAAATAAATTAAAAAAAAAAAAGATGGGAATGAGAACAGACAAGTCTCTAACCACCATTCTCTGACAAATAGTGGGACTATAAAGCTATCCCTGAGGCAACAGTTGAAAAATCCACTGGTAGCCTTGCCAGGCAAAAGCAAATTGGCCTTGTGATTGTTTGGAGAGAGAAATGCTGAGAAAGGCGTTAGCAAAATCTAAGACAATGTGATGTATCTCCAGCATGGACACTATGTAGTTGACTACCTGAGTGATATTAGGAACTGCAACATACACGGCTAGGGTTACCTTGTTTAATTCCCAATAATCCACAGTCGTCTGCCACATACTGTCTGCTTTGCATTCAGGCCAGATGGGACTCTTAAACTGGCTTTGAACTGGGCAGAAAATATACACATTTGCCATTTCTCCAATAGGTGCATTTATTTCAATATATCACTGCCCACAAGGCAATTTTTTTGTTTAACATTAACAATCTGCTTAGGGTCAGGGAGCTGTGCAGGGTCTCATTTTTCCACTCCCCTGAAGATAGCCTTTACTATAGGCACCTTCAATCTGAATTCTCCCACAGCAGTTTGCAAAATCTCTGTTAACACAATATCCATGCCTAAATTGTCTTCTGGAATAGGGGAAATAAATACCTTACACAGGACACACGGAGCTTTTCCAATTCCTAAATGTATTAAAATCCTTTTTACTCAGATTGTTTGCACCCATAACCATTAATGGCCATCCATTGACCAGGGTTTTTTTAGATTTCTATGGATTAAATTAAATTCTGCCCCAGTATCTACTAAGGCAATAGTCTTCTCTTTATTCTGGAAGAACTAGTAAATCATGAGCACAGTATTGGGCCTCTGGTCACCCCCTATGGCTCGAACACAGAGTTGACTTTGGCCTCACTCCTAATCTCGGGGTTGAGGTGGGATCCACACTCAATAGCCTAAGACATTAGATGGAGGAGGGTTGAGTTGTCTTCCTCTTCTGCCAGCAGGGCAGAGGGACAGGATCAAACTGCTGGTCAGGCTGTAGTTCTCTCCATAAGGCTACTAAAACAGCATTTGGTTGTATATTTTTTTCTTGGGGTGTTTCTGCTCCCAACAAATCATACCATGTTTATTTACATGTGACCCTTACCAGTCACTTTCCCCCTTTTCTCCTGTCTTTGGGGTTTTCTTTTTGCCCTTTGTTAGTTCATGTCTGGTTACCAAGTGTACTCTATCCTTGACTTTCCTGGTTTCTCCCAAATCTGTGATAGCTTCTCCCACCTCCTATGGGATATATGTCTTATGCCACTATAGCACACAACAAAGACAGTTAAGGGCCACACCATTTTTGTAGCAATTTACTTTTTATCCCAACAGTACAAACTGCTTAATCAGGTCCTGCAAAAACCCAAGCATAGGTAGTTTGCCCCATTCCTAAGTCTCAGAGAAATCCTTGCACCCCTTTGATCAACCTCTGGGAGGTCATCCCTCCTGTTAAGTCCCCTTCATTAGGCCAAGCCTCTTTCATAGCCAGGATGACCCAGTCCATAAGGCAATGATTCCCTTATGTTTGCCTTGTGTTATAAAAGTGTTGCTGCAGTGCTGGTGTGGATGCTGATGGCACTCATTTTTGTCTGCTTCATTCCCAGCCAAGGAAACACCATAACCCACTGTGTCCTACAATTGGCCCATCCAAGCTGTCAGGGTTTCCTTAGGTAGTTGTTTAAAGGTCTTTGCAATCTCTAATAGTTCTGCAGCAGTGTCTTCCCTGATAGTGAGAGTCTCCTGTATGGTTAACTCCCATTTAGCTGCATTTGTTGAGCCTTTGCTTTGCTTTGCATGAGGAAGGAGCTTGCCAATGATCCTCGTCCTCCTCCTTATCTATTACTTTTATGTCACCCGAGTCTTCCTCTTCATAACATTCCAGAGATTCCATGTTTTCACATCACAATCAGGCTTAGTTATGATAGCTCCGAATTTTTGTTATTTCCATTTCTTTCTCCCTAGGTAGACAAATCTACATGCTAATGTTTCGAATTTTGTCTCTTAGTCTTCAAAGTTGTCCACTAAATTGAAAGCAAGGAGAGAAATTGAAAGGCTCATGTCCTTTTCTAGTTGCAATTCCTCTTCCAGCCATTTAATTTTAGCTTCTGCTGCTAGCTGGGTCCTTGCTAGCAAATGAATGGCCCACAGAAGTGGCCAACCCACTGCAGGGGCCATCCACTGCCCTTCCTTACTGCAGTGTGCTCTACAGCTTTTAGTGAATAACTGCTGTAGGTCAACCAGCATTTTGGGGGCACCTGTACTCAGAGATCCACAAGCATCTAAGAGAGGTGCCACCCCACCCCACATAGATGTGGCTGACCATCCTGGAATTTTCCCCAAAGATGCCTCATTCTTTGTACATATTTCTTGGTCAGTCAGCTCCTGGCTAGCTTGCCAAATGTTCTGCATTGAGCAGACCTACCCACAAAGAATGAGGACACTGAGAGCTGAAGAAAGAGGCTGACAAACAGTTTTTCAAAAACAAAATATTTAATAGGGACAAACAGAAATAATGTGTCAGGCAGCCATGAGATAGTGAATTCCTGAACCTACCCTCCAGAAAATATCCTTCAGATAGCAAGCTTTTAGGGTAAAACATGTGCAACTGAACACATCTCAGACTTTCTTGCCAAAACTCATGATCACCAGGGAGGTTAGATAAGCATGTTTATGAGGGGTTGTCTATGTCTTAAGACCTTGCTGAAGAACACCTTAGAAGGCATGAGTCAAGTATCAGTCATCATGGTGGTTTCGCTTCAAGATGGTATCACCCTTGCCATGCAACAGGCTGTTTTCCTACAGTTGCCCTGAAGCAAGGAGGCTGAGCAATTTTTAAGACTATCTAGAAATATCTAGCCACTTGTTTGATATTTTCTAAGTTGGCAATTTCACATTTAATTTAATTTCTTCTTATTAAATTTATTAATTCAAGTTTGAGGCCACTTACAAAACCAAAGGACATGGTTCCCTTTATTTCAGCATTGGGGTCTACCCTAGAATACAACTTGAATATTTTCTTAGATCTACTTTTCATTTTTTATTTAGTTTAAAATTTTGATTATTATTTGATTGATTATTATTAATTTCTTTTAATTATTATTAAAAGAAAGACTTAGGAAGTATTCTGTTTTTACTTCTTAAGCTTTAAGCATTAGTGTTCTTTAAATCTCCTCTTTTCTACCCTGACTCTCTTAAATGAATTTTACCATCTGAGGGAGCTAACAATTATTTGATTAGTTAGTGCAGATCTTCAGTTCAGGATAAGTATCCAGTAAAGTCCTGAATTCCATAGGAAACTTTTGCCTGATCTTTTAAAGTTTAAGAAACTCCTTAATTATATAGACCCTGACTTTACTCTGCATCAAAGTTTTAATCCCACTTCCATAGATCTGAGTTCTGTCAAATTTATGAGTGTTCTTTGCTTTAGAAAGCCCTGAAAGAAAATCAAATATTACATAAAGCTCAGTAGAAAAACAGAGATGAAAGAAGATAAGTTTCCAAAAGTTCCAAAGTATTTGTTATACGAAATCAATCTTGGATTTTTAATTTTATTAGAGCCTTTAGTGTATCTATTAATAACTGACTATTGCTTATTTCATGTTAAGAGCTCCTCTTACACATATTAATTTACTGATTTTGACATGTCATATGTTATTTTGACATTGTTAATTTCTTTCTTTATTTTTCTTTTTTCACCCTTTCATTTCTCTGTTTACCAAGGAAAGTACAACAATTGGGATTACAGTGCAACTTTTTATATAATAGAAAGTAGATGTTTTCCAGGAGAAAGTTGAGACTTTTACATAGACAAACCCGTGACAGGGTAGAAGGAGGAGCCACTCCAGTTGGTTGGCAGTATGTGCTTATGAATAACTCGGGTCTGCAGACCAAGCTGAGGTGAAGAAGATATTATATGATCCATCAAGGAATACAAATTAAAGAAAGAGACCCTCTATAACAAATTGACAAGACAAGGTGTGCAGACATGACAGATTTAGAGGGTGCCTACAAAGCTTGGCCACTTTCTTTTGCATAATTTTTTTAATGGATCCATAACTACAGGACTTCAGGACCTACCTGGATTGGATTGAGAATAAAACAAGACTGCACATATTGACAAAATCAAAGTAAGCTGCATATATTTAATGGAAAACATATTTGTAAAATGGTATACCTCCAAAAAAAAGGTCTGTTAAACTTATACAAAGAGATGTTTAATTACCAAATGGTGCACTTCCAAATCAAAAAGTCCAAATGAATTTTTTAAAAAACTAGGCCTTGATTTGCATTTCTCTAATGACCAGTGATGATGAGCATTTTTCGTATGTTTTCTGGCCACATAAATGTCTTCTCTTGAGAATTGTCTGTTCATATCCTTTGCCCACTTTTTGATGGGGTTATTTTTTTTATTGCGAATTTGTTTAAATTCCATGTAGCTTCTGGATATTCACCCTTAGATAGATAGATTGCAAAAATTTTCCCCCATTCTCTAGGTTGCCTCTTCACTCTGATGATAGCTTCTTTTGCTGGGCAGAACTCTTTAGTTTAATTAGATCCCATTTGTCAATTTTGGCTTTTGTTGCCATTGCTTTTGGCGTTTTAGTCATGAAGTCTTTGCCCATGCCTATGTCCTGAATGGTATTGCCTAGGTTTTCTTCTAGGGTTTTTATGGTTTTAGGTCTTATATTTAAATCTTTAATCCATCTTGAGTTAATTTTTGTATAAGGTGTAAGGAAGGGATCCAGTTTCAGTTTTCTGCATATGGCTAGCCAGTTTTCCCAACACCATTTATTAAGATATCATGTCACACCAGTTAGAATGGTGATCATTAAAAAGTCAGGAAACAACAGATGCTGGAGAGGATGTGGAGAAATAGGAATGCTTTTACACTGTTGGTAGGAGTGTAAATTAGTTCAACAATTGTGGAAGACAGTGTGGCAATTCCTCAAGGATCTAGAACCAGAAATACCATTTGACCCAGCAATCCCATTACTGGTATATACCCCAAGGGTTATAAATCATTCTACTATAAAGACACATGCACATGTATGTTTATTGTGGCACTATTCACAATAGCAAAGACATGGAACCAACACAAATGCCCATCAGTGATAGACTGGATAAAGAAAATGTGGCACATATATACCATGGAATACTATGCAGCCATAAAAAAGGATGACTTCATGTCCTTTGCAGGGACAGGGATGAAGCTGGAAACCATCATTCCCAGCAAACTAACACAGGAACAGAAAACCGAACACCACATGTTCTCACTCATAAGTGGGAGTTGAACAATAAGAACACATGGACACAGGGATGAGACCATCACACACAGGGGGCCTGCCGGGGGGTCGGGGGCTAGGGGAGGGATAGCATTAGGAGAAATACCTAATGTAGATGACAGGTTGATGAGTGCAGCAAACCATCATGGCACGTTTATACCTTTGTAGCAATCCTGCATATTCTGCACATGTATCCTAGAACTTCAAGTATAATGATAATAATAAAAAAAAACTAGGCCTAATTTCTTACCTTATACCAAGATCTACTTGGCTTAATCTCTATGATAACAAAATTAATTTAGCAATGAGAGTTTAATAAAACTAATCAAAGCTCAGATCGTTGTTTGACTCCAAAGCAGCAGATCTGAAGGGACTTTGTTGGGAGGGGTCCTGTGAATATACCTGTGATCCAAGTGTTTGCTGAGATGTTGCCTTGCAAAGGTATTCAAAATTATGTCCATGGTACCTTAAGAATTGTCAAAGATGGGACCACCATACAATATTTGAAATAAAAAGACAAAGCTGAATTTATTGATTACTATATTAAGGGGGAACAATAATGATCAAGCCCAGTCAGTCTGAGCAGAGACAAGTGCTGATCTTATTTGGGTTTTAGAGGACCATGGAATTTCAGGGCTGGTAGACTTTCATAGGTGTAAGTGGATAGACAAAATAGAAGTGTGGTTACTCAGGTGAGACTGTTGGTGACTGATTAGCACTTGGTGGTGTGTTCACTAGAGATGCACTTATTCTACTAAATTACAGATTTTTGTGTTTAACCATTATACAAAACTGCCAATCTAATACATAATGAAGAAATATGTGATACATATATATGAGATATAGATTGCTTTTAAGCTAAATAAATCACCAGGGATCAATTTGGATGAATCAAATTCTCAATAAATAACCAAGTGATATGGTTTAGCTGTGTCCCCATCCAAATCTCAACTCGAATTGTATCTCACAGAATTCCCCCATGTTGTAGGACAGACCCAGGAGGAGGCAATTGAATCATGGGGGCCGGTTTTTCCCATGTTATTCTTGTGATAGTTAATAAGTTTCGTAAAATCTGATGGGTTTATCAGGGGTTCCTGCTTTTGCTTCTTCCTCATTTTCTCTTGCCACCACCATGTAAGAAGTACCGTTTCCCCCCACCATGATTCTGAGGCCTCCCCAGTCACGTGGAACTCTAAGTCCAATTAAACCTTTTTTCTCTTCCCAGTCTTGGGTATGACTTTATCAGTAGTGTGTAAATGGACTAATACCCCAAGGTTTTTAAAAATCTATAATACAAAGTTAAAGAAGCAAGAGATTGATCCTAATTGGTGGATTGGTTGGCTTGCAAAAGCATGTTCACTGAAGTGAGTTGTCACTGAATAACTGAACAGGTTTAAAATACATTCTGGTGGCTACTTATTACCATGGCTACAGAGCAATGAGACTTTTTCTAAATTTTTGGAAACTTTTAAATTCTTACTTTGCAGAAAGACTTTACGGGGTTTGACTCCCAGCTCTGTCACTTAATTTGCTTTATACCTCTGTATTTTGACAGATTGCTTGATCACTCAAAACCCCAAGAAAAAAATAAATGTATCTACCTTATAAGATTAGAAGAAATATGGAAATCACCTAGTATTTAGTTTATATTCAAGAAATAAAAAATTTTATTTCATAATCTAAAGTAGGCAAAAGTAGAAGCATGTAGTACTATAGAGAAGTTACTGAGTGCCAGACAGTTTTCTAGGGGCCTTCACATATATTACTCACTTAAACCTACCAACAACCCTCTGATATAGATGACATTGTTATGATTTTCTGCATTTTACAGAAAACTGAAAACACAGTGCCATTAAGTAAAATACCTAATGTCACACAATTAGTAAGTAGTGGAGCTGGAATTTGAACCTAGACAATCCAGCTGTAGAGATTTTTGTGTTTATCCATTATACGAAACTGCCAGTCTAAAACACAATGAAGAAATATGTGATAAATATATATGATAATATAGATTGCCTTTAAGATAAATAAACCACCAGGGGATCAATTTGGATGGATCAAATTCTCAACAAATAGCCAAGGTTTTAAAAATCAATTAGAATGTTTCTTCTTTCTTTAATAAGGGACTAGGTTACTTGAACAAATCCATTCGCCAGGGACCATGAGGAAAACTGGACTTTTTTTTTTAAAGAAAAATGTTTGAAGTAGTGGAGAACTTTTAAAAGTACTGAAGAATAACTGGGATAATATCTAGGATGAGACTGAAATTTAGACATGTAATCTTAGCATGTAGGGCCATGTTTTCAGGGGTCATTTCCTGAGCAGACTAGGCTACGGAGAGCCTGAGCAGTACTTTTTGACAGCCCTGTTGGTCTAGAGGACTAAGAGTTGAAGTATTGGCCCAGCTGAAGATGGGGGCTTGCAGATTTTCCTCATTCATTGAGTCGGGAACCCAAAAGGCTACACTGTAAAGTAAGGATGAGCCAGAGGTAAACCAATCCTCTTGTGGACTTCATCTGAGCTTCCTGGGCCCCTAGAAAACTGTCGGCCACTCAGTAATTTTTCTATACTATTACATGCTTCTATTTTTGTCTGCTTTAGATTATGAAATTTTTTTTATTTCTTGAATGTAAACTAAATACTACACGATTTCTATATTTTTTCTAATCTTATAAGGTAGATATATTTAATTTTTCTTAGGGCTGTGACTGATCAAGCAATCTGTCAAAATACAGAGGTTTAATGCAAATTAAGTGACAGAGCTGAAAGTCAAACCCAGTAAAGACTTTCTGTGAAGTAAGAATTTAAGAATCTTAAGAATTTAGGAATTTCCAAAGAATCTTCAATTCCTATAATTGGATTAATATGATCCAGGATTGCTAGTGTCCCCTGAACCTGGAATCGATAAAGGAAAATCCTCTCTGGAGGAAGATAACATCATCTTGCTTATCAAATCATTACATTTTCAATTATAATGTTTGAACATAAAAATAACCAGGCTTATGAGGTGATAAGCCAAAATAAATGTGATCCTCTTTGTCATATATTAGGGTGTCTGTGTAATATTCAAGAATAAAAATTTTAACAGAGAACTGGAAGCTATGAAAGGTGACGTTGCAGATAGAAAAAAATAAACAGAAATTCTAAAAAGAAAAACCAAAATTAAGAAATTAATGAATGGGATATTAAAAAGAGTTTAAGAGATAAAGAACCCAGAAGAAATTATTAAGAATAAAACTCTGAGAGACAAAAGGATGAAAAATACAGAAGAAAGAGTAAGAGACACAAAGTATACAGGAAGGTAGTTTAAGAGCCAGGTAATTGGCATTTCAGAAAAAGAGGAGAGAAACTGCCACAAAAACAATGTTTGAAGAAATAGAAGATAAGTGTTTTCCAAAACACTTAGAAAGACCTTAACCCACAGATTCAAGGATCCTATCAAATGCAAAGGTAGATAAATAAAAAGAAAAGTATACTTAGACACATCATATTAGATCCAAAAGCAGTTAGGAAATATAACCACAGAAAAAAAAATTACCTTACTTTCAAAAAACCAAATTGACTTATCAAAAGATACAATAAAGCTATAAAAATAGATTCAAGATGATGAAATGAAATAACTACAACTTCAAATCATATATCAACTCAGCTGGGTACAGTGGCTCATGCCTGTAATCTCAGCACTTTGGGAGGTCAGGGGGAGAGGGTCACTTCAAACCAGGAGCTTGACACCAGCCTGGGCAACAAAGCAAGACCCCATCTCTACAAAAAGTAAAAATAAAATAAAATGAAAATTATATATCAACTAAAATATTCTCCAGGAATGTAAGTTTACAAGACCTATAAATGGCAAAGGGCTTATATCCAGAAAATAAAGAGAACTCTAAAATAAATTTAAAATGAGGGAGAGATTTAAGGGGCATTTTACAAAAATAAATCCAAATAGCCATAAAATCTTATTAGCAATCAGAAAATGCAAATTAAAATCGTAATGATCTATGTATGTTTGTGATATACAGATATATAAACACTACATATGTAATGGCTGACAATACTAAATATTGGCGGCTGGGCACGGTGGCTCATGCCTGTAATCCCAGCACTTTGGGAGGCCGAGGTGGGTAGATCATAAGGTCAGGAGATCAAGACCATCCTGGCTAACACAGTAAAACCCCATCTCTACTAAAAATACAAAAAAATTAGCCAGGCGTGGTGGCAGGCGCCTGTAGTCTCAGCTACTCAGGAGGCTGAGGCAGACTAATGGTGTGAACCCAGGAGGCGGCGCTTGCAGTGAGCTGAGACCACGCCACTGCACTCCAGCATGGGCAACAGAGCAAGACTCCATCTCAAAAAAAAATTAATTAAAAATAAATAAATAAATAAAATACTAAATA
Source organism: Homo sapiens (assembly GCF_000001405.40). Taxonomy (NCBI): domain Eukaryota; kingdom Metazoa; phylum Chordata; class Mammalia; order Primates; family Hominidae; genus Homo; species Homo sapiens. The sequence goes on from NC_000008.11 coordinate 65,103,370, forward strand.
TTGGCTAGAATATAGAATAACTGTAACTGCCACTCCTGATGAATGGGCAGAGCAATTATTGTCACCACTTTGTTGAATAATTTTAAATTAACTAAAGTTGAAGATACATCTACTCCAAGAGCTGGTAGTTCCACCATGATTACATAACCAAGAGAAATACATATACATATATAAATATATATACACACACACACACACACACACACATATATATACACACACACGCATATATATATATGCACTCAGAAACACGCACAAGGATACAGACAACATTCTGTTTGTAATAGCCTCAAACTAGGAAAAAAAACAAAACAAACTCCCAAACCCATAAATACAATATGGCATTTTCATTCCGTGGAATATAATATATCAATGACAAAGAAAACACCGTAATAACATGCAACAAAGATGAATGGTTGGAAAAAGTGAATGGCAGAAGCCAAGCACAAAATAATATAAACATTATGATATCACTTACATTAAGTTCAAAACTCAGGCAAAACTAAACTATAGTATTTTAAATGTACATTAAGGTGTTAAAAGTATTTAAGAAAGCAAGAGATGATTATGATAAAAATTGGAACAGAATCTATTTAGGACAGAAATAGAAATAGACATAAATGCTAGTAATAGAGGAATGCTCTAAGAAATTAAAGAAGTATTCATAAAAAATACTTTGTAGGCACTATAGTGATGTTTTCTAAATATTTAACACCATGAGAAAATGTTTATGATTGTAAATAAATGCAAGAATGAGAATATACAGAACATGATTTTAATTATTCAAAAAATATAGTTCTACATTAAATGGATGTGTAAGCATAAACCTCATATAACACACATACATGATTTAAAGAAAATACTGGAGACAAATATGTCAAATGTTTATTTCTGGGTATTGAAATTGCCAAAGATCTTGGGAGGTTTTTATTTTTTCTTTTGTAAGTATCCCATTTTTCTATTTGCTAATTTTTAAATCTATGAAATATATTGTTCATCAAAGAGAAAAGTTATATAGTTCACATCAAGATCTTCAGATATCTCAAATAGATTAAAACAATTCATAATTATGCAATCCTATATAAGAGAGTATCTGTAACTTTTCTTAGTAATTTATCACAAAATATAATACTTTTCATTTTATTTAAATTTTAAATTCCTGGAATCCTTTAGAATTGTGCATTTTTACTACAGATTCTACATGGTGATTTATGTATTTATGCTTAGGCTATATAATTACTTGACAACTTATGAATTTTCCTCTGTTAACATTAATATATTGAAATAAGATAATTAAATTTCACTTATTTTAAATATCACTTTGTCATTTAAGCAGGAAAATACTGTAATTTGTCTCATATGCATTATTGGTGCAGTCTAGAAAGCAAATAGATTGAAAGCAGGTGGTCTTTATTTGTTTAGCATATGGGAAGATAAAGGATTTTATTAAGTATAGTACCCACTTCAGTCTCATGAGCCCTACGCATTTGTATATTTAGAGGTTAGAATACAATTTCTGATTTTAAAATAAATCTTGTGAAAAAAACACCAAAAATTCTATAAAATTAAATTACTTTTTATTGTATACATCTGAGTACATATAGTTACAAATCCAAATAAATGAAATCAGCCTAATTTTATAGTGAAAAACTGCTAATAAATAGCTTATTATCTATGTCAATTTAACTCTTTTCCCAGCATAAAGTACATTCAGCTTATTACAAGAAATCACTATATATCATATTTATGAACGTGACGAGAGGACAAAATGTATTCTTATCTCAAAAGTATAAACAAAACCCAGTAAACTTCAAAAGTAAGAGATCAGGTTAGCTAAAACTAGTAACAAGCATGAACCTATTTCTAATTATTAAATGAACATTTTGCTGTCCAGAAAATTATTTCCACAGAAAAAAATGTAAGTAGAAAAATAAAAGCATACAATTAAATAAGAGGACAAACAGATATGTCATCCTTTTCCCCAACTATTTTAAATCTTTTTTCCCCTTGAATTATAACAGGATACAGCTGTGTAACTGTATTAAGGGAAGGCCAAGTCATTCCACAACTTACGTTTTTTTAATGGACTGGGGATAAATTATTCCACTCTCAAAGTTTTCCAGTGAAAATCCCAACAACCTTGGGCTATGCATGCCCAGTTCTATAGCTTGGAGGGTCAGTCAACACACAGTTCATAACGGGTAGCTCAGGTTACATGGTTACTTGGTGGCCCATGGTTAAATGTTCAGTTTCTACTAAGGTCCAGTAACAAGCCGAAGGTTTTCTTTTTAAAAGAGTAGTTATCTGCAGAAGATGGCAGGGCTTTGCTCCAAAATCCTACGCTATGAGTCACCTATAGGGACTTACAAAATGCTTCAAACAGCATCTCCATGTGTTACACTTCAAGCACCATTGGTTCTGCTGTATAATTTGGTCCAAGTAGCCTAACAGTTTGGACCTATTGCAGAACCTTCTCTGGTTCTGGGCCCCACTCAAAAGTAGTAGCCTTTCAGGTGACTTGGTAAATGAGTTGGAGTAACACACTCAAATGAGGAATACGTTGCCTACAAAATCCAACGAAGCCTGCTGGGCATTGTGCCTCTTTTGGTTGTAGGAGCCAGACGCAACAACTTACCTTAACCTTAGAAGGGATATCCAAACATGCCCCACACCACTGGACCCCTAGAAATTTCACTAGGTTAGAGGCCCCCAAGTTTGTGTCATTTTTCTTTCTCAGCCTTTGACATGCAAATGTCTTACCAATTAGTCTAAAGTTGTTACTACTTCTTGTTCACCATGTTCACTTAGCATATTATCATGAATGTAGTGGACCTGTGTGCTGTCATGTGGAAGGAAAAGGTGATCAAGGTCTCTGCTTGCTGTTTCTCACATAGCCAGGATTCATGGGTCCAGTAATCAAACAGCGGAAATGGAAGTGTCTTTGTTCACTATTACCCCTAGGCAACCGCTAGCAAAATTTTTGCTTCCTGTTACCACAACTTTAGATTCTGGTATCTAGAAGTCTTAGTTCCAAAGGGAGGAATGCTTCCACCAAGAGATACAGCAATGATTCTATTAAACGAAAAGTCACACTGCTCTCTGACCACTGTAGGCTCTTTATGCCTTTCAGTGAATAAGCAAAGAAGGGAGTTACTGTACTGGCTAAGGTGATTAATCCTGATTATGAAGGAGAAATTGGTTACTACTGTAGGATGGAGGTGAGGAAGGGTATGTCTGGAACACAGGAGATCCCTTAGGGCATGTCTCCGTACTACTATGTCCTGCCATGAAGGCCCACGGAAAACTACAATAACCCAATTCAGACAGGAATTAATGATGGCCCAGAGCCTTCAAGAATGAAGGTATGAGTCACCCCACCAGGCAAAGAACCACAATCTGCCAAGGTGATTGTTGAGGGAAAAAGGAATATGGAACGTGTCACGGAAGAGTATGTTATAAATACCAGCTGCGACCACCTGATCAGTTGCAGACACAAGAATTGTAATAGTTGTATTATTTCCTTATATTGTTATAAACATATTTGTATATATTTTAACCAGATATTTTTGTTTTCTTCCCTCTCTCGTCCCTTTATCATCTAACAGGAGATGCATTAATAATGGTTAACTTTACATCCCAATGTTTAATATACAGGATATCAAAGGAGGAGAGTGAACATCACCCAAGGACTTTGCATTCTCATCTGGGTAAAGGGTTAGTGCATTCTGGGTTGTGAGCAGGAGGGTTGTGTCATGTTAGGCAGAAGTATAACTTCATTATGATTTTATGTGGAGATTAGGCATGATTTCAAGAGATGTAGATGGGTGCCAAGCTGACATGGGTGAAATGTTTTAGTGTCAGTTTGACTAGGCTGCAGTCCCCAGCAATTCAATCAAACACTAATCTAGGTGTTGCTGTTAAGGTGATTTGTAGATGTGATTAAAGCCCATAATCAGTTGACTTTAATAAGAGAGATTGCCTTAGATGATCCAGATGGGCCTGATTCAATCCGTTGAAAGGCCTTAAGAGCAAGCTGAGGCTTCCCTGAAGAAGAAGAAATTCCACCTGTGGACAATGACCATAACCCATGCCCAAAAGTTCCAGCCTGCGCTTTCTGACCATTTTGTGCCCCACGAATTTTGGATTTGCCTAGCCAGAGCCCACAGTCATGCAAACCAATTCTTCACAATAAATCTCTTACAATGTATTGCCTACTGGTCTGTTTCTCTTGTTGAACTGATATACCTATCTTATTTTCAGCATCAAAGCACTAAGCCTAAGGCCTGACATATATTAAGGGGACATCCAAAACTACTTTATTTAAAAAGCTTATTTTATATTTAAAATAATTAAACAAAATTTCCTTTAATTACTTTATCTTGGCAACCCACTACCTAGGTTCAATGTTTGGTGAATTCATAAGTATTAAATAAATGTTTACTGAAAAAAAAAATGAGTGAATTAACAAATGATTATTACAGCTGCAGGGATTTATAAACAGTATATCATGGCAGAGAATTTTTACAAATCATCACATTTTATAGATTTGAAACAATTAAATAGATGCTAGCACTTAGTTAACTGCAATTTCACTTTGTTTCTCCCAAAATGATGCTCTTAAGAACTATAATGAAATAACTTGAGGATAAGGGTAATTTGTTCCTTAATAAACATCTCTGTGAAAGAGTAAGTTCTTACTCTTTTTGAGTATTACACAACTTCCTCGTGACTCTTGAGTCACAGGACCAGGAAAGATCCTGAGAGGTCATCAGTCCAGCCATTTGCTTCCCAAATACTTCCCTGGTTTCACTCTAATAAATGAGAGAAGTCATGGTGAAAAATTGGTCCAGGCATCTGGTGGCACACATTTTAATGAAGGTGGAGGATATGTGATATGGAATTTTTTTTTTACAATAAGGGGAGCCTGACAAAAAAAAAAGGAGGATGCAAGGAAAAGGAAAAGGGGTAACAGAAATGCCCTGGACTTTTAAGGGTAAGTTGGGGAATATTGATGATGATCCTGTCAATTAATTTGTATTTAAGACAATAAAAGAGAGGAAATAAAAAGGGAAAGGAGAAACCAGAGAAAGGTAAAGTTCTAGCAACTATTTTCCCAGGAAAAATGCCATTATTGGAACAGCCTTAATGCTATGACCAACAGTGGGAGAGGAAATAGATGAGTGTGGTACAATTCGATGGGGAGGCAATCAGAGTAGCAGTTACTGAATTTTATCTCCCCGAATCAGATAACATTTTGAAAGTCGATGGAAAAAAATTGATTGCCTTAAACTTAGAGAATGGTGAAATCTCTCTCTAATAGTTATAAACATGGAAGCTATTTCCAGAGCAACTATAAAATACTCCTATTTGGGTGGGAGAAGGATGGCTCTGCATACCTGCAGACCATGGTCTCATATATCTCTCAGAAAAGGCTAGTGGAACATGGAAATTTTGAAAAATGACTGCAGATTTTTTGACATTCTTCCTATTAAGAAGTGGGTCTATGTCCCTTTCCCTTGAATCTGGGCAGTTGTGACTGTTTTGGCCAATAGAATAAAACAAAATGATATCACGTAATGTTTGAGGCCAGGTCGTGAAAGGCTATGTAGCTCCTAGTTTTTGGGAATTCTTGCTCCCCCTCAGGATATTCCCCCTCAGAACTCAGCTGCCATGCTAAGAGAGGAAACACCATGAAGGGGCCATGTGTAGGTACTCTGATCAACTATCCCAGCAGAACCCAGCCTGAGAGTCATCCCAGATCAGACACAGATGTAAGAGTGACAAGCCTTCAGGTGATTTCTGTCTACAACCATTTCAGTCCTCAGAGCTGAGGCCCCAGACATTGTGCTACTGCAGAGCAGAGATAAGTCATCCTTGACCAATAGAATCTGGGAGCCTAATAAAATATGTTTCATACTGCTAAGTTGGGGGTAGTTTTTTACCCACCATAGATAATAAATCCAGAAAGACAAGCTCTCCCCATCAAGTAGATGTACCTATTTCCACTAGAATAGTAATGCAACCAGTTGGGAATAATATATTTAATTTTATGAAATAATAAAACTATTGTCTTAATAGGTATTTCCAACCTTGGAAAGGTTTAAAAGTAAGTAGTTGATTAAATAAACCAACACAAAATATTAATATTCTGTTTTAAATTCAATATTAGTGCATTCATAATTAATACAACTTTTGTATATTGAGATTCTGACAGATAAGCCTTGTAATTTCCTTTAAATAATTGAATAATTGGCTTTAAGTACACAATCTTAAAATAAAAGTTACATAAAGAGTTTAAATATTTCAGAGAATTGAAGTTAACTCAGTTGTAAGTTAAACTCTGTTGAAGGGAGTTTTATTTCATCAACTTTAGTTGTTTATGGAACGTCTTTAATCAGAAAAAAGTGTGGATGACTGTTCTCAGTTTATTATTAAAATCTAAATGTTAATTTAATAAACACTGAATATTAATTTTAGGTATAAATAATTCTAAACAATCTTCACATACACAAGAATATGACCTTCTCATAGACCATTGATATGGTTAAGCTTTATGTCCCTACCCAAATCTCATCTTAAATTATAATCCCCATAATATCCATGTGTCAAGGAAAAGACAAGGTCAAGGTAATTGAATCATGGGGGCAGTTTCCCCCATGCTGTTCTCATGGTATTTAGTAAGATCTCATGTGATCTAATGGTTTTATAAGGGTCTCTTTCCCCTTCACTCGGCATTTGTCCTTCCTGCAGCCTTGTGAAGAAGGTGCCTTGTGTCCCCTTCACCTTCTACTATGATTATAAGTTACCTGAGGCCTCTCCAGCCATGCTGAACTGTGAGTCAATTAAACTTCTTTCCTTTATAAATTACCCAGTCTCGGGCAGTTATTTATAGCAGTAGAAAATGGACTAATACAGATATTAAAAATGTACATTGATAAAAATATTGTGGGAAAGGGCATAAAAAGCTAGAAAAAGAAATAGGAAAGGGGCAGAGTTCTAACAATTTTCTCCATAAGACAAGCACCAGAGTTGGGGCTCCAGGGAAAGACTAGTATTCTGCGACACACAGGAGAAAGTTTGCAGCTTCTGGGGAATGTGCTGAATGGCTCACACTGATTCCTACCAGAGAGATGATAACCCAACTCTAACAGTGGACAGACATAATTGCTGGTATTCCACATTATATAACAGCAAAATACTTTAGGCTGCAGTTTGGAGCAATTTCCTTTTATTCATTTATAAATACCAGATTGTTTATATTTATAAATAAATAAGAGGATAACCAGATGTTTTTATAGACTGATGACCAGATACTTTTATACTTAAACTAAGCCAGAGAATTTATATTCATAAATAGTTTATACTTATATTTATTTATAAAATATTTATATTTATTTATAATAAATATATACATAAATATAAACTCTCTGGTTTAGTTTAAATATAAAAGCATCTGGTTATCAGCCTTTTCTAATTATAAAAACATTTGAGTCATCATTCATTCATTTATTTATGTGCACCATAAACTTTGTATCCAAGGCAACTTATAATATTGAATACTTAAGTGTTAGTATTAGACAAATAAGGGTAAAGAACAAGAGTTTTTAAAAGAAACATTGTAAAATAATAGTTAAAGAATTGTTTCAAATTCAGATGAATTCCTTAAAAATGGAGACTAAAATGTGAGGCTCAATGGATTAAACAGATCTTTTAGTATATCTTTTACTATCTTTTGATTAAGTGAGCTCATCTCCTATAACCTTTCAGCATAGTTCCTATTTCCTCACTCCATAATCATTTTTACTTTTCTGGATTAAAACACTTTAAAGTATTTTTTCCAAATGCATCTTAAGTTGTGGAGCCCCAAATTGAATACTAGTGAGCAATTAGCAAAGTTGTGAACTGTAACATAAAAGTTAAATTAGGAAAATTATCTTGTAGTAAACAATGTAACAGAACAAAGTGGCACACACATCAAATAACCTATTCTGAAAAAAACAAACAAACAAACAAAAAAACAGTATAAAACCTGAATGTTCAATTGGGGCAGGGTAGGGGATAGAATTAGAACCATCATAGAAACCTGAGTTGATAGAACACAAAATTGCAAACCTAATTTTACGATGTTGTTGCTTTCTACAGAGATAATACAAGCTAATTATTTTGTAAAAGCTAAAGCTAAAAAGTTTAATAAAGAAAAGTGTTCCTGACTGCCCAGAGGTAAACAGGTAATATCGTAAAGACGCTTTCTAAACTCACTGTAGGCATATGCAACGTGGAGAAGATGTTACCCAGATGGGCACCTCCCCCTCTGTAGCTGCTTCCACTCTCCAGCCATTAAAATGCAGACTTGGGTTCCATCACCACTTTCCACATGAAATGTAACCTCAGGGAGCATTTAATTTTAACTTTTGATAGATTTTAAAGATGATTTGAGAGTATGCAGGAAGGAATTACATCCCACACCATCTATCAGGTCATCTTCATCTGACCCCAAATTCCCATGACATTTCCTGTCCAGGGTACCTCCCAGCCCTCTCCCACTCCACTTCTTTCCCATTTTTTTCCCCACGCTGTTCCCAGTTTCACTATCTCCCATTCTCTTTTGTTAAAATAAAAACTTTAGACAAAATAAATCTAACAGTTTATTTGTGCAAAGAATGATTTATGAATCAGGCGGCATTCATAACCAGAAGTCCAGAGGGCTCCACTCCACCTGCCTGAGCAGTGAGTTTTCATAGACTGAACAGAAGGAATTCATTGGCTACAATAAATGTGCTTGCCTTATTTGTATATGGCCGATAGGAGGTTCCCAGTTATATAATCAATTGGCTGGTTGACCCAAGCAGAGGCTCAAGATTTTATCTCATTTTTGTTGTTGTTATTGTTGTTGTTTTCCATCAGTTACAAAAAATACTCCCAAACCTGGCAACCTCAGGCTAATGGCCTCCTTCTTATTTGTTTTAACATTTTCATATCCACCCTACACATCTCAATTGTGAAGAGCAATTCAGCCCCATGTTGATACCGACCTCTGAGTTACTGCTAGCAAGTTAGCACCATCATGGGGAAATTGGTCATGTTTTGTTTCTGTTGCATCTCTGGCACCTAGGAAAATGCAATGCAATGGCATTCCTAGACTGCACCTTCTCCCACAGATTTCCTTCTGGGCTGGAGCTCCATCAGCTGAGTGCTTGGCTGCCTGCCCCACCTCCTCTGTGAGATGGCAAATAGATGATTTGCGTGCCACTTTTCGTTCCTCTGTGGATCAAAATATGTCTCTGTTTTCTAAGCCTAATTTTTGGAGGGTCAGAGTTGGACTGTCCTCATGGGTAAAATCTATCACAATATACCCATCCTCTTTATAATAATAACAAAATAGACAGCATTCCTTCTCCACAGAAGCCAGGCAGTATGATGTTGATCTGTTAAGCATTACCTGAATCTTGCCTATACCAGATTAGGCTCCAGAGAGTGCATTCCTGGAGGAATTTACCTCAAATCACACATTAAGGTTTTTTCTTATGCCTATGAGAGGAAGTGCTACATTAAAGAGGAGAAGCCAAAACCTTCAATATATATAGCAAATTAACTTCTAGAACAATTGCATCTAGTTTTGATTCCACCTGCATTATACGAGAAAATATGTTTTTCCATAGCCTTGCCTGTACTGGGTATTGTCATCTTTTTATGGTGTTGCCTATTGGATAAATAAAAACTACTGTCAAATTAGTGCATTGATAATTATGTTAATTGCTAGTATGGTTGGACATTAGTTCAAGTGTTTAGTCAGGAGTTCCAGACCAGCCTGGCCAACCATGGCCAACATGGTGAAACCCTGTCTCTACTAAAAATACAAAAATTAGCTGGGCATGGCGGCAGACACCTATAGTCCCAGCTACACAGGAGGCTGAGGCAGGAGAATCGCTTGAACCTGGGAGGTGGAGGTTGCAGTGTGCTGTGATCACACCACTGCCCTCCAGCCTGGGTGACAGAGGGAGGCTCTATTTCAAAAATAAATAAATAAATAATAAATAAATAAAATTCATTCATATGAACTTCTTGCATATTGGGAATAGTATTATTTACCTATCAAATTTTCTACAGATAATTTGTCCCAGTTTATCATTTGTCTTTCCATCTTATTTATGGTATATTATGCCAGGAAGAACTTACTTTTTAGAAATTAATTTAATCAAATCTATCATTTTCTTTTATGATTTCTTGATTTAAAAATTTTTAAAACTATGATGCAGGGGTGAAATAAGACAATCCTCTGATTTTGAATATTCATTGCTCAAAACTTTTATTTCAGTGATGTTTGTAATAAGGAAAAAAATGAAAGCACTCTAAAGAACTTTTGATGGGCAATGATTACCTAATGATTTTTCATCCAGTATCCTGCCATTAACATCATTATTATGACACAACATGGTAAAAGATAGCATAGGCAGGATAGCATAATGGTTAGGAAGCCTCCCTGAGCCAGATTTTTGGCAACTTACTTGAATTCTCTGACTCTTCGATTCCTCATCTGTGATGAGGGGGTTATAAAGCTGTCTCACAGGGCCACTATGGTAGCAACCGGGATCTTGCACATGAAGAATTAAGTACAGCCTTGATACAAAATTTCCACTCAATAGGGTAAGGTATTTATAGTTGAAAAGATAAAAGTGGAAAAGACAAAAGTAACAATAGCCATTGGGTTAGGATAGCAGGTTAATTTTTTTTCCTTTGTTTTCAAAACTGTCTATAATGTTATATTATTTAAAGAAAAATTTAAGATAAATGCGTACACTGGTGTGTTTTACTTCCAAAGGAACATGCCGCTAAGACACTAAGGTTACCTTCAAAAGAGCAGATGGATTAATTCAGAGAGGAGAGAATAATGATTGCGATGGAGTAGTGAGTTATGAGAAATGATTAAAGATAAAGACTATGTCTGGTGTTGCTAAGTAATGGCTGAGGGGGGACTAATAGTTGACTACAAAAATCTGACAGGAGAAATACTGAACAGGCAGAGAGAATTATTTAATCAGGTTTAGGACAAATAACTAGACAAGTATAAAGAAGGAAAGAAAAATTTACCCTGAATGGGAGAGAAAACTTTCTGACAGTGAAAATTTTTATACAAGGAACATCTTCCAAGAAAAGTGATGAAAGCCCATCCCTAGAGATATTTAAAATAAGGTTGGATGGATACCAAAAAATATGTATGACAGAACCACAGTGCTTTGATTCGGTATTAGCTTCCATCTCTGATTTTATAGCAGCCTTGGAAAAAAAATAGGTCACTCAGTCATGGTGAATGATTAAAATGTGGCTCAGGCAACCAAGTGTTTGAGCAGTTTTGAGGTGTCCTACTTCCATGCTAGGCACAAAACTAACCTGAGTCAATGTCTGTGCCACAATGTGGCTGCCACATATGAGATGGTGGTGGGTTCGGGTGGGCTCTTAGCAAACTACCTGTTCCTGAACCAAAATTTATATACCTGTCAATCAGTTCCTGAATCCCAGAGTACTACAGCCCAAAGGGACTTGGCCTAACAGCTTCCTTTGAAGATAATAATTTGCTCTACTTATTAAGTATATACATGGTACCAAACAGTGTATTAGGTGTTTTGCCAATGGAATCTCTTTGGATTCTCACAACCACCTCGGAGGGTAGCTATTGTTATCCACGTATTTAAAATGAAGGCTCAAAAAGATTAAGTCCTGTCCCAAGGTCACATGGAAAGTAAGAGCTGAAATGAGGATTTCAATCTAGGTGTGTATTAGTTCATTTTTACACTGCTATAAAGAAATACCCAGCCAGGTGTGGTGGCTCTTGCCTGTAATCCTAGCATTTTGGAAGGCCTAGGCGAGCGGATTGCTTGAGGCCAGGAGATCGAGACCCACCTGGCCAACATGGCAAAACCCTGCCTGTACTAAAAATACAAAAGGCCAGGCGTGGTGGCACACACCTGTAGTCTCAGCTACTTAGGAGGCTGAGGCAGGAGAATTGCTTGAACCTGGGAGGTGGGGGTTGCAGTGAGCTGAGATCAGTCACTGCACTCCAGCCTGGGTGACAGAGCAAGACTCCATCTCAAAAAAAAGAAGAAGAAATACTGAAGACTGGGTGATTTATAAAGATTTAATTGACCCACCGTTCTGCAGCCTTAACAGGAAGCATGGCTAGGGAGGCCTCCAGAAATTTACAATCATGGTGGAAGGGGAAGTAGGCACCTTGTTCACAAGGCAGCAGGAAAGAGAAGTGCAAGCAGGGGAAATGCCAGATGCTTATAAAACCATCAGATCTCATGAGAACTCACTATTACGAGAACAGCATGGGGGAAGCAGCCCCCGTGATCCAATCACCTCCCTCCTTCCACATATGGGGATTACAATTCGAGATGAGATTTGGGTAGGAACACAGAGCCAAACCATATCAAGGTATATTTCTGAAGCTTCTCATCCTTTCCTCTCTACTCGGCTGTCTCGATAGATTAGAAGAGGAACAATTCATGAAAGATCACCGTCCAATTTTAGAGCCCAGACTACAACTTGGAATCCTTGTTCTTGGTCTCTGTCCTTAACCAAAATCAGTTCTCATCTCTATCTTCTTGAGCCCCTGTTCCATTCCCTTGCCCTCTCCTCCTTTGATAAGAAGCAGAAAAAGAAAGAAAATTATATTTTTGATGTTACAAACTTGGGATAGGAAGAAAGAATGTGTATATGTAAATTTAGCCTTTTGATTCTTTAGGTTTCTTTACTTAATGCCAAAACTCATTGTATTATTTAACCCCAGTATTCTACATTTAAATATTCTCTGAATCCAAAAAAATTCTGGTCCCTTTATAATAAAGTAAGACTCATTGTACATGTAGCTCAGATATGCACTTTGAAGTCTAATAATCTAAAATAAGTTGAACAATTAAAATAGGAATAATAATGTGTCTTCAAGATGCTTCACTTTTGCATTTCCCAACTAATATCCATCATATTGCAAGACAAAGGGAACTTGTAAGAACATAAAATTTGCAACATACTCTATCAGCTCTGAATGTGTTAATGCCATATCTACTTTTTTTTTCATTTTTCTCTTAATAGGTTGCATTCTTTCTAGGCATAGTTCTCAATCTAATAAAGTTAAGTAGTAGAGAAACATTTTGAAATGACTTTGATCAGTCAGGAGCTAACCAAAGACCAATAACTATCTGAAGATTTCTATCACCTAGAAAGGTTTATGTTTTCTCCAACTCAATGGAAATATCTTATCACATATTATTCAGGCCTTTCTTCTTTGTATCATCTTCCTATATATGAAGCTAATTATGTCTGGAAGAGAAAATCTAAATGCCTTACCGTCTTCAGGCATCCATTCCTCCAAATCCTAAGAATCATACTGAAAAAAAGCAAAATCTTGTAAAATGAAATTGTTTCTAACAGTATTTAATACATTTGAAAGAGGAAATGGATTGGCAGTGGAGAGAATGAAGGTTGGGAAAAATATTGTATTTGTTCTTCTTATGCTGCACATGAAAGGATCGTCTGCTAAAAAAATACCTTTCCTTGTACAGAGAGGTATTTCTTCTCTACCACACTGGCTAAGGCACACATAAGTCAATGGTCCCCTGCATTGGCCACTGGAAGAAACTGAGGAAATTGCTTGCAGTTATAGTCTATTCAGAAAAGTTGAGTATGACACAGACCTATATGTTTAAAAGAAGAGCAGGTTTGTTTGTTTGTTTTCTAGCAGCATTTTATGAATTTTAAGGTACACCTAGAGATGGGCACACAAAGCCACCACCCACACATGGAAAGCATTTGGAGAACAGGATACCTTCAGTTCCTTCTCTAAGGCTCTGAGTCTGTTGAGCAGGGCACACCAAACGGGAAAGTCCTTTCTGAAAACAGAGACTGGAATGTTGAATTCTGAACTGGATGGCCTCCTTTTCCATGTCTGTGCATATTCTCATTTTTCTCTTTATTCGCAAAACAGACAAGACAGTTACCTTTCCTTTCACAAGACCAAAAATGATAATAATTTCTTCAGGAAATCCAAAAATTTGATTATTCTGTTACTCTATAGTTCAATATAAAATCCAGTGATCAACTGAGATTAAAACCAAAAATAAGGCTGGAAGCTGTGGCTCATGCCTGTAATCCCAGCACTTTGGGAGGCCGAAGTGGGCTGATTACGTGAGGTCGGGAGTTCGAGACCAGCCTGACCAACATAGAGAAACCCCGACTCTACTAAAAATACAATATTAGCCAGGCATGGTGGTGCATGCCTGTAATCCCAGCTACTCAGGAGGCTGAGACAGGAGAATCGCTTGAACCTGGGAGGTGGAGATTGCGGTGAGCTGAGATCACACCATTGCACTCCAGCCTGGGCAACAAGAGCGAAACTCCATCTCAAAAACAAAGAACAAAAAGCCCTAAATGTTCATATTCTTTACCCCAACAACATTAGGCTTTTATTTATATAATAACTAATTTTTTATAATTAATTCATTTATATATCCGGGGTCTCCATAAACACCCTTCCTATGTCTTCTGCTGACCCAGTATATCTTCTGATAATGAAATCTGTTAACAATTGTGGATATTATACTATTTTGATAAAATACTGACTACAGTTTTGCCTCAACATAGCAATCGTATAAATAAAATTGAAATTGTATCTTGAAACTCTTTAGTCATCTGCAAAATACAGTCTGAATCACAACATTTTTTGTAATTGTTGAATGTAAGAGAGACAAATGTGAAATATCAATAAAATAGTCAAAACACAGATCTCACTTTATTTATCAAATTTAGCCTCAACTGTTCCTTCACATTTTTCAGAGAGTTTCAAATCCTTTGTGTGTTTTACTAGTAACAAATTATTTAAGACCTGAGTTGTCAAAATAATATGTAATATAAAATTGTGCCCAAATACCACCCACATGCAAATTTATTCCTCCACTAGTGTGGTGGAATAGTAATACTTTAAGTTAAATAACTTATCCCCCCTTTCAAGATGGAAACCATGTCAAAATGGGAAGAGAATTCCAAACTTGCATTCCAGGGTGTTTAATTCCTAATTAACTTATAAGGTGATAAAAGCTTATAGGATAATAAAAGTATAGCTAACACTTCTTATAGAGCTGGTGAGGTAATATTATTAACACAGAGGGAAACTATACCCACAGAACAATTACTTGGCTAGAGAATTGGCTACAAAAGGGTTTGGAGGTACATTTTCTTCATTTTGGTCTGGTGATTTTACAAAACCACACTAGGTTCTAGGATTCAAATAGATCCTAGAAATAAAACTTACTTAATTTTAGGTATATCTTCACCTTTTTCCTTAAATCTGTTAATTAATTTGAACTGGTTTGAGTTTTTCTATTGTGCCCTGGTTGCAGGCCAACTCTAGAGGAAACTGCTAAATGCTAGGCAATGAGAGAAAGCAGAGAAAGAGGCATGGCCAAGGCCTCTGAAGGCCTCTCCAGACTCTGGACACGAAGAAACAACTGCATTCACCATGCACATATTAATAGACAAAGTGATTACTCTTTAAACATTTCTAAGCTTTGCTTCTAAGTTTTTGTAAGAAAAAGAAAAATATATAACTCAACCACATCCTGTTGATTCCAAACTTTATCTCAATAAAAACAGGAACTTTTGGTCACGTTTAGAGGTAAAACTTGTTTGACCACTTCCACACTGACCCAGATCTGGGAGCTCTGTGCTACCTGTTGGCTGAAGGTAAGAATGAAGGAGGGTCACAGAGGTGGATCAGATGCTAATAAACCCACATAAATAGCTCTTTTTTCTTAATACTTTATTTTATTGTATTTTCCCCATGTATTTATTGAAGCATAATTGACAGAAAATTGTATATATTTGAGGTGCACAATGTTGCATTTTGATGTAAATATGCCTTGTGTAATGATTCCCACAATCAAGCTCATTAACCTATCCATTATCTGACATAGTTACCTTTTTTTGTTGTAATGAGAATAATGAGAACACTCAAGATTTATTTTCTTAGCAAATTTCAAGTATACCAGGGGCTAATGGAG
This sequence comes from Homo sapiens, assembly GCF_000001405.40. NCBI lineage: Eukaryota > Metazoa > Chordata > Mammalia > Primates > Hominidae > Homo > Homo sapiens. The sequence continues at coordinate 65,119,422 of NC_000008.11, forward strand.
TGGAAAACATGGGGAAATGTTGGTCAAAGCATACTAACTTACAGTTATAAGGTGAGTAATTTCTAGAAATCCAATAAGCAGCCTGGAGACCCCAGTTAATAATGACATGTATTGAATAGTTCTTTTTGAGTACAAGTTGTGTCTATCTAGTTTTCTGAAACAACGGATTATCTCTTTGTAGGTGTTGGTTGCAGGAACATGTTGAATTGTGAAAATCTCTGATACACCTCAGTTCTCCTCTGCCAATAGTTGAGTGCCCTGCAAAGAGTCTGAAAAATGCCCTGTAGCTGGATCAACAGAATATGACCACTGTGAAGAGGCAGCTACATGGAAATAGTCTGTTCTAGAGAAAGCTTTCTTTTCATCCACATGCTTGTTTTTAAGACAGTTTTGAGGTGATCATGGCAGACAGGAGGCAGGACTAGCTTGCAGCTCTGGACACAGCAGCATACGGAGGCTTGCATTGTGAATTTGAGCTCCAGATTGACAGCAAGAACAAACCAGCAAAAGAGGACCCACACACCCTCTGAAGGAAGCAGACTGCTCTTGCAAGACCCAGGAGACACCCCAAATACTGTGAGTGCCCCAACTGCAGAAGTGGGAAAAGGAGACCCTCCTCTCCTGAACGCACACCTCCACTAGAGAAATTGAAGGTCTGTTTGCAGGATAAGTTCCCAAATTTACCTGGAGCTCAGTTAGTCGAGCTGAGTGAAATATAGGGGTAGAGGAAGCAGCAGAAAAGCCCTGGGAGCTCGCTGGATCCCCAAGCAGCCCATTCCTGCATTATGTATAAAGTTTTGGTGCCACAAAAGAAATAGCACTTGAATATAAAATTTTCTTTTTAATTCTCAGCAAGGCATGTTACTTCTATAGAAGGGTGCGCCCTTACAGATGGAGCAATGGTGAGCACACACTTGGACAAGGGAGGAGAAGGGGTTCTTATCCCTGACCCACATGGCCCCTGCTGCTGTGTCCTTCCCCTATTGGCTAGGGTTAGACCGCACCGGCTAAACTAATTCTGATTGGCTAATTTAAAGAGAATGATTGGGGTGAGTGCTTGGCAGGAGTCAGGGCACAGCAGGTAGCAGGTAACCAGAATGAGTTAGGGTGGAGCAGGTGATCAGAATGAGTCAGGGTGGAATAGGTAACTGGAATGAGTCAGGATGCAATTGGTAATCGAAAAAGGTTTTCTTACAAGGAAGTTTAAAAGTAGAAGGCAGGGAGGAGCCAAGATGGCCGAATAGGAACAGCTCCAGTATACAGCTCCCAGCGTGAGCGACGCAGAAGATGGGTGATTTCTGCATTTCCATCTGAGGTACCGGGTTCATCTCACTAGGGAGTGCCAGACAGTGGGCGCAGGTCAGTGGGTGCACACACCGTGCACGAGCCGAAGCAGGGTGAGGCATTGCCTCACTTGGGAAGCACAAGGGTCAGGGAGTTCCCTTTCCAAGTCAAAGAAAGGGGTGACGGACGCACCTGGAAAATCGGGTCACTCCCACCCGAATATTGCGCTTTTCAGACCGGCTTAAAAAACGGCGCACCAGGAGATTATATCCCGCACATGGCTCCAAGGGTCCTACGCCCACGGAGTCTCGCTGATTGCTAGCACAGCAGTCTGAGATCAAACTGCAAGGCGGCAGCCAGGCTGGGGGAGGGGCGCTCGCCATTGCCCAGGCTTGCTTAGGTAAACAAAGCAGCCGGGAAGCTGGAACTGGGTGGAGCCCACCATGGCTCAAGGAGGCCTGCCTGCCTCTGTAGGCTCCACCTCTGGGGGCAGGGCACAGACAAACAAAAAGACAGAAGTACCCTCTACAGACTTAAATGTCCCTGTCTGACAGCTTTGAAGAGAGCAGTGGTTCTCCCAGCTCGCAGCTGGAGATCTGAGAACGGGCAGACTGCCTCCTCAAGTGGGTCCCTGACCCCTGACCCCCAAGCAGCCTAACTGGGAGGCACCCCCCAGCAGGGGCACACTGACATCTCACATGGCAGGGTATTCCAACAGACCTGCAGCTGAGGGTCCTGTCTGTTAGAAGGAAAACTAACAAACAGAAAGGACATCCACACCAAAAACCCTTCTGTACATCACAATCATCAAAGACCAAAAGTAGATAAAACCACAAAGATGGGGAAAAAACAGAACAGAAAAACTGGAAACTCTAAAACGCAGAGCGCCTCTCCTCCTCCAAAGGAACACAGTTCCTCACCAGCAACGGAACAAAGCTGGATGGAGAATGACATTGACGAGCTGAGAGAAGAAGGCTTCAGATGATCAAATTACTCTGAGCTACGGGAGGACATTCAAACCAAAGGCAAAGAAGTTGAAAACTTTGAAAAAAATTTAGAAGAATGTATAACTAGAATAACCAATACAGAGAAGTGCTTAAAGGAGCTGATGGAGCTGAAAACCAAGGCTCGAGAACTACGTGAAGAATGCAGAAGCCTCAGGAGCCAATGCGATCAACTGGAAGAAAGGGTATCAGCAATGGAAGATGAAATGAATGAAATGAAGCGAGAAGGGAAGTTTAGAGAAAAAAGAATAAAAAGAAATGAGCAAAGCCTCCAAGAAATATGGGACTATGTGAAAAGACCAAATCTACGTCTGATTGGTGTACCTGAAAGTGATGGGGAGAATGGAACCAAGTTGGAAAACACTCTGCAGGATATTATCCAGGAGAACTTCCCCAATCTAGCAAGGCAGGCCAACGTTCAGATTCAGGAAATACAGAGAACGCCACAAAGATACTCCTTGAGAAGAGCAACTCCAAGACACATAATTGTCAGATTCACCAAAGTTGAAATGAAGGAAAAAATGTTAAGGGCGGCCAGAGAGAAAGGTCGGGTTACCCACAAAGGGAAGCCCATCAGACTAACAGCAGATCTCCCGGCAGAAACTCTACAAGCCAGAAGAGAGTGGGGGCCAATATTCAAAATTCTTAAAGAAAAGAATTTTCAACCCAGAATTTCATATCCAGCCAAACTAAGCTTCATAAGTGAAGGAGAAATAAAATACTTTACAGACAAGCAAATGCTGAGAGATTTTGTCACCACCAGGCCTACCCTAAAGGAAGGAAGCGCTAAACATGGAAAGGAACAACCAGTACCAGCCGCTGCAAAATCATGCCAAAATGTAAACACCATCGAGACTAGGAAGAAACTGTATCAACTAACGAGCAAAATCACCAGCTAACATCATAATGACAGGATCAAATTCACACATAATAATATTAACTTTAAATGTAAATGGACTAAATGCTCCAATTAAAAGACACAGACTGGCAAATTGGATAAAGAGTCAAGACCCATCAGTGTGCTATATTCAGGAGACCCATCTCACGTGCAGAGACACACATAGGCTCAAAATAAAAGGATGGAGGAAGATCTACCAAGCAAATGGAAAACAAAAAAAGGCAGGGGTTGCAATCCTAGTCTCTGATAAAACAGACTTTAAACCAACAAAGATCAAAAGAGACAAAGAAGACCATTACATAATGGTAAAGGGATCAATTCAGCAAGAAGAGCTAACTATCCTAAATATATATGCACCCAATACAGGAGCACCCAGATTCATAAAGCAAGTCCTGAGTGACCTACAAAGAGACTTAGACTCCCACACATTAATAATGGGAGACTTTAACACCCCACTGTCAACATTAGACAGATCAACGAGACAGAAAGTCAACAAGGATACCCAGGAATTGAACTCAGCTCTGCACCAAGCGGACCTAACCGACATCTACAGAACTCTCCACCCCAAATCAACAGAATATACATTTTTTTCAGCACCACACCACACCTATTCCAAAATTGACCACATACTTGGAAGTAAAGCACTCCTCAGCAAATGTAAAAGAACAGAGATTATAACAAACTATCTCTCAGACCACAGTGCAATCAAACTAGAACTCAGGATTATGAATCTCACTCAAAACTGCTCAACTACATGGAAACTGAACAACCTGCTCCTGAATGACTACTGGATACATAATGAAAGGAAGGCAGAAATAAAGATGTTCTTTGAAACCAACAAGAACAAAGACACAACATACCAGAATCTCTGGGACGCATTCAAAGCAGTGTGTAGAGGGAAATTTATAGCATTAAATGCCCACAAGAGAAAGCGGGAAAGATCCAAAATTGACACCGTAACATCACAATTAAAAGAACTAGAAAAGCAAGAGCAAACACATTCAAAAGCTAGCAGAAGGCAAGAAATAACTAAAATCAGAGCAGAACTGAAGGAAATAGAGACACAAAAAACCCTTCAAAAAATTAATGAATCCAGGAGCTGGTTTTTTGAAAGGATCAACAAAATTGATAGACTGCTAGCAAGACTAATAAAGAAAAAAGAGAGAAGAATCAAATAGACACAATAAAAAATGATAAAGGGGATATCACCACCGATCCCACAGAAATACAAACTACCATCAGAGAATACTACAAACACCTCTACGCAAATAAACTAGAAAATCTAGAAGAAATGGATAAATTCCTCGACACATACACTCTCCCAAGACTAAACCAGGAAGAAATTGAATCTCTGAATAGACCAATAACAGGAGCTGAAATTGTGGCAATAATCAATAGTTTACCAACCAAAAAGAGTCCAGGACCAGATGGATTCACAGCTGAATTCTGCCAGAGGTACAAGGAGGAACTGGTACCATTCCTTCTGAAACTATTCCAATCAATAGAAAAAGAGGGAATCCTCCCTAACTCATTTTATGAGGCCAGCATCATTCTGATACCAAAGCCGGGCAGAGACACAACCAAAAAAGAGAATTTTAGACCAATATCCTTGATGAACATTGATGCACAAATCCTCAATAAAATGCTGGCAAAACGAATCCAGCAGCACATCAAAAAGCTTATCCACCATGATCAAGTGGGCTTCATCCCTGGGATGCAAGGCTGGTTCAATATACACAAATCAATAAATGTAATCCAGCATATAAACAGAGCCAAAGACAAAAACCACATGATTATCTCAATAGATGCAGAAAAAGCCTTTGACAAAATTCAACAACCCTTCATGCTAAAAACTCTCAGTAAATTAGGTATTGATGGGATGTATCTCAAAATAATAAGAGCTATCTATGACAAACCCACAGCCAATATCATATTGAATGGGCAAAAACTGGAAGCATTCCCTTTGAAAACTGGCACAAGACAGGGATGCCCTCTCTCACCACTCCTATTCAACATAGTGTTGGAAGTTCTGGCCAGGGCAATTAGGCAGGAGAAGGAAATAAAGGGTATTCAATTAGGAAAAGAGGAAGTCAAATTGTCCCTGTTTGCAGATGACATCATTGTATATCTAGAAAACCCCATTGTCTCAGCCCAAAATCTCCTTAAGCTGATAAGCAACTTCAGCAAAGTCTCAGGATACAAAATCAATGTACAAAAATCACAAGCATTCTTATACACCAATAACAGACAAACAGAAAGCCAAATCATGAGTGAACTCCCATTCACAATTGCTTCAAAGACAATAAAATACCTAGGAATCCAACTTACAAGGGATGTGAAGGACCTCTTCAAGGAGAACTACAAACCACTGCTCAAGGTAATAAAAGAGGATACAAACAAATGGAAGAACATTCCATGCTCATGGGTAGAAAGAATCAATATCGTGAAAATGGCCATACTGCCCAAGGTAATTTACAGATTCAATGCCATCCCCATCAAGCTACCAATGACTTTCTTCACAGAATTGGAAAAAATTACTTTAAAGTTCATATGGAACCAAAAAAGAGCCCAGATCGCCAAGGCAATCCTAAGCCAAAAGAACAAAGCTGGAGGCATCACACTACCTGACTTCAAACTATACTACAAGGCTACAGTAACCAAAACAGCATGGTACTGGTACCAAAACAGAGATATAGATCAATGGAACAGAACAGAGCCCTCAGAAATAACGCTGCATATCTACAACTATCTGATCTCTGACAAACCTGAGAAAAACAAGCAATGGGGAAAGGATTCCCTATTTAATAAATGGTGCTGGGAAAACTGGCTAGCCATATGTAGAAAGCTGAAACTGGATCCCTTCCTTACACCTTATACAAAAATCAATTCAAGATGGATTAAAGACTTAAACGTTAGACCTAAAACCATAAAAACCCTAGAAGAAAACCTAGGCATTACCATTCAGGACATAGGCATGGGCAAGGACTTCATGTCCAAAACACCAAAAGCAATGGCAACAAAAGACAAAATTGACAAATGGGATCTAATTAAACTAAAGAGCTTCTGCACAGCAAAAGAAACTACCATCAGAGTGAACAGGCAACCTACAAAATGGGAGAAAGTTTTCGCAACCTACTCATCTAACAAAGGGCTAATATCCAGAATCTACAATGAACTCAAACAAATTTACAAGAAAAAAACAAACAACCCCATCAAAAAGTGGGCAAAGGACATGAGCAGACACTTCTCAAAAGAAGACATTTATGCAGCCAAAAAACACATGAAAAAATGCTCATCATCACTGGCCATCAGAGAAATGCAAATCAAAACCACAATGAGATACCATCTCACACCAGTTAGAATGGCAATCATCAAAAAGTCAGGAAACAACAGGTGCTGGAGAGGATGTGGAGAAATAGGAACACTTTTACACTGTTGGTGGGACTGTAAACTAGTTCTACCATTGTGGAAGTCAGTGTGGCGATTCCTCAGGGATCTAGAATTAGAAATACCATTTGACCCAGCCATCCCATTACTGGGTATATACCCAAAGGACTACAAATCATGCTGCTATAAAGACACATGCACACGTATGTTTATTGCAGCATTATTCACAATAGCAAAGACTTGGAACCAACCCAAATGTCCAACAATGATAGACTGGATTAAGAAAATGTGGCACATATACACCATGGAATACTATGCAGCCATAAAAAATGATGAGTTCATGTCCTTTGTAGAGACATGGATGAAATTGGAAATCATCATTCTCAGTAAACTATCGCAAGAACAAAAAACCAAACACCGCATATTCTCACTCATAGGTGGGAATTGAACAATGAGATCACATGGACACAGGAAGGGGAATATCACACTCTGGGGACTGTGGTGGGGTGGGGGGAGGGGGGAGGGATAGCATTGGGAGATATACCTAATGCTAGATGACGAGTTAGTGGGTGCAGCGCACCAGCATGGCACATGTATACATATGTATCTAACCTGCACAATATGCACATGTACCCTAAAACATAAAGTATAATAAAAAAAAAAGAAAAAAAATAAAAGTAGAAGGCAAATAATTGAACATACTGACATATTAATTATTGGAAAAGAAATTTAGAACTCATATCTAACAACCCCTCCCCTTGTATTGACTTACAGCTTTCTTTTCAAACTTTTTTTTAACATGTCTTGGCTTAGTTGTTTTGCTTGATTTTTCAAAAGAAGAAGCTTCTCTGGATAAGGTGGAGGATAGGTAAGGGAGGTTTTAGTAAGTGCCGTTTTTATGAGCCTCTGCATCAACTTATGGATGCATGGTATGACACAGCACCCGACAAAAATAAGTACAACTATTACGGCTGCAAGGGAAGTCAGAATTGTGGCTATTATTCCTTTCCACTTACCAAACTACTTTTCTAGCCATCTTGTAAAGGGGTCATTTAGTTGCTGGCTAACCCATTGGATAGAGCAGTCAGACCTTGCAATGCCTTTGTTATACCTCCATTAGGGGCGGTGTTGTTTGGGATGGAGGTGCAACATTGAGTTTTAATCATGATGCAAACTCCTCCTCTTTCTGCTAATATATTGTCTAAGGCTATCCTATTTTCCTAAGCCATCTGGCTAGTAGCCCCTAATTGTTCAGCTATTCCTTTAACAGCATCGCTAATGTAGTTAATAAATCGCTGTTGGTTGTAATAGATGTAGTTTATCCAATCTACATTTTTATTCATTGTCACCCACCAAAATATTGACTCAAATCCTGCAGCTATTTGATTTTGGGCTTTAAATTGATCTGGTGTTCCCCGTGGAACTCTTATTGTGTCTACATAGACGTGAGAGTCGAAAGACCCATAAGGGGATTCTCTTGCTTTACAATGTCTTATTTTTCCTTCCTCTGGTTGATGAAATGCCAGGGTGAAAAGGATAGCCAATTGGACTAAAGCACAAGTGCCACTCTGGTTATTTGGCAGAGTGTCCAGTAAAGGTCCACCACAATACCACCACACATCCACTCAGGGATGAACAAGGGCTGACTAATTGATAAGCTCTTCAAAATTCTTAAGCTCACTGCATCCCTTCAGCTCTCCAAGGAACATTAAGTTTTCTCCCTGTCACAAGAGACACAAAGTGAACTTAGTGTTGGGAGATGGAAGCTGGATGGCCCTCAGGGGCTGACCCGCAGGGTGTCAGACTTCAGGATATAGCAGAGAGAGAGCTTGGCATGAATTATTACTCCAGGCTGTAGAATCCTGGAAAAGAGCTATCATGCAGCCCATGCCCAATCGACTGGAGGACCACCCTAGTGCAAAGGAGACAATCTGGGCCTCTGGCCTGCCATGTGCACAAGCATAACAATTGCTTTTGTTTAACATGCAGACAGAATCTTTGATCCTTTCCAACCAGGTATTTGCATCTTGGTATCCTGTCTTAATTGCCAAAGTTTGTTTTAAGTCTTTAACTTTTATGATAGCTGTCTTGGTCTTGTCGTTAAATGGAGAAGGAGCAATTGTTCCATTGTGAGAGGTTTTGGAAGAAGGCTTAGAGGAAGGTGCAGGCAGTGGGGGATCAAAGAAACGCATTTCAAAGAATCTAATAGGGTTTATCCCTGAAACTTCAGACCCCATACCATAAAACTGGCTTAAAAAAGGAAATCAGCTTAGAAAGGGGAAGAACTTTGAGGGTTTGAGATAATAACCTGTATAGAATTACACTGGTTTAGCTGACAGTTAGAGGGGAGGGCTGTCCCTCTAGTAAAATGAATGTATGGTTTTAGGAAATTACAAAAACCAGTCGGGGCAGTCCATTCTTACTCTTTAGTGGTCCACAGAACGTTGGACCAACTATGGCATAAAAGCTCTACATCAGGGAACAACTCTCCTGACTGACACTGGGGTCTTTATCGGAATCTCCCTGGATTAAATGGTCCCAATTCACTAATGTCCAATCTGAAGACAGTCAGGAGGGACACAGGTACTTTTCTGAAGCAGAAATCTGTCTTTGACTTGGCAAGTCCCCACAGGGTATAACAAGGCAAGCATTAAATGCAATCGTTTGAGGTGAAATTGACTTGGTTATGCTAATAACTAGATGTTCAGCAATAGAGTGAGGAAAGAAGAAAGAATAATAGAATAGATGAAAGAGAGTTAAATTTTTCTTAGCTTTAGTTTGGTAGGGTTTTCCCCTGGGACTGTGGCCCACGACTCTGGAGGGGGCGGTGCTTTCTTGACTCGGGTGTGATGAGTCCATCCCCTTTCTGCTGTAGGAACAGTAGTCTCAGTGGCTAGCAGCACAAGGTACAGTCCTTCCCAGGCTGGCTCGAGTTTTCCTTCTTTCCACCCTTTGATGAGAACGTGATCCTCAGGCTGGTGCTGGTTTGCCAGAAATTCTAGGGGTGGTACCTGTGCTAAAAGACTTTTAGTTTTGAGGGAAAGGAAAGTGGAAGATAAAACACGTATATAATTTCTAAGAAATTGATATTTTGTTTTAAATGTGGAGACATCAGCAGTGGACTTTATAGTCCTTGGTGCCTTCTTACTGAGAAATTTCCTTTAGAACCTATTTTTATTAGTTTTTAGACCAAAGAAAGCCAAACACCATTTTGTATTTGACAGTGCTTCCTGTATGATTTTATACCAGATAAGCTAAATTTCACCTTTATATTAGTGTGTTATTAATGTAAAACTCAATTGTAATACAACCTTATAGACATATTTATCCAATTTTAACATCTGACTATAAGGTAAGATTTTTTTATAGACTCTTTTTAACCTTTTATAATTTTTGTTAAAGAGCAGGTTAGTGCTTTAAGAAAAACCCGTTGTGCTTTTATTTTAATGTCCAGTTCATGGAAAAACTGGATGATACACTTTTAACTTTAGCAAATATGTTTACACACAGAATTTCCTTTACAATTAATGTTTTAAAACTTGCTTAAACCAGCCGGGCGTCGTGGCTCATGCCTGTAATCCCAGCACTTTGGGGGGCCGAGGCTGGTGGATCATGAGTTGGGAGATCGAGACCATCCTGGCTAACACGGTGAAACCCTGTCTCTATTAAAAATACAAAAAAATTAGCCGGACGTGGTGGCGGGCGCTTGTAGTCCCAGCTACTCAGGAGGCTGAGGCAGGAGGATGGCGTGAACCCAGGAGGCGGAGTTTGCAGTGAGTGGCGATCACACCACTGCACTCCAGCCTGGGTGACAGAGCGAGACTCCATCTCAAAAAAAAAAAAAAAAAAACTTCCTTAAAACTTCAAAACAAAATATTTTAACCTTCTAATGTAGGTAAAAATCTACATTCTTATGCCTCCTTATAATTCTTTTACCAAAAGTATATTTTACTTTCCTTATATACCTTGCACATAAACTGTTTCTTCAACAGTTTTACATTCAGGAGGCCTAAGTACTTTCAAATTATACAACATTTCTTGCATAAATTCCTTTTTATAACATACTTTTTTTCATGACTTTCACAGACAGTTCTTCGACACACCTCAACTTTTTGACTTATTGTAAACATCCCTTTTTTCAAAACAACCAGTTAATTTATTTTAGGACAAGAATTTACCATATAACATTCCTTTTTACATATATTCTCCCCCCGACTTTTTTTTTTTCTCACAGATGATAACCATTCTTTTCCAAAGCAAACTTTCTTCATGTCTGTGGACTAGACTGTCTAAGGCCACAAGATTAGAAGTTAGGATAATACACGTTGCACTGTTAACTTTTAGCAAACTTTACTTTTGTTGAAAACCTTGTAAGTTTGGGATTTTGATTATCCTTTGCTATTAATAAGACCTTGTTTAGTCCAAATTAACTTAGAATTGGTATAGATGGTTCCTTCCTGGTTCTGTAAGTACTTTAAGGCTTGGCTGAGTGCAAAGAGCTCACACGTTTGAGCAGACCAATTGTTAGGCAATTTTCCCAACTCGGCTTTTACAAGAGTTTCCTTATCAATTACTGAATACTCATTGTGTCTTTTTTCCTCAATCACCTGGGAGGAACCATCTATTGTCCTGTCCTGAAGGGAGTTCCTCCTAGGTCTGGTCGGACCTCTGTATGGTAACTGGTTAAGATTTAGATCTCCTGTTAGAAAACCTGCTGAGTTAAGGGAATTATCAGTGGTTAATGTTAAATCATCTTTTTCTAACAGAATAGCCCCATATTTTAAGATTTTTGAGTTAGTAAGCCACCTTTTTGCTTTTCTTTTCTTTTTTTTTTTTTTTTTTGGACTTAGGATAGTTCTGAATTGGTGAGGTGTTCTCACAATGAGGTTTCCTCTCAAAGTTATTTTTCTACTTTCTTTTGCTAGCAAAGCAGTTGCTGCTACAGATTGAATGAATTTGGGCCATCCGTGGGTCACTGGGTTAAGGCTTTTGATAGGAAGGCTATGGGTTGTCAGTGGCCTCAGCTCTTTCGGGCTATGCCCTCGTTTACACTGACAACAAGGTGGTGTTGGAGTGTTATAGTGTCACGAAGAAGACCTTCAATTATCAATTATAGGTTTTAAATTTACCCTGGCTTTTAAAGGAATAGGGTACATTGTCTTCTCTTTACTACTTCTCTCTCTCTCTGACTTTCTGTCTCTCTCTTTCTCTCTTTCTTTGACTCCCTCTTTGTCTCTGTCTCTTCCTCTCTCTCTCTCTCTTTCTCTTTCCTCTCCACTGGTCTTGCCCTGCCTCTGCCAGCCGCTTATGCTGCTGTTCTCCCCCATCTCCTTCCCCTTTTACCCTGAAGACTAAAAGTTCCTCTGAGGAGGAGACATTAGACGAGGGGAAACAAACAGAGGAGCACGCAGCCCCTGAATCAACTAAAAAGGTGATAATCTCATGTTTAGGTCCCACCTCCAAATTCATCAGGGTCTCCTGGTGAGACTCAAGATAAAAGACAGAGTCCCTGACCCCCCTCTTCTTCCTTGAAAGTCATGAGTAGAAGGGCTCCTTTCTCCTTTCTTAGTTCAAGACATCCTCTCTTGAAGTGGCCTGTTCTTCCACATCTATAGCACCTCTCATGTCCTTCCTCTCTCTTAGTTCTGGGATTCTTTAACCCTGCTCCCCCATACTCTTTAGGGGTCCTGGTAGATGAGGACCTTGGTCCTCCAGATGGAGGGGGGGTCCTTTTAGAGAGAGGTCTTTAGGTTGGGAGGGAACAGGCTGGTGGGATGGTAATTCCCAAGAGTCAGGGTTATAAGGAGGAGGGATAACGTCAGTCAGGGGGAATTTGGAACGGGATCTGAGGCAGCAGTGGCTGTCTGAGGGGAAAGATTGGGGACACTGAATGGGGGAAGACAGTCTAGGGGATCCCATTCACTGGAGTCTTTAGGCATGAGAGCTAGCTCCTCTGACTTTTCATTTTGAGGTGCCAGATTGGGTTCCTCCCTATGTTTTTAAGGGAAAAAGGAGGGCAGGTCCTTGCCTCCAACAAAGGGTATAGCCTAGTTCTTCTTGAGACACTGGACTTTTATTAACATATCAGATTAGAAGCTGATGCATTACGTCCTCATTTGACCCAAACTTTGGCCAGAAGATTGAAAGTTTGAGGATGGGTCCCTGAGTCCAAATAAAACAGCAATATTTTATCATTTGTTGCTTTTTCCTGTGTTTAGTCCTTTCATTATCTTTCCAGTGTTTTAGCATGAGACCTAGGGGGCTATCTGGGGGGATATCTTTGCTACCATCTTTATCCCCCTTGTTCCTTGTCTTGCTTGGGGTATTTCCCATCTTGATGGTTTTGGGGTAAGGTTCGAGGTTCAATTTCTCTTACTGGAAATTTCTCACCTTTTGGGGTGAGGCTCAATTTCCCCACTGGAAATTTCTTGCCTTTTGGGGTGAGGCTCAATTTCCCCCACTGGAAATTTCTTACCTTTTGGGGTGAGGCTCAATTTCCCCACTGGAAATTTCTTGCCTTTTGGAGTGAGGCTCAATTTCCCCACTGGAAATTTCTTGCCTTTTAGGGTGAAGCTCAATTTCCCCCACTGGAAATTTCTTGCCTTTTCTACTACTGGAGGTTTGTGTGAGGGTCAATCCCCCGCAACGGGGACATCTCACCTCTTTTTAACCTCTAAGCCACCCCAACCAAAGAGTACTTCACTGCCCACCCCCGCCCCCCATGGCTTCCTTACCTTGGTCCCAACAACCAAGGAAATACTTTACCAGCTCCCGCAGTTTCTCCTTCCTTGATCTGTGCACAGAGTCATTGCCGCAGGATGTGAGGATCCTTTAAGCTAGATTGCTGGCCAGTTTGGTTTTTTTTCACCCACGTTGCTGAAAGCTTGGGTTATTCCTTGCACTGGGTGGGTCTTGATTTCTCACCCCTGAGGCCGCCACAAGGGGGCGGGGCGCGCCTCCTCACAAGAGAGAACCAGAGACCATCCCCAGAGGGGAATGTAATCACGGATGAGCCCGAAAATTGTTATATATAAAGTTTTGGTGCCGCAAAAGAAATAGCACTTGAATATAAAATTTTCTTTTTAATTCTCAGCAAGGCAAGTTACTTCTATAGAAGGGTGTGCCCTTACAGATGGAGCAATGGTGACCACACACTTGGACAAGGGTGGGGAAGGGGTTCTTATCCCTGATGCACATGGCCCCTGCTGCTGTGTCCTTCCCCTATTGGCTAGGGTTAAACCGCACCGGCTAAACTAATTCTGATTGGCTAATTTAAAGAAAATGACAGGGTGAGTGCTTTGGCGGGAGTCAGGGCAGAGCAGATAGCAGGTAATTGGAATGAGTTAGGGTGGAGCAGGTGATCAGAATGAGTTAGGGTGGAGTAGGTAATCGAAAAAGATTGCTTTACAAGGAAGTTAAGTTTAAAAGTAGAAGGCAAAGAATTGAACATACTGACATATTAATTCTTTGAAAAGAAATTTAGAACTCATATCTAACACCTGCTTGGCATCACAGGGATCCATCAGGAGGGTGGCCAGAGGACCAGAGGGTAAAACTCCACAGGAAGAAGGAATTCTCTAGCTGAACTTTGTAACAGTTTGAACAGGGCGAGAAGCCTCTTGGCCAGAACTGGGGGAGGGGGCAAATAGGGCATGCAGACTTCATGGGCGGGGGAAGAACTAAAGCCCTTTTCTCTTGCAGCTGGGAGGTGGATAGCCTTGGGCAAATTTTCAAGCCTGTCTCACCCTCTGCCTGGAAATGGACTAGAGGCTATTGGGGAAGCTCGGTGGAAGCAAGACCAACTGTTCAGTTTGCGTGGGAGCTGGATGAGGCCTGTGACTGCTGGCTTTCCCCCACTTCCCTGACAACCTGCATGTCTCAGCACAGGCAGCCATAATCCTCCTAGGTACACAACTCCTGTGGCCTGGGAATCTCACTGCCATCCCCCACAGCAGCTGCAGCGAGACCCACCAAAGGAGAGCCTGAGCTCAGACCCACCTAGCCCCACCCCACCTGATGGTCCTTCCCTACCCACCCTGATGGAAGACAAAGGTCATATAATCTTGGGAGTTCTAGGGCCCTGCCCACTGCTGATCCCTCTCCACACTACTAACTGATGCTTTTTGGAAAGCACCACTCCTGGCAGGAGGCCAACCAGCACAAAAATAGAGCATTAAACCACCAAAGCTGAGAACCCTCATGGAGTCCACTGCACCCTCTGCCACCTCCACTGAAACAGGTAGCCGGATAATCTCCGGCTAAGAGACCCATAGAGGGTCCACATCACAGCACTCTGTGCAGAAACCCCCAGTACCAGCCCAGAGCTGGGTAGATTCACTGGGTGGCTAGACCCAAAAGAGAGACAACAATTACTGCAGTTTGGCTCACAGGAAGCCACATCCACTGGAAAAGGGTGGGAGCACTACATCAAGGGAACACCCCATGGACAAAAGAATCTGAACAACAGCCTTCAGCCCTAGACAGAGCCTACCCAAATGAGAAGGAAACAGAAAACCAACCATGGTAATATGACAAAACAAGGCTCTTCAACACCCCTTAAAAACTACACTAGTTCACCAGCAATGGATCCAAACCAAGAAGAAATCCTGATTTACCTGAAAAAGAATTCAGGAGGTTAGTTATTAAGCTAATCAGGGAGGGACCAGAGAAAGGTGAAACCCAATGCAAGGAAACCCAAAAATGATACAAGAAGTGAAGAGAGAAATATTCATGGAAATAGATAGCTTAAAGGAAAAACAATAAAAATTCAGAATACTTTGGATACACTTTTAGAAATGCAAAATGCTCTGGAAAGCCTTAGCAATAGAATTGGACAAGTAGAAGAAAGAAATTCAGAGCTCGAAGACAAGGTCTTCAAATTAACCCAATCCAACAAAGAAAAAGAAAAAGAATGAGAAAATATGAACAAAGCCTCCAAGAAGTCTGGGATTATGTCAAATGACCAAACCTAAGAAAAATCAGTGTACCTGAGGAAGAAGAGAATTCTAAAAGCCTGGAATATATATTTTGGGATATAATCAAGGAAAACTTCCCTGGTCTTGTGAGAGACCTAGACAGCCAAATACAAGAAGCACAAAGAACACCTGGGAAATTCATCACACAAAGATCTTCACCTAGACACATTGTCATCAGATTATCCAAAATTAAGATGAAGGAAAGAATCTTAAGAGCTGTGAGACAGAAGCACCAGGTAACCTCTAAAGGAAAACCTATCAGATTAACAGCAGATTTCTCAGCAGAAACCCTACAAGCTAGAAGAGATTGGGGCCCTATCTTCAACCTCTTCAAGTAAAACAATTATTAGCCAAGAATTTTGTATCCAGTGAAAGTAAGCATCACATATGAATGAAAGATACAGTCATTTTCAGACAAACAAATGCTGAGGTAATTCACCATTACCAAACCACTACTACAAGAACTGCTAAAAGGAGCTCTAAATCTTGAGATAAATTCTGAAAACACATCAAAACAGAACCTCTTTAAAGCATAAATCACACAGGACCTATAAAACAAAAATACAAGTTAAAAAGCAAAACAAAAACAAAGTACACAGGCAACAAAGAGCATGATGAAAGCAATGGTACCTCACACTTTAATACTAACACTGAATTTAAATGGCCTAAATGCTCCACTTAAAAGATACAGAACCGCAGAATGGATAAGAACTCACCAAACAACTATCTGCTGCCTTCAGGAGACTCACCTAACACATAAGGACTCACAAACTTAAAGTAAAAGGGGTGGAAAAAGGCATTTCATGCAAATGGACACCAAAGGTGAGCAGAGGTAGCTTTTCTTATATCAGACAAAAGGAACTTTAAGGTAACAGTGGTTAAAAGAGACAAAGAGGGACAGTATATAATGGTAAAAGGCCTTGTCCAACAGGAAAATATCACAATCCTAAACATACACGCACTTAATACTGGAGCTTCCAAATTTATAAAACAATTACTAATAGACCTAAGAAATGAGATAGACAGCAACACAATAATAGTGGGGGACTTAATACTCCACTGACAGTATTAGACAGGTCATCAAGACAGAAAGTCAACAAAGAAACAATGGATTTAAACTACACCTTGGAACAAATGGACTTAACAGATATATACAGAACATTTCATCCAGCAACCACAGAATACACATTCTATTCTACAGCGCATGGAATTTCTTCAGGATAGACCATATGATAGTCCATAAAATAAGCCTCAATAAACTTAAGAAAACTGAAATTATATCAAGCACTCTCTCAGACCACAGTGGAATAAAACTGGAAACCAAATCCAAAAAGAATCTTCAAAACCATTCAAATACATGGAAATAACCTGCTTCTGAATGAGCTTTGGGCCAAAAACAAAATCAAAATGGAAATTTAAAAGTTCTTTGAACTGAATGACAATAATGACACAACCTATCAAAATTTCTGGGATACAGCAAAGGTGGTGCTAAGAGGAAAGTTCATAGCCCTAAACACCTACATCAGAAAGTCTGAAAGAGCACAGGCAGTCTAAGGTCACACCTCAAGGAACTGGAGAAACAAGAAAAAAACAAATCCAAACCCAGCAGAAGAGAGGAAATAACCAATATCACAGCAGAACTAAATGAAATTGAAACAAACAAACAAAAAATACAAAAGATAAATGAAACAAAAAGCTGGGTCTTTGAAAAGATAAATAAAATTGATGGGCCATTAGCAATATTAACCAAGAAAAGAAGAGAAAAAATGCAAATAACCTCACTAAGAAATGAAACAGGAGATATTACAACTGACACCACTAAATACAAAAGATCATTCAAGACTATAATGAATACCTTTAAGCACATAAACTAGAAAACCTAGAAGAGATGGATACATTCCTGGAAAAATACAACCCTCCTAGCTTCAATCAGGAAGAATTGGATACTCTGAGCAGACCAATAACAAGCAGCAAGATTGAAATAGCAATTTAAAAATTGCCAACAAAAAAAAATTCCAGGACCAGACAGATTCACAGTAGAATTCTACCAGACATTCAAAAAGGAGTTGGTACCAATCTTATTGACACTATTCCACAAGATAGAGAAATAAGGAACCCCAACCCCCCACCAATTAATTCTATGAAGCCAGTATCACCCTAATACCACAACCAGGAAAGGACATAAACAAAAAAGAAAACTACAGATGATATCCATGATGAAGATAGATGCTAAAATCCTTAACAAAAATACTAGCTAACTGAATCCAACAACATATCAAAAAGATAATCTACCATGGTAAAGTGGGTTTCATACCAGGATGCAAGGATGGTTTAACATATACAAGTCAATAAATGTAATACATCGCATCAACAGAATTAAAAACAAAAATCACATGATCATCTTAATAGATGCAGCAAAATCATTTGACAAAATCCAGCATCGCTTTTTGATTAAAACTCTCAGCAAAATCAGCATACAAGGGACATACCTTAGTGTAATAAAAGCCATCTATGACAAACCCACAGCCAACATAATACTGAATGGGGAAAAGATGAAAGCATTCTCTGTGAGAACTGGAACAATACAAGGATGCCCACTCTCACCACTCCTCTTCAACATAGTACTGGAAGTCCTAGCCAGACCAATCAGACAAGAGAAAGAAATAAAGGGCATCCAAATCGGTAAAGAGGAAGTCAAACTGTCACTGTTTGCTTATGATATGATCGTTTACCTTGAAAACCCTAAGGACTCCTCCAGAAAGCTCCTAGAACTGATAAAACAATTCAGCAAAGCGTCCAGATACAAGATTAAGATACACAAATCAACAGCTATTCTATTATACCAACAGCAACCAAGAAGAGAATCAAATCAAGAATTCAACTCCTTTTACAAAAGATATAAAATACTTAGGAATATGCCTAACAAAGGAGTTGAAAGACCTGTACAAGGGAAACTACAAAACACTGCTAAAAGAAATCACAGACGACACAAACAAATGGAAACACATCCCTTGCTCATGGATGGGTAGAATCGATATTGTGAAAATGACCATACTGCCAAAAGCAATCTACAAATTCAACACAATCTCCATCAGAATATCACCATCATTCTTCACAAAATTAGAAAAAACAATTCTAAAATTCATATGGAACTAAAAAAGAGCCTGCATAGCCAAAGCAAGACCAAGCAAAAAAGAACATGTCTGGAGGCATCACACTACCTGATTTCAAACTACTCCATAAGGCCATAGTCACCAAAACAGCATGGTACTGGTATAAAAATAGGCACATAGACCAATGGGACAGAATAGAGAACCCAGAAATAAACCCAAATACTTACAGCCAACTGATCTTAGACAAAGCAAACAACAACATAAAGTGGGAAAAGAACACCCTTTTCAACAAATGGTGCTGGAATAATTGGCTAGCCACATGTAGGAGAATAAAACTGGATCCTCATCTCTCAGCTTATACAAAAATCAACTCAAGATGGATTAAGGACTTAAACCCAGGACCTGAAACGATAAAAATTTTAGAAGATAACAATGGAAAAACTCTTCTAGACATTGGTTCAGGCAAGGATTTTATGACCAAGAACCCAAAAGCAAATGCAGTAAAAATAAAGATAAATAGTTGCAACCTAATTAAACTAAAGAGTTTTTGCACGGCAAAAGGAACAGTCAGCAGAGTAAACAACCCACAGAGTGGAAGAAAATCTTCACAGTCTATACATCTGACAAACGACTAATATCCAGAATCCACAACGAACTCAAACAAATCAATAAGAAAAAAAAAAAACAATCACATCAAAAAGTGTGCTAAAGACATGAATAGACAATTCTCAAAAGAAGATATACAAATGGCTAACAAACTTATGAAAAAATGCTCAACATCACTAATGATCAAGGAAATGCAAATCAAAACCACAATGTGATACCACCTTACTCCTGCAAGAATGGCCATAATCAAAAAATCAGAAAACAGATGTTGACATGGATGTGGTGAACAGGGAATACTTCTACACTGCTGGTGGGAATGTAAACTAGTACAGCCGCTATGGAAAACAGTGTGGAGATTCCTTAAAGAACTAAAAGTAGATCTACCATTTGATCCAGCAATCCCACTACTGGGTATCTACTCAGAGGAAAAGAAGTTATTATTCAAAAAAGATACCTGGGCACACATGTTTATAGTGGCACAATTCACAATTGCAAAATCATGGAACCAACCCAAATGCCCATCAATCAATGAGTGGGTAAAGAAACCGTGATATATACACATGATGGAATACTATGCAGCCATAAAAAGGAATGAACTGGCCAGGTGTGGTGGCTCATGCCTGTAACCCCGCATTTTGGGAGGCTGAGGAGGGTCGATCACCCAGGTCAGGAGATCGAGACCATCCTGGCTAACACGGTGAAACCCTGTCTCCACTATAAATACAAAAAATTAGCTGGGCATGGTGGCACGTGCCTGTAGTCCCAGCTACTCAGGATGCTGAGGCAGGAAAATCGCTTGAACCTGGGAGGCGGAGTTTGCAGTGAGTCAAGATGGCACCACTGCACTCCAGCCTGGGCAACGAAGCGAGACTCTGTCTCAAAAAAAAGGAATGAATTAACAGCATTTGCGGTGACCTAGATGAAATTGGAGACTATTACTCTAAGTGCGGTAACTCAGGAATGGAAAAACAAACATTGTGTGTTCTCACTGATATATGGGAGCTAAGCTATGAGGATGCAAAGGCATAAGAATGATATAATGGTCTTTGGGGACTTGGGGGAAAGAGTGGGAGGGGGGCGAGAGATAAAAGACTACAAATATGGTACAGTGTATATGTGGGTGATGGATGCACCAAAATCTCACAAATCACCACCTAAGAACTTACTCATGTAACCAAATACAACCTGTACTCCAATAACTTATGGAAAAATAAAATAAAAAAGTTAAAAAAAAGTTTTACTTCATGTTCTCCTGTTCTCCATGTCAGTGTGTCTACAATGACCACTCTACAACAGATAAACCTATCAACAAATACTTGCCCTATCTTTATTGACACAGCAGAAATTTGCCTGTTACATGTAACAATTGCAAATTTTAATTTATCCTAGCTTTATTTAGACTTTACTATATGCCAGGCACTGTGCTAAGCACTTTACATGCATTCTTTCAGTTAATCCTCACCAACTGCACAAGGTTGAAAGGTACTAGAATTGCCCCTAATTTATATATAAAGAAACTGATGCTGACACGGGTTGAGTAAGTTATAGAAGGTCACATGACTTGTAAGCAGCAAAGGCCAGACCTAAACACAAATTATAACCCATGCTTTTAACCACTAAATTATATGGCCACAAAATGGTTCTTACATTGATTCTCTTCATTCCTCAGTAGGAGTTAAGAACTGATAAAAACCTTCCAGGAGGTGTCGAAGTGCTTGTCTGCCCTGGTTGTTAAATATTTATTGAACATTCCATTTATACTGGATACTGTTCTAGATGCTGGGTAATGAACAAAAAGAACAAATTATCTGCCATCATGGAGCTTATATTGTAATGGGGAGACAGAATAAAACACATTTTTATTAAAATTTCAGCTAGTAATAAGTATTATGGAGAAAAAGAAAGCAGGGTGAGGAGGCAGCAAGCGATGGGAGGTGTTAGCCTGGCAGGAGTGTCCCATGTGGCGCCATCAGGTGGGATGTGGGAGTGTCCCATATAGGTCTCTAAGGAGACAGCACTTCATTAGAATCCTCAAGGGACCAACCCCCTAAATGCCTGGAGCAAGATAATTTTGAGCAGAGAAATCAGTAAGGGTAAAGCCCTAAGCCAGGAAAAGCTTGGTTATGGAAGGTTCCGCTGGAACAGAGTGAGAACGGGGATATCAGCAGAAAAGGCACTGGAGGAGTCAGGTGCCCAGTCCCAGGAATGCAAAGATCATGGAAAGGATGTTTGGGTGTTTTTCAGGGTGTGATGGGAAACCACTGGAAGTTTCCAAGGAAAGGAATGATATGATCTGATCCTGTGTGTGTGTGTGTGTGTGTGTGTGTGTATGTGTGTGTGTGTGTGTTAAAATACATAACATAGAGTACACCATTGTCACCATTTTTAGGTGTACAGCTCAGTGACATTAAGTATATTCACATTGTGCTGTAACCATCACCACCAACCATCTCCAGAACCTTCTCATCTTCCCAAAGTAAAACTTCATACCCATTAAACACTAACTCCCTGTTCTTCCTCCTCCCAGTACCTAGCAACCACCATTCTGCTTTCTGAGTCTATGGATCTGACTACTGTAAGTTTGGGATCTGGCTTATTTCATTCAACCTAGTGCTTTCAAGGTTCATCCATGTTGTAGCATATACCAAAATTGCACTGTTATTTTAGGGCTGTATGTATACACCACACATTTTGTATATCCATTGGGTTAAATGAAATCTATCATCAAAATTAATTTCATTTGCTTCTTCCTGCTTTTAAAAAATCTGGCTCGTAGAAAATAAAAAATTACACATGTAGCTCACATTCGTAGCTTGTATTATATGTCTCTTGGACAACACTGTTTTAAAGTTTTTACAGAAGCCTACAAAAAACTACCTCAAGAATTTTTTTACTGTCATCATGAAGAAAAAATGAAAGCAGCTTATAACTGACTATAAGAACCCCAAGAAAAGAATGATGCCCTACAACCAGCTCAAAATGCCCCAGAAATAGCATTTTTATGGAGGGTAAATAATTTTATAGCCAAAGAAGAAATTTGTTATAGTGGATTTTTCACCAAAGAGGATTTATTGAAATCAAATCAACAACTCATTCTTTAGGGAAGGTGCAAGAATTGAATGGTGGTCAGAAACTATTCGCTCCCTGCCACCCTGGGTGGTTCATGAGGTCAGGAGTTCAAGACCAGCCTGGCCAAGATGCTGAAACCTTCTCTCTACTAAAAACACAAAAATTAGGCAGATGTGGTGGCGGGCACCTTTAATCCCAGCTACTTGGGAGGCTGAGGAAGAGAATTGCTTGAACCTGGGAGGCAGAGTTTGCAGTGAGCCGAGATCGCACCACTGCACTCCAGCCTGGGTGACGGAGCAAGATTCCATCTCAAAAAAAAAAAAAAAAATAGCATCTAGTAATCAATAGAACAAAGCATCCAGTAATCAGTAGAAAAAATATTGATATTTATCTTTATAAGCAAGATATCATAGCATAAGTGAAATATTTTGCTGTGGAATGTTTTAAGTCACAAATCTGGTTATAAAAAGTCCTGAAAGCTGAACTGAAACACACCAGCAGCTTGGGAAGTACTTGATGTGCCAGAGGCATCCTCACTGGCTCTCAGGTTTCTATTTGGATGTGCATGGACAGACAAAATGCAGACACTGAGAGGTTTTAAGAAAAAATGTAGTGGCCTCCAAATACCCAATTTAAAACTGGTGTATGCTTATATGGCACAGGTAAAACGGTATTCCATTTCTCTGTTCCAAAATCAATAGAGCTATGTCTGAGCTACTTTACCAGTAGTGATGCAATTGTGTAATGAACCATCCTTTCCCTCATTTGACATAGGACAGCATAGTCCTCTTGAAGAGAAGCTGAAAAAGCCTGGTGGACAGAGGGCTTGGGAAATTAACATTCATTTATTATTGTTTATAGCAAGGCCATCCAGGCCATTGGCATGCTTTTGAGATCTGAGTTCAGTAAATTGCATGTCTTTGTGTGTGTGTTTACATTTCATGTAACCTCTTCAGTATTGTATCTATCTTTTAAAAAATTTACAATTCAAAATTATTTAGTTCATTTTGCAACTGCTTTCCTTATTTTGACTGAAAGGCATTCTCTCATGATTTCTTCTTTGTGAGTTCCAAGAGCTGGTGTAACCTGAAGACCTACATATCTTCACATCCTCTCCCAAGTGACCAACTGTCACTCCCCCAAGAAGAGATAGGTGATAGATGATTGATTGATTGATTGATTGGTAATAGATAGATGACAGATAGATAATAGATAGAAGATAGATGATAGATGATAGATAATGGATAGATAGATGATAGATAATAGATAATAGATAGATGATTGATAGATAGGTAGATGGATAGATAATACATAGAGCAAATGCATATATGTAGCATTATAAAGGAAGAGCTCTGCTGACAGACATAAACATTTTTAAATTCCCTTGAGAAACTTTCTCTAAGCAATTTACTATGTAGGAACGGGAGGACATAAAGGAGAGGAATAATATTATGGTTATGTAACTTGCATACAATCAGGCGACAGTTCATGCCACAGAGGGCTAGAACATAATTATCTGAATTTAAGCCAAGCTCTGATGACTAAATTTCATGCTAGATGTGTGTCTCAGAACATTCATGTTCCAGGGTACACTACCTTGACCATCTGGACCCCGCCGATTCTCCCCATACGATCTTCTTCCTTAAGAAAAGGGTTAGATCCATTTGCCTTTCAGAAGCACTGCACTCCTTGCAGTGACGGGAGTTGAAGGGCAAGAACTGCTGCTGAAAAGACAGAAACTCCCCGTCCTGCCACCCCTCCTGGTGGCGGCATTGATGAACATGTCTATTACTGAGCCTGTCATTCCAGAGAGCCAAAGGTCAAGACAAAGAATGCACACAGCGTCTCCTGTGTGACAGGCAGCATGCTCCCACCAGCCCATGCTGGGCCCTGGTGTCACACAAGAGCTGAGTATTGATAGGGATCCAGTGCTGCCCACCAGCGAGCCGCACTGAGGGACGAGGGAGCAGGCAGAGCACAGTGCCTGTAACAATGGCCTTTATACCTCCATTCCCTTCATGAAGGCTCATTCCTCAGCTCTGAGAGCCTGCACATAGTCAGTATTCAGCGCTCAATGGGTATTTCCTCCTGAATGAATTTCATCTTCTGTTCCTGGAAGGCCACACTTCATTGTGATGTGGAATAAGTCTACTATACTTCTATGACCTGTGAAAAGCGGTCCCTGTACAAATGCTAGCCATTCCTGTCACTCAAAATGGGAGCCCTTTTTCATGGTTGTTCTTGCTTGGGGTACACGTATTAAGGATGAAGCCCCTTTAGTTAGGTTTGTAAATCTCTAGACCAAAACATTAGCATTCAGATTGCACCTAGGAGAAGAGTGAAGACTTGATGAGAATCCAGGACCCAACAATAAAATATTTCTCAACTGTCAAACAAATAATTCACAATGTGGAGGATGGGGACAAGGCAGGAGTAGGATTTGGATTTTAAATGAAGCAAGTAGGCAACACCAGATTACTGTTTCACACAGGAAAATCAATGGGAATTTGGAATTTCGAGGTCCCCTCACAAACTTGTAAATAAAACATCGGTATCACATAGCAGATATTGGGTACGTGGGGGAACACAAGGTTGAGAAAGTCGACTTTTGCATTCCATCCACATTTCATGGAGCTCGGGAGGAAGAACAACAGTGGAACTCTGCCAAGGGAGGAGGAGGGAAGAGGAGGGGGAGAGGTTTATTTCATTAAGATCCATTATCTTTGACCTGAAATCAGAACCCTTACCTCTCAAGAGACAGTAGTATAATTTTTTCTCCTACTGTAAGTAACTTTTACTCATTTCTCTCTAGATTTATGAGCAGTTGGAGCTTTTGAAATTTTTTCAGTTTGATGAGGGAAAGGCAAAAATAAAAATTTGTCTAAACTTGCTGATCCCTGACAATTCTACGTAATTTAACAAGGACAATATAATATATTGGTATTTCATCAACCTTATGGCCAAGGCTTCAAGTCCACAGAACCCATATGCATAGAAATGGAAACAAATATCAGTTCCATCATCAAGGCAGCAGCCTGCTGTTAAAATACATAGTATCAATGACACTAGGAGTTCCTGTCCTTCCTTCTTCCTTCCTTGCCCCCTTTCTTCCTTCCTTCTTCCTCTTTTCAACCACTTATTTATTCTACAAACATTTACTGGACACTTAATACCCTTTACATAACCATTGCCAGCTGATCTTTTCAGATCAGGCACACATTTGCATTTTATTTTCGTATCCAAAAATCTGCCTAAAGTTGGGCAAACTTGGGCTGAAGACACGGGGTCCATTCTCTGCGCCTGGGTGTCCCAGCACCTGCCAGCTGTGCGTCCCTGGAATTGAGGACATCGTGTTTTCAATTTTCTTCAATAAAGCAATGAATCTGGCAATTTGCTGGCCTGCTTCAGCTAAACAGAAAGGACAATTTGAGAAAGATCATAGTTCAGGCCCAGTCAGACGGAAACGATTGAAAACAGAGAGCTGGCCGCTGCGTTTCCCCAATGCAGCTTGCTGTCGCAGTTTGACTGACAAACTGACTTTTTTGAGGTGCTCATGCCCATTTCAGTCAGAGTTTATTGAAGGTGATTTTGATCTTCTCCATGAGGCCACAGCAGTGGCCATGCCATCTGTCACCTTGATTGCATCGTGGATTCTCTGGAGAGAGCGCCATGGCTCCTGATCATTTACAGATTGTGCTGCTCTCCCCTCCATAAGGACCACATGCGCAGAGCCAGATGGTGAACATACACGCTTATTATAAGTCTTTATCTCCGTGCAGGAAGGAGAGGAACCATTAGGTCTCCCTCAGGAGCTCTGCTCCTCTCGACCAGCATGCTGCTCCTCAGCAAATACAGTCTTCTTCAGCTGTCATCGGCCCACCTCTGAAAATTAAAAAAATAAACAATAATTCCATCAGCCGAGGCTGGGAAACCAAGACAGTGCAGCAAAGCAATCCCCTGGCCTTGCCTTCCTTTCTTTTCTCTAACCCCTTGCTTGCCTGACTGTCAGCACTAGGTAAAAACAAGTTTGTTTGCAAATGCATCATTAATGTGTTGATTTTTTAAGAGATCAAGAGGGGCTGCTGCTTGGAAATAAAGCGACGTGATCCTATTTTTCGTCATTGAGATTATGGCTTCCATTGTATTGGCCTCATTCTTTTTCACTTAAGGATTTTTCGGTTCATTTTACAAATTTTAAAATTCAGTGTTGTTTTTCTGAAATAATCCCAGGAGCAGGACCACCTGTGTGTCAAAGCATAAGGGCTCAGGGAGGGATTTAAATGCTGGGGACTGTGAAAGAGAATGGAAACCCCCAGTACAGTGGAACTTTGAAAAATTCCTTTTAGTAAACTCTCTGTTGGGCAAGAGACATAATGGGGAGGGCTGGGAGTAGGCAGGAGAGCCGAGCACGCATGGCTCAGAGCACGGACTGAGCAGATCTGGGACTGCTTGTGAAAATGAGCGCTTTCTCCCAAACCACCACTGCCTCTCGCTGTCAGGGATTCATAAAGAGGTCTAAAAGAACCTGAAGTGGAACTGTAACATGTGCAAAAATAAATACTGCCAGAATAATACACATTCGTTGTAAAGAAAGTAATTCTCAACTTTTTGATTTTTAGGTATAATTTATATACAGTAAAGCATATACATTTTAAATACACATTTTGTTTTTTACATATAAATATTTCATCCAGACCAAGATATAGGACATTTCCAGAGCTCCAGCTGACTCATATGCAGACTCACGAAGAGGCCCACCTCCTCTGCCTCCAGGGCTCTATCTCCAAAATTAACAATACATCCAAGCTTAGAATTCGCCTCTCTCTCTCTCTCTCTCACACACACACACACACACACACACCCTGGCTTTGTGGGAAAGCCCCCACTAGTGAGCAGCTGTATGTGGAAACCAGGGAAAGGTTTCTACTGACCCATAACCTTGAAGTCTCGCCTATTTGGGTCATTCATTTAGAATAACTGCCACGTTAACCAATGGTTGCAATTACCTAAATCCAGTATCTTTGCTCAGACACTAAATCTGAGCGATCCTGGAGCCTGCTAAGATAGTCACACAATCCCTTATGGTTTAGGTTAAAATGGAATAGGATTTCTCAATCCATGAAATGACCAAGCCATAACCTCTTGCACACCAGTTCTCAAAGGCCTTCAGAAGTATCACCCTTTGTTGAAAACGCAGGATAAGCTACAACAGAGTCGTTATTAAAAAAAAAAATTAAAAATAAAGAAATTTAAAAAAGACAACTATGAGAAATCCCACTGTGAACACACACACAGACACACAGGCACCTACACACACAGGAACAAGCACCTCACATAGCCATGTTTCCTGAAAAGGTTACTGAGCCAAGACACTTCTTAAACACAAGTCCAAAAGTTATTCCACATGTTTTGTGTACACATTAGGGACCTTTCCAGGAGATATTTTGACAGAAGCTAATAATGTTTTTAACAGACTGACTTCATTTTTTTTTTTCAGTAAACCTCATTTAACTCATCAACTTCCACAATAGTACTGCTTTGTTAACATTTTCTATGAAATAAAACAACCGCTCTTAACGGAATGAAAGTCACTACCAAATATTTTTGGAGGAAGAAATTTAGTGTTCCTTTAATCCAACACAAATGTGTTTTCAGAGGAGAGATTTATGGTAAACTCCTGTTCTTAAACTCGCTCTTTCGTTTTGTGTTTTGTTTTGTTTTGCCTTGGTTTGGGGCATCCGGGAATGTGTAGGGATGAGAAAGAGATGCACATATTTGATAGGCTGTGTGCTAACTGTACTTAAGATATTTTGCAAATGGTATGTAAAGACACAAACAGGA
Source organism: Homo sapiens (assembly GCF_000001405.40). Lineage (NCBI taxonomy): Eukaryota > Metazoa > Chordata > Mammalia > Primates > Hominidae > Homo > Homo sapiens. The sequence goes on from NC_000008.11 coordinate 65,147,599, forward strand.
AAAAATAGTCATGCCTATCTAAATTAACTCTTTGTCCCTGAACATTAGCCTATAATGAATTCCACCTAAGCACATAGATTTTTAAAATATCAGCATTCTCCCTACTGTATATCATTTTTCTACGCAGCACAGATAGGAATCAGTATGGGATTAGCCCTACCTAGTTAAACAGAAGATCCTGACCTTTGCAACTTCACATTGCTCTGTTCTCTTAGAACAAAAACATCTATAGGGATACATATTGAAAACCAAATCACCAAACACAGTCACCCTCTCAAAAAAGATGAAAGATAATAAGATGTAATATAGTGCATTTCATTAAAAATAAAAATGTGACTTTATAAAATGAAAAAGATTACTTAGGTTCAGGGAGAAAAAAAGGGAAACTGGGTTTGATTACTTCATGTTAATGAAATTTGCTGAGATACATAATAATTTCCAGGCCCCCACGTGGGGAGAAGATAATTCTGCAAATATGAAATGCTGAGCATCTTTATTTCCAGTTCTGGTTTCATCACTTCTAGTTAGGCTAGGACAAGAAGCTCAGTGTAGTCCTCCCCTACAGCTACCCTCCATGAGGTGTCAAGGTGCAGAGAAAGCCAAAGGGCATGGAATCAGGCTGGGGTTGAATCCAGCCTTTTTACTTGGCCTTGTACTTGGGTAGGTTACTTACTTTCTTTCAGCCTCATATTCTCTATCTGCCAGTGAGCAAAACAATACCAGTCTCCCAACTGAGGATTAACTTCAGCAAATGGGAAAACATCTCATGTCTATCTGGCATATACTAAGTCCTTAAAGCATGCTGAAAATGAAATTAAATCAGAACAAATGTCACCATTTCTGTTAAAAGATAATGCTGCAAATGCACACACAATGCAATCATTAAGATTATTAGGTTTCAATATAGGAAGCATATTTTGTAAGGCAACCAGAGTGTTAAATGCAAGCTGGATGGCAGGAAGACAGGTCTGTAGTGATGGGGAACAAAGGCCCTGCCTTCAGCTCTAGGCTCCACCCACCCCTGGGTAGCTGTGTGACTTGTGCTTGTTACTTAAATTCTCTGTTTCAGTTTCTCTACCTGAAAAATGAGAGTGAGACTAAGGAACCTACCTCATAAGATGGCTGTCAAGATGGATGAGATAATGTAGGTAACATGCCTGACAAATTGTAAGTGCTATAAAAGTGAGGTAGCATTCAGAGTGCACCGAAGGCTGTGAAATGGCAGCTCATGATTTCATCCTTTGCTAACTTTTGGCTCTAGTGTAGCAATAAAATCATATTGAAGCTTCAAAGCCCAGAAAACTGACCAGAATTCATTGTTCACATTTGTTTGCTATTTTTGGTTTTCAGTGGGAACCATTGTTTATTTTATTTAATTGCTGTAAACCATACCTATAAACTTACTAAGCTATATCACATCTCTCTCTCTCTCTTTCTCTCTCTCTCTCTCTCTCTCTGTCTCTCTCTAACACACACACACAAATTTTGTTTTATTATACTTTAAGTTCTGGAGTACATGTGCAGAACATGCAGGTTTGTTACATAGGTATACACGTGCTATGGTGGTTTGCTGCACCCATCAACCCATCACCTACATTAGGTATTTCTCCTAATGCTAACCTTCCCCTAGCCCCCCACCCCGCGACAGGCCCCTTGTGTGACCTTCCCCTCCCTGTGAGCATGTGTTCTAATTGTTCAACTCCCACTTATGAGTGAGAACATGCGGTGTTTGGTTTTCTGTTCTTGACACACACAATTTTTTATGCAGGGTAATTGTAGCTGGATCTATGCAAACTCACAACTGTTACTGGGAAAATGTCTCAAAGTACAACAGGAAAAGGAGTGTCATAATCTGGACTCAAAGTTAAAAGATTTGGATGTTGGTCCTAACCCTACCACTTAACCTTGAGTAAAGCACTTATTCTCTCTCTATCTGTTTCCTCATCTGCAAAATACAAATTGAAATGCCTTTTAATTTCATGTAATTGCTGTAAGGATCAAATCTGTGAAAGGACCTTGAAAAATATAAAACACAAAACAAGTTCAAGTATTAGGTATTGGTATTATATATTAAAGACAGCATGATCACCAGGCAAACATTAATGACTATATTAAACAGATTAATTAAGATTTTATAATAAATGTGTAATTTCCAGAAATAAATTAGACTCTAGCTGGAAAGCAAGAATATCTAAGCCATCGCCTTTTGAACCACAAGGCCAATATGAAGATAGATCTAAATTCTGCTCCCAAGGGTCTCAGAAGTTCCTGGATCAAATGATTCTGATTAATAGAGTGGACAAATAGGGCTCACACTTTAATTTTGCTTCTTCCTATCTTTGAGAATATTTTCAATATTACAATGTCTATCCTGCAAATAGCATAAGACCCAAATAAAAGTAAATCCAACAAAATCTGCTTAACTCAGACTGCTTTAAAATAAGAGTTCATACAATGGGACAGTTGGTCCCAATCCTGATTTAATATGTCTGCAGTACAAAGGGTCTTTGCTGCCTCCTGTTTCTGCAGAAAAAAAAAACAAAGAGCTTATTAAAATAAATGTAGACTAGGACTTAAGCCTCTAATAAGAATGAAAAAGCAATAATTTGAAATAATAATATACATTTTTAAAATACATTTATTATTCTTGCATTATAATTTAAATTAGTAATATTAAAATGTCAGGGGTTACATCATATGAATGTAAAAAGCAGAAGTAATTATTTTTTTGAAAGTTCCAGAGATTCTGGAATAGTATGCCAACAAAAAGGCAGTTCTAAACATAAATTCAAATTATCTATACTGAACACAGAGTTCAAATGTAACTTAACAGTAGCCAACATACATGCATATAGCCTTTTCTTTCTCTGTCACCAGATAAGGTACATTAGAAGGTAGGTCATGATTATATGATTATAATTATTATGAATAATAATATCATAATGTGTATAAATCAATGTATGTGTATATGTGCGTGTGAGTGTGTGTGTGTACGTGTGTGGTCAAGTCAAATTCAACTTACAGGCAGTGATCACACATCTCATCTTGTGAATGGCATTAGATATCTTGTTCAAAATCTCTGATTAATCTGATTAAGCTAGCAAGTGAATAATCCTTTAATCCTCTCAAGAATACAGTTTATGTCTGCTGAGTGTCAAATTTAAGACTGGTAAGTTGTAAGTACTGAAATTTAAGTGAAAGGAAAGAGAAAAAGGCTGGAACCAAAGTCAAACTGTTTTCATCTCTTTTCCAGATTCTGTCTTTTGTGGCTGACCTTCTCGGCTGAAATAGGAATGAGAAACATTAGGAAAAATAATAAATCATCCTCCGGTGGCGGCTCTGTGGCAGCGAGCATATCAGTCACCGAGGACCAATCTGCTAGCATGTGCTTCCCTTTTCCAAACCAGTTTAATTATAAATTAATGGATACTGCCTTTGCTTCTCTTTCATTTTGGAGCTGAAAATGTTGAAAACCAGATATTATTTATTTTATAGTTGGAAAACTATCTCAAAAGCTAAAAATTGCTAAATATTTTTACAGAATTTATATAAGCAAGAAAATGAACATCCTCCCATTTAAATTTTAGGCAGAGGCTACACTTTAGATGGTGTTATTGCATTTAGAACAACGCAGGGCTTTGGCCAGGTTAAATGAATTGAGGTGCCTCGATGCTGATTTATATTTATGCATCAGATTTAAATAATGACACTGAGCTAAAGCAATGTGAAGAGGTGGGTAGAGGAGAGTGGTGGTGGTTAGTTTGCTGTCCAAGAAAAACAAAAAGTTAAAAAAAAACAAAACAAAAAAAACCTTTTAAACTGACTGGCTTGCTTGCTCGGCATTTGACAACCTACTTTGGCTGAAATATGGACATATATCATCCCAAACAGCAGTTTATAATATCTATAGCCCAAAATAGTCTGTGAATATGTTTACCTGAAATGCCTTTTGTGTTGATTGTTTACAAAAATCATCCCGTTCTTCTAAAAACCTTGACTAATATCTGTTATAAGGGTAAAACCACGAGAAGAGATTAATTTGCCACTCAACTACTTTTTTATTTCTTTATGTGGCTTGAGTCAGAGAGATCTGAACTAATTAAAATACTGACCAATCTTTAAAAGCAGAAAGTCGGTATTATCCCTTAATTCCTCAGGATGCGAGGAAACAAGGCAAAGGAGGAATCTCCCAGCCCTGAGCATAGCTCCGGAGGCAGAGTCACAGCCTGGGAAGTGAAGCAGAGAAGAGCTCAGACCAGCCTGCTCTTTGCTGTTCGGGCTGTGGTGTAGCCTCTACTTTTTTGTTACTTTTCCAGTGAAGCCTGAAGAAACTGCATTCCCAGTAACCAGACAATGGAGGAAAGCTCGTGAAGAAACCCCTTTCTTGACTTTATTTCTGCCTGGACGGAGGTTCTGCACTTCTCAGCGTGCCCCCAAACATATAGGGGTAAAAGGAGGGGTGAGGAGCTTCTGACTAAGCCCCACCCTCAGCCCACTGCATCCCCGGCCCCAGAATGTGCCATCCTCGGCGAGTAAAGCTTTCAGCGGTGCTAACTTGATTGTGTTCCTCTAATGTTCACACATTTGGCACAATCTAGTATTTTCGGTCCTTTATTTTTAATCAGGTTGGCAAACGTCTCTCATCTCTGGCTCTTTCTTCCTGTCCACACAGTGGTAATGGCTTGTGTAATTATTACTTGCTACATGATCTGCTATCCCTGTGGATGTTTAGGCTCATATTATCTTTAACCCCATTCACCTTTGACAGTGAACTTTTCCCCGGCATCCTCAGCTGGGGATCAGCTGGCGCCTGAGTTTGAAGGGCAGGACCATGCTCAGGCCCTGAGGACTATAGGCCTCATTACAGCTTCCGGACTAAGAGTGATCAAAGCCTGGAGGGGAGGGTTAGGATTTCCTGCAGGCGTTCATAAGGCTTTACAGAACCAATCAGAGAAACAGAATAGTTTCCAGCCACCTCTATGAGTAAGCTGTCTTCCAGAGGGGCGAGTAAGTGGAGAGGAATCCCAATATTGGTAACAAACCATGAAGTGACCTTGTTTTGCCTTTGTTCAAGGAACAAAGACTCTCGTAAAACCCCACAGAGCAGTGTTTACCAACTGTGTAAGATCACTTCTGAAATTACTTTACAATGAACCTAATTCTGAATAAATATCTAAAAGAATATGTGGATAAATTATGTAATTTGTAATTTTGTTTTTTCTGATTATACATATCTACTAATTTGTTGTCTTTGGACTTGGTTCTCTTGTCTTCTCATAATTACTATTACTCACATTACAAAACAGCAGCCTCCCTCTTGTCTTTACATGGCATGAGTCAACATCCCTCTCTTCTGCCATTCATTTACTTATCCATTCATGCAACAAATGTTTGTGAAAGTTTGTTAAGTGCATGGACATAATGATGCTATTATTTAAAATGATGCAGAGATCCCCTTGGTACATTCCATGTAGAGTTCATAAAACAGCTTACACAATCATGGTTGAAGCCTGGCCAAAGAGCAACGTGAAGTCACTTGATCTCTATCCAGCTCATTCCATGAAATTCAAAAGGTCACTACCAAAGTGTACTTGGTCAGGACAATGTATAGGAGTAACAGTTGCCCCACTCTCCTCTTACTATAGTGGTGCTTGTTCACCTGGTTTTAGGTTCACCTCTTCCTTTTGAGAGCCTTTTTAAGTGTCTGCTGACTCTAAGAAAAACCCACCTATGCAGGAACATGCTGATATAACCTAGAGAGTCCTTGGTGAGAGAAAGGAAAGTTTTAAAATATTAGAAGGAACAGAAGTAAACAATGGACCTTTCAGGAAAATCTTAAGATTTTGAAATATATTTGCAGTGATTTTCAGAGCCAAATTGGGAATCCAGACAATGGGGCGTTGAAGCTCAGTGGATCCGGGTCTCGGGAATCTCAATCGGTCTCTGTCTTCTCCAGCCCCTCAACTCTAGGCAATAGGAGTTTAGACCAGTAGGTGCACCCACATCCAGGCTCTCAGCTGCTTTGGCCAAGAGAGGATCTGTATTACTAGGTTTAGCTCCACCAGCCAGTGATGTGTAGTTTGGTAAAATCTTTGTGTTCATCACTCTGGGATCTGGGGTGGGCTCTGAGTCCTCTAAAGGTCTTTGGGTCCCAGATCTTCTCTAAGACCGTTCACTTTTGTTCAGATTTTAAAACTAGGCCTGACCTCAATTCTAGCAACCAGCTTCTCTGAGATCTAGTCCAATTGGCTGGGCCTTTAAGCCCTGCCTAGCTCTTGCCAGTCCTGCCTTAGATGGTGTGGAACTCTATTTTATGCCTTTAGTCAACAATTATGTCTTCCTTCAAAACAGAAAAATTCCCCAGAGATGGTCATCCTATGGCTTTTGGAATAGCCATCATCAGGAGAGTCCTACCATGCCTCAGCCACCAGACTAGGCCCTCTTGAATATCTACACTGACCTAGATATTGGTCCAGTCCACAGTGCCCCATTGCACACTGTTGTTTCATGTCAACCACTCTTGCAGTGCCCGATAGACAGCTTACTATTTAGGTTCTTTCCTTGAGCCCATCAGGTTTCAACATTTTACTGTTTTTCTTTGACTCATGCTATCAATGTACTCATAGACAGTCTTTCCTGAGTTATCTAGGAATCCACTGGAGAAGTAAGAAAGCACAAGTTGGTTTTAGACATTTTATCAGTATTGAGGTTCCCCTAGAATTGATTGATCCTCAGAAGTCTCCCAGGTTCCCAAGGCCAACCTAGACCAAGAACAGACTTCCTGGAACTGTTCAAATGTATTTGCTTGTGTTGGTATATTTCCCTCTCTAGGCTGTTGTCCTTCTAAAGTATGACACTAGTGACTTTATTTCCTCTCATACTATAGCAATCAGCATGAAGTCAAAAATTTTTTTAAAGGAAATAGAAAACTTGGCTTTATCACCTAGTTTGGCCCCTGCTTTTACCATGTGCTTAAGTACAACAGTAAGATAAAGTTCAAGAAACTCATTAGGTTGATTAAAATGGGAAAGCTGGATAATGTCATCATTTGGGGGCGTATGAAGATATACAAACCTTCATGTGCCTGTTGATATAAACATAGAATAGGCTGGGTGTGGTACCTCATGCCTGTAATCCCAGCACTTTGGGAGGCTGAGGCAGGCAGATCACTTGAATCCAGGAGTTTGAGACCAGCCTGGGCAACGTGGCGAAACCCCATCTCTACTAAAAATGCAAAAAATTATCTGTGTGAGGTGGCATGCACCAGTAGTCCCAGCTACTCGTGAGGCTGAGGTGGGAGAATCACCTGAGCCCGGGAGGTTGAGGTTGCAGTGAGCTGAGATTGTGCCACTGCAGTTCAGCCTGGACAAGGGGAGTGAGACACTGTTTCAGAAAAAAAAGAAAGAAAAGAAAAAGAAAAAATAAATCTAGACTGCTGCAGACATTCTGGAAACAACCTGGTAGTATTTAATTGAATTCATTGAATTACCTATTAACTAAGTACTATGTCATATTCCCTATGCCACAGTAATCCTGTTCCTGGATATGATTCTCAAACATATTCTCACACACTGGGAGACATGCTCCATAACATTTATCAGTGTTTGTGTTGCTGGGAAGTGGGAGGTGATCATGTTGTCTGTCACTTGTGAATAGGTAAAACATGGTAGATGCCACTATAAAGTATCCTTCAGCAACTGGAAACAAAGGACTGGATGTTCATACTGCTACATGGATAGCTCTTAGAAACAATAGGTCAGAATGATAAAAGAAAATAGAGCTTTCTTTTCCAAAATGGGCCAAGCAGAATGGCTCCCACAAAGAAACGTGGTGAGAAGGGCCGTTCCGCCATCAAAGAGGTGGTGATCCAATAATACACCACCAACATTCACAAGTACATACAGGAAGTGGACTTCAAGAAGTATGCCCCTTAGGCACTCAAAGAGATCTGGAAATTTTCCATGAAAGAGACGGGGAACTCCAGATGTGTGCATTGATACCAGGCTCAACAAAGCTGCCTGGGCCAAAGGAATAAGGAATGTCCCATACCATATCCACGTTGGGTTGTCCAGAAAACTTAATGAGGATGAAGATTCACTAAATAAGCTCTGCACTTTGGTTACCTACATAACTGTTACCACTTTCAAAATGTACAGAAAGTCAATGTGAATGAGAACTAGCTACTGATCATCAAACAAAGCTATAAAACTGCCAAAAAATAGAATGAGCTATCCAGCATAATGATAATTGTGTAAGTTAAAATACATGATCAAATGTTTTACAAGAACACATGAAAACAGAAGGATATCATCAAAGAGATTAAAATGATGATGGTGGGAGGAACAATGGAAATGGTAGTGAGAAATTGAGAAACAAGGATCAAATGAGATAGGTAGAAAGATGGATGGATGGAAGAAATGATAGATGATGGAGATAGATAGATAGATAGATAGATAGATAGATAGATAGATAGATAGATAGATGATAGATAGATACATAGATAGATAGATAGACAGATAGATGATAGATGACATATAAATGAGCTAGCCAGTTGGTCAAGAAAGAAGTCTGTGCAGACCAATGATATGGTTCCATAAACTAGGAAGCATGGTTAACAAATTTTTGCACTTGAAATTCAGAAATAAAATTAAAATGTCCAAGAAAACAGATAAGTTTCTAGGACAATAAGATAATATTGATTTGGCATATTCCAGATTGAGGTGAAAAACTGAAAACTGAGCTGTGTGGTTCAACCTACACTCTCTGCCTGTGAAACTTAAGAATTTGTCATGTCACATCTTGCTCCTTGAGACGTCTCTCTCTTTACCAATCAACACTGAGAGCTGGGAATGGGACTAGAATGGCTCAGCATCTTTGACCGAGGAGGCATAAGCAGCTGCTAAATGGCAAGCTGAAGTGCGACAGCCACAAGCAAAGAGGGATGAACATCCTGTAAAGACATCTTAAAGTCCCATCCAGTGGTCCAAAAGTACAGCAGAGCCTAGAACAAGGCAAACTTCAGTGTCTGACAGCTCCACTTGGTAAATGCAGCAACTGGACAAGTAATAACCACTCTGGAAGGGTTCAACCTCTGCAGTCTGGGCAAACCCAAGGGCACCCTTCATAAACATCAGTGGAAAGTATGCTTCCCCATGCTCACTTCTGCTTCTAGACACTCACCACCTGCCAGACTGGCAGCGCCAAGCCCCAAAATCACAACAGAAATGACAACAGTCAACTGCCTTTGAAAAAATTCATCCTTCAGAAGATCCCCTCTTAGAGAACTCACATGCTGATGAAAGATTGATAGTCCAGGGTTATGTTGTCTAATATGGCAGCCACATGTGGCTACATTGCACCTGAAATGTGGCCAATTCAAATTGAGATGTGAAGATCTAATATGATAAAAAAGGATACTAAACATCTTGTTAATCATTTTTATATTGGTTACATGTTCAAATGATATTTTGTAAATATTAAGTAAAATAAAATATATTAAGTTATTTTCATCTTAATATTTTCTTTTTACTTTTTTAAAAAGTAGCTGGTAGAATATTTAAAATTATGTCTGTGACTCACCTTCTATTTCTACTAGACAGTGTTGGTCTGGGGGTTTATATGTTGACTTACAGCTTCTCTCTCAGTTAGTAATGTAAAAGTGAAAGCTATTTTCCTATAAAGGTGGAAGACACTCTCTTCTTCATATGGCTGTTCAACAGAAAGTTAAAATCATGTTCAGTCCTCTAGCATTTTTTGTTAGTGGTGATTCCCACTAGAAGCTTCTGGCCTTTTCTATGTTTTCAATTCTACATTTTGGTCTAAATAGAGCATGACCGAATCACAACAGACTGAGAGGTCCATGCATGCTGGAGACAGCCCGCAGATAACCCTACAAAGATCTGAATTACACTGGGGTCGTTTGGGTCTGTTGTGCCAACACAACTTGTAGCATCCAGAAGTCTCTTCTGGGCTTCTGCTTCTAACTGTGGTGTGAAATATCACTAACAATCTAGGATGGAAAAGAAATGAAAATAATTCATACCTACCTATGTCACTTTTTGCTTAAAAGAGAACCTGGAAATGCAGAAAATGGAACACTCATTCACCTCTCATGTCCAGGAGTTAAAGTGATATGAATTCAAGATTTTTTAAAAAACAATATGCTCCTTTGAAATTAGAAAAAAAAATTCTTAGTTATAAAAAGCTATATAAGTTATATTATAGCTTATATAATTTGGATATTGAAATGTCACCAAAGATCTTTATTAACTTAGAGAAAGAGCATTTGTTAGTTTGAATATTATCACACAAATATATTAGTTTTTTTTTTCTTTGTTTGAGCCCGATCCCCGGAGTCAAACCCTAAGTGTCTGGGGACTTGTTGTAAGTAATGGTCATTTGTATTTCATAATTATCTTGAATCAACACAATTAGTTCCACATTCTGCTGTTTTCTTCCTAAGGCATCTGTAAACATTTTTACACAATTCCAGCAAATAGCTTTTGGCAACAATTAATTTTTTCATTAAAAAAGATAAAATAATCCAGGATAACTATTTTAAATGTGTTTTATAGACCCCTCCAAGAGTATAAGAAAATATTCTTCAAGATGCCAGACAAGAGATTTTTTTCTTTCAAGTATCAGCCACAGTTCCACAGTTTAGAATGTCTCTGGTCACAGTTTTAACATGGTTAAATCGACATAAAGCCTGAAGGACATTTAATAATAAAAGAATGTACTTAATTTGATTGAATAATTTCATTTTATTCCCTTGGATTATTTGTGTTCATTCAAAAAAAAATGTATTTAAAAGAGTACATTTAATGTGGTGGTCTCAGTTTTTTCCTGTGTATTGGAACCACCCAGATCAAGCTTGTCTGAACCGCAGCCCATGGGCCGCCTGCGGCCCAGGACAACTTTGAATGCAGCCCAACCCAAATACGTAAATTTTCTTCATGAGATTTTTCTGCAATTTTTTTTTTTTTTTAGCTCATCAGCTATCATTAGTGTTAGTGTATTTTATGTGTGGCCCAAGACAATTGTTCTTCTTCCAATGTAGCCCAGGGAAGACAAAAGATTGGACCCCCTGACCTAGATTGTACCTTAATGACTCTAATTCAGTGAGTTCAAAGTAGACCTCACAAATGTGCATTTATAACAACTATCCAAGATGTTTCTGAAGTAAGTGAGGCTCAATCCCCAACTTTCGAGTAATACTGTGACAGAAACTTCAGATTCTGTCTCTTAATCTTGAGACAGAGTTGTGGCATATAAACTCCCCTTATCCCACCTTAAAAATAAGAGGTTGTGATATGTCTCACATACTTAATTCCAGTAAAATTAAAATGATCCAAATGCAGTGGTCCTTACCCACCTACAGCCAGGAAAGCACATCTGAGAAGGAGACAGAAAATTCTGGCAACGTCTCTGCAAGGTCCATCTTGTACTTCAACATTTCTGAGAAGGATTTCTTCAAAAACTGCTCCGGAAATAGAATTTTCTAATAGATTCTTCAGAGACAGGTGAATACCCTACTGTGTGGTAAAATCTGCAACCAGGAGCTAAGCATGGAAAATGCCTTCTCCTCAGGTCACTTACCCCCAAAGCACCTAGAAGCATGGCCACCAAGATAGGGACTCCGAGCACACAGTCATTATGTTGTCCTCTGCCCAGATCCCCAAGTCCCTGCACAGACGCCATATTCTGATATGGGTTTTGTTATGTCTTATTTTGTTGTGTTGCCTTCCCTGAGAACAAAGCTTGACAAATTTTGAACAAGTATGATGACATGCTGACAAGGGAGGATTTTCTGGTGTCCTGAGGCATGGAGACCAAGGTGGTGCTGCCTGCCTATGTGGTACGAACATAAGAAGAGAGAGAACCCAGCCTCCTCCCAAAGAAGTAAGGGCAAAGGGCTGTGGCATTGAAGGCTCATCCTTGGGACACTGAATTTTGGAATTTCTATACTTGTCATCCCTAGTTCTAACAGTGTCCTAACTGGAGAGATGAAAATCAGAGCATATCGATACATCAGTAAAATATCAAAGTATATCAATATCCCTAATGGGGTGCCACTAAGGAGGGTATACCAATAGAGTATATCAGTAAAATTTAAAAGACTAAAATTGGTGAGCCCCACCCTTGCCATGATGGAGAACAGCACCAATCCCCCTAGGGAATAGAAATTGGTGGCCTCAGTCCTATCCAAACACTTCTCCCACAGTGGCTTTAGCATCCTATTTTAAGTTACAGTATTTGCCCCCAAATTAATATCCAGTAATAAAGGGTAATTTTCCTGCCCACATTGAACCATTGTAAGAACATTTAGCCACTTTAAAGTCAAGTGATAGCACTGTAAGGAAAAGGCACGAGGTAGTTAAAAATTTGAAGAATATGTCAATTGGTAAAATTAGATAAAAAGTTACGCTGTGTTCTGCCCTACATTTGGACTATCGCAAGTGAGGCAAACTTTTCTAGGCAAACTGCTGAGGACTGCCAATTTAACAAGCTGTTCCATGCTGCAAGGGACATATTTATGGACATACTTTCAACAAGACGTACCTAGTGCTACCAAGCTGTGCTGTACTAAAGAGCAGAAAGAATCAGAACGATAGATTAAAAAAAAATAAAGGATTTCACACATGGGCCCTATTAAAATCAGATCAAGTATTCTGCAATTTACAGGCAAAAATATTTAAAATAATGACAGGGTTGTTGCATGATCTAAGAAGAAAACACCCGGGAAATGTAAAAAAATGAGATTGACACAGCATGTTTAGCTCAGGCTGTTGTACAACAAGGCTCTCGAAGGGAGAGAGGAAAAGCCAAGCTATATTGTGAATATTCTCATTTTCAATCAGTTAGGTCAACACGAATCTAACACTATTTAAAACCTAGCCTTATCTCACAAATGGTCTTCAATATAATGATTAGTGTCCACAGAATCATTCAAGAAGGATTGATTTCATGTCTCTTAATCTTTTGAGAGTCCAAAAGTCACCTGAAGTCGCTACTAGTACTATTATTTATTATAAGAGGCCTTACGATTGGGTGTGCCCTATTATAGAGCTTTCTATCCTTGGTAGTGTGTTTTGGGATACTGGTGAGTCAGAACTGTTTTCTATTTAAAACTTGCTACCTATTTATATTTCTGGGAGTGAAGACATCAGGCCAACTTAGAGCTCATCTTTGCTCTAGAGGGAAAAATAAATCATTGCTCTAGGAAAATAGTATAAAAGAATCTTTGCTGTTGGTTTGACAAGAACCCGGAGCATGGCTGCTTTTGGTGATCAGAGCCACCCCTCCCACCTGCATTCATTTACATCTATCCATTTATTTGACTACGGAATCTTTTAGGAGGAAGAGAAACAGGAACAAGAGAAACAAGAACATTTAACTTTGATAAGCAATATCGCCATAGCATTTTTAAGGGCACAGACATCTATTAACATACAAATATAAATGTTTAAGGCTTTGTGGGCCACAAGGTACTCAACTCTGCTGTGAGAAAGCAGTCACAGACAATATGTAAAGCAATGAGCATGGCTACGTTCTGATAAAATTTTATTTACCAAAACAGGTAGTGGTCCGGATGTGGCCCTCTGGCCATAGATTAATCCTGGACTAGGGTGAATCCAACAGATGCTGCCTGCAGGAGAGACGAAAGGACTTTCTAGAGGGAAAGTCATTTGATGGAAAGGAGAGTCCAAAACTAGGCACACAACTCCAGGATCTGGGTTGTTGGAGAGGAGGACTAGCCCTAGGCCAGGTGGCTGAGGCTCAATCCCCTTCTGACAGTCACTCCAGAATGAGGGCAGGGCAGCAGGTGTGAGAACTGAGTCAGCTGCTCACCTGGGGATCCAATCCCAGAGGTTCAGGCCTCCTGGAATATAGAGAACCTCAGATAAGTTGTCTTCCCTTCTTCTCCAAAGCACATGTTGAGAAACTACCATTGATTCCACAGTCTTGACAGAGCAGTCTGCCAATCAATGGGGTTTCAGCTCCTAAACTTCTAGTGTTTACTGTTGATGGCAGCAACGGCAGCAGAGAAAGGGGCTCTTCTGCAGTGTGAACAAATGTTCCAGTTTCTTCCTCTGTAAGGTAATATATATCTTGGATGACTAAGCACTTTGGGCTTCAGTTCCTGAGAGCCTTGGGCTTTCCATGGAACACTACAGGGAAGGAAGAAATTGGATGAAAATGCAGTTATCATAATTTGAACATCGAAATCAATGTGACCTCATTCTATACCTTAACCTGATAGGGAAGGATATTGACCTCAAAATTAAACTAATGCCACAAACAGAGAAAAACATTTCCTTTGTTGCTTGGACAAATGTATGAAGCTGATGACATCCATGGGTTAAGATCCTCTCCTAAGTCTAGGGTTGTGATATAGTCATTAAAACTCACTACTCAGGTGTTGTTGGTGCAGATAACTCAATGGATTAAAAAGCTAATGTGGGTTAAAAGAAAGTTGGTCTATAGAGATCTCGTCTGGGTTCAGTTATAGAAACAAATTATTCCCGCTAGTCACTCTAGCCAATTAGGCAAATCAGGATTTTATTTCACATTAAAAATAGTTTGAGTCCTTTGGGTGACTCATATTTGTATATCCTTTAAAGTCTCCAAATTGCATACTTGCTCATTGCTTTATTTTATTCTCAGAACAATGTGCGAGGCAGGTGAAAAAAATGTTGATATTGCCCCTATTGTTTTTTCAGCTGTTGTAACTAAAACCAAAAACTTGCAGTGATTTGCTGTAGGTTCCAAAGGAGCAAGTGCCCATCCCTACATGGTCTTCACCCCGGTCTGCTTATTGCAAATCTCACGTTCTCCCCACCCTACCTGCCCCAGCACCTTAACTCCTGCAGCCTCTCAGCCACATCACTCCTGATCAGAGGGAGCCTGGGAATATGCTACAGTGTAGCAGTGAGTTGCCCTCTCCTTGCCAAGGGGAGCTTCCCAGTGTTGAAAGCACCTATTGACTCCCTATCTGCCTCAGGCTGGTTCTTACTCTGCTTGGAACAAGGCAGAAGGCATCATATAAGGGAAACTGTAGAACACAGAGCATACCCCGAGAGACACACAATTTCACGGGAAGAGTCCATCAGTCGTCCCGCAGGCAGACTCCAGAGGCAGCCTAGCTGGGGTGGAATCCAGCTCTGCCTCTCACTGCTATGAAAACCTGTGCAAGTTCCTTACCTTCTCTGTGCCTCAGTTCCCTCACTTGTAGGATAATGATTGTACCTACTTCAAGGAGATGCAGTAAAGATTAAATATCTTAACATTTATAAAGTGTTTGGAGCAATGCTTAGTACACTGTTAGTACTAGACAAACATAAGTGACACAAAATGGGTTTAAGGAAAGAAGTCTTGAGCAGGAATGAGAAAAATGAATGTAGAATGGCTACTAAGAGTATAATCAAGAGCAAGTTCTTTCATCTCTCAGGGCTCCTATTTTCTCTCCTATTCAGAGAAGATAATAACAACCTTCCATAGACTTAAATGAAAAAGTGATAGTGCTTTGTAAAATGCACCTGGTAGGGGAAATTAACTATCTTGGTTAAGGATCTTAACCCATGGATGTCATCAGCTTAATACATTTGTCCAAACAACAAAGAGGAGACATTTTTCCCTGTTTGAGGCATTAGTTTAATTTTGAGGCCAATATCCTCCCCTACCAGGTGAATTTTACAAAGTCAAATTAACTATCTTGGTAATGACCTGCTTTGCAAGAGAAATTTTATCACAATGCATTTTTAGAATATGAAGCATAAATAGTAGGGTCTTCCCTTGTCAGAATGTCATCTGTCCTATCTCTAGCTGTCAAAGTCCTATGCATGGAGAGTCTTCCAATAATTGCTACCATTGAGTCCTCACTCTGTGTTAGCCTCAGTAAGCTACACACATTATCTCATTTAATCCCAGTGGAAATGCAGTATGTATAAAAAACCTGTTTACAGATGAGGAATCTAAATCTCAAGGAAGTTAAATAACTTGTCCCAAGTCAGTAGCCAGCAGATAGTGAGGCTGATTCAGCCCAGATACCTGTGATGCCAGAGGCCATCTTTGGTCGACCACTCAAACATATTTCTTCCACCAAAAATAATCTCTCTTCTCTGAAATAATACAATGATTTGCTCATATTCTTTTCATAGGAATGCAATTCTACCTTTAATTATATTTTTTATGTACATATCATAGCTTATCTGTGGGTTTACAGGCTTCATAAAAACAGAAAATAGGCCTTGTGCATCTGTAAACAAGCCTCAGTTGCCAGCCAAATGCCTGGGAATGGTGAAGAAGCAGGACTACCAAGAAGAAAGTAAAGTTCCAGCTTGCCTGAGTAAAGTTGCCTTACCTGAGAATGAGGTTGAGAATCCCTACCTCACAGGATTGCTGTGAGGTTCAATTAAGAGAACAAGGTTTAAATCTGAAACCAGTACTCTGAAAACCAGTGTACTGCCAAAGTGGTGACAGTTCAGTTTTATTAAGTTGTATTGAAATCAGAGTGGTTAGTGGATAGATTGGCTCTTAACCAAGAAGAAGAGAGACAGTCAGTGAGGATATGAGCACAGCCGGGAGAAAAGCTTGAATTTCCTGCTGAATTTCACCAGAAAGTGGAATTTTTTAAAAAATGATTAGCAAATGAGTAATATGAATCAAGAGAGAAATGTGCAAAAGCAAGATACAGAAGTTCAGAGAGAGGCGGGTACAGGCTCAGTCCTACTTGAAACCTTAGCAGGGCAGCAGATTGGCTGCCTCCCACCTTATCTTCTTGTGCCCCCCCTGTGCTCTGCGTGCCCAAGCTACTGTCAGGGTTTTTGGGGAACCACTTGTGGTGGTTTGTGCAGAAGGGCTTATGAACTATAAAATGCCACACAGTTGTAAGGTTTTGGGGCTTAGAACGACATCCCAAAATATGGCTCTTCAGTCTGCTGAGTACTCTACAAGGGGATCAGCAGGGCCTCAGAAGCAAGAAATTCTCTCTGACCTTCTCTTGCCCTCCTTTCTCCTTCTCCCATTTTCCCCCCAAAGCAGATCATACAAACTAGAACTTCTCTCCCCCAAAGCAAACTGTAAAACCTACAGAGGTCACTCTAACCTAGCTCCCATGGAAGCAGGCCATAAGACCCTCATTCCAAAAGGGTCTTGCCCCATACCTTAGGGTAAGGGGTGGAAGGGTGGAGGAATGCCACACAGGAAGGCCAAGAAGAATCGGAACACACAGGCCTCGCTAAGTTCCCTCCAATGTGTTACCATCAGGTAATACCCTTTTTTGTCCAATCACATTTCTACATGGTTGTCCATCCTTCATGAAACCTAAGCATAAAAATACAGTTTTTTTCTAGGCCTTGGGTCTTCATGTCTAAAGTCTCTTGTGTCACATAAAACTTTGATTAAACAAATTTGTTATGCTTTTCCCTTTTTAGTCTGTCTTTTTTTGTTACAGAGATAGCAGCCATGGACCTTGAAATGGACGAGGAAAGGTATCCTGCCTTTTCACCCCTGTGGGTGTCTGTGTCGTCCTCATTCTGGAGAGGCACAATGGCATCTTCGCTTGGAGGCGCGGCTTTGGTCAGCCCCCCTAGCCTGGTCTTCCAGAAAACCAGGGTCACTCACTAGAGCCGGCACTCACAATCACGGATTCAGAAAGCTCTCCCCGCAGCATGTTGTTCTAGAAATGACTCCAGGTGACTTTTCTGAGAGACTGAATGTATTCATCAATTCTTAATAAAGTTTTCACCAGGCTTACCAAGGGAGCCTTAAATGGGGAGAACAGCTTGTTTCCTTGACAGCAGAAAATTGACAGGTTTTTTTTTATTTTAATTCTTTGTTGTCTGTCAAGAATTCCATAGAAATAATAGATGCCTGAAAACACAAGGAAAAGCGCATTTTTTCCCCACTTCAGAGGTGTGCCTCCAAGGAGACTGACATGAGGGAGAAGGAGGGTTTCTGAAATGTAGATGGTGGGTAATAAAGTCCCTCAGAGTGAGTTGGGAACAAGGTTAGAACTCACAAACTGCCTGCTTCAAGAGTCAAGGACATCTTTGCAGCCTTGGGACCAGCAGGCTGCTTGGGAAGCAGGAAGGCAACATTTCAACAAACAAAAACAAACAATAAACAAACAAATACTGTAAAAAGGGACAACTCCCTTTGCATAGCCAACTCAGGCCCAGGCAGAGCTACCAAAGACCAGGCCTGGTTTCTACCGGTCTTGGGATATAGAGCAGCCTCTGAAAGCAGTGCCCCAGCGTGCCCGTCCGTCCAGAGCTGGGGCAGAGGGGCTTCCTCCTGGCTGGCAACTTCTAAAGGTCTGCAGTGCCAGGCACCGCCCCCCCCAACCGGGTCGTGAACCCCTGCTATCTCCTGGCATACCTGCCCCATCGAATATTAATGAGCCATTGTTTCAAAAAAAGCCTTGCCAAAGGTGGCTGGGACAGACTTGCCTACTCTGCAGAGAGAAGGAAAAGAAAGGATGGGGGCGTTGCGGGGGAAGACACTAGGGGAGGAGGCGAACATGAGGCTTTCAAGTTCTAAAGCTTATTTTGCATGAGAAAATACAGGAGGCTTGAGGATTGCTGGTAGGCATCCCTCATCCTCTATCTTCCCTGCAAAAAATCCAGATTAAAGCCGTTGGTCTCTGGGACACCTTAAAAAAAATCTTCCTTCTGTGACCTTATGTACAAGGGTAAAGACCAGCTTTCTACATCCAACTCGCGAGTGCTGAAGGGAGGACGAGCCGTGGGGCGCCCAGCCGGAGCCTCTGTCCTCTGCCTGTTCCCGATTCCATGGCCCGAGGCAATGGTTTGCATTTTTAGGACAACAGCCTGCTATCTGCAAGCAGGAGACCTCTCGTCAGGCTTCATTACTGCACACAAAATGACAGGAGAGAGTCTGCGGCCCACAACTACGCTTATGGTGTGCAGCAAAGCCACTGCATCGTCCTGCAACACCAGTCCCCTCCTTCCCACTGACCCACACACCGAACTGCCGCCCCAAACCTGAGCTTTGCTTATGTATGTGCCCTACCTGGCACACGTGGCTTCTGCTGGAAACCGGCCTTTTCCACCTTCCTTGCTGTTTGGCTTATGAATTTCCGGGGAGACCAAGAAAAGAACTGTATTTGCCAACTAATGAAGTTCAGATTCACCCTTTCTTTTCCTTCCCCATAAGCTCCCCAAGACTGAGTCTACAGTGCACCATCTCCTCATCTAGACATGGTGATTTACATCATACTGGGAGGACAGATAGCTGGGAATACAGACCCCATGCCATACAAGATAATTTAAACCTTTTAATCACCTCCCTAATTGCAATAGTCTTTCGCTTCTGGCCTAAATTATAGCTACTCTCCTAAAAAGAAATTCCACAGCCAACAGCTTCAGACATCATCATCATCAAATCCTATCTATTATTAACTGTTGTCACACAATGCACCTTTACAAACGAGGGTGAATCTGCTTGCATTAGCCAGAATAACAGGGGTTGTGCCTGTGTTTGCTCAACGCTGGTTGAGCAAACCAACCATTCTGATTCAATCTTTCAGAATAAGGATATGTAAGTACAAGATTACTGAACAAATGTATGTAAGAAATTACTGGGCCGGGCACGGTGGCTTATGCCTGTAATGCCAGCACTTTGGAAGGCCGATGAGGGTGGATCACCTGAGGTCAGGAGTTCGAGACCAGCCTGCCCAACATGGTGAAACCCTGTCTCTACTAAAAAAAATACAAAAATTAGCTGAGCATGGTAGCCCACACCTGTAATCTCAGCTACTCAGGAGGCTGAGGCAGGAGAATTGCTTGAACCCATCAGGCAGAGGTTGCAGTGAGCCGAGATCACACCACTGCACTCCAGCCTGGGTGGCAAAGTGAGATTCTGTCTCAAAATAAAAAATAAAGAAATTATTTGGGTTGAAAACATATAAGTGTAGTCACCTGGATAGATTCAATTTATGAAGTTCCAGTAAGTGTTCTAAAGCCTCTAGGGCTCAAAATTATGGAGAACTATTAGATGAATCCAATATCTGTACCTTTAAAGAGAGTAATCAGGAGACATGTAATGATGGAAACTAAAAGCAAACTTCAGACCATGAGCTGACAATAAGGTGTGGGAAGAGAGATCAACGTGTAGTATAGCAGCTCCTTCTTAACCTCTTACATTGGTCAGGATTTGGGCTCAGCTGCCGTAACAGAGGCCCCGTGTATGGAGGCTTACACGGCCTAGGAGTTTATTTTTCTCTCTAGCAGTTTTGGAGTGAGCAGGCCAAACTGACAGAGCACTTCTGCTCCACTAAGTTATTCAGGGATCTAAGTTCCTTTTACTGAGCAAGCCTTTATGGCAATAGTTCTCAACTTGAATGCGGAGGTTGGCAAACTTTCTGTAAAAGGCCATAAGGTGAAATTTTAGTCTTTACCAGCCACATAAGTCTCAATTACATATTCTTCTTTGGCTTTGTTACTTTTTGTTGCAACTGTTCGCAAATGTAAAACCCATTCTTAGCTCATTGTTGTACAAAATCGAGCCACCCAGTGGTTTTGGTCCATTGGCTGCAGTTTGCCAGTCTCTGCTTTCGGGCATCATAATCACCTGGAGGGCTTTCTGAGCCCACCTGGAGTTTCTGATTCTATAAGTCTTGGATGGGACCGATGAATTTGCATTTCTAACAGGTTCTCTTGTGACGTTGATGTTGATGGTTTGGACATCACACTTTGAGAACCACAGCCCTGTAGTGTGGCCTTTGCCTTCCTAGTCAAAGCTGAATCTCCTGCACATGCATGTTCCAGCACAAAAGAAAAGGAAAAAAGAATCAAAAGATAGTCTTTTTAAGGACCTAACGAAGAAATTGCACACATAACTTTCATCACATCCCATCAGCCTGATCTCAGTCATATGGCCATAATTGGTTACAAAGGAGGTTGGAAAGTATAGACTGTAAATGCATGTTTATGAGCCCTGCTACAACTGAAGCAGTTTATTATTAAAGAGGAAGAGATGGAGAATGCATTTTATGGAACAGTTAGCAGATTCCACCACACAAGGAAAGAAGGAGACAAGTGAAAGGTCTCCTACACTTGGTCAGATTAACCTCACAGGGACCACCCTGGGATTTATTACAGTACCTCTCTGCTATATTCACAGATGAAAAGTAAGCTCATGGCATACCTGAGGGGCCTGAGCAAGTATATATCACTGACAGCTACCACAAGGAATAACTTAAGCTCCCATTTCTTAAATGAATATTTGTTTTATCTGCCTCTCCTGATGCTAAAAATTCTACAAATCACAATTCATTGCTTCAGGTTCTTCAGGCTTCTTAATCTTAATGAGTTCCTAGAAACTTACCAATCATGTACAGTAAAAATAATAACAAAAATAAATCTTTGCTTTATATCATATAATAAATAAATATCAGCTCCTACAGGTAGTCTATAAGTTACTTGCCATGTGGACCTTCCAACATAGGCAACCCAAACATGGCAGCTTGCTTGTATACAGCCAGCAAAAGAAGAAGAAACATACTCCAGTAAGATGGGTATTATAACCTTATATAACACGATCATGTAATCACATACATTCTGTCTCTTTTGCCTCATTCATTCTATTGGCTAGACATAAGCTAAAGGTCTAGTAACACTTCAGTGGAGGGCATAACACGAGGGCATGAACACTGGGATGTGTTCCAGTGGAGGCCACCTGAAGAATCTGTCTACCACAATATATGTTTAACACTTTTGATTAAATACAACCAAGCTACAAATATATCTCTATTAGCACAGAATTTGTGGGCCCTTTTCCATATGAAATCTTGAAGAACTTGTGCATCACCATTTAATCTGCTAACTTAATAGGAAGACAATCATACATGTTAATTTGAATTTATTGACATATATATATTCTTATTTATGCAAATTTATCTTTATTGTTTATTTCAATAGGTTTTTGGAGGATAGGTGGTGTTTGGTTACATGGATAAGTTCTTTAGCGGTAATTTCTTGAGACTTTACAATGTGCCAAGCACATATTAAGAATTTGGAGCTCATTTGTTCATTTAATCATGGGTTAAAGGGGGGTTAGATTCACCCCCTATGTTTAGAGAGCAGCCTATACTCGTAGGCATTCTACTATAGCACCTCCACTTTTATCCCTTGCTGTCAGGCAGATAACAAGAGAGATACATCATGAGCAAGGAGCAAGGTGATCACAGGTTCCTGGTCTCAAATCCATCAACTGGTTTTACTATTGCATGGCAACTCTCAAAACCTTGCAGTTTATGTTCCAAGAAGCCACCCTTGGGCTTCCCAGAGAGACTTTCTTTATTTGTTGTGGAGTCTACCACAAAAATAGAAGAGGCACTTACCGCACACTTTCTACTTGAATGACTGAAAACAACAGTTGCTCTTACAGATGCAGGGAAAGAGCAAAGATATTTCAGTAGGCCTGAGGACAAGCTAAAAATTACCAGCTCCTCATAGTAATTACTCATTCCCCTGGAGAACAATTGAAGGTTAGCTTTTTCCAAAATCTAACTCACTTTGCAAATCCAACTTAATCTTGATGTAGTGGCCTTGAGCGAGTTGTATAATATCTTGGACCTTTGTTGTCTTCTCTGTAAAGTGGTCTTGTTACCTTCTCTAAGTGGAAGCCACTCAGTGTGATCTCTTGAGATTCTTATCAAGCTGAGGTTATGTGATTCTGAAACAGGTTCCCTCCTCCAGGTGTTTTGTTAGGCAAAACTTTTAAAAAAGAAGTCCAAAGGACATATCTATAATACTGAATCATGAATGAGTAAAGCTTTCAGAAAGAGATGAACATAGAAACCTTGAGCTTACAAAAAGTCTCTCTGAGGATTTTCTTTTAATTAACTGTACACACTTCTTGCAGAGTACCCTCAACTGACCTTCCAGTAGAGTTCCATAGTCCTGTGACATAAGAGAAGTGCCCTGCTTCTTCATGTAAAGAGAACCACAAACACCTGTTCTTTGGTAGATTCACCACAGAGAATCACTTCTTGAAGGTCAATTATATTGCTAAGTCAGTCTAAAGATTTTCCGCCTGGGAAAGTACAGCAATGGCATCTGTTCATTCTTCAGCGTAGATCAACCCTTTACCCATGATTTTTCAATATTTAAACAAACAGCTCAAACAAAGCTGTGCTTCAGTGTTAACCTTGTGAACTTAAAAGCCTGCACCTGTACAATTAGTAATTAACATGTTCAGTAACAAAGCTGGAAGGTAACAAGTGACATTCACACCTCTTAATTGGTGCGATTAGCAGTCCTTTTGTTGTCAACCATTAGCAGCTCTCTCCAAGTGTGAAATGCCACAGGTAGAGGGACATTGGCAATGGGTGGGGTAAAGGAGGGAAGGTGAGAGTGAAAAAAGTTTATAAAGCAGGTTAGACTTATCTAGAGGAAAGAAAACAGATGGTTACTTCAGAAAACTGGCTAAAACTGTCAAAGGAGTAGAAGCATCAGTGATTGTATCTCTTTTTATTCTTTGCTGCTGATGCGAATGAGTCTTGAAGTTTTAAAAACTCTAGTACCCCTCATCGCATTGCAATATGGGGAGACCCCACTTTCAGCAAAATTAATTATGAATGTGAAAATCTATATCAATGTTTTTAAAAATGAAGGTATGTCTGTGGAGTTTTGCTTTCTTGACAATATACCATAAGGATTACTATGATATTCTAGATGACAAATATACTTGGGCTTTAAAAACAGATTCCAATTATATAGGAATTTTCAGGAATATATGAAGCAAGATGCACTTCTTGTTTTTTCTTGTTTATTTCTTGTTTAATCCTCTTCTTTAATCCTCTTTTCTCTTTTTCAAAAAAGCAGTAGCAGGCTCCCCTCCATATGGATGAGAAAATTTCTTTTGTATCCAGCGTTGCAACCTCTCATCAATCAATAACAAACCTCCCAGAAGGCATGACCCTGTGTTAGCATCCTTTCATTTTTTCAGATTTTAGCTTCCACACTTGGCTTTTCTATATTTTCCTGATATATTTGTCTTCTCTTCTTAAAGATATGGCTTCATGTTGACAATGCAGAGATATTGCTATTCCTGTACAAACTAAAGGTGTCAATATTTCTTTATAATGGGAAAGGTCATTGAGTTATCATTCTAGGACAAAAATTAGATAGAACATATTTGTGAGCTCCATGATGGCAAGAATTATGTCTCCTCCATCAATATATTACCAACTTCTAGCCCAAATATATACTCAATAAATAGTTATTACATATGAAATGTGAACGCTAATGTCAATGAGATTTTCCTCCCCAAGTTTCTGTTAACATTACTTTGGTCTTTACACAATTCTCCTGGGGTATTTGCAATGCTATTTGAGTTTTCTGTATTGCTGAGATTATTATTTTCCTTTTGGAAGAGACTGTCTTTATGTTAATATATTATTTCCTTTGACATGTTTTCCACTTTTACTTGATGGATTGGCTCCCTATCACCCGGCCTTTTCATTCACTGAATTCAGCTTTATACTAATGACTTCACAGTTTTACAGATCATTTTGAATCCTTCAACCCCATCTTACCTCTTGCTTATCTTTCATCCACATTTCCTATATTACATTCTCATTCTAAACTACTTTTCTATTATCTATGTATGCCAGACCTTAGGAGCTTAACACCTATTTTATTTTACCCTTCATTTTTTGTAGCTTAGGAATTTGAGAAGGGATCATCTTGATCCACATGGCCTCACCTGAAATGGGTGGGATGAAGGATCCATTTCTAAGATGGCTTCCTCATGCATGTGGTCTCTTGCTCGACACAATGAATCTCTTCCTCCAGGGCCTCTGCACATGGCTTGGGCTTCCCATAGCATGGTGTTTGCAGGACCGTTGCATTTCCTACAGAGCATCTGGTTTCTCCCAGGTGAGCCTTCCAAAAGCAAGCATTACAAGAGACCCAAGTGGAAGCTGCAAAGCTTCATACTCATTGCTTAAGCAAATCCCTAAGGCCATCTCGGATTCAAGAGGGAGGGGGAGGACTAGACTCCACGTCTCCATTGGAAAATGGTGGGCCCCATATGAGGAGGGAAGGACTCAGTGGCAATTATCTTGATGACAAACTGCCATACCTACCATTTTCATTTTAATATTTTCTTTTTCTTCCCTACTTAAAATTTTTATAGTTGCCTACCTAATATATAGGTTGTTAATGCATACAAGTTTGTGCCAAGACTATGTTCAAGCATGGTAAGTGTCCCTACTAGGTCATCTCCATGTGAAACTATTTAAAGAGCACCAGGAGGCCCTGATATTCCAAAGTCATCTCCCTTAACTAGGCTCTCCATTCACTCATTTGAGTCACTAAAAGATTTCTGGGGGAAATAAGCTCTCATGTGACTTGGGAGAGAGGCATGACCAATCAACCATGAGTACTTCTCAATCCAGAACTGTACATTGGTTTATTAAGATAAGTTTTTGTTTTCCCCTGTGGGTAAATAGAGCATGAAGTGGGAAAAATGGTGCTGGAGCAGTGAGTGCCCCTTGGAGTGGGCAGAGCTGGGTGTGACACTGAACCCCTGGGATGGTGGCAGGGTGCCATGTGCATCAGTCTGGAAGGAGAAGAGATCTGGAGAGGGTCATAGTTGGGGGTCAGTATAGGTGAAGGTGTGTGGGTGATACAATAATATAAAATATTTAGCTGCCTGATGCAAAGAATGTATATCACCTATTATCTCTATTTTCTCCAAAGAACACAAATAATTTCAGAGCTTCCCCTCTGTATATATAAAGAGAGAAGCTATCTTGGAGTTAAACTCCCACACCTACCTTTCTAATTTTATTTTTTTTGCAATATATACATGATATATGTGTATGCATATATGCATATGTGTATGTGCATATATATATATATATATATACACACACATACATACACACACACACACACACACATTACATAAGAAACTAGAGTAGTCAGACGATTCCATTCGCATACTTCTAGTTGATTTATCTCCTAGGCAGTTTGTACCCGAGCTGCTGAGAATTGGTTTTAAATTGTGAAGCTGGTCACTGACCAGTCATTTAGATTACTACAGCAATTAATTTTGACCCCACTATCATTACCATACTTTGTCTAGTTCCTCCTCCTAGCAAAGACTTCTAGTTTAGTTATCTTTTGATAGACATTCAGCTCTTCTTTGTTAGTTATAGACCCTCCCATTATTAGCTAAAGTAATGCCACCTAGAATAATGAGTCTATTTTTTAGCCTCCCTTGCTGCCATGTAAATATATTCCTTCTACTTGTATGCAAGCAGAAATGTCACATATGAATTCCAAGAAGCCCTTAAAGAGGTGCAGTTGTCTGCATTCTTTCCTCTTTTCCCTGGTATTTGAGGAAATGATGTCTTGGGCTCTCCCCGCCATCTTAAATCATGAGATGGAAGTCACGGCGTGGACAGCAGAGCTATAAGGTAGAAGGAGCCTCAGTTCCTGATGGCGAGGACTTTGTGAACCTGCTTTACCAACTCCCAGCTCTGTGCTACAGATTATATTTCTTTACCCAGGAGATAAACTTCTATTTTTATAGACATTGTTATTTAGATTTTTTATCATTTTTAGTGAAATCTAATTCTGACACACCTCTCTGCTGGTGAGGTTGGAGAATTTAGTCAGGTTAAAACAACCAACTTGGTTTAAACCACCCTTCCAACATGCACAGTATATAAACTTGCAAAGGCTAATTAAATTTCACTAGGGCAGATCTTTATAAAAAGAATAAGTAACATATGTATATATCACATCTGAATTTAAATACAGTATTTAACTGTCCTAGATTTTGCAATGTATTCATAGCTGCGAGGGGGGATAAGAAACTACTTCATAATCCGTTGAATCCTTGTAAATTCTGTTTAAATGTGTTTTTAAAATGTGATTTTTTTGTGTGCTACCATTGGTGATGATGGGGAGTTCTGTATTGTAAAATATTCCTCATTGCTCTTGAGAATGAGCTGAGGAGACACAGTCAGTGCCGTGGCAGCCCCTCCTGGGTTAGAGCGTGGTGCTTTGAGAAAGGATACTCAGTTATAAAAGCCAATGGATTCTTTTTCTGAAATGGCTGCCAAACACCCCTGCTTTTGTTTAGTGTTCATTATATCTCAAAGTTTCCTTTCTCTTTTCCTTCCACCAAGCCTACCCAGCCCAGTCTGCATCCTTCCAGTACCTGTCAGAGCTAACTCTTCAAAAACAGCATCCTATCATGCCCTGTCACTAGGTAGAAACTTCGGTGGATTTCTTCTTGCTTCTAGTTTGGCATAAAATGGCCTTCACTTTTTCTTCCATGTACTTTCCCAGTCCTTTATCTCACTTGCTTTCTGTTTATACATGATGAAATTCCCACCTTTTCCCAAACATGCTGTGCCTTTTACAACTCGGCATTTCGAACAGGCTCTGCTCTCTGCTTGAAATGCTTCCCTGACCCTGAACTTCCTCTTCAGAACTTTCAGGATGTATCTCATGGGGCAGTAGCACTCAAAAGCTTTTGCCATTACTACAGTTGCAGTTAATCACTTCCTCCTTTGTGTGGATTCTGCTTTTAGTCGGTCACAGCACTTACTGGGTGATATTATAATTGTTCTGTTTTCAAGTCTGATTCGTCCTAATATGTGAGACATTGCAGCCCACCCTGGTATGCTGTTCAATGTCCATAACCAACTGGGAACTCCCTGTGTCTTATGGAATGGAGAGCTAGATCCATGACTGAGACAAGACTATCTTGACAAAAACTAATTTGTATCTAAATTTAGTCCTTAGAGTTGTATGAAAAACAGTAGGACCTAGATACTTCCAGTTCTCTGGAGAAGATATTCATGGGCGTATACAAGAATCTGCATAGCTATCCTATCTAGCCATCATAGCTTTCTTCCCACCTTGAAGAGAAATACATTTCTTAGAACTGGATTTTCTTAGAATCAGAATTATGGAATCATAGAATTGTAGAGCTAAAAGGGACCTGAAAGATAATATTGACTACAGCTTCATAATGAGAAAACTAATCCCAGAAAAGCTAAAAGATTTGTCAAAGGACACCCACCTAGTTAGTGTCAGTCAGATCTGAAATCCTGGTCTCCTGACTCCAGTGTTCTTCAAATATTTGAGCCCTAAGTCCTTGGTTAAGGGGCATCCAATAGCTGTGAAGCACTGAAATTTTAATATTAAGTTAAATCAGAGCTGAACCACACATACACCTAAGGGTTTCAGCGGCAAGTTAAACAGATGAGAGAAGATAAGTCAGATTGTTTGATGAAAATGTTAAAATCAGAGACCTTGAGAGTTTAAAAGTCCCTTATATAGCATCCAGTCCAAGCACCTAGTTTTCATA
Organism: Homo sapiens; assembly: GCF_000001405.40. Classification (NCBI taxonomy): domain Eukaryota; kingdom Metazoa; phylum Chordata; class Mammalia; order Primates; family Hominidae; genus Homo; species Homo sapiens. The sequence goes on from NC_000008.11 coordinate 65,175,961, forward strand.
AATAAAAATTACTAACAAGTGAAATAATTTTCTCCATCTGAGTCATAAAGCCAAAGACAGAGACAAAAGTAAAACCTTGACTACAGCTGTGAAATGGACTCCACAGGACTCCTGTGGATAAAGTAGGATCCTAGAGAGAGCAGTAACTCTTGTTTGAAGCATATGAAGCCATAGTTGGTCAAATAATTAAAAAATCAGCTCAGTAGAAAGTGATTTTTTAAAGGATGTATACATACTACAATTTTTTCATTTTAATCTTAAACACATAAATGTACAGTTATTTTCCACTTGGATAATCCAGGATTTTCTCCCCATCTCAGTATCTTTTGCTTAATCACATCTGCAAGGTCATTTTTGCCATGCAGGTAATATGTTTATAGGATAAGGTCATAAACATCTTTGGGGCCAGGGGCAATGGCTCATGACTGTAAGCCCAGCACTTTGGGAGACCAAGGCAGTTGGATCATTTGAGGTCAGGAGTTCAAGACCAGCCTGGCCAACATGGTGAAACCCTGTCTCTACTAAAAATACAGAAAATTAGCTCGGCATGGTGGCAAGAGCCTGTAATCCCAGTTACTCAGGAGGCTGAGGTACAAGAATTGCTTGAACCCAGGAGGTAGAGGTTGCAGTGAGCCAAGATTGTGTCACTGTACTTTAGCCTGGGCAACAGCATGACTTTGTCTCAAAAAAAAAAAAAAAATTGGGGCATGGAAGTGGAGGGGAGCATTACTCTGCCTGCCATGCATGGCTCTGCTGATGCAAGATGAGGAAACACACACAAATTGTATTGTTTATGATTCATAGTTTGTGCCTTTAAAGTGAAATAACGTTTTGTAGACATTTGGAAAGCAACATGTGTGAATTCTTCCTAATTTGTTTCCCAATTCTTTTTATAATGTCTGCCTTGCAACCAATTTGAAATTAATTTTTTATGTGGTTCACCTTTTCTGATTCTTCTAAAATATTGGTTTTAGGTTTTATAGCTACAATTCTCTTTCTTTTTGTACTCCAATGTTACTGGCTTACATAACATTTATTTAAATTACACCATTACAATAACAAGGACTTTAAGCAACTTTGAGGAGAAACATGACTTTGCAGAAATCGCTCCATTGTTGGACACAAAGGTGACCAGGTTGTTGACAAGTGGCCTGAGGGTCCTCATTGTGCCGTGCAATAAATGAGAAGTTGCCATATCTGGTAGAGTGTGTTAGTAAAGTTGGTTTAGGGGAGCTTCTGCTGTTTAAAGTGCCCTGTGTACTCGAAGGCACTATACAGATATGAGACATCGTTATTTTTGTTTGTATAATAGTTCAGGGCCTGGGGCTAGGACATGCAAACAGACATTCATGATGGTATAGGGGAGATGCATAGCAGAAAACAAGCAGCCTATAAACTAGCCTGATGACAAGGGAAAGTCAGAAAAATTTGAAAAAATGTTCTGCTGAAGCCTAGATAAAATCTAAAAGCATATTAAGTTGGTTAATAGTATAAGTTTCAATCAAAAAAGTTTTCAATTATAGTCAAGGACTTGCTTCCTTTATTAATCTGCTTTTAAGCCCATCCAATGCCTCTCTAAAAATTTAGGTTTAGTTGTCTAATGAAAAAGCTATTTTTTAAAATATTTAATTGTCAGGAAAAAGTATATTGATCCCTTCTTTCAGATGACCTCTCTTTAGGAAACTTGGCTGCTTGGGTCATTAAACTGTAAATGTATCCTTGTGAAAGCTTTTTTTTTTTTTTTTTTTGAGACAGAGTCTCGCTCTGTTGCCAAGTCGGAGTGCAGTGGTGCAATCTTGGCTCACTGCATCCTCCACCTCCTGGGTTCAAGCAATTGTCCTTCTCAGCCTCCCAAGTAGCTGGGATTACAGGCGTGTACCACCACACCCAGCTAATTTTTGTATTTTTAGTAGAGATGGGGTTTCACCATGTTGGCCAGGATGGTCTCGATTTCTTGACCTCGTGATCTGCCCGCCTTGGCCTCCCAAAGTGCTGGGATTACAGGCACGAGCCACTGTGCCTGGCCGTGAAAGCATATTTTTACTCAGGCTGAGTAGTGTAGGGTAAAGGACAGTTGCTAATATTCTGAGATTGCAAACACATGTGTAAAATGTGGCAGAACATGCAACACAAGAAAAGTGCTAAATCTTGAATTGCAGGGCCTTCCCATATGTGTTATTTTGCCCTGAATAATAATAATAACTATTGTTATTATCATTATTAAGACAGGGGTCTTGCTCTGTTGCTCAGGCTGGAGTGCAATGGCACAATTATAGCTCACTGTGACCTCTAACTCCTGGGCTCAAACGATCCTTCCACCTCAGCCTCCCGAGTAGCTGGGAGTACAGGCATGCACCACGCCCAGTTAATTTTTTAAATTTTTTGTAGCAATCGAGCCTTGCTGTGTTGCCTAGGCTAGTATCGAACTACTTTGCCCTTGAATTCTATTGTCTTTTACTAGTTAGTCAGTAACTGTCTCTGTATATTAGCTTGTTGAAGGAGAGTAAGAGAGGTTAAATGTTCAGTATCAAATTCTGGACATAGAGTGTACTTGTGGCCAAAGGCATGGATTTCCTTATCCCTGCCCAAAGTGGAAGCAAGTGAATACCCTCTCTATTAGTTCCCTTGGGCTGCCATAGCAAAGTACCATATACTGGGTGGCTTAAACAACAGAAACTTATGTTCTAGAAGCTAGAAGCCCAAGATTAAGCTGTCAGCAGAGCCATGCTCCCTCTGAATGCAAGGAAGAAATCTGTTCCAGGCCTATCTCTTAACTTCTGGTCATCCCTTAATTAAGGCAGCCAACTCCAAACTTCTTATGATGTTCTCCCTTTGTGTGTGTATGTAGGTCCACATTTCCCCCTTTTTATAAGGGCAACAGTCAAATTGGATTAAGGGCTTACACTGCTCCTGTATGACCTCATCGGGTTTTGTTTTGTTTTGTTTTGAGACAGAGTTTTGCACTTGTTGCCCAGACTGGAGTGCAATGGCATGATCTCTGCTCACTGCAACATCCGCCTCCCAGGTTCAAGCAATTCTCCTGCCTCAGCCTCCCGAGTAGCTGGGATTACAGGTACCCACCACCACACCTGGCTAATTTTTGTATTTTTAGTAGAGGCAAGGTTTCACCATGTTGGCCAGCCTGGTCTCGAACTCCTGACCTCAGGTGATCCTCCTGTCTCGGCCTCCCAAAGTGTTCATCTTAGTTATATCTGCAATGACCCTGTTTCCAAGTAAGCTCATATTCTGAGATACTGGGGGTTAGAATTTCAGTGTCTAAAATTTTGGTGGACACAGTTCAACCCATTCAACCCATTACATTCTCTCTGGAGAAAGGCGTAAACATTCTATGCCTCATACTAATCCTCCAAATAATTTTGAACTATAATAACCAGTATATAGTCAAATTTAACCAGGTACTTAATAATAATAATAGTCATAAAAATCATGGGGAGTGACAGAAGATGTAACAAGCAAAGAAAATTAATAAAAATTGGTGAAGTTTGTTATTAGCTCTGACTAGAAGCAGCATCACCAGTAAAAATAAACTGTCATCTGTAACTGTGAACATGGAGAGATGGGAAGCAGAGGAAAGATTTACAAAAAAAAAAAAAAAAAAAAAAAAAAAAAGAAAGACAAAAGCAGAGAGGAATACAGAAGTATAAAGAGCACATGCAGTCCCCTGTAGGTAAGCATGTTTATCAGGTAAGAAGAAATGTGTTCAAAAAGTCAGACTTCCAAAGAATGGCTTTTTATCATACCTCAAACATCTGAGCACCCTTTAGCTTACCTTTGGTGCTAGGAATGAACCAAATCGTATCCTATTGTGGTGCTAGTTTAGAGAGAAAGTTGGGCATGGAAAACAAAGTTCATTTGTCCAGTAGGATGTCTGTTTTATTGTGAGCATTTAAATAAAGTACAAGTACCTACTTTCATTCAATGCTACCTGTGTCAAGAAAAAAAACTGGACTAAAATGTTGAATACATTTGCCCCATGTATGCAATAAATACTAAACAAGAAGTAAAGTGCCTCTAAAAGTTCCAAAGATTCCACAATTCTTCTTACACATCAAGTTGCCTTTTTCTTGCTTGAGAATCATTAAAACTTATCTTTCCACCGATTATTCAGTAATTTTATGGATAGTTTAATTGACCAAAGCTTTTAATTTCCCATTTCAATAGCAATATTTCCGTGATGTATGGTATACAGTTCCATGTATTAGCAAATGGAACTTACTGAACTTAAGATCAGCTGTGTTAGATAGGCAGATGGTTTGGGACATCAAGTTGACTAGTAAACATCCATGGTGAATCTTAGAGTGAATTCTGTTCATTTATCTTTTTCTTTGTAGAATATGCTGTTGCAGAGCCTCCCATATCCTATAATTACAAAAGTATTATTAAATTAAAGCTGTGAAAATATTGTTTATTGTTTTGCCTTCAGTGAAACTGTCATCAGCTCTAACCTATTTTTTTTAACTTTTATTTTAAATTCAGGGATACATGTGCAGGCTTATTACATAGGTAAACTTGTGTCTCATGTTACTTGTTATACAGGTAAACTTGAGGGTGTGCTGTACAGATGATTTTGTCACCCAGATATTAAGCCTAGCATCCATTAGTTATTTTTCCTGCTCCTCTTCCCCTTCCCACCCTCCACCCTCCAACAGGCCCCAGTGTTTGAGGAATGCATGTTGTTTCCCTCTATCTGTCCATGTGTTCTCATCATTTAGCTCCCATGTAGAAGTGAGAACATATGGTATTTGGTTTTCTGTTCCTGTGAGCTCTAACCTATTTTCTAATTCAATAGCTTTATATTCATAAGGAAATATTATCATCTTCTCAAACTTTATAATATTGCTACTTAAGATCATGAATATAAATAAAGTAATGTGGCCGGGCACAGTGGCTCATGCCTGTAATCACAGCACTTTGGGAGGCTGAGGTGGGCAGATCACTTGAGTCCAGGAGTTCAAGACCAGCCTGGCCAACGTGGTGAAACCCTGTCTCTGCTAAAAATACAAACATTAGCTAGGCATGGTGGCGCACGCCTGTAATCCCAGCTACTCAGGTAGCTGAGGCACAAGAATTGCTTGAGCCTAGGAGGCAGAGATTGCAGTGAGCTGAGATCATGCTACCACACCAGCTGGGCGACAGAACCAGACCTTGTTTCAAAAAATAAAATTAAATAAATAAATAACATAATGTTACATTTTTATTCTCTCATAACCACAAAAAGAACTCTACATCATTGGTACTTTTTTTTTTTTTTTTTTTTTGAGATGGAGTCTCACTCTGTCACCCAGGCTGGAGTGCAGTGGTGCCATCTTGGCTCACTGCAAGCGCCACCTCCCGGGTTCACACCATTCTCCCGCCTCAGGCTCCCAAGTAGCTGGGACTACAGGCGTCCGCCACCATGCCCCGCTAATTTTTTGTATTTTTAGTAGAGACGGGGTTTCACCATGTTGGCCAGGATGGTCTCAATCTCCTGACCTCGTAATCCGCCCGCCTCGGCCTCCCAAAGTGCTGGGATTACAGACTTGAGCCACCGCGCCCGGCCTCCATCACTGGTACTTTTCTTCAACATCTGATATATCAGTCAGGATTAAAGTAACTTAAATTTTTAAAAAGGAGTTTACTGACTCATAAATTTGAAGAATCTAAAATTGAATATAGCATGGCTGGACCCAGGAATTCAAATGATGTTATCAGGTCTCTGTCTCACCATCTTGTTAATTAAGTCTTCTTTTCACTCATTGGCTTTATCCTTTCCTGCCTTAGACAAATGGTATACCACCTAAGCACCCCCCAAATACGCAGTACTCATAAGAAGGCAATGGTTTTGTTTTGCTTTTTACTTTTTTCCAAGGGTTTTCCGTCTAAGAATTGCATCTTATTATGTTGATACCGTGGCTTCTAAGCCAGATATTATTCAGACAAAAGACTGTTAAATAATTGCCCAATAAGTATTTTGATTTTGGTCACCTCTATGCTGTACAACAAGGAAGAGAAGTGTGTTCATTTGCTTAGTAAAAGGGATTTTCTATGGCTATATCTTTTTGATGCAAAATATCTAAAAGAAAACAAAGAAACAAAACAAAAACCCTCAAGATAACCAAACAACCCAGCAATCTCAGTGGCTAGGCTTTGAAACCAAAATACCCATTCATTGATTGAGTTTTCAATTTTAGTAAAGGCATTGCAGTTTCATGTGGGCAGAACTCAAAATGCACTTACAAAAAACAAGTAACTAATTGTATGAAAAGGAAGACTTAGCTTGATGGTGATTGGGATCCCAGACCAAAAATGCAAACTCAACCAAGTAAGAAGTACTTTACAATGGATAGTGATAAAGAGTTGTACTTTTAAGATGCTAGAAAATTATGGCAATATTGATAAATGTAATTCAGTCTCAAAGAGTATTTTATAAATTTGATAGTTTTTTAAATCCTGTCAAAATTACAAAAAAAAAAAAAAAAAAAAGAAAGACAAAAGCAGAGAGGAATACAGAAGTATAAAGAGCACATGCAGTCCCCTGTAGGTAAGCATGTTTATCAGGTAAGAAGAAATGTGTTCAAAAAGTCAGACTTCCAAAGAATGGCTTTTTATCATACCTCAAACATCTGAGCACCCTTTAGCTTACCTTTGGTGCTAGGAATGAACCAAATCGTATCCTATTGTGGTGCTAGTTTAGAGAGAAAGTTGGGCATGGAAAACAAAGTTCATTTGTCCAGTAGGATGTCTGTTTTATTGTGAGCATTTAAATAAAGTACAAGTACCTACTTTCATAACAAACCACTTGAGAAGAAAACAAGAAATTGATTTACAAGAGTAATAGAATCTTAAAATCCTGGCTGTGAGTGACATGAAAACTTTTCCATAGCGAACTATCAACCTGAAATGAAAATAACATAGATATTCAGCTAAGTGCTATAAAGAATCACCTTTTTTTTTATTCTATTGCCTTTGACATAGCATGTTTTTACTAGGCAATATTTTAATCTCAACAGTTGAATTGATAAAATTCCAGTATCTATACCAACTTGGGAGCTGAAAGGATATCCAGTATGACAAAACATTTTATTTCTGCTCTGTTATTTGAATTAACAAATCTCAGGCAGGACCTTGGTATTTAAAATGAAAATTTGTGACATATTTCAATAATAATTCTCACTTAGAAGCATTATAATAGCACTGTTTTACTAAATATTAAATCATCACACTGAAACAGTAATAATAGAAAACAAATAGAATAGAATCTATTCCTATGAATGTAAGTGACAAAACATTTCCTGCATTGATCTATTCAAATTTTACATAAGAGAAATGACACAGGAAATGTTGAACTGTGTGACTAAATTGCAGTGGTCTGAAAGGCCTGTTTCAAACACATAGCATCAACATTCATATCTACATATGTGATCTTGATATTTGCCTTGGTAATTGCTGAAAAAAGCAAAATCAGCAGTCCCTTAGTTCTAGGAATTTGGTCTTTGATACCAGGAAATAGCTTCAGCTCTGTTTAAATAAACATTAGGGAGATCTGTAAAAGATAAACACCAGTGATGAGAATGTTACCCTAAGATCTCTTTCCACAGATTTCTTAAATGTACAGTTTATTTCCCTAGTCATGCTGTAATGAAGTATGGTCTGTCTTAGACTAACCCTAAATTTTGTCACCTAGTACTGGAGGTTCGATTGTATCACATGCTTGGACAGACAAATGAATAAGCCGTCAAGGCTTTTCTGATGAGGCTAGGTCTTCTAATCACTCTCTTAGCGTCCTACACATCTCATTTGTAGTAAACATCATAGTTGTAATCATATGTCTATATATTTCTTGTTTATTAACTGTATCCCCTATTACACCATAAATTTCTTGAATCCAGATGCCATATCTGACTATTCTTCTCCGTATATTTACTGCCTGGAAGTAGGTTCTAAATCAGAATAAAAATAAAAGAAATATTAGTTAAATGGGTGAATAAGCAATTCTGAGTGACACTTTCCCAATTCTGCATAAATTTATATGACTTTTACAGTAGAAAAGTAGGAATGTAGAGAAAGTCAATGTATGTTGCCTGTTGTTAAAATATAGGTTATTAGGCCCCACGAACATACTGATTAAGGAGGTTTGAAGTAGAACATCAGCATCTCTGTTTTTCAAAAACTCCTTTGGTGATATTTATAATGGAGCAAGTTTGGGAGCTACCATATTAAGGGTTTGTATCACTTTAGATCCCTGATTCTAGAATGTTCCTCACTCTTCAGTGATTCAGGGAATCCTCATAATGCCCATGTTTTTGAAAAGAAAGGTTGATATTATTGTATTTCTTTGTTCTGCCCACTTGGACTTTCCTGATTTCACATTTGTAATTTTGACTACTTATGAGTGAACTTGTATCACTCCGGGTAGCACTTTGGATGAGGCATGAAATTTCATCTCATGAGTTGTGTGCTTAATCTTTGAGAAAGAAACTTTCAGCTAATGTGTGAGTCAACTCTAGCTGGCCATTCAACATCAACATCTACATGATATGACTGTTTTTACACTGCAGGCACTTCTAGGAAATTGTGTGTGTTTATAGTGTGCTCAAACACAGAGACTTATAGTGAGCATTTGTTGTTTTATTATTTCCAGCATCCTCCCATAGCCTGAAAACAGAACTCGAACTTTGCTTTGGAGGAACCATTTTTAATCACCTTTCATGATATATATAAGATTGACCTCATCCCCAAATTTTAAAGTGGGAATTGATTAGCTTAAGTCCTCTTGTGATCTCTCCGGCCAAATAATTGGTTGAAGACAGGACACAGAACCTAAACAGAGCCAATGAAACAGAGGAAATGTTTGTTTTGGCTTCTGGAAATAAAAAGCTTCTCTCTTCCATGGAGACTACCTAAAGAAATCTTCTTTCTTTTCCTTGCCAGTGAGACGTGAAGATGCAAGATCTAGAACTGCTAAGCCATTTTGAAACCCTGATGGCACCTGAAGACTGTCAGGGGTCCCTGTGTAGAGTCTGAGGATAAAATAAACACAAAAGATAAGAGTAACTGAGATAAAAACTGGTCCTTGACGACATCACATGAGTTTTCAGGTTAAGTTTCAATTACAGCCAGTCTTGATTGCCCTTCACAGCTGTGTGATCTAGCAAATTTCTTCTGTTGTTTATGTCAGTTTGAGCTGGGGGTCTCTGTGATTTGAAACTTAAAGATTCCTAACACATGTAAGATCCATGACTACATCAGGATGTAACTTTCAGTGTGCCTTGAAGGATGAGACAGAGGAAATGGGAAGTCATCAGTGGAGTCAAAGATGTCCATAGATGCTAGCGCACCTTCCTGAAATATCATGGTTTTGTGCAAAACCATGCACACATCAAAAAAAAATTTAATAAAATCTATTTATAAGGAATACTAGGGCCCACCCAGTAGCCACATTTTCCAAACCAGAAATTCATAAACATAATCTAGCAAAATATTTTTTTCTGACTTGCCAATTCATTATATAAAATCTCAGAATAGCATAAAACATTGAAATCACATTTCATTATGTATTTCACTCATTGCCTTTATTGGAATGAAAACAAAATTACATAAAATCAGGATTATCTCAGAAAATTCAGGCCATATGGTGGCCATATCTAGGGAACATCCACCTTGTTTTATTGGAATAAATTATTGTTAAAATGAACATACTGCTAGAAAGGCTGTTACCAGTCTGCAGGTCATAAAGATAAAAAAGCTAAACCAACCTCTCAGTGCTGAATTGGCAAGTGAAAAGATGCATTCTGCACACAATAGGTATGCAGTGAATATATTTGACTGACAAGAACCCTGCTAGGACTAGCAGTGAGCTATTTAAGCCCTGCTGTTTCTTGTTGACTTTGCCAGCCTTGGCTGCGGTGTGAGGATTCTGTAACCATTAACAAGAGCCCCAAGCTACATCTCCTCTTCCTCCATTTCAAAGTTTCGTAAACCATAGTGTCAGGCGCTGGGCTCTCATCAGTGACTGATAGGTACACAGGGTCTGAAGAAAACATTTTTGCTTTGGATTATTTGCTGAGAATAAAAATTTCATGTGCCTGTGTCAACAGGCTTGTAACTATGGAATTTTTAAATATATTCATTAAACTGTAAAATGATAGTCTTGTATTGAAATCGACCTGCTTTTAACCTATGTGTTTTAGGCATCTGGTGTCTAAAAATTCTTCCGTACAACACAAATCAAAGTAGATGAAACCAGTTAACTGAAAATAACAATGAAAGCGATCAGGTCTTTCAATTTCTGGAAGAGATGAAGAGAAATGAAATAGAGACCACCTTTGAAAATTGAAATTACAAAAGATTTTTAAAATACATTAATAAGTGTATGTGCCTATAATCTATATATGTAATATGTAACACCAACCACAAACACAGTTAGTCCCACATATTTCAAACTGACTTCAAGCATTAATCAACAAAAGGTGGCAAGGGCTTATCCTTCATGAGATAAAGCAGTTTAATTTAGGAGGGAGATAATTATATTTCCAGAAATGGAGTGATGTACCACCGTTCTATAGAATATCTGCCAAAGAATCAGTGGCATGAATGATCCTTATAAATTTAAGCGTCACCATCATATGATGACAAAATATGATCACATTTTCTCAAATGACCAAATTTAACATCTCACATCCTTGCCTGCCCATGAAAAAACTAATGTCCCATGCACCACAACTGTCCTTGGTCGTTTCTCAGTATCTCTCTTCTCCGTCTCCATGAAGCTTTTTCTCAGAGGAGTAACTATCATTTGCTAAGCATTTATTATGTGCTGAGCACTGTTCTAGGTTACTTACATACACTTTCTCATTTTGTTCTAACAACAGTAAAATAGGTGCTATTTTCAATTGTCTTATAGACAAAGAAACTGAGGATCAAGTCTATAACCTAATAAATGGCAGAGTCAAAACTCCAGCTTACTTTTAACCCAGCCTGTCTGATTTCAAAGCCCATGCTCTCAGTTGATCATTAACAATTACCTTGGGATTTCCTAAGAGAATTTTAAAATTATTTCAATAGTTGCAAGCTATACAATCTGGTTGCATATATCCCAGCTATACAATCTGCTTCTGATATATTTATACTGAAATTCATCTGATAATTCACCTAAATTTAAAGGTAAAATGCAACAGATAATGTTTGCATGACTTGTGGCTTTTAGAATTGATCAATTATAATTAGATAGAATCTGGCAGTTCAGACTCCAAGAGAACACACTGAACTTGTATTTTGCCCATTTTAGTAATGATTCACCAGGCTTTATATTTGATTCCATCTGAAACTCATCAGAACTATATCCAGGATGTTTCTTTTTTCTTTATCTGCCAATTTCATTTGATGTTCTCACTTTGTGCTTTTCCTGAGGAAACACTAATGCTTTTGGAAGACGGAGACTATGATGGCAGTCTTCTGAATATAAATGTAACAGTATTACTTCAGATTTCTTTTGCATTCTTCTCTATACATTTCCAGTTTTTTCTTCTTTCTCATCTCCTCTTATTTTTTTCTCTCCTCCTTCTCCCATAAATCTCCCATACCATCTATTCTTCTTGTGGTCCCATTTTTCTATTTATTGTTATGATTAGACACACAGCCATGGTGTGTACGTGTGTGGCTTCTCACTAATTTTAAGACATCACGTTTTCACATTTCAGCATTCAAAAGATCAGGTCTGATACAATTAGTAGTGCCTGTGATTTGGTGAAGTACAATATTATTACTTTCAGGACAGTGGTATGTTTTCTAATAACTTCAGCACTCTTTTGTTCAATCTCCCTCCCAAACACAAATACACAAATGCATGGTCTCTCTTTAAAAATTCTCAGACACATTTCTCTGTTTTCTCTTTTCACATTCTGTGCAAAAACATAGAAGAGCTGAGCTCTGTTATTATAGAGGTTTTTTCTCCTACCTTCTAATTCAATAATTTTTAGGAAATATAAATCAACCCTCCTTTTCAAGTCAAACTCCAAAATGTGTTGTTGATTTCTTTTTAGGCATTTTCAAATATGCTTGCCTCCCTCTTCAGTCTTCCTCTCCCCCTTCTCCCTCTGGTGTGTGACAAGGTGCTACATACTGTAAGTCTAGGTTGCTGGAGCAGTGCTGTGGGCTCTAGCGTTGGCATGTGCACTGGATGTACATATTTTATTATTACCTTTCCTCCACAGCCAAGACTGTCAGAGGAAACATGGCATTTTTTACAGCTTTCTGCTAAGTGTCAGGCTTTGCACTTCAGAAATATTTGATAAGTGAAGCCTAAGTGGCAGGAGCACATCCATGCGAAAGGCAGATACACAATGTAACTTTAACTCTCCTATTAACTTTTTCATTTCCCTGCAGAAGTTGTTTCTGTCCATATTTTTACTTCAGCTGGGCTGAGTGGGAGAAAGAACTCAAAGGGAGGTCGAAGCAGATGGTTGTCACAAACTGCATACGGCAATTGAGAATTAGTGTACAAGCATATGCAACCTGGTACAGTATGAAGCATTCCAGCATATGAGTGCTGAAATAAATCAAGCCTGGAGAAGATTGGGATGATAAAAAGATGAGCTCTTCCTTCCCTGTTACATGTATATATTTAGGCCTGCTGAATTCATTAGGATATGTTCTCTGTTTTCAGTAGGCAAGTTAACACCTAAATTGAGCAGATTCGTGTAGACTCTGGTATCTCGCCTTTTTCTCTCATCCACTGTGCTTTCTGAAAAGAAATATTTCTGAAGAGAGACGCATCTTTTTCATAGAAGGAGGATTGGAGATTATGACGTCAACTTGCTGGACAAGTTTAATCATCGTAATAATTACTAATAGGATATAACAATTTACATTTACTCTTCAATTTATTAACAACAACTGTGCACCAGGGGCATAACAGTTCACATACAATTTCCATGCACATTTTTTTACTGCTGGTGACCTTACTGGTGCCCAATCTGTTGAAAGCAATTCATCCACAGACATGGGCACTTTCAAGTGTTTTTTCAGTAAGAACAGTCCTAAAGAGAAATGGGCACCAACAGTAGTTAACAGCAAGAAATGCCAAACTCACAGCCTGGAGGTCCTTTCGGTAGGCATCAGGAGATGTAGCTCTGCCACGTTGCCATTTATAATTATAAATAACTCATAATAATCTTCATTAGTACTCTTATGAGTCCCAGGAAGGGAGGGGAAATGAGTCGTTCCCTGCATTTATAAAATACAGAGCAGGAGATTTTAATCGTGATCACCCCACTTCTCAGGAGAGCAATGGCCATTTCTGCAATCGTGCTTGGTCCCCAGGCCCACGTGTGGCTCTGCCCCATGCATCTAGGGCCAGGGTGGTGCCGAGAGGGCCATGTGCCTCAGCTTCTGCTGTCCACCCTCTCCCTAAACTCAATCCCTGAGTTTTAAAGAAGCTTCCGTTGTTTCCAACAAAGTCCTTCTTGCTATTGCCTTTTCGTTTTGTTCACCTCCCCATCTGTCCTTTGTAAGAGGTGGAAGAAAGGTAAGACGTGAAAGAAAGAGAAGAGGGGGAAAGTGATAGGTATTGGCTCAAGAATAAATATTGAATTCCATATTGGTAGACCAAAACACAAATCAACTCTGAACTACAGGAGTCCACCAACATGCACATAAATCATTTATAACGATAATCCAAGACTAGGTCCAAATCTCATTAAAGTATATGAATCCTTAATCTATTTTGGCAAAAAAGTGCCAATACACATTTTTTCTTTTTATCATAAATTACAGTTCTGTGGCACTGTGCAAATATTACCAAGCTGTAAGACAGCTGTGCTCCATTAAAATGTGTAATGGTCGCTGATTTCTTACAGCACATGGTCATCAGGCTGAATCTACAGCCAGTAATTAGGAAGATGAAATGTTTAATTGTGCCTTAATTTTGATAAAATTTATCTGTCACACATCCCGCAGCCAAGCATTATGCTCACAAATCAATGTCATTGGGCCGAGCAGGAACTCGAGCACCAGACTCTTGTCCCTGACAGATTCATTTGAATATGTAACTGCTCATGATAACTAACCAGGCTAAGGAAGAAAGTGAAAACTTTCCCTATTGACACAGTTCTGGTGATATATGTCCTAGTACTTCCCTTAAGAATAAGTCCAGAGGTTCAAAGGTAATTCCACTCTTACCTTTTAAATGCTGTGTCTGCCTCCAGCTCTGATTGTGTAAAGAAAGACAACTCTTCAGAATCTGTTTGTTTGATTTTTTAAAGTCTATGAGTGCAAGGAGAAAAGACAGATGGAAGGAGAAGGAGAGAGGAGAAAAAAAGTAGAAAGAGAAGAGAATGTAGGAATGCCCCTTTAGTATTATGTCTTCATATTCTTATTTAGGGGTAGATCTGTGAAATGGGCAAGAGACATCCCTTTTAGCTAAAAATTCATAGATTCATAGAATGTTAGAGACGAAACTCATCTTGTTTTATGCAGATGGAAACTGAGGGCCAGAGAGATTGCCCAAGGACTCAGGCATCATCAGAAAGAGTTCAGGTTCTCACTCCGCAGTCACAGTAGGGATAACCTACTTCTTACAGAAAATTTCATAATCCTTATAAGCAATATTTACAAATCATAATGTTGAATTCATTTTTCAACTGGCATGAAATATTTTTTAAGCACGGGGAAGTGTAAGTACAAATACCTGCCAATACTGAAAATTAATTTCTGTCATGTTTTCCCTACAAAATGAATCAGTGAGCATTCTTTCTCACCCACAATAACTATGGCTCGTTATCCAAGAGAACTTAACGAGCATATGTCGGAACGTACTTTACATTTTTATTTTACATAGCTCTGGAAATAAAAATAATTGAGGGGGGCCATAGCAAAGATCCTGGGGAGGGGATGGAAAGCAGGTGAGAAGAAAGGAAGGATGGAAATCAAGATGGACCATCATCTGGGCATGAGAGACAGCCCTACGCCACTGGAAAATAGTGAGCGTCCATAGGGCAGGTCAGTTTCCCCAGGCGGGCAAGTTAGATTATGAATGTAGTTTTAAAAATTTTAAATTTAATATGCCAAAATTTTGCCAAAGGACACCAGTAAGTTTTCTAAGGTAACTAATTTCTCACCAGGTGATTAATGAACCAGCTGAAGACTCAGAGTGTGCCAGCTTACTTTAAAGTAAAATAAGTCTCAAGATCAAGAATAGTTTTAGGATAGTCTTCAAGGAGAGCCAAATGGCATTAAGCTGTAGCCTGCTAACAAGAAGACTCATTAAAACACTTTTCTAAACATAGCCATGGAAATAAGTCCAAGCTAAAGATATCATACGCCCCAGTCCCTTTTGTACTATTTTCATGGGCAGATATATTCAGGGATTGGATAAAAGGGTGGTACTGTATTCTGGTAAGATCGTTGTGTTTTATCCACTGGCACACCACACAGGCTAAACAGAAGCCGGAATAGCTAGAAGGGTGCAAATGGCATGGAGAGTAATACTAAATAACTAGCATTTGTAAATCTCTTTACAATAAATTGCTTTCACATCCATTGTTTTATTTGGGGTTTTAGAGAGGTTAAATTTGTCCCAAGATCACGTGATCATCCAAGAAGGATTAAAACCAGTGTGTTTGATACTGGGGATTGAATCACTCATGAGCCATTCTAACCCTCTTCTATTGGGCCTCTCTCTTATGCTAAAAATACCACTTTCCAGTCTGATTTGAAGGGAAGATTCTGCATGGAGGTAGGTACTGCCATTCAAATCCACTTACATAAGACTTTCATTCAGATCGAAGTTGCGTGGAGCGAGAGACAGGGTGCAGTGCATCCATTTAGGGGCCCCATATTGTGACAGAAGCAGTAGGATTTGGAAGCCAGCAGTCACAGTGTTGACTTTACAATTCATCAAAGTTTTCTAGTTCAGCCGCTTCCTGTTCAGAGGACAGACAGCTTCCTGACTCTGTAGCTCCCGTCCATGGCGGGAGCAGCTGCTGTCTTAGTGGTGCCAGGATAGGCAAAGGACTTCCTCTCTTTCTGCTCAGTGAACTGCAGGGAATCCCATGGGCTGCAACAAATAACCTCAGTCAATATTACCCACGTCCTGTGATCTCAATCTACTGTTCTTCTCACCACTTCTCACCGCAAGGTGGAGAATAATGCAAATTATTTATCTGGTTCAGAATTTTGAAAGGCCTAGTAACTTTTGAAAACTATGTTTAAATTACTTTATTGTGGTATAGTGGAGACAGCAATAGAATAATTAGGCAGAAGGACTGGATTCTAGTCCCATATGTGATTCTTTAATTTGGGGCAAATCACTACCTCTATAGGAGAAAGTGTCCATATCTTAAAAATAACACAAGCATACCTGTAGTATGCATGTATCAAAATATCACATGTACCTCATAAATACGTACTATTATTATTATTACCAAAAAATAAAGTAAAATAAAAAATTTAAAACTATACACAGTAAAATCAGTGATTTCTATGGTCCCTCTCAGTCCCAGTATTCTGAAATTCTACAAGGAAAAAATATATCTACTGGGTCTTTTAGGCTCTTAGAGATGCCCATTTCTCAAATTAACTGGACTTTCTATTTGCTTTTGAAGTTGTAGTTCCATTAACAAAAATTCTCAATCTCTGTATTAAAAAAATAAAAAAATTAATGTCAGAATCCAGGTCCTAACCTGTTAGAGCTGGGCCTCAGAAAGCACCATCAGCTCAAGTCCTCACTTTTGCAAATTAGGAAGCTGGAAGTCAGCAGAAGCAAAGTCATGCTGGGAGTGTGTGGCCCTGCTTGTATAAGCCATGCATCCATTTTGCCAGGGCATTCACTTTAGAGTAATGAAGTGATCGAGATGCTGGGGACCCTTGGCAGGAAGTGTGGAATTTGGATAGTATATCCTGCTGTCAGCCTCTATTTTCCATGGTTGGCAGGTTCCACTATAAACCTGAAGTTTGGTCAATAAGTATTATTTATACACAGTTGAAATGGATGTTCATGTATCATTGTTGCATAGTTTCTCAATTGACCCAGGAAATGTGATTAGCAGTAAAAATAAATAAATAAAAAGACCAATATTACCTTCAGGAAAAAAAGTAAGAACTTAGTAATTTTTGACTGTTGATGGTCATTGATTTTTCAAGATGGAAATGATTGATTTACAAATTGATAGTTGACACTTGAGCCCAGCAGGTCAAGACTAAAGTAAGCCATGTTAATGCCACTGCACTCCAGCCCGGGTGAAGAAGCAAGACCTGTTTTGAAAAAAAAAAAAATTGATAGTTGAAAGGCAGACATTTTTTCAAGATTTCTACTTTAACTATAAAATTCTACCTTCTACAAAACTGCCTGAGGAAAATAATTTTCATCCCAACTCAAACCTGTATTTTTTTTCAGATATCCGAAATGACATGTACTTCATGCAGAGTAACTGACTTCTTAATCTTTAAGTGACTTTACATTTTATATATATATATAATGTAAATATATATAATGTGTGTATATGCAGTTTTTATGGTGAAATCAATCAGTACATTCAGAATTCTTATTTTACATTGTTAAAATAAATACAAATAAATGATAAAACACATGTATAGGTTCAACTACCAAAGCATTAAACAATAGTATTCTTACTGGAAGTATAATTTTATTTAGGTATTGTGGTAACAGATATAACTCCAGTACCCTTATGTAAAAATGGCTGTTTCATCAGAGTTCTTATGTAGAACCTAATATCATTTCACAGGGATAGTGACACATATTTGTTTCATCTTGACTGGTCCATTTGTCCAGAATGACAAATTCATGTGCCAATGTATGATCTTATCCATATGATCCCACCCCCAAATATATAAAATATTTTGCATATGAACACTTTTATAATATCATTATGGATAAATAAAAAAGCTTTAGTCATTTTCTTAGGATACCTCAGACTCTACTTAATGTGCATGAGCCAAAAATTGCAATAGTAGGAAGTTAGTGACATAAGTCAACTCACTAGTAAGTGATACTTCATTCATTCATTCAGGACATAATCATTGAACAAGCCTTTACTTATTCACAAACAATCTGAAGAGCACAATCCCTACCTTTATGGAGCACACAACTTAAAGGAGGAGAGAGACCAATAAATACGTAGTCACAATCCAGGATGATGAGTGATGTGATAGCTCAGGGCTGGTGTGTTGAGATCATATAAGAGGGTCTCACTGGGGTTTCCTGGTGGAATCAGAAGCAGTGAGTCCCAAGCTGAGTTCTGAAGGCTAATTGCTCTCAGTAAAGAAGAGAATTGAAAAAGCTTTTCAGAAAACAGGAGTCAGCCTATAAAAAAGTACTGATGGACACTTTAGAGGGTGTGACATATTTGGAACAGTGCATTAGTCCAGGCAGGAATCTGAAATTGAGTAAACATATGTTTTCTGTAACCACTCCTGAATAAAAAGGTAATAGGAGGGGAAAAGTGTCAGAACAGGAAGAAATAAAGTCAATTTCCACTGTTGTCTTTTGGAGAGTGAGGAGCCCACTGACCAAACTTCCTTTCTAACCCATTGACCTTCCAATCTTTCACAGCCACCAAGAACAGATTTAGGACATCTTGGAAATGACAACTTGAGACAATTTTGTATTTTATATGGGAATATAATTT
Source organism: Homo sapiens (assembly GCF_000001405.40). NCBI lineage: Eukaryota > Metazoa > Chordata > Mammalia > Primates > Hominidae > Homo > Homo sapiens. Next base: position 65,194,605 of record NC_000008.11, read on the forward strand.
GTCATGTTCTTATATCAAAATTATTTAATTCTTTAAAAGACAAAGTAGTGAATAGCATCAATAAAAAATAAATCCTTTAATGCACATCGTAAAATGTTTTTATTAGTTTTAAATTGAATTAATAGAGGAGGGTATGGTAGACTGGATAATGACATTACAAAAATATCAGCTCCAAATCCCTGGAACCTGTGAATGTTACCTTATATGGCAAAAAGGACCTTACAGATGTATTTAAGGATCTTGAGATGGTGAGATTATCCTAGATATCTGAGTATAACACACATAATCTGGATACTATAATCACAAGTTTCCTTAAAAGAGGAGGCAGAGGGAAATTTGACTGCAGAAGGCAGTGAGACAGGAGAAGTAAAATGCTTTGAAGATGCATGAAGAAGACCATGAGCCAGCGTCTAGAAGCTGGAAGAGGCAAGGGGCACTTTCTCCCCTTGAGACACTAGAAGAACCAGCCCTGCTGATACCTTGCCTTTAGCTCAGTGAAACTGACTTTGGATTTCTGCCCTCCAGAACTGTAATAGAATAAATTTGTGTTAAGTAACTAAATTTGTGCTATTTTTTTTAAGTTCCAGGGTACATGTGCAGGATGTGCAGGTTTGTTACATAGGTAAACGTGTGCCATGGTGGTCTGCTGCACCTATCAACCCATCACCTAGGTATTAAGCCCAGTATGCATTAGCTCTTTTCCCTAATGCATTTTTTTACAGTGGCAACAGAAAACTAATATAAAGAGCAAATAAATATTTTTATAAAATTTCCAAACATTAGAACTGACAGTCATGTATTGTAGGAAAATTACTATTCCTAGGCTGGGATTCTTAAAGTATATTCTATGATTAAAATTGTAACCAGGCACTGTATTTTTTTTACTAAAATTAATTAACAAAATGTTTAAGTTTGTGGAAAAGCATACCAAATCAGTGCACAAAGTTCCAAAAAGAAGACAGAGAACCAGGAATGGGAAAATTAAATACTGTAATTTATTCAACAAACTTGTCTCATTCACTAAATCTGTTGAAACATTACATTAAAACCTAGCAATAAGGTATTGTTTAAATATTTATAATCACTTGCCTTGTAAGAAGATTCCTTTAAAGTGATTTATTCAATGAACATTTATTGAGTTAGTCTTTGGGGATAAAGCAGTGATCTAAACACATTCTTGAACTTCTTCAAAGTGTTTGTGTTCTAGACAACTAGATTAAAAAATCAATCAATTTCAACAAAGTTATGAATGCTATGTAGAGGTATATAAAGTGAGTATAAAAGAGAAACACAGAAGAGTGGCATATTTATATTATACCTAGATTTTCAAATATTTAATTCCATATTACAATGGAAAATTTTGATGCTGGAGAAATGACCCATCCAGAATATTTTTAATAAAATAATTTAACCAATGACATAAAATATGGTATAAAATATTACACGAATTAATCTAAAGTCATAAACTAGTACTAAATATATTAATCAGCAAATATTTGTTGATTGGAGGATTAACAAAGGACTTTTCACATTCTTGAATAGTCTTGATATCCTCCAGTTGTCATTTTCTCTATCCACTTAATTGATGAAAAGTAATAATATCTTGAAGAAAAGTTCTAAATGAGGTTTTCTGTAAATTACCAACATAAGAGATTTATCAATCTACCCGGGGCAGTAAAACAACTAGTAGCCGAGTGAATATGGATACTTAATGGTCACCAGATGACATCAGTGCTGCTGCACTTGTATAGAAGTAAAGTGTGATACAATAATGACAAGTTTTTGAACACCTACAGCCGATAATCTAGAGTTAAAGACAAAATAGACTTAACAAACACATAAAGGTAGAAGAGATGAGTGAAAGAGTCATTTAAAAGAAAACAAAATAGAAACAAATCAATTTTTATTTCTGAACCCATGGATATATTCTCAAACATAGCAACATCTGAAGAAAATCTAAGTAAGTCCCCATTCCAAGAGTCCTCCTGATTGTTACCTTTAGTGAGGTTTTGTTATTACAAATGCACTTTCAAAATTCACAGTCTCAATTAACGAATTCTGTTCATACAACAATGCCTATTTCTCTTTATATTCTTGGAAATGACTTAGCAAGTGAAAAATGGCTTAAAATTCACACAGGAAAGATGATATTGGAACTTTCCAGCCCTGTCTCCTGCCCAGCTTTTGGATCTTGTTATGTAATGCAATGTCAGGCAGACATTGAAGTGTTCTGTAGGTGCTTGTGCCATGGTTGATATGTTTTAGGTGAGGAAGACTAGAGGCTGAACAATAATGATGCCTTTCCTGCAAAATGAAATTTTAAACTCAATTCTCCTCTCTTCTTACACAGCAAATAGCACTAAGTCAAGTTGTTTAGTTAGGCAATGTTACATTTAAGTAGTGCCTAAGGATAATTCTTCTGGTGCTGTGTTACTTATTGTCCAGAAGTCCTGCTTTCTACTAGTCAGTGGGTTCTGGAGCTGGTTGAGCCATGCGGCTGTGGCACTGGAGCAAAGAACCCCAGCCCAAGCAAGGGCAGGACTGGCCATCATGAGGCACCCAGCTGAGTCCCTACCTATATCAAAGGCACAACCAGAGAACCTCCTTCGTTCAACATGTTTTCTAGCTCAACATTTGAGTTTACTTTTTTGACCTTTATATTTGAAGTTTGAAAGAAAATTTGTATAGGACAAACTTCTGCTCCAAGAAAGAAACATTGTTGTCAGAATCAAAGATCACTAGCTCTCACTGTCATGTAACCCTAGATACAAAATGTAATTGCCGTGACAATTGGAGGCTCTGAAGGGTCAAATACTTGTCATATATATGGTCAATACTCTGAAGGGTCAAGTATTTGGCCCTTCAGAGCCTCCAATTGTAGTATTTGAACAGAGGTTTTAAAGAGTCACAGGTTTTATACAAAAGCCCTGTGAGATCTGAGAATCTGTGTTATAAATACACTGCAATGTAGAACACCATTTTGTTTTAAATTACAATCTAGTTACTAATAAAATTATACACACTTCATCTTATATCCACAGAATGTGCTTTAATGTCTCTGTACATAACTTTCTTCACGATTCATGTGGGACTACATGCAAAGCATTCAGGAACCCCAATGCCAATGAAGAGCAGAGAAAGGAAAGCAAGTTATACTGGGTTGTATTTTTATTATTGAGAGAACTAAGAGAGTAGTAAATGGAAGAAAAACAGATCAGCACTCAAAAGAAAGCCCATGAAATGATAATAACTTAACATAGTCACCCATGACCCAGTGTCTAGTCTTCAGCTCTAGCAGTTCTCAAATACAGTTTTGTCAAAATACCTAAAGTCAATCAGTTTCCTAGGACTCATGTATATTCAACAAACTCATGTATAGGGACGTCTATATGCATCAGAACACCAATTTATAAATGTCAAGTAGAAGAAGTACTCTTCTATTGGCTGTAAAATTTGCCTTCTTTAGAATACTTATTTTTCCTCTTTCAACACTGTTGAGAGATTGATTTCATAAGCAGAAAGCTTATTGTATAACTGGAATGGAGTAAAAGAAGTCTCCTAATCATCAGGATTTATTTCTTCAAGGCCATGGTAAACCCTGATGAACTGTCTCTGATCTTCAATACAATGATCATATATTCTTGTTTTCAAGATTCAGGGCCTTTCTCCTTCTGATAATGCTGGATAAACAGACAAATTCCTGTTCATTATATTTTCTTTTTGTTCTAGATACCTTGTAGATTATCCTTTTCTCTCTTCTGCAGTGCATAATTTCTTTTGTTTCATTTTACAAATAATTGAATTTTCCTAGGACCAGTCATCCTCATGAACCTATTGACGAGTAACATCTATGTGCATTTCTGCTCTAAATGACTTTTGGGTTCATTATCACTAGTCATTCTCTAAGGTAATTTTATCTTCAAATTATCAGGAAAACTTATTTCACTCACGTACACTGACTACATGGAGAAAAAAGGCAGGGAGCCTCAACTTGCCCATTAAGGTGAATCATCACATGGCATGATAGGCAAGCTACCAAGGAGAAATTGGACTACTACTCCACAATGGACATAAGGAAGAATAAATCTGGAATACAGGAGATCCCTTAGAGCATCTGTTAGCATTACTATGCTCTGTAATTAAAGTCAATGAAAAACTACATTGGATTGGATAAAGAAACTGTGGCACATATACACCGTGGAATACTGTGCAGCCATAAATAAGAATGAAATCATGTTATTTGCAGAAACATGGATGTATCTGGAGGCCATTATCCTATGCAAATTAACCTAAGTGAATTAACACAGGAAGAGAAAACCAAATGTTGCATATTCTCACTTATAAGTGGGCACTAAACACTGGATACTCATGGACACAAAGATGGCAACAACAGAAACTATCAACCACTTAAGGGGGCAGGGAGGAAGGGGGGAAAAGTGTTGAAAAACTGGGTTATGAATGATTCCATCACACAATAAACCCAGGAAACAAACATGCAAAGGTACCCCCTTAATCTAATATGAAAGTTGGAAAAAAAAAAAAGGTTAGTCAGAATTTCAGACATGAAAAAATGACTATTAGTTCTAAAAGGAAGATAATGTTGTTTAGATTTTCTCTGTCTTCACTGATTTTTGTCTAATTATACCAATTGCTCAGAAAAAGTGTTAAAATTTCCTACCATTTCTCTTTTTAATTCTGTTGATTTTTGCTTCATACCCTTTGAGGCTAAGTTATTAGACATACACACATTTACAATTGTATGATTTCCTGATGAATGGTCTCTTTTAAAATTATGAAATATCCCTCTTATCTCTGGTAGCACCTTTTGTCTTGAAATCTGTTTTATTTAATATTAAAAAGAGCCACTCCAGCTGGGCGCGGTGGCTCACGCATGTAATCCCAGCACTTTGGGAGGCTGAGGCGAGTGGATCACGAGATCAGGAGATCGAGACCATCCTGGCTAACATGGTGAAACCCCGTCTCTACTAAAAATACAAAAAAAAATTAGCAGGGCATGGTGGCAGGCGCCTGTAGTCCCAGCTACTCGGGAGGTTGAGGCAGGAGAATGGCGTGAACCCGGAAGGCGGAGCTTGCAATGAGCCGAGATCGCACCACTGCACTCCAGCCTGGGCGACAGAGTGAGACTCCGTCTCAAAAAAAAAAAAAAAAAAAAAAAAAAAAAAAAAAAAAAGCCACTCCAATCTTATTATTCTTATTGTGTGCATGGCATGTCTTTTTCATTTACTTTATCATTCACTTTCAATCTATCTGTATCTTTATATTTAAAATATGTCTCTTACAAGCAACAAATAATATAGTCTTGGTGTTTTTGTTTTTCTTTTCTTTTTTTTTGTTTTGGAGACAGAGTCTTGCTCTGTCAACAGGCTGGAATGCAGTGGTGCAATCTCGGCTCACTGCAACCCCTGCCTCCCAGGATCAAGCAATTCTCCTGCCTCACCCTCCCGAGTAGCTGGGACTACAGGCACATGCCATCATGCCCAGCTAATTTTTGTATTTTTAGTAGAGACGGGATTTCACCATGTTGGCCAGGATGGTCTCAATCTCCTGACCTCGTGATCTGCCCACCTTGGCTTCCCAAAGAGCTGGGATTACAGGCGTGAGCCACTGCGCCTGGCCTATAGTCTTGTTTTTAATCCACTCTGTCAAACTGTCTTTGAATAGGAATATGTAGACTATTAACATTTAATGTAATTATTGATATGCTTGGACTTGGTTCTATCATCTCACTCTGTGTTCTGTTTGTTCTCTGTTTTTTGTTCCTCTCTTCTCTATTCTCTATCTCCTTTTGGATTATTTGAAACTTTTTAGTATCCCATTTTCATTTATCCACATCTTTTTTACTATATCTCTTTGTAGTTTTCTTTCAGTAGTTATCATAGGGATTATGCTTTGCAATTTAATCTTTTATACTCTACTTAGTGATAAAATGTAGAAACTTTGAAGCCATGTAGATACTTTTATTCCACTTTCTTTTCCCAGGCAATCAACTGAGTTAGGTTTAGACCATGATTTTTGCCTTATCTTCTGTAGGTACTGGTTCAAATTTCAGTTCATTTCTCTAAACATTTGCTTTCTTCATTTGGGTCCAACTCATGCAAGCATTACTCAGGGACTAATCTGAGACTCATGTGAATGGCTCAAATGTCAGTTTTACTCATTAAGCCTTAGCTGTATTGCTTTGGTCCTGTATCCTGCTTGCATCACTCAGGATTTAGGGTAAACATTTATGTTTTATGTGGTTTTATATGTAGAATTTGGTAAGCCCATTCTTTAGCTTTCTTCTCTCCCACATACTCTTCCACTCTCCTTCCTGGTTTCGCTGGCCAGAAGGATGGGTATCTCTTAAAGTTTTAGCAGCTTGTGCACTGCACTAATCCATGTCTAGGACATGTCCTCTTCTGCTAAAGAGGAAACTCACTCCTTTGCAGTTTGCTTCTCTATGTTTGATTTCTATTCACAATCCTCCTACTTGTGTTTACTTTTCAGAGTCCACACATTGGTTGGTTTTTGTATTTTTTTCTGGGTTTTAGTTATAATCAGCTAGAGGAGTGGGTTGGGGGTGGTTTATGCCACCATAGTGAAACCAGAACCAAGAACATTTTGAAAACTTTGTAAGTAACACTAACAGAATTCAGGAAAGAGTTGTTACCTAATTAAATCATTATAGAACAGCAACAAAGACATAATTGGTACAGCAAAAGATGAATTTTTTAAAATGTATGAAAAACATAATATAAAATGACTGAACTTAGATCAAGTGGAAAGCTATGAAAACCAATGGAAATTAAAATTTCTCTAAAAATAAATGGTTATAGAAAGAAATTCAATAGCAGATGAGCAATAACAACTAATCAGGAGCAGTAATGCTAATGTTAGCAAAGTAAAATTTATTTTTAGCAGCTTTATTGATATATAATTCATATACCCTATAATTCACCCATTTAAAGTGTACAATTTAGTTTTTTTCTGTATTCGCAGATATATACAACCATCACCACAATCAATTTTAGACAGCTTTTATCGCCTCAAAAAGAAATTCCATATCCTTTAGCTATAACCCCACTAAACCTCTAATCCCCCACCATCCTTCAGCAACATTAATCTACTTTCTGCCTCTATAGATTTCTATGTTTTATAAATTTAATATGAAGAAAATCATGTAACATGTGGTCCTCTGTGACTGACTTCTTTTACTTAGCATCATGTTTTCAAGGTTTATCCAGGCTGTAGCATGTATATCTAGGAGTGGAATTGCTAGGCCTTATGGTAACTCTATGTTTAATTTGCAGAACTGTCAGTGTTTTCCAAAGCAGCTGCAAAATTTAAAATTCCCACCAGCAGTATAGGAGGGTTCTGATTTCCCAAATCCTCGCTAACACTTGTTGTTATCTGACTTTTCGATTACAGCAATCCTAGGCATATGAAGTGGTTTTGATTTGCCTCTCCGTGATGACTAATGAATTGAGTATCTTTGTATGTGCTTCTTGGTTATTTTTATGTATGTGCTTCTTGGTCATTTCCTTGGAGAAATACCTATTCAGATCCTTTGTCTATTTTTTGAATTGGGCTATTTGTCTTTATACTCTTGTAAGAGTTCTTTATATACATGTAAGGGATACAGGTTCATTAACAATATATATGATTTGCAAATATTTTCTCCCATTTTATGAGTTATCTTTTGACTTTCTTGATGATGTCCCTTTAAGTAAAAAAATATTTTGAAATTTGGATAAAGTTCAATTTATTTATTTTTTGTTGTTGCTCATGCTTTTGATGTCACAAGAATCCTCTGACAATTCCAAGGTCATAGAGTTTTACCCCTATGTTTCCTTCTAAGAGTTTGATACTTTCAGCTCTTATATTCAGGTCTTTAATGAATTTTGAGTTAGTTTTTGTATAAGTCAAGTGCAATTAAAGCAAAAGTATTACATGAGATAAACAGTCCATTGAAAATATTCTAAAAGTTAATAAAGACGTATCAATGTTGAATGTTGTAAAATTTTGACCAGATTCTACAGCAACTAAATGTATCTTTTAAAAGGTTAAAACTGCACAGATACATTTACAGAAATCTAATTCTACTGATAAAATTTAGCATATAAATATTACTCTATGTACATCTGATAAGGAATTGATATCCAAAACATATTAGAAACTCACACAACTCAATAGTAAGAAAACAAACAACCTGATTCTAAAATGGGCTAAATAATGGGAAAAGGGGCTCTTTATTCGATACATAATGCTGGAATAGCTGGCTAGCCATATGCAGAAGAATGAAACGGGACCCCTACCTTTTACCATATACAAAAATTAACTTGAGATGATTTAAAGGTTTAATGTAAGACCTCAAACTATAAGAATTCTAGAAGACTATCTAGGAAACATCATTCTGGACACTGGCCTTTGGGAAGAATTTTTGACTAAGTACTCAACAGTAATTGCAATAAAAACAAAAGGGGACCTAATGAAACTAGCTTCTGCATAGATAAAGAAACTGTCCTAGCCTGGACAGCATGACAAAACCCTGTCTCCACAAAACATTTGGTGGCACACGCCTGTAGTCCCATCTACTCAGGAGGCTGAGAGAGGAGACTCACTTGAGCCCAGAAAGTTGAAATTGCAGTGAGCCACGATCATGCCACTGCACTCCAGCCTGGGCATCATCGGAGTGAGACCCTGTCTCAAAAACAAGCAAACAAACTATCAACAGAGTAAACAGACAACTTACAGAACTGAAGAAAATATTTGCTAACTTTGCACCTGACAAAAGTCTAATATCCAGCATCTATAAAGAACTTAAACAATCGAACAAGCAAAAATACAAATAACTTCATTAAAAAATGGGCAAAAGACATGAGTGGACACTTCTCAAAAGAAGACATACAAATGTGCCAACAAACATATGAAAAATGCTCCACATCACTAATCATCAGAGAAATGCAAATCAAAATCACAATGAGATACCGTAACACAACAGTCAGAATAGCTATTACTAAAAAGTCAAAAAACAACGGATGCTGGTGAGGTTACAGAGACAAGGGATTGCATATACACTGTTGGTAGAAATGTAAATTAGTTCAGCCACTGTGGAAAGCAGTTTGGAGATTTCTCAAAGAACTTAAAACAGAACCACCATTCAACCCAGCAATCCCATTACTGAGTATATATCCAAAAGAAAACAAATCATTATGCTAAAAAGACACATGCACTCACATGTTCATTGCAGCACTAGTCACAATAGCAAAGACATGGAATCTACTTAGGTGCCTATCAACAGTGAATTGGATAAAGAAAATGTGGGACATATATACCATGGAATGCTATGTAGCCATAAAAAAGAATAAAGTCATTTCATTTGCAGCAATATGGATGCAGCTGGATGTCGCTATCCTAAACCAATTAATACAGGAAGAGAAAACCATATATTGCAGGTTCTCACTTATAAGTGGGAGCTAAGCATTGTGTACTCAAGGGACCTAAAGATAATAACAATAAAAACTAAGGACTACTAAGAGGGGACAGAGAGGGGGAAAGGCTGAAAAAGTAACTATTGGTTACTATGCTCAGTACCTGGATGACAGGATCAGTTGTACCCCAAACCTCAGCATCAGGCAATATATCCAGGTAACAAACCTGCACATGTAGCCCCTAAATCTAAAATAAAAGTTGAAATTATTTTTAAGGGGGCTAAAGATCTGAATAAACACCTCTCAAAAAAATACATTAAAATGGCCAAAAATATATTTTTAAATGCTCAAAATCACTAATCATCAGAGAAATGCAAATTAAAACCACAATGAGATATCACTGAACACCTATTAGAATGACTATTATCAAAAAAAGGAAAGATAATTAGTGTTGGTGAGGATGCGGAGAAAAGGGAAACCTTGTACACTATTGGTAGGAATGTAAATTAATACAGTCATTATGGAAAGCAGTATGGAGTTTCCTTAAAACGTTAAAAATAGACCTAGCTTAGCTGGGTACGGTGGCCCAAGCCTGTAGTCCCAGCACTTTGGGAGGTTAGGGGAGGCAGATCACTTGAGGCCAGGAGTTTGAGACCAGCCTGGCCAACATGGTGAAACCCTGTCTCTCCTAAAAGCACAAAATTTAGCCAGTCCTGGTGGTGCGCACCTGTAATCCCAGCTACTTGGGAGGCTGAGACACGAAAATTAGCATGAAATTAGTATATTGAAAAGATACCTGGACTCCTGCGTTCATTGCAGAATTATTCACAACAATCAAGATATGGAATCAACTCAAGTCTCCATCAACAAATTAATGGATTAAAAAATGTGGTATGTATTCACAATGGAATACTACTCTGCTTTGTTTTTTTTTTTAAAGAACTCCTATCATGACAACATAGATGCACCTGGAAGACATTATGTTAAATGAAATAAGCCAGGCACAGAAAGACAAATACTGCATGAACTCACTTATTTGTGGAATCTAAAAATATTGAACTCAGAGAAGCAGACAGTGGAACGTGGTTACCAAGGGCTGGGGGAATAGAGAGGTTGGCAAGATGTCGGCCAAAGCCGAAAGATACAAAATTTCAGTTAGACAAAAGGAATAAGGTCAAGAGATCTATTATATACATGGTGACTATAATTAATAACAATGTGCTATATTCTTAAAAATTGCTAAGAAAGTAGATTTTAAGTGTTCTCATCACTAAAAAATGATAAATATGTGAGGCAAATGCATATGTTAATTAACTCAATTTAGCCATTCCACAATACATACACATTTCAAAACAACATGTTTTATATAATAAATATATATAACTTTTACTTGTCAATTAAAGGAAAAAGAAATAAACCTGTGTCATCAAGGGAAAATGAGAATATAGAAAATATGAACATTCTATATAATGAGACAAAATTAACATTAAAATACCAAATTTTACAACCTAGAGAAAAGCAACTTCCCTCTATTCAATTGTGCATAAAATATTTATAAATATTGACTTATGTCTTAAACCACAAAAAATAAACATTCTAAAATGCAGAGCTAGTATGCAATACTTTTTGAAATAACAAAATAAACACTAAAAATTTTCAGTATCTTTACAATGTTTAGCCATCTTTTAAATAAAATCACATTGAAAAGAAAATAAAGAACCCACTAAATCACAAAATAAGAAAGCTAAAAATTAAAGCTGATAAGGTGTAATCAAAGCTACTAAGAGAGCTGAATTTATACTTTTAAATCTTTTTATTGGCCACAAATTGGGAAGTAAATTTAAATCCAACTAATGATTTAAGCAAAGGGCAACAATAAAATCTCTAAGTAAAAATGACAAAAATAATTAGAAAACCAATTAAATAATAAAATTTACTTTTATTATTAAATTTGCTTAAAATTCAGAACTAATAAACTATATAAGCCTCTACTAACTCTAAACATGAAATAAACATAAATTGTAAAACCTATAAATAAAAAATTACACCGAATATCAACAATACTGTGAATATTCAGTTGTGAATACACAACTGTATACTAGCAACATGGAAAACTCTTAGAAAACACAATTTTCCAGCTGGATGCAGTGGCTCACGCCTACAATCCTAGCAATTTGGGAGGCCAAGGTGGGCAGATTACTTGAGCCCAGGAGTTCAAGACCAGCCTGGCCAACATGGCAAAACACCATCTCTATTAAAAATACAAAAATTAGCCGGGCATGGTAGCACACACCTGTAGTCCCAGCTACTTGGGAAGCTGGAGTGGGAGGATCAATTTAGCTCAGGAGGCAGAGGCTGCAATGAGCCAAGATTGCACCATTGCACTGCAGCCTGTGACAGAGCAAGACACTGTCTCAAAATAAATAAATAAATAAATAAATAAATAAATAAATAAAAGAAATAAAGAATATATACAATTTTCCAAAATAAAAACTTAAGTTGAAATGGAACATACAAAAAATTAGTATAAAGATTTGTGAAAGTTACTGAAAAGTGGCCTTAACGAAATGGCTCGTGTCTCTAATGTATATACTATTAAACTTGTTTTAACTGTAAAGAAAGAGATAATTCTCATTTAACAAAATAATGTGTTGTTTGTATACTTAAAAACTGCTATGAGAGTGGACTTTAAATTGTTCTCACCACAAAAAAATGATATGTATGTTATTTGCAGATATGTTAACAAGCTTGATGTAATCATTTCACAATGCATATATGTATCAAAACACAATTTTGTGCGCTGTAAATATTTACAATTTTTCTTTGTCAATTATACCCTAATAAAGCTGGGAGGACAAAAGAAAAAATTTGAAAGAAATGAAAATATATTAGTCAACTCGCAGTATACGCTGTACCCGATGTGTAACCATTTATCCCTCACCCCCTTCCCACCCTTCCCCCTGAGTCCCCAAAGTCCATTGTATCATTCTCTTGACTTTGCATCCCTATAGCTTAGCCCCCACCTATGAATGAGAACATACAATGGATGTTTGGTTTTCCATTTCTGAGTTACTTCAAGTAGAATAATGGCCTCCAACTCCATTAGGGTTGCTGCAAATGTCATTATTTTGTTACTTTTTATGGCTGAGTAGTATTCCATCATATATCTATATATAAGGTATATCTATATATCTATATACCCTATATATCTTTATCCACTTGTTGTTTGATGGGCATTTGGGCTGATTCCATATTTTTGCAATTGTGAATTGCACTGCTATAAATGTGCATGTGCTAGTGTCTTTTTCATATAATGACTTCTTTTCCTCTGGGTAGATATCCAGTAGTGGGATTGCTGGATCAAATGGTAGATCTACTTCTAGTTATTTAAGGAATCTCCACAGTGTTTTCCATAGTGCTTGTACTAGTTTACATTACTACCAGCAGTGTGAAAGTATTCCCTTTTCACCACATCCATGCCAACATCTATTATTATTTTATTTTAAATTATGGCCATTCTTGCAGGAGTAAGGTGGTATCGCATTGTGATTTTGATTTGCATTTCCCTGATAATTAGTGATGTTAAGCATTTTTTCATACGTCCGTTGGCCATTTGTATATCTTATTTTGAGAGTTGTTTATTCATGTCCTTAGCCCACTTTTTGATGGGATTGTTTGTTTCTGCTTGCTGATTTGTTTGAGTTCCTCGTAGATTCTGGCTACTAGTCCTTTGTCAGATGCATGGCTTGCAAATATTTTTTCCCACTCTGTGGGTTGTCTGTTTACTCTGCTGATTATTTATTTTGTTGTACAGAAGTTTTTTAGTTAAATTAAGTCCCATCTATTCATTTTTGTTTTTGTTGCATTTGCTTTTGGGTTCTTAGTCATGAACTCTTTGCCTAAGCCAATATGTAGAAGAGTTTTTCTGATGTTTCTTCTATAATTTTTATGACTTCAGGTCTTAGATTAAAGTCTTTGATTCATCTTTGGTTGATTTTTGTGTAAGGTGAGAGATGAGAATCAAGTTTCAGTCTCCTACATGTGGCTTGCCAATTATCCCAGCACTATTTGTTGAATAGCGTGTCCTTTCCCCACTTTGTGTTTTTGTTTGCTTTGTCGAAGATCAGTTGGCTGTAAACATTTGGCTTTATTTCTGGTTCTCTATCCTGTTCCATTCATCTACATGACTGTTTTTATGCCAGTATCACGCTCTTTTGGTAACTACCACCTTGTAGGAATCTATAGGTCTGTGTTCCTGAATTTTTGTTATTGTTCTTCTTTTCAAATGTATTCCTTTTGCTTCAGCTCAATTGAACATATACTTGCAACACTACTATATGACAGGCTTAGTGACTGGATTCTGGGAGGAATGAAGAGATGAAAAAACAATGCCTGTCCACAAAGACTGTATAACATAAAAAGAAGAAGAGAAATTAGGCAAATAACTATCAGGCATGTTTGAATAATACTTCAGAAAGGAAGAGCTTATATCTGGAGATCTACAGAGGCTTTAGGAATGGCACAGGCATTTGCTATGGGCCTTGCCCAGTAGATAGGATTAGCGCAAAGATGTGGAAGGGTACGTTTTCTCAGAGACAGATCCCTGAGCAATGACACAGAGTCAGGAAAGTTTGAATCAGCTTGGAAAGTTAATGTAATTATTCTTTTTATTCATTGAATTTAATCACCAAAATTATTATACATCAAAATCCCAAAACAGCCATTGAAGAAGGTTTAATTTAGTCATTTTGAAATAAATTCTATCCTGAGCTCCAAATTGAGTATACTTCTCAACTCCATCCTGAAATGGAATCATGCAAATTCAGTCTGGGGTGTATTATAGGAACAAATGGGGAAATATTTACGTTAAAGTTACCAAATGCTGATCCTTAATCCTTCATTTAAATAACACCCACAATTTCAAACAATGGGTTCCCCAAATGCACTGGATCATGGTACCACAGATCTTGTTTAGAAAATGGAGTGTGAACAGCTCTCAGAATCTGAGAAATCCAAACAGCATCTCAGAGCTGGGGTCAGGGAGGATATTGGATGACAGGAGACATGCAGACTTGAGTAAAAAATCTGTTGTCACATTTTCCACAATTCAATTGCTAATAAAAACTTGGTAATGATGGCAGCAGTCTTTTCTGGAAACACTTACGATATTGATAATGACCCATACTGGGGAGATAAATCCAGTATGTAGCCATGCTTAAGTAAAAGAAATTCTTATTACCTCATTTGTCTACTAATAAGTGTGTCTTTGGAGGATTCTTTAAATATTATTGATATAGTGAGTGATAAAAGGTGACTGTTATTGCCTGAAAACACTGAATAATTTACCTTCATTAAAGCACATCCACCAGAGGCTTCTCAGGTTGCATGAAAGGTAGCACCAAGGTTCCAGAAAGTCTGCTTTTATTGTGAAGGAAAAAGAATCACATCCCCAACAATTTCCTTTAATTTGGAATTATTAAATGATTTTAACTCTCTTCTTTTGTGTAGCTGTAATATCAGCTTCAAAAGCTAATTTAATATAATCCATACCTTGACTTAGAATTGATTCATTATTTATCACATATTTACTAAATCCTAATATATGTGTGCAGTGTGTTGGGTATCAGGAATTCCACTGAGAACAATCCAAACAAGGCCCCTGCCCTCGTGTAGAATTTTTATTGCAGCACTAACAGTTTTCCTCCTTCTAAATCAAAAGCTCCTGCATCTCTTTTTCACCTTCTGCATACTGGTGCTGAGCCTAAGGCCTTGAATGTAAGTGCTTTTTAAGTATTTACCAAGTGGAAGTTTCCATTTTATTTTCCACCTTATATTATAGTTGATTGTGTCCTAGTATTCCTCCTAAATTAGTGGCTGAGGAGAGAGAGTGTAGCAGCGATCTACTCCTCTGCTGGGACACACAGCTAGACTACATTTCCCAGCCTCCCCTGCAGGTGTGACCACATGGCTAAGTTCTAACCAACAGCATGTGAGTGGAAGTGACTCCACTCAAAATGTGTTATTTCCAAGCCTACATATGAAATCTTCTCATAAGAGCTCCTCCCTGCTGTTAGATGTGGACATCCACATGGCCATCAGAAGCCAGCAGAGCCCCTGCTAGATAAAGTTATGGAAGTACTGTGTGGAACAAAGCCCCCTTTATCATCTGAAATAGTCTTGGATTGTTCATTATGAGGAATAAACTTCTACTGTGTGTATGTCATTAGTTACTTGTGGTCTATTTATTATAGCAACAAATTTATCCAAATTAATAAATGTCTTTGCACCTAATATATAGAAAATTTAAGGATGTTAATTGATAGAATTAAATGTTAGAAAAAGGAGATCTCTTCTCTTTTGTGTCATAAACCACCACTTTCTGCAGTTTACAGTTAACTGCTTTTATTAGAAAACACCAACAATCAAGAAATCACAGATTTCACTCTCAGATGTTTTATAGCCAAGTAAATGATAGCAAACATGAATGATTACTGATATGAAGTATTTTTCCTCTTCAATCAGGAGTTCAAAGTCAGAGGGAAAAAAATGGATATGTTTAACCTTCCCTAACCATTATAGACTCACTGTTGAGGCTGGAATTTGTCTATATCTAATTAGGATGTTAAAATTTGTCAACAAACCTATTTTACTTCCCCTTTTAACTTAGAGTTCATCTCTTCGTCTTCTACCAATTTACCTCAGAAGACTGGGACGATACATTTTAAACTCTTCTTCACTCCAAATCCAAAATAAAATTAAATACATTTTGATAGAAGTAAAAATTGACATTATTACACAAACACACAACACAGCCCTATATTAGCTCACCAATAAATTACCCAAGTTGCTTTCTCAATAAAGAAAAACACATTCATTTCAGAGAAGCCTACATATTTTTTTCTATCATTTTGTGATTTCATAGTAAGTGGATATGGTTTAGCTAGAGTACTTGGACCAGAAAATAAATGACTCCTGCTCATCCTGTAGGTGCCAACTACGTTCAAGCATGAGGGGTTGCTGGCCCGCAGTGCCAACATACAGCACCTTCGCAGGGAGGCCAAGGCCCTCATGCTCCAGCAATACCAGACGGCGCTCCGATGAGGCGGGCTGCTTCTGGCAGGTGGTAGCACAGGAGGTAGTAAGTGAAAGCAGCTCAGCATAAATAGTTACAGTGAAATACAAGAATAATATTCTGGCATCCCCGACTCATTTTCTCTCATTCATGACTCACAATAAATACATATTCTAATGGGCAAATGGCTAAACTACCCCAAAGAAATGAAGACTCATCTCCAACTTCTAATGGAAACTCTCACTGATCTGGAAACCTTTCCCCCTCAAGTTAAGCAAAGTTTGAACAGACATGATTTTCTCCTCATTGACCTTGGAAATCTGTCCCAGGCTGTTGGCCATTCTGGTCATCTTTTCTAGACCAGCTGCTGTCTTCATATCAAGGGGGATTTGGAGCATTCCATGGGTCAGAAGAACGTAATGTGTTCTGGGTCATTTCTAATCCATGGAAAGCCCAGGTGTATAAGATTGAACCAGCCAAAAAAGAGAGGAAGATACAGAGAAGCAGAGACAAAGACAGTATTTGACCAGGAAAAAAAAAAATGAACTAAGATCCTAACAAATCCCTAGACAACTAACAAATGAAAAGTGTAATATCACCAAGAACTAAGAAATTTATATTTAAGGATGAAAAATATGATTTCCAGGTTTTACTTTTGGGAGATGCAGATGAAAATATACAGAGGTTTTTTTGTCACATCTAAAATATATCTTGCTGAAACTTGGTGATGGGTAAAAGAGAATTCATTATATTATGCTCTCTAATTTTGTATAGACTTGAAAATTCCCACATGAAAATTACAAAAATAAAGAAAAGCATATCTAAATAAGTAGTCAAGGCTAAGATTAACAAGGATTTCTCATTCATTTACCATATTTATAACTCCATTTATATTGTTTCATACTTCAGAAGTGTCCCTATTTTTACAAATAGAAGTACTAATGGACTATACAGCTCAGTAACAATGAAATCCCTTTGGAAATGAGAATAAAACAGATAAAAAACTTAGAAGAAAGAAATGAAAAGTTTCCATGAGTGACTAGCCGTGGGCTATAGGAATTGCTGGGAGTCACTTCATGTAGAGCTCCAAGAACTTGTCAAGATTTCACTATTTACAGTTATATGACAGATTATGATACAGGAATATGCATTAACACTGAAACCAATTGTGTGGAATGGAAAAACCACGCTTTTTAAAGCCTGCTCGCTGTAAAATTTACCAGTTTTGCTTAGGTAAATAGGTTCCAAAGTACAAACATGAGAGGTTTTAAACCTGTTCTAGTTTAATAGGTCAGAATTTCAAGTCTGATTAAATTTTGCACTCCCCTGTTGCCTGATTTCTGTTCAGCTTTTGCTAATTACTTTCAGGGACTTGCTAATTGGGATGACTAGTAAAGACAATTTGTCATGTGGATCATTTTTTCTTAACATTTTCAATATTCAGTGTTTAATGTTTATAAAGTTATAGTCAGTCAGATTAATGTACATGATAATGTCAATATGAAGTTTCCACATTTTAGCATTTCAAGGTCATCATTGACCCTCCAATCTTCAAAAAGCCATTTGAGAATATGTTACTAAATTCTGTATGTAATTATGACTTGGCCATGGAAAAGTTTTTCTCCATAGAGATTCCTGGTAAATTGCTCTTTTTTGGCATTCTTTTTGGCCATGAAATGAGGAAAGCTGGAGTAATTCTTCTTTTAAATTGGGATGCCACTTGAGGTGGCAAAATTGTAATAATGTGGGCATAGAGATCAGTGGCAAAAAGAAGATCAATAAGGGACTTTAGCCTGAGAAGTTTGGAAAACCTATTTCTATATAAGCCTACAGCAACATCCTGATATCAGATCCCAAACTTTTGAGATGACACTGCCACCTGCCCCACAGGTACAGGAAGCTGCTGCCACCATCAGTCACTCTTAACTGAACATCCCAGAGCTCTAGGATCTGAGACCCAAACCCTGAAACTGCAGGATATTTATGCTACCCACTCTTTGCTAGTCCTCCTGGAAAAGCAGGTAATTGATAAGTGAATTAACTACTCAGGCAATTAATGAAATACACACATTCAACTCTGATGTAGTAGGATCATAGGACTTCTGAGACCTTACTACATTCCTGGTAATTTGCACGCAGGATCTCAGGTAATCCTAACAGCATGTAAATCAGGCATTCTTTATCCCCATTTTGCAAATGGGGAACTGAGACACAGAGATATTCATTAACTTGTCCAAAGTCATAAGAAACAGAGCTAGGAATCCTGCTTAACATGCTGATATCCTTGCTGATATCCTCTTAACCTGATCATTGACTTCCAACTGCCAGCACCTACATTTCCTGGCCTGATGCTTTCTTTTACCTCCATTGCCTGCTTTGCTAGGTCTTAAGGCAGGCCCAAAATGCCGGGAATTAATCCTCCTCTGGAGCAGCTCTGGGCTGGTGGCTGGCAGGAACTGGTGTACAAATACCCCAGATACCCTAGTTCTCTCAATCCTTGTGGGCAATAACACCAGCTCCCAAGTTTACCTAAGGGATCAAGCTGTAGCTTTCCATAGTGATAACTTCCTTGATAACACACTCTCTTCATTGGCTACCTTTCCTACCCCTGACTCACACCCTCACTTCCCCACCAAAATTTCCTGAGATCAACTGGAAAACTACCTCCTTCTCTCAAGGTCTGCTTCAGAAGTAATTAACACACAATTGCTTGGGCAGTGGCTCATGCCTATAAGCCCAGCACTTTAGGAGGCCAAGGCAGGAAGATCCCTGGAGGCCAGGAGTTTGAGAACAACCTGGGCAACGTAGTGAGACCCCATCTCTACAAAAAAATTAAAAAATTAGCCAAGCATGATGGCATGCTCCTGTAGTCCCAGCTACTTGGGAGGCTGAAGTGGGAGGATAGCTTGAGCCTGGGAGGTTGAAGCTGCAGTGAGCCATGATGGTGCTACTGCACTCCAGCCTGGGCGACAGAGCAAGACCCTGTCAAAAAAAAAAAAAAAAAAAGTAACTCACACACAAGATCTGATTGTAAGTCCTTATGATATTCTCATTCTTCCACACTGGAAGTATGGTGATTCAGGGAAGAAAGAAATGCCCAAAATCTGACATTATGCTATTAATGAAGAAAATGGGTGTTTAATATACTCGTTAGTCTTTCCCTTTGGAGAATAGGCTGGAGAATAGTTAGGCATCCCCATTAGGATTTCTGGAATAGGAACTCAGCAAATATTTGTTAGGGTTGAATGTAAAGTAGAAGCTGAGATTTGTCAGAGAAAGCTGATTTGAGGGGAGGGTAAAGTTGCTGAAACTATAGTAGCCTCAGGGAGCAGACACTGCGAACCCTTTGTCCAGGCAAAGAAAAGTCTAGTGCAGGTTCAATCTCTAGGCAGCCACTCCATGAATTCAACTGTGCCCTGACTTTGCGCTCTGTATTGTGTTCAGTCTTGTAGACTCGGCAGTGGGCACCACACAGGCTTTGGTTCTTGCAGTCCATGTTTCAGCAACAGAGACAGATTAAAAACCAATCAATGATGCACCCTGAGATGTGAGGTGTTCAAAGTGCTGTGTGACTGGCAGAGAGTGGAATGCATTCTGTGTGGGGTTTTAGCAGGAGTGGAATGGTTTGGGAGGCTTCACAGAAGGTGACAGTTGAGCTGGATTTTGAAAGACTTGAAAAGGAACTTAGCAGTAAAAGATGAAATAGTGTTGTTAAGAAATACCATTTGACCCAGCAATCCCATTACTGGGTATATCCCCAAAGGTTTAAAAATCATTCTACTCTAAAGACACATGCACACATGCTTACTGCAGCACTATTTGCAATAGCAAAGACTTGGAACCAACCCAAATGCCCATCAATGATAGACTGGATAAAGAAAATGTGTCACATACACACCATGGAATACTATGCAGCCATTAAAAAGAATGAGTTCATGTCCTTTGCAGGGACATGGATGATGCTGGAAACCATCATTCACAGCAAACTAACGCAGGAACAGAAAACCAAACACCACATGTTCTCACTTATAAATGGGAGTTAAACTATGAGAACACATGGACACAGGGAGGGGAACATCACACACTGGGGACTATTGGGGGGTGAGGGGCAAGGAGAGGGAGAGCATTAGGACAAATACCTAATGCATGCAGGGTTTAAAACCTAGATGATGGGTTGATAGTTGCAGCAAACCACCATGGCACATATATACCTGTGTAACAAACCTGCACATTCTGCACACGTATCCCAGAACTTAAAGTAAAATTAAAAAAAGAAAAGAAAAAAAATAGTGTAGTTTTCAGCAAAGAGATTTTCATCCAGCATTTTGGTTCTAGACGGGAAAAATCAACCCCCTTAAAAGGCAGATGCTTACAGAAACAAAGTTATAAAATGTCAAAGTTATAACATTCTTACCTCAGAATGTTGAGGGGAAAGTAACAAGAGCTAACAATTTCGTAGTGTTTGTTCTTTGCTGGGCACTGTTCTATGTGTTTTACATGCAGGAACTCATTGAACTTTCTCACAAAGACCCAAAATAAATATTACTATTATGCCATTACAGATGGAGAAATTAAGGTATAGCGAGGTCAAGAAAATTGTTCAAAGTCACACAGCTGTTAATGAAAGCCAAATAATCTGGCATTCAAGTCTGCACTCTTAATTAGTAGAAGTAAAGTTAAAGTAGGACTAACGGAAATAACTATGGAAACTTGAAACAGGTAATAACCACACTGAGTAGCATTGTTATGTAAAACTTCTCACTCACCTATGCTTTATACCCTAATATGAGCTCACAGTGCAGTGAAAACAGTAAGCATAGTATATGATTAATAGTTAGAGTTCTGGCATCAGCCAAATGAGGACATGGGCCCCAGTAGCTCTGCCACAGACTGCCTCAGGGACCAAGGTCCCATTTCTTAGCTTCTGGGAACAACCACTTCTTTATCTTGCAAATAAGGGTAAGAGCAGTCCTCATTGCATAGGGATGTTTTGAGAATTAGATGTGATAATGTATGTGCTGAGCTTAACACCATTTCTTGCGCTTAGTAAGTGCTCAATAAATGTTAGCAATTTATATTAGTAGCAAAATTGAATGCTGTAACTATACTGTTTATTTTACAAAGCTAATTAAACAGGCTGTGCAAGAGTTAACCCAGAGTAGGAGAATGGCAGAGAAGTGAAAGAACACTGTGGTTGGAGATTTAAAACCACCCTCTTCCCCAGAGGAGCAGCAGCAGCACCAAGTCGTCCAAGTGGTACCATGGCAGTTTGTCCTTGGCAGTGGTGAGTCAGTAGGGCACATGCCTCAGTACTTATTAATAGTCAAGGGATCTGGTGTCTATAAATCTCAGTGATTTGGACCAGAGAGCAAAATCACTTTGGCAGGCAGCACAGAGAATGGGGAAATCTCTCTGGAAGAGCTGTCAGTTAGAATAATTATTTATACAGATTCATCTCTTTCTCTTTCTGAACAAAGTATATTATTTAATAAAATATTGATGGTTAGAGTAATACGATTATTGTAGAGTAAGTACTTTGTTCCTGGGAGGTTCCCTCTAAATCCTCAGAATTTCTCAAGTGATAGGAGTGTCTTTGTTATTCCTGGTGGGTCCTGATAGTTTATGTTAAAGTGACTCAGGATGGGGACTGGCCACATCAGAAAGTCCAATCATGTGATTCAAGGGTTGGGGCTTTCAGCCACATGACATCAGCCTAACCTCTAGGAAAAGGAGGAGAAATGGAAATTGAGCTCAGTCACATGACCATGATTCAATCAATCTGGCTTACATAATAAAAATCCAATAAAAACTCTAGACACTGAAGCACAGGTGAACTTCTTGGTGGAAATACACATTGGAATGTGTTATGGATGGAATGTTTGTAACCCTCCAAAACTCACACGTTGAAATCTAATTCCTAATGCCATAGTGTTTGGAAGTGGGCCTTTGGGAGAGTGAGCCATCATGAATGGGATTAGTGTCAGAGAGCTAGCTTGCTTGCTTTACACCATGTGAGGACATTGCTAGGAGACAGCTGCCTGTAAACCTACAGGAGGGCCCTCACCAAGAACCTGACCCTGCTGGCACCCTGATCTCAAACTTTCCACCTCTAGAACTGTGAGAAATAAATGTTAATTCACCCAGTTTATGAAATTTTGTTATAGCAGCCCAAGCTGGCTGAGACAAAAGGTGACACATGTCCTGAGGACACAGAAGCTTCTTGGGACACTCCCAGACTTTGCATTTGGGGCCTCTTTCAGCTTGTCCTGATATGTATCCTTTCTAATGAAACTGTAATTCCAAATTCTTGAGTTCTGTTCATTATATTGAATTATGAAAACTTACGGGGTAGGGGAAATACTCAAATTTGTAACCAGCTAGTCTAAGGTGTGAGTGGACTGGGTGATATTGTGAAATATATATTTGGCCTCTGCCTGAAGGTCAGGAGATAGGGTTCCTAAGCCCCTTGGAGACAGAAGTGCTAGGAGAATCTTTTGTTCTAATATATGGTCTTTGACCCTGGTTCATGACATAGAATTCCTAACATCTTTGCAATTTCTGAGTGGTAGTAACATCTAACACAGAGCTCCTAAATCCCTTGGAATTGGTAACAGAAGCATCTTGTGTGCTAATAAGATGACTCTTGGCGGGTCCTGGATAGCCTTAGGATGTGAGCTGGTTGCCCAGGGAACCAACCATGTGATTAGAGCACTGAAACTTTCAGGACCACCCCCCACCCCCACTCCCGACGAACTGATTTCTGAGGAGAGGAAAGGGGCTGATGGTTAAGTTGATCGCCAGTGGCCAATGATGGAATTAAGCATGGCTACATGATGAAGTCTCCATTAAAAAAAATAATAATAAAATAAAATAAGAAACAGGACAAGGTTCAAAGAGCTTCCAGATTGCTGAACACGTGGAGGTGGTGGGATGGTGGCATCCCCAGAGAGGGCATGGAGGGTCTGTGCTTCTTCCCATATTCATCAATCATCATTCAATTCGTCTATATCATTTGTCATATTTTTTTAAGAGACAGAACCTCACTCTGTCACGTAGGCTGGAATTCAGTTGCACAATCATAGCTCACTGCCGCCTTGAACTCCTGGACTCAAGTGATCTGCCTCAGCTCCCCGAAGCACTGGATGTTAGGCATAATCCACCACACCCATCCTATGGTATTCTTTATAATAAACCAGTAAATGTAAGTAAGCATTTCCCTGAGTTCTGTGAGTTGTCCTAGCAGATTAATCAAACGAAGAGGGAGCCATGGAGACACCCAATTTATAGTGGGTTGGTCAGAAGCACAGGTCACAACTGGGGACTTGTGACTGGCATCTGAAGTGGGAGGAAGTCTTATGGGACTGAGAGCTGAACCTGTGGGATCTGACACGATCTCTAGGTAGATAGTGTCAAATTGAGATAAATTGTAGGACATTCCATTGGTGTCCACTGGAGAATTAATTGTTGGTAGGGAGAAATCCATCCCCCTCAACATATACATTTTGTTGGCCCGAAGTGAAATGTTCTATACAATGTTGTATGGCTGTGTAAAAAAACAAAAACTGTTTTGCTAAAGACCTCAG
This sequence comes from Homo sapiens, assembly GCF_000001405.40. Taxonomy (NCBI): domain Eukaryota; kingdom Metazoa; phylum Chordata; class Mammalia; order Primates; family Hominidae; genus Homo; species Homo sapiens. Next base: position 65,218,691 of record NC_000008.11, read on the forward strand.
AACGCTTGAACTTGCAGCTGGTATCTGAAGAGAGGAGAGTCTTGTGGGAGGTTGTGCTGTAACCTGCGAAGTTTGCAGTAACTCCAGGTAGTTAGCAGCAGAATTGGATTGCAAAACTCAAGGAAGAAATAGGTATAAAATGACTCCTAAGAGTAAGACATTATATGCCACCAAAAAAATTGCAGAAAATGGGGTACAATTTGTATGCTATCTGAAAGCAAAAGAACTGTGAAGTTTTGAAAAACCATCTTTCTTTATTAAAATATTTAACTTTAACCTGGGATTAGTTGCTCACCTTCATTCAGTCATTTTTGTGGCTCACAACAGTCAGTGCCCATTGAAGGCCTTGCAGGCACTTCAGGTTTTCTAAGAACTAAATCATCCAATAAATATGACTTCATCCAAAGAAAACTACCAATACAACAGGACTTACTTGTCCACCTTCTCTCTCCTTGATGCTTAACTTTTTAATGTTATTCAGGAAGATTTTAGATGCATATAACACATCCATTGGTTACCACAAATGCTTTTTTCCAATCATTCGTTCATTAGACATGTATATATTAGCAAACCACTATGTGTCCAGCTCTGGGCAACAGATAGCGAAAAGAATAGCAACCTTGGCCTCAGAACTTTTCTGAAGCTCTATTTGCTAGCTCTGTGACCTTCAGCAAATCATTTGCCCTTTCTGTAAGATAAGGAGATTGGACTAGATGACATTATTGGGGTATAAATGTCCTGTCCAACTCTAAATGCTATTGATTCTTTGTGTCAGCCTACATTTCCTGGGAGACTGAAGCATGACTTCTTCACCGCGTGTTTGCCAACTCTCTTGTGAGTCTTGCCTCAGCTCATTCTCAAACTCCCCCTCCTTGTTCCATAAATCTGCATACGAAAGGACCAGACAGCTGTAGCTCTCAACAGCTTTGGTTTTCATCAGTGCCTGTGTCATCCTGTGTGCTGAAGCTGCTTTTTAAAGGGGCCAAGCCTCCTTTAAACAATTCTAAATATTTTTGAAGATACAAACCAGAGCATAACAAGCTTACAAATAGATAAAGCAGTAGAGTTTTTCCACAGGTGGTTAAACTAACAAGAAGATATCTTTGTGGGAAATTTCCTATGATGTAGGTTGATTGTAGAGGGAACCAGAGCAACCTTGGAGAAGCTAGGATAATGTTAGACAGTGGGAAGAAATCAGGGAGAAAGGTAGCATCAGCAAAGGAGGCAGGACACAGGGAAGAAAAGCTGAGTTCAGAGAGGACATCCTGCATGCTACACACTCTGCCAGGTGTGCTATCCATATTCACCTAAATTTCCCCACAAAACCAAAAATGAGTCATAGTTGTAAGGAATGATACTGCAGCTGAAAAAAATACCACTGCTAGAACAACAAAGACTACTGATGAGTTTGTTAAATAAGTCAAAGATAGAGAAATAGACATTCCCACATTCATACCCTTTGCTATGGTTTGAATCCATGACTCAAAATTCTAGTGTTGAAAACATAGTCTCCAATACAGCAGTGCTGGGAAGTGGGGCCTAGTGGAAGGTGTTTAGGTCATAAGGGCTCTGGCCTTCTGAGTGGATTAATTCCATTATAAAAATGGCTTACAAAAGTGTCTTCTCTCTCTTCTGCAGAGCAGAAGACACAGCCTTCATCTCGTCTTCCCCTTCCACCTTCTGCCGTGTGAGGACACAGCAAGAAGGCCAATCCCAGATGCTGAAACCTTGATCTTGGACCTCCCAGTCTCCAGAGTGTGAGAAATAAATTTCTGTTTCTTATAAATTACTCAATCTCATGTATTCTGTTATAGCAGCACAAATGGACTAAGACACCCTGCTATGTCCTCCTATAACTCTTTTCCTACAAGCCTCACCTTCACATCTAATTTTAAGTCATGTCACTGATTTAAAGGGGGAGAATTGTACTGTGGAAGCTCAGGTATGCATAAAGCAACAGACTTTTTTTTTTTTAATACCAAGAGAACAGAAACAGTTAACAAAATACAGCAGAATGGTAACTTAATGTGAGATTTACATTTCAAAGTTTAAAACTCTAGATTCAAAAGCGAGCATGATTTTTGGCATGGCCTTTGGAAACCAGTGCCAACAACTCATACACACAACTTTTATTCCTCTGACCCCTGCAACTGCTTTGAAGAAATGGCATTTATCTTTTCAATGGTGAAATTAAAACATTTCCAAACATCAGCATTGTAAATTTCTGATCCCAATTTGTTGTGATGTCTAATCCCTTGTTGATTCCTGATTTTCACTTTTTAGTCTCCTGGATTTCATCTTGTTATTCTCATAGACTTATTTCCTGAGTAGATCAGGGACCTGGCTAAAGAAATGGTGTCCTTGATTAGGAAAAGGAAAAAATGTAGAACTTTAACAAAAGTTGGAACCTTTAGAGTGATCAAATTCAGACTTTGTTCACAGAAAAATAAAAAATATAGTCACTCACCTATATGCTTCACTGGTATGACAACAGACAACCGACTATTTAGATTCATGAAGGTTGCAGGCTGCATGTTTCCTGTCATCATTTCATTAATGGACGTGCTATGGAATAGGACTCAGGAGAAAGTAGAAAAAGTATAACCTTTGGAATGTGGAGGGCTAAACTTTAGTCCCAGCTTCTCCAGTTAAAAGCTGTGTAGCCTCAGGCAAATGAATTGACAGATAAGGGCTTCAGCTTTCCTTATCTTTTATCAAAAAGAGGAGAAGAGAAAGAAAAGGAGGAGAGAATGAGGCAAGGAAGGGAGGGAGGAAGGGAAAAAAGTAAGTAGGAAGTAATAATAATAACTACCTCATAGGGCTGAGTGAGAGTGAAATAATATGTATGAAGGCCTTATACACAATGTAATGTTGTAATAGAGAAATAGAGTATTATTTGTAGAAATGGTACTTTAAACACTAACTCCTTTACATATTGAAAAAAAAATCCTGGAAACAAGCTGTGCCTGCTACAATATTTAATAAAAGCATCACCTTGAAATAAGCTGCAGAATCTTCACCCCAGGACAACTGCAGTTTGCTCTTGTTGAGTGACAGTGTAGGTCTGGATTTCCTAGGCATTTAGTTCAGCAATCTCTCCTCCCCCAAGAATGTGTCTTTTTTCATTAGCACCTTCCACAGATTAGAGATTTCTATGTTTGACTTTCCACTGGTTGTGTTTGTCCCTGAAGCCTGGAGTCCTGCACAGGTTAGAATGCCAGCCATCAGACTGTAGGATAAGTACAGTCCTGTCGACGACAGCCTCTGAACTGAAATAGTACGTGGCGGGTGATTGCCTCTGTTCATCCGAGCTGTTAGTTCTGGTTTGGTGTTCAGTAAAGAGAATACGAATCAGGACATGGAGCCTTGCAATAAAGAGGAACTAATGGAGGTAATTAGGAGAGAACACCTGTCAGTGAGAAACTGCACCTCTCCATTGGCCATAGCCAGCCATTGCTCCCAATTGTTATTCACAACAATGGAGAGCCTCTGGACTGTGAATGAGAGCTATGATGGACGGCAATAAAATTCGCAAATGAGCTTTCACATTGTCTAATAAAATTCTATGACTTTGTCAATCTGTGTTGACACAGACCTACACAGGACTAGATGATAAAATGTTGTAATGGGAAGCTAATTGTTTCATTGGCTTTATACGTTTGTCTTTTATTTCTGTGGTTCCAGGTGCAGATTCTGACTATTTTTACAAGGGATCATGAGAACAGTAGTCAATTACCCTGAGTCAAACACCCCGAGTCAAATATCATAGCCCCACACAGCATTTCAAGTCAAACACGGCTACAAATGGGCATAAAAATAAAACCCCCAACACATGAATCTGAACCTGGGGGTATGTAGAATCAGGGCTGCCTAAAACATGGCTCAGAACTTTACATTTTAAGCAATTATAAACAAAAGGTGACTACAGTCATGTAAGTCATGTAGGTTCTAGATTAAAGATTTTTTTTTTTTCTTTGAGACAGAGTCTTTCTCTGTTGCCCAGGCTAGAGTGCAATGGCTCGATCTCGGCTCACTGCAACCTCTGCCTCCTGAGTTCAACCAATTCTCCTGCCTCAGCCTCCCAAGTAGCTGGGATTATAGGTACCTGCCACCACGTGCAGCTAAGTTTTTGTATTTTTAGTAGAGACAGGGTTTCACTATGTTGACCAGGCTGATCTCAAACTCCTGACCTCAGGTGATCCACCCGCCTCGGCCTCCCAAAGTGCTGGGATTACAGGTGTGAGCTACCGCACCCAGCCATTTTTTCTTTTTTTTTTTTTTAAGACAAAGTCTCTCTCCATCACACAGGCTGCAGTGCAGTGACGCAACCTCGGCTCACTGCTGCAACCTCTGCCTTCTGGGTTCAATGGATTCTCCTGCCTCAGCCTCCTGAGTAGCTGGGACCACAGGCGCCCACCACCACACCCGGCGGCTAATTTTTGTATTTTTAGTAAAGACGAGTTTTCGCTACGTTGGCCAGACTGGTCTCAAACTCCTGACCTTAAGTGATCTGCCCGCCTCGGCCTCCCAAAGTGCTGGGATTACAGGCCTGAGCCATCGCACTCGGCCTATATTCGTTCTAAAGATGTCATCTTGAAAGGGAATAAGAAAGCATGTTTATGGCCTTATATTAGCCTCAGAAGATATTATTTTAAAAGTGTACTTTAATTCACAAGTAATTCTGGAAGGTATAACCTATAAAAGCAAGGATTCGCAAAAAATACTGAGATTTGTTGTAGGTGTACCTCAAGTTTATTTTATTTTACGTGCCCAGCACAAAACACAGCTGAGCAAACAAATAATTGTGGAAGGAAGAAAGAGAAGGAGAAGAGACAGAAAGTAGGTTATATATACAGATAACCTCTAGTGGTCAAAAACTGTTTCTAGTTTACTACTTTACTCCCATTGGCTAGAACAAGATAAGCGTATAATAAATATTTAATAAATATTCTTGAGTAAAGAAATAAAAACAGCATATCAAATTTTGTCTCATTGATGGGACAAGCTGTTCATCTAAGTTGTTATTTTTAATGCGGACTCAAAAGGTAAAGAATCAACAACTCTCTTAAATGTTTGTCCATTGAAAATCCACAAGCATGGGCACATGAATAACCTACAGCCACCTAGTCTTTTTCTATATTATAGGAGACAGGGAACATTATCCATTGGAATAATCACCTAGTAATGTCAGTTTGATAGTATAATATATACATATATTATACTTTACTTGGAAAAAGTCTCCATTTCTCTAAGATACTAATTAAGGGTTAATTATGCTTGCTTCTTGCCTTTCTCATAAAGCATTATTGAATCAAAGCTGGTAGTGTATTTTGGATTGTTGGAAATACAGTAACAAAATAATTATTTTAGAAATAAAAATTGAAAAAAATGGAAGAAAAATCAAACTCTAGAACATAATGACATCTGAGAATCAGATTTCACAGGGACTTAAATCTCATTAGCATCAGTTTTCAAAGCATTTCAGCCAATGGAACCATAGTTCACAAATAAATATAAATCAAGTGTGGAAGCCAGAAGTACTTCCAATCTCATATTCTCCTTTTGTGCCAAAATATATTCAAAATCAAAGTATAAATTTATGGGATAGTGAAGTCTTTCTTGACTACACAGACCCCAAGTTCTCCAGTAAATTAAATATGTTGTAGGGCACAAAGATATTTTGTGTAGGATCTTCACAGAAGATTTTTAAAAACATTTGACAATTAAGATAACAAAAAACATATGATAAATTATCTTAAATAAAAATAAATATGATAATACTATACCAAGACAGGAATGCATATGATATAATAATTTGCATTGTGGTTGGAATTGACAAAAGTGAAAATCTGGGAAATTTACACACAGACTCTCATTAAGGGAGGTTAAGTGATGATAGGTTCTTGGAAAGAAAAAACTGGCGGAGGTTCCCTGCCTAGACCCCTTCCAGATTCTAAAACATGACTTGCCCTCTGCATCGGAAAGGAAAGGTAAATCTCTTGACTGCAGTCACAGCACTTAGACAAATCCCTCAACCCTCCTGAGGATCTCTCCTTGTGGGTTTCTCTTACATTTTTTCTGGGCAAGCAGATGAGCACTAAATAATAAGGAAAGGAAGAAATATACATTTGGTATGTTGGCCTAGAAGGCAGTTGCTACATGGTTGCTTACAGAAGGCAGATTAGGAATGTGCAAAGAGTGTTCAACCTGGGCTGGGAGATCCCACTACTGTCAACTTGCACTAACCCAGACCAAAACTGCCCAGGTAATAAATCCAGCAGGACTTGCCTCGTGTCTACTCTTTAGCAGCCCTTCCTTTGAAAGGCAGTACTCAGTTGAAGATGAGGTCCAGTTCGTCACTATCCAGAAAGATTCCAAAATCGGGGGGGATGTATATTCACACCAGCTGAAAGTACATCTCCCTGAGGAAGGCTGTATCTGTCCTCATACTATCCAGCTAACAAAGAAGCACAGAATGTGTCTCCTCCACACCCATAAGGTCACCAGTGCTTTCCGGAAAGGCTCTAAACTTCCCGTCATCATACATAGGAATAAATTTCATAGGACTTTGTCTTATTTGGCATCTTAAAAAGCTATTAGGCAGTAAAAGTATCTGTCTACAATATAGCTCTGATTATGTAACTCCCTTAGATTAATAACAGGAAGAGAATGCCTGGCATTTTTCTAGAATATGCCTTCATACACTCAAGCTTTTGCTCATGCTCTATCTTCTGCCTGGAACACCCTTCTCAAGCTTGTGACAGCTGAAATGACTTCTCTTCCTGAAGTGGTCACTGACATACACTTCCTACCTTGCCTAGGCTCAGCAGTGCCTCCTCATCCTCAGTTTCCACAAAACTTTGCACCTATTTCTATTCTATTAGAATTCAATAATTTACTTATGTGTTTACATAATAGCTCTGTTTACTAACTTGCTATAACCGTGGGCAAGTTATTTTACTCCCTTGGTCTCAGTGTTCTCATCTGTAACGTTGAAGATGAAATAATCACAGTTATATTAATACTTCAAATGCACTGTTCTCTCTCCTGTTTTTGATTTTGTGTTGAGAATATGGTGGGAAGCAAGAACAGGGTTTTGCCCTCCTTTTATATCTTAATAGAAGGGAGAGGAAGACAGGCAATAAGTGTATGAAAAAAAGTAATCTCGGATAATTCTGGGAAGCTCCATGACAAAAATAAAATCAGGTGATGCTGTAGACAGTGGTGGAGACACAGAGAGACTCTTTAGACAAGGTGGAAGACAAATTTCAGTTTAGAACAAAACCAGGAAAGAGAGGCAGCTTTTGTGTCCATATTCCAAGTAGAAGAAATGTCAAAGTTCTGAACTGGGAATGGTCTTGGTGTGTTCAAAAAGGATGAAGAAGACAGCAGTGACCTTGACAGACTGAACAGGCAGGTGGGGAAAGTTGAGATGGGGAATATGAGCGAATATCAGATCACGCAGGGCCTTGTAGGAGTTTGAGTTTTATTGTGCTGCAACAGAAAAACATCAGAGGATTTTAAGCAGTTGACATAATTTGCTTTGTACTTTGGAAAGATCATTCTAGTTGCTGCATGGAGGGAGGTTTTGTTGGAGGTGGGTAGGAGCAGAAAAGCCATTTAAGAAGGTGTTTTTACAGTACAGGCAATGTGGTGCAATGGTTTGGGAAGTGTTGTAGCTGTGAAAATTATGAAAGTCAAGATATATTTTGGAGTAGAGTGAAAATGAATCAATATATTAGACATAGAGAGCAAAGGGAAGTTAATCAAGATTGATTGCTCAGTGTTTGGCCTGAGCAACTGAGAACACTGAGGTAGTGAAGGCTTGGGTGAAGGGAGCACTTTTGACTGTGGAAGTCTCAACCTTGTTGAGATTGAGATATCACTGGGCATCCGGATGAAGATGCAAAGTGGTCAGTAAAATTTATCATCTAGCGCTCAGGAGGGAGGATAGTCTGGGAGTTTCACAAATTTGAGAACCATCAGAATGTCAGTAAGAAAAGCCATTGAATTAAATCAGTTTGTCTAGATAAAGAGGGAATGTAGAGAAAATAAAAGAGCAGAGGGTTCCATACTAGAGCATGCCAACAGGCAGATGCAAGAGAAAGGACCAGCAGAGAATGTAGAGAAAGTAGAGAGAGAGTTAGGTAGAAAAGAAGAGCAGACAGGTATGGTGTCCCAGCACCAGATGAGAACGGTTTCAAGAAGAGAGTGAACATCTGCTGCTGAGTGAGTAAGAGAGAATTGAACCACTGTCTTTGGCGTAAGGTAGGTCATTGTTTTGTTGTTGCTGATGGGAAGTGTCATGTCTGACAGTTCCGAGTGCCTCCTTGATATTACTACTCATAAAGTTGAGTCAATTTCAGCTATCCTGGTGGTGTAATTTCCTCCATCAACTTTCAGCTCCCCTAGTCCAGGTGAGGAGGGGTGAAAAATTGAGTTTAACCAGGATGTGGGTTTGGTTGGCAAAATGTCAAAATGGCTTATTCTAAATTTCTTCCAGTCTCTAAAAGTTCATCAAATAAAGCAAAATCTGTTTTCCTTGAATCTAAAATTTCAAACTAATTCTTTAACTTTTAAAATTCTTCAAATTAAGATTATTTATGGTTGCATGAAAAAACTTGACAATGAAGCAATGGGAGAGGGATCTTTAGCAATCTTGCATGTTATTTAAATCACAAATATTGGACTAGGAATATGTATTAATCCAGAACAAATGTCATGGTTTATTCTTCCAATATTTTTCACTTATACTTTGCTTCCCTTCTTTTTCCAGGTTTGATCCTTGGGAAGTATAAAAGAATAGATTATGAAAATCTTGATGCCCTGTTGGATGTGTCCAAGGGTTATTCAATGTCAAAGTAAGAAATGCCATCAAAATCTTTTAAAATAACACGAAAGCAAGAAATTTATATACTAATAGAAATTATTTATCTCAGTGAATAATTCAAAGATTATTCCCTTAAATTCTGACATCTTATAGAACACAGCATTTGTCTTTTTTTGTTTCATTTTAGGAAAATCTAAAATTAAAACCTACTTTACATTCTAAAAATAAGTGGTTTAACTCCTGAAAATTTATTCAATCACATTTTAAACTCCAACATACATATTTCTAGACTTGTAAACATATTTGCATTCTTTTAAATTTAAATAGAAATAGATTTGTTAAAATCCAGTTCTCTGAAATGCTCAGGAAAGTATCATCTGGCTTGATTTTTATAAATTATCTGTAATGTTTTTAATAAAATTACTTTGGGATATATGCTACTTCAGAAAAAGAATTAATGCTTTAACTCTACTTGTTATGAAGCATTAATTTTTCCAGTGTCCATTCAGTGGGCAAAAATAAGGAGTTGTCATTCTCAGTATGGAGCAATGTTTAACTCTTGCTAAATTCATTTTGTCATAATAAAGAAAACCCACTTGAATTCCAAACATTACAAGTGACAAAACATTTTATAGAGCATTCATTTTGTATGTAGACTGCCCCTGAAGTACTCTGCTTTAATCTAAATGAAAAAGCCAAAGTGAAGTCAAAAATTATTTACTGTTTCTTCTTCCTTGACATTTCTTAACAGGACATAACAACCTGGTAAAAAGGGAAGCCTGCACAGACAGGCCTCCTTATCCGTGTATTCAGCAAACCCCACCAGCTCTCCTCATCCAGTGGCCGTAAGAGCAGTACCTCAACATGAATAACAGCAACGCCTTGCGCTCATATAATGCTCTCTGGTTTACAAAGTGCTTTTCATATTGGGTTTGTTTCTTTTTAATGAGAGGGAAAGTTATATGAAGGATTTTATTCCCTTAGAAGACAGGAGACTTTTGGCAAGATTTTGAATCTTTCCTCTGTGGCCAATTAGTGACAATTCCACTTTTGCAAGACAGCCGTCTCCCTGTCCAATTTGACAAGGCAAAGCAAGAAGACTGGCACTAAATTCGGTGCCAACAGTAGTTCAAAATCTCACCACCATCAAAATATGAATTTGGATGCAAAATTCCAGAGCTTGCATAGTCTGCTACGGCCTCCAAAGAGGCTGAATTGTAAGCAGAGTCAGCTTCTAAAAGGAGGAGGTTGGTGGCAGTGTAAATGGCATACCCTTTCTGCAGAGGAAGTTCAGCAACATATTTACAATGAAAGCAAAATTGCATAATTGTGCAAAAACATACATACCAATATATTTATTTCAGCTTCATGTATAGTAGGAAAAAATAGAAGGGAGGGTATTTATCAACCTATAGGTAGTTAGTTAAACAAAATATGGCAAAATGATTAACTGGAATACCATGTACCCAATAATAAAAATACAATGTTATACCACATGGGGATGGGTAGATTAGGCTAGGTATTAAAGAACCTAATAGGCTGTGATAACGCAAGAGTTGGACTTTTTCTCAGTGTGAATTAGAAAGCCACTGGAAATTTTTGAACATAGAAGTGACAGGATTTGACTTACATCTTCAAAGGATCCCTTTGGCACTATGTCAAGAAGAAACTACGGCAGGACTGTGGGAGGAAGCAATGGTGATACACCAGGGGGGCTGGTGATGGCTCAGAGCAGGTGCTGTCAGCAGCGGAGGTGGGGAAAGTGCTTAAAGTCTACAAACGGTGAAGGTCAAGAAAGCATGATTTTTTTAATATATTGGGTATAAGGTGTGAGAGAAAGTGAAGAGTCAAAAAGGACCCCCAGGTTTTGATTAAATAGGTGTGTGTGTGTGTATGTGTGTGTGTGTGTGCATGCATGAGTAAAGCACAAAAGAACGCACCCCCAAAATAACAGGGTGGTTGCTGAATAATTAGATAACAGAAGATCTTTATTTTCATCTTTCCACTTTTGTTTGGGATTATGCAAGGAGCATGTGTTACTTCAAAATTTAAAAGCTATTTTTTTTAGATAAACTGATGACATTAAGAATAAGAAACAGTTTGCCTAGCATATATTTTTTTGGTCAGCCACCTTTTGTTGCATGACAACCAAGCCTCATAGAATAGCAAGCAACAACTCTGGAATGTGAAGCAATATCTGACCCCCAACCTGCCCAGTTTTAGGATTCATAGCAGGTTGCATATCTCTATCTGGGTCTTTTCTAACTGAAAGAAGAAATTTGCTAAGGCCTCCCACACGATGAACCTGAAGATTAACACCACGGAGTCAGCACACCTGCCAACCAAACCACATAAGTAAACCTCCATCTGTGTAGTGAAATGACTAATTCTTATTCTCATTAACCCTCTTAGATAGCATATTTGAGTCTTCCTCTTTTTTAAAATTTTTATTTTCTCTTTACATTTTCATAGGCCTATAGCATGCATACATTTTATTTTGGTAAACCACCTCAAATCCTTTTATTAAATATATGGAGTGAAATAAATACATACATAAATAGCTGGTTGTTTTTTTTCTCCACATCCCCCTCCTTTGATTCCACATTTACCTGCTTGATTTATGTCTTGCTCACCATCATGCTATTCATTCTCCTAACTTCTTTCCTCTACTGTGCAATTAACAGAAGTCATGAGGAGAACCATGCAGCTGAGAAAAATATTCAGATAAAGGTCTGCATGCCACACCATGCTATTAGGAGAAACAGTCCAAACAAATCTAATACATAAGTAATACACTGGGTCCAGGGAGCTGTGTATGAACTTGGGCAGATATGCCCTCAGCAGACACTCGTCACAGCAGGAATGGGGTACCCCTGAATGTGAATCTCTTCATTCTGCAGTAAAGATTAATAAAACCTGATTGTGACCCAAAAATTGTGACATGATACACTGCAGGATAAACAAAATTGTTCTCAGAGCAGAGGTAGATTTTCCAGCATTATATGGAAGAACTTCTGATAATTTGCATAAAACCAGATCTCTTCCATTTCAGCAAACCTCCCTTCTCCAGTGCAGCTGCACCATTCACTTTTTGTCCTTCAACATGTGCACACCTTGAACCAATGGATCAGTGATAATTCCAAGCTGTGCTTCTCCCTGGGCTACTTATGACGGGGACTTTTGCATTTCTAGCTCATCTCATGGCAAATATTCCAACACTTGGAAGTTAGGCACACAGTCTGTGCATGTACTAGGCATGTGGCTTTCTGCATATGTCTGCACATCATTTTTCAGGAAACTCTATTTCACACTACACCAGCTTGATGAGTAGCTGTTGTTCACACCCACTGAGAAATAACTTCATGTGAGAATAATACCTTTACAACTTTGAAATGTCCTCAGACAGACTTCTCATCTCCAGGCCATCAACCTGCTGTGAACTCTCATCCTGACTTTTCACACTTACAGGCAACAGTCGTGCAACATACTGTCAAACAATATGAAGGTCTGGGGAGATGTGGAGGAGTGCAAAATTAAATTGGAGCCAGAACATCTTTTTAGCTCAGTAGAATTTTTAATAATTAAAAAAATCCACCATATATGCAAGTATATTCATATTTGGTGTCTATTTAAAACTTCTTCTCCATGTCTCTGAAGTGTGTCTAGATTTCTTATCCTTATTGTCATTCTTTTTGTTGAAGGATAGTGTATGAATTCTGCATCTGTGGTCTCTGTCCTCAAGATACTTCCTAATTCCATCTTCTTCAAGTATTTCTGATCAAAAATCTCAGTCTTTTCTTTAAGACGCAATTATTATAACACTGAAGCAATTAAGAGCTTGGTGGGGGGTCTGAATTTTCTCTTTGAGAACTATCCAGAAATAATTTTAGTCCTCTTTGTTGAAAATCCAGCAAAAGTTAGGCATTCAATGAATAGCTCTGTAGGAAGAAATAGAATAACCAACTCTTTCATTCAACAAATAATTCAACCCCTGAAATGTGCCAGACTGTGAGTCTGCTCAGCAAGGTGAGTCGGATGTGGATCTGGGCCTCAAGGAAACTCACTCGAGCTCAGCGGAAGAGCTGACATGTCAATTACAGTCTCCCCAATTCAACAAGAACACTTCTCAGCAAGGACTGAATTACACACATCAAACTTCTCCTGTTAATTTTTAGTTAAGTAGAAAGTTCAATTAAGTGGAAATCAACTCACTCTTAGTGTTTAATTCTTTCAGTTAATGTCCAACTAGCTCAACATCTGGAACTCAGTTCAACTCAACAAATGTTATTGAGTTGATTCCCATAGAGTGCAGCATGCAAGGTGCTTCGTACAAAGAAGACACTGGTAAGAGAGAGGATGACTGGTTAATGACAATCTGCCAACCTGGACAGAAGAGTGGGCTAGTACACAGTACTTGTCATTCAGAGCAATAAGAGTAACAACAGCAGAATACAAGATATGGGCACTGATTATAGAGGTTCAAGGAAAAAGCAGGGCAACAAAGAATTAATTGAGCAGCCTCCTTCCTGTCTGTAGATGCACAATCAGGAGGCCTGAATGGGTCCTGACCCAAGACACCTTCTAGAAGTTATTTCAAAAGTGACCAGCATCAGTTAGTTCCCTTTCGATTCACCCCTCTCCTAAAGAGTCATTAGAGAGAAAATCTGATAAATTAAAGCTCTGAGTAGTTTAATTCTGTTTAATAAGAGTTGTCCTGAATACATAATTTTGGATTTCTTCTTTAGACTTACAAGATATTTTTTATGTAAATTATTGTTTGAATGTGAAACTTAAAAAAGTGTGTACATATAAGCATAATAATATATGCTTTATATTTATATAATGTATAATATATATCTTATATGTATATAATGTATAATATATACATTTGTATGTACATACAGAACACAAATAATAAGTATAGACAGAAGGTTCTTGAATACTAACATTTTGTTCAAAATCATTCTGTTATAACATTGATGAGAAAAAAAATTGATTCCCACCCAGGGCCACTGTCTGTATGGAATTTGCACGTTCTCCCGAAGTCTATGTGGGTTTTCTCCCACATTCAAAAGATGTGCATATCAGGTTCACTGGCATGTCTGAGTGGTCCCAGTCAGAGTGACTGCAGGTGTGTGTGAGTGCACCCAGTGATGGGTAGGTGGCCTATCCTGGCATGTCTGAGTGGTCCCAGTCAGAGTGACTGCGGGTGTGCATGAGTGCACCCAGTGATGGGAAGGTGGCCTGTCCAGGGAGGGCATCCTGTCCATGGTAGGTTCCTGCCTTGGGCCCTGAGCTGGGAGAATAGGCTCTAGCCACCCACAACCCTGAACGGGAATAATTTGGTAAGCAATGATCTTACTTGTTTTTATTCGTCTTTCTTAAATGTACATATATCTCACATTTATTTCAATGTTTAATATTAAAGTGTTCTGATCTTTATTTAGAAGTTTGTTGATGTTTTTTGTGACCAGAATATACCATAGGAACTTAACTCTTATTTATATCAATTAGCCTGTGGTAAAATTGGTTCCACATTATACATCATTTTGCTCAAAGATAGAGTTTCCAAGAAACTGCCAACAATGTTGAGGACTTGCTGTATATTTACATTAAGGATATATAAATATACATTACATATACATACATAGATAATAGGAATATTCCTGACTATATATTTTAAATAACTATTAACACCAAATATTAAATAACTATTAATACAAAAATTTTTAATAATTATTAATACCAACTATTAAGGAGAACACCTTCACTTTTAATTTAGCACTCATACAGAAAGTTCAAAAAATGACATATGGAAACATATGTGCTTTGAGTAATTTGTAGTCAACCAATGAATAGAATAATACAATATGCTTCAAAGCACAACCACTATAAAAAAAAAAAAACACTTGATTTTAGCAAATTTTTCTTTCACATTTCTCAAAAAAAAAAAAAAAAGAATGTCAGAGTTTTCTTTCCAGCTCAGCTTGAGAAAATGTCTTGGAGTACTTTATGATATATGCATAGACACGTCTTAGGAAAATGAAACTGCAGTTACCATCATTTATGAATTTAAGAAAGCCATTTAAGACAAAGGGAACCAAATTTCTCATCAAAAAGGAAAACACATTTCATGACAGTAAAAACTTTGAGATATTGCATGAAGTAGTCTTAATCTAGTTTACAATGTTTAAAATCCTTGCAAAAACTCAGCATGGGAACTGTTTTAACTGTAAAAGATTTCCAAAAAAAAAAAAAAAGAATTCTGAACACCAGGATGGAAAGTAATCCAGAAACCATGATGCTATTTAGTTGGTACTTCTTAGCAGCCTGGGTAATCTCTGGCACAGTCAGCTAGTCAGGAAGTGGCAAATGTCTAAGACGTACCTATCAATTGGCTAATAATAAACTCTTTGACAAAGTTCACCAGTAGCTCTGTGTTCCCCAGTAAAACAATAAAATACAAACACAAACTTTTCCTTTAGAAATAGCAGGAGACATACGGTATTTCAGAATGCAAGTAACTCTACTAAACAGATTATCCTCCAATACTTAATCTATTAACCACGAGGACATGAAGAAAGTAATTATCAAATCCTCTTTTTTTTTTTTTTTTTTTTTTTTTTGAGACGGAGTCTTGCTCTGTTGCCCAGGCCGGACTGCGGACTGCAGTGGCGCAATCTCGGCTCACTGCAAGCTCCGCTTCCCGGGTTCAAGCCATTCTCCTGCCTCAGCCTCCCGAGTAGCTGGGACTACAGGCGCCCGCCACCGCGCCCGGCTAATTTTTTGTATTTTTAGTAGAGACGGGGTTTCACCTTGTTAGCCAGGATGGTCTCGATCTCCTGACCTCATGATTTTCCCGCCTCGGCCTCCCAAAGTGCTGGGATTACAGGCGTGAGCCACCGCGCCCGGCCCAAATCCTCTTAAAGTTATCATTAGTTCTTCTGTTTAGGAGTGAACAGTTTTTCTCAAAGGAGACAAAAAAGACACTGGATTTCCAGTGAAAAGTCCTTAGGACTCCAAGTGGGTCAGGTGGAATTACAGGGTAGTGTCAGCTGGTTTGGGCTTCTGAATTGCTGATTCACAACTGATGGTCACGATAAAGCTCGTCCATCAGAGAAGGAAGTAAGCGTGACCACATTTTAGAATTTACTTCCATGGCCACATCATTTTGATTTGACAGATACTTTCTGGGATTCACATATGTTTTCTGGTCTATGTCCTGTCTGTTCAGGGAGATACAGTCTCCCTGAGGGCAGACTCATCTTCCGAGGAGCTCGGCATCTTTATCTCCAGTACCACGCACATCCCAGGTTTCGAAGGAATTAAGGAAATTTAGAGCTGGAAAGGGGCCAAGAGGTTAGTCCAAATCCTTCCTTTATAAGCAGGAAACCCTTTCTAAATACTAATACGGTACAGACTTAGTGGGGGCCAGGAGGGCCCAGCAGTCCCCTGGATGCTCATGGAAAGCAGTGTCCTAGCCTGACTGCTCTGTGTCACCCCCACCACCCCAAGCAAGAGAAGATTCTCAATAAATCTCTTTTGGTTACAATTTCTGGATTATTTTGCAAAATTATTTAAAAGAAACCTTGTGATCCATCTTTGTTAAAAGCTGAGTATTATGCAGTTAGAAAATAAGACACAAATAATTTGGAAAATGAGAAATTTCTTCTCTCTCTGCAGTCTGTCATTCTTCCCCACTTGCCTTTCCTTTTGTTTGGATTGATTATAAAACCTGCTCCTATCTTATAGGGGCATAAATTAATGGAATTACTGTGCTAAACATTACCCCTGGTAAATGGTCCTTGTATCTGTAGGTTTTTTTCTCCTTGTCTGTTCTCATGAATGATTTCAATGATTTTCAGATTTTCCACAATTAATTAATTAATTAGCCCATCAAAGACATTATTGCAGCTAACACTGAGCACCTCCTACGGTGTATCACTGCCAGGGTTTCAAACAGTTGCCGAATGATGACCTGAGTGTTAGAGACATCTAATGCATTTATCAGCACTGAGCTGAAAAAAATAAGTTAGCACTGTCAAATGATGCAAGTAAACTTTCTAATGATAGAAGCAAACTTTGCAATTTCTGCCCTTAGCAAGGGCTGAAGCCCCTTACTCATCCCTTACAGATGACAATTACTGTCTGTGTTTTACAGCCCCAAAGCCTGTTTTTGAGTATTGGATCAGAACAATGTATTCAGGGAGCCATATACAGCTGCCAACAGGATGGCATCTGTCTGTTAGTGGTGCATGAATCTTCAAGGTCTTCAGTGAGTGCTACTTTATCATTTATCTGAAACAGTGGATGTGGAGGTGTAGATTGGAGCATGTGTGTTGCTCTTTGAATGACTATATTGCAGAGATACTTGGAAATAGAAACAGCTATCTACAGGGTGGAATAAGTGTTTAACCACAACAGATAATCTGAGGAGTTTTGCAAAGGGAACTCTCTTATGATCTTGAGAAATGTCTTTTGCTAGAAAAATAGATTTCATTCTGCAAACTCAGTGAGCATCTTCTCCAACAATGTGGTCTTCTGGAGTATACCGAAAGTTGTGAATGTTGTAAAGGAATATTATTGATTGAAAGAGTCGAAATTCTCTGTTTTATAGAATAAGTATTTTATACACTCTGGAGCAAATTTTATGCATTCTGGAGCAAATAAACCACAAATTTACATATCCACATGGATAGCTTATAAGTGTACCTGTTTTAATATCTATAAGATCACATACCAACATTAACACATATCAATTTCAGAATATGCCAGCTCTGTTTGGCCTATTTCCTTGTATTGACTCATGACTTTCATGTGCCATTACCCATTAATAGCCTCTTCTTTGGTTCTTCTTACATTTCTCATGTCTACTGGAAACTCAGTGATAATTTCACGTTAAAGAGAGCCGGGAGGCCTAACCGTTATGCAAAATTCCAAAAACATTTTTCACAAGACAGGGAAATGATGCATATGAAGGACCCTAAGGCACCATTCCTCTTGGTAGATGCAATGGGTTCATGATTTTTATAGCCCAAGTAACCAATAAATAAGTAAGTAGATAGGTAGACAAATAATTCCAAAGAAGAGAAATTTTTTAAAGTGGACTTACCATCTCTAGCCATATTTATTCTAGTAAGAAACAAAAGATGGACATAACTTACCTTCTGCTCCCTGATAAAATCCTGCCTTAGGAAAGTTAATTACAAGATCCCACTGAGTCTGACATGTAGTGAGGTAATGAAAACTCTTTGGTTCTAGAGAATTACAGTATAGTACACAGTGCTCACAAACAGAATGAATAATTGAAATCCAGAGCTCTTATGCTCCAATGGAAAAAAAACAATATTTCATGGCACATAAATTTATTCAGCTTATTTGCATTAAGGCTGAATGATCAAGGCACTGTCCAAAGAAAAATAGTGATGGTACCTTAATTTAAGTGGGATGAGCGTTCATAAATATTCTTAGGAAGCAAGATGTACCTACATTTAATCAGCACTTATTAAAATTTTATTCACTATAGTTATTCAACAGGATCTGTGGTATAAAAACATAATTACAAAAATCAGATTTGAGCTCATTTGACAACAGAAGGGTTTTATGGTGACCTATCTCCAAATGTTCCTATTTGTAATTAAATGCAGCGATCAGCAGTAAGGATTTTGAAGCTGTTTTAGTAGTTCCGCTATTCTGCTTAACATGTGGCACCCGTAATAATTAAAATGATACTAACACATGCACAATTTTATGGCCCTTATGGTGCAACCCATTATGCCAAATAAGGGCCTCTGTTTTCACAGCATACTGCACATGGTCTCATTACACCCACTTTTCTTTTCCTGTCTTCACACTAACAACTGTTAAAGTGAATCAACACACGAAACGTACTATAACAGCTTAGTGTTTATGATATGTGTGCTGTTAGTCAGTGAACAGGAAAATCTAAACATTTACTGTTTATGTAAAGAATAGCGTTAGTGTTAGCGAATTGCTCGGGTCTGCTTACTTTATTATCTAGATCACAAACGTAATGATGGGTTTCAATGGCATCTATATTTTCGCTTTGTTTTGTTTTTCAATGCAGATGTCTATAAAAAACAGAAGAATTTAGCATTTACATGTCTTGGAATATTTCTGCTGAACCATAAAATAATTCAGAGATCACTTAAAAAAAGATAGATAGATCAGTAGTAGAAGAAGCATTCTCTTACAAAAAAATAAGAAGATGATGATGAAGAAGGAGGAGAAGAGAAACAGAGAAAGATTTAAACATATTTAGAGATGATTTCCCTCACAACATGCCTAGGCTGAATCTGGTTTATCTGAGGTGTTAAAAAGCGATAAGCCGTTTTTATGTGTATCATACTAAAATTTACAAGAAACTGGGAATTTGAGATTAGTGCCATTTTATCATGAATAATTTTGTAATTAAGAAGCTCCTCAAAGACCTCCTACACTCATTTTACAGTCATCAGTTCCGAATGGCATTCAGTCTTTTTGTTCTGGGACACAATCCAAAATAGGTCCCATCGGTAGAACACCAACGGATCAGGCAAGATCTCACCTCTGATTTTTACATTCTCATTTTTCTGAACATCAGTTGAAACTTCAGATTAAGAATAACAACTTTTCTTCATTTTCTCCTTCTGGAGTCAAACTCAAGCCTGTCCATTTAGGAATGTTGCCGTATTGGCGCTAACCGGGAAGAAGCTGAGCTGAGTAGGCCTTGAATGTTAATGGCTTAATAGCTCAATTGATTGCAAAGATACAGAAGAAAAATGCTCACAGATTGCAGCCTTCACATGGTTTGGCTCTGCGATCTCATAAACAGTGTGACGTCAACCAGTAGAGAACCATGTGGATGCTGTATGAGGACCATGCGCTCATTACAGAACTGTGAAAATTTGTGGGACGGCAAAATAAAAATTATCAGCCAGGAAAAAAAAAGGCAAGATGAGAAATGGTAGGGGGAAAGCAGCTTAAGAAAGACCTAACACATTCTTCTATATAGGCCTCTCAGTCAAAAGACTAGGAACACTTAATATTATGTAAATATGACTGCAGGTCCAACAAACTGCAAGAACCTGAGAAGCTACAAAGAGACACTCCCAGATAGTACTCTGGAAAGATTGCATCCCTGTTAGGGCACATTCTCCAACTCCGCTGCTTACCAAAAAAAAAAAAAAAAAAAAAAACCCACCCTCTTCAATAATTGAAGAAGGAATAAGGCTTTTATCTGAACGTGTAGAAGGTTGCATTTTGCAATCTCTTTTCTTTGATTTTAAAAAAGTGTTTGTGATCAGCATTAGTATTTACTACCCTATGATCAAAAACAAATAACCCACTTTGTTTGTTTCTTACTGCAAATGAATTAAATTAGAAGCCATTAGGAGGACTTGCTGCTTATATCCTTGTTTCAGCAGTGGTAGTATTTGAAGTTTCCTGCGGTAAGTTCATTACTCGTATTTTGTCCAGAATTAGTGAAGCGTGCTGAAAATTGCTAATGACAGATGTTTCTCCACTCTGTCACACTTCTTGTATCATTTGATTTGGAAAGCAACATACGGTGTTCTGCTCTATCAGTATGTCACAGACTGTCTGTAAACAGCTGGTCATAACTCAGTTCAGTGAAAACCATTACTTTCCAATGAAGGGCTGGACACCCTCCAAATTGCATTTTGGCATGGCCTCGGCTGCATAATGCACAAAGTTCCTCTGTTATGAGGTTACCTAAGGAAGATCTCTCACTTTCTCTGCTTGTTTTTTATGTTTCAGAAAATAAGAGTGTTTTCTCGGCAATAGATAGGAGATCAAGAGAATATAAAAAATACATATTTTAATGATAATATTAAGTATTCAGAAAATCTGTGAATGGCGCATTGCAAAAGACAACAACAGAACCCACCCAAAATGTGTATCATGCCATTTCTAGTTATCTCTTTGGTTGAAGGGAGCATGCTTTATTAGGGGTCAGGACACACAAGATAACATATTTAAATGTCTCCTATAAAATATCTGTGGCATATGAGCATGACCAAGTGGCTATTCCATGATATCTAGTCACAGTGAGAAATACTAAAATCATTCCCCTGTCATTTATATGATGGTGAAATCATGTAAAAGCAAGTGGTCTTGCTCTTTTTATCTGAAACTCAGAAACTCATCAAGCCAAAAACCGAACGTAAAAATCACGTAAGTTCAAGGCCACCCTCTATTTAACATGACATTTTAAAACATGCTAATTGTTACATTAAAAATGCAAAGTTATATGAATAGTCACCACATATTGAATACCAAAAAAAAATCATTCCCAACACCTTTCAGAAGGTTTGGAGTATTCCCTCTCTCCGGAAATAAAATCTCTTACAGAAAACATCTGGATAGAATAGAGAGAACAATAGATATTAAATATCTTTAAAGCCATTTGACACTTCCAGATTCCTAGAGGTTTTCCAATATTTATGAAGAACCTAAATAGAAGGAAGTCAGCCCATGTAAGGGACTGAATGATAGAGGAACACGTCCATCTCAGCTTAGCACTCCTTCAATCAAATATTCATCAACAAATACCAAGTACTTACAGGTGCCAGATAATTGCTAGAGATATTTTTGTGTGATTCTTTTCTATACAAGAGGACAAAGTCTTGTAAACACTCAACTCAAAGAGTAGGCTCTTTTTCACCTGGCAAATCACACTTCCTTCCAGGCTTACACATTACTTCTGAAGACTTCCCTGACTCCCCCAGGCAAAGTTGGTTCACATCTGGGCTTTCCCTCACACATTTCTAGTAGTCTACTATTGCAGATCAATGCAGCTGGAGCCCAGGAGAGAGCAATTCATTCTGTGAGACAGTCAGGGGAGACTACAGAGGAGGTGATATCTCAACTGGGCCTTCAAGAGTGACTGGCATATGCAAAGTAGACAACATTTTGGAACATCTCAATTAAGAGATATGTCCTCAACTAGTGAAAAAAAAATGCAACACTCCTTGCAAAATAAATGATGTAAGAGTAGAAACCAAATATATGAGAAAATACCATGAAATATCAACTATATACACAATAAAGAATCTTTTTAAAACAAGATATTTTACCTGGATTGAATTTTTTCTCATCTTCTCCTAGGCCAGGGGTTTAAAAATGAATAGGTATTCTTTCCTGGCAGAGATAAAATCAATAGATTCTGTGTATGAAAGGAGACCACAAAAGAGGAAGGATTCACCGACTGGATGAAGAAAAAAATTTTAAGTAAAAACACAGAATATTTTTTAAGTCATGCCACTCATTACACTATTGAGTACAATTGGTTTCCCAAAACATTAATATTTTAAGGCAATACTTCAGTAAGAGGAATTTTTGTGTTTCTTAATATGAGACCATTCCTGAAAATTACCTTATATTGGTCTTGTTTCCATTTAAAAAAATACACGAGCCTTACTATGGATGTGTCCATTCTTTTAAATAATGAGCTCTTTGTAGTTGTTGAATTGTAAGTTTCTTGGCTTAGTGCCCACTTGCTCAATTAAACTAGGCTGAGCCACCAAAGAGGTCTATCATCTGTAAATGTGATAGCAGAAAAGGTTAAAAAGGACAGTCTTCTCTGTCAGTTTCAGAGGGCTTCACCTTTTTAAGGAATGTAGCCAGCTAAGAAAACATGTGTTGATTTTCTTAAATGCTCAAGGTTAATGGAAGAAAATTTAAGACAGAGAAAAATGTTTTCAATACTGTTCTTTTTTCCCCCACCCATCTATGCTCTTTTCTTTTTTGAGTATTTACCTCTACTTATCGTGAATGTCCTTCTTATAGCCCAACCCTCTTTCCTTTGGCTCTGTTAAAGTGCTTAGTAAAGGACTGTTGCCTTTCCATCACAGAGAAGTAGTCTCACATAACATTAAAAGTAAAGGCCTCTCATTTTTACAAAAGGTAGTACAGGAACTTCTGTAGGTTGATTATTCCAGGTGGCAATACTATTAAATTAGGATTTTTGCATGACTGTGCAAAACAATATGTCCTTGTTGTTATATTTGCTGTTATTTCAATAATGGTCTTTTCTTCTTTTTTTTTTTTTTTATTTCTGCTGATGGTCTTTTTTTTTTTTCTCCCCGTAAGTAGTGCTACTTCTAAATATGAGCTATGGCTCCTAGAGCAGATGGGTGAGAAAAGAAATAATTTCCACCCTATAACTTGTTAGAAGAGCTCAGTGTCTTGCCAATTGGCCAGGAGTTTCAGCACTCAAATACAAAATACACAGATTCTCAAAGATTAGTCCTCTGTGTGGTTCTTATTTGAGTCTCTTGAAATCTCAATAGGGCCAAAAAATTATTCATTGAATTTTTGACTAATGAAAATTGCAAGTTATGGCCAACATCCTATTGGTGGTCCCCTGTTGTCCTTCTGGTCAAAACCCTGGCCAATAAATCGAAAAAAAAAAAGATACCCTTTCTGTTCAACATATACAACAAATCAAGTCCGTTTATGAACATTTTCTTCAATGAATAGATTTCTTTTAACCATTTCAAGGAAGAAGTGTTTTGCAATAATACACAACTGGAGCCTTTAAGGAAACAGCAAAGCAAGGACAAGGAGGCATAAAAATTAATTTAGCCTGCCACATACATAAAATGCATAATGGCATACTGGTGCTCCCAGTTTGTGGACTAGAAGATAGACTAACAAAGATTATCCTTAATGGGAAAACTTAACAATTTGATTTCATTTTATTCTGTTCCATTCAACAAATAGTCATGGTATTCTACTAAGTGCAAAACCCTTTTTGAGGCATTGAGGGAAAATAAAGGTGTACATTCCCAACTGTGGAATAGTGTTCCTCAAGAAGTCAACAGAAACAACTGTACAAATAATTCAAATGCAAGGCAGTACATAAAAGTACCTTACATATATGTGTGTGTATAATCTCTAAAAAAGTGTTTATATATTTTATAACTCCCAACTTGAGTAACAAGATCCCCATCTTGCACCACAACAATATTTTAAATCCCAAGTCCCTACAATTAGATAGCAAATAGCTTTTATTTAGGATCTGATTAATAGAGTGCCTATGTAATTTATCATCCAAACAAGGACACTTTGAGAGTGAGAAGTTGTGCTATTAATAATTATGCCAGGTCATTAAGAATAAATTGGGACTGTCCCAGACATATGGTCACTCTATTAGTAATTTTAGTATTATCAAAACAATATCATTCCCCTTTTCTTCTTCTTCCTGCCACCTGCCTTTAGTAGAGCATTTTATCTCTTATTAGATAGCATTCCATGAGAGACTAGCCAGGAATAAAATGACACTGCATCCTTCAGATCCATCAGTTATACAACAAAATAAAGACTGGATGGGAGATCATTTAATTTATACTTATTAGGTCAGATACTGAGCCAGGTGTTAGTGATACAAAGATACAAGCAAGCAAATTTCTATCAATATTTTTCTCCAACAAAACTGGAAAGCATATCTCTATTCAAAAAAAATTTTAATATTTTCATTTTCTTTTAAAGTACTTTTTAAATTATTATAAAATATTTTCATAATTTTTTCCTAAATTGAAGTGCATATGTTAAGATAAGGAGAGAAGGGAGTGGTGAAGTGGTTCTTCTGCAAAAGACTTTAATCCAATTTTCCCATTGCTGAGTCATGACAAATTCCTCCAGGTTGTTTCTACCTGCTTCCTGCCTCCTTTCCCCCTTCTCCTTTTACTTTTCCTCCCCAAGTTCACCACAGAGGATTATGGAGGGAGAAAAAAAAGTAAGTCATGCAGTTAAATTTGTGGAAGCAGTTCAGTGTCTTCTTGCCCCATCTCAAATCCAGGTTAAAATGGCGTATATATATATGTAATGAGCTAGGTTAAATGGAAAAGAGACACACAAATCAATTTTTTACAAAACCCTTATGGAGATTCTTAAAATTATGTCTGTAATGAAATAATACTTAAGGAAGGAAAATATTTCATCCAAAATAGAAAACGTAGAAAGGCAGAGCTCTAGGGAAGCAATAAGTCTTTTGGGGCACGGGGCAAATAAAGCATGGATAACACACTCAAAAACCTACAGGGCTGGGCAGGTGATGTGAATGAGTGAAGTGACCTAGGCACAAGATGATCAGAGACACATTAAGGAATGGTGTGGACTGTGGCAAATCACAGAGTTATGCTGTAGGTAAAAGTGCAGCAGCTACTCAGCAACAGCCAATTACTATGTGAAACTGTAAATCCAGTATAAGTTCAGTCAATTTTCAAGAGAAACTAGAAAACCAGGGTTTTCAAAAAATCCCCTTATTGTTTAATGCTGGCAGTGAAATCAAATGAAATGCTCTGCAAAGCAAACCTGGTCTTTGGGCCTGTCAGTCTGAGAATTCTGAAAGAAAATCCTTTACTGGCACATGGCGGCAGAAGAACACAGGGCTCTTCTTCCCATACCCAGGCATATTTGCTTCTGCCTTGCATCTGATCCTTTCAAAAAGGAAACCTTTTAAGAGGAGTGTTTGTGTGGGTGTGATATGCAGGCTTTAAAATATTTTAAGTGTATAAAATACATGTGTGCCATGTATTTTTTAAATGTATACTATGATTTAAATGTGGAAAATTTCTATATTGACAATTGTAATTAAGTCGAATCATACATAATGGTGAAGTTCACTTTTTAGGATTCAACAATTCTATCAGTCTTCCTGCACTCTCTCCTGTTAACAAAATACATTTCCTATTCATTCATTTCTTCAGTCAACAAACATTTATAGGGCACCCTGTGTGGTAGGGCAGGCTCTGTTCTAGATGTTAGGGATACAAAGAGACAGAGAAAATGACCTGCCTTCATGGAACTTACATTCAATAGGAAAGAGAAACAGAAAATAAACTTAAAAAGCAAATTATACCTAAACATTAGGATGTGGATGGGATTCAGGTCCAGAAGTTTCAGTTCAAACATGAAAAATGTCTAAAACTAAAATATTATCTGACTGGTGTTTTGAGACATCTTTGAATGTCAAATGCTGAAAAGAAATCGTATCAGTATCAATCACTAACCCTGCTTAGGAAGTGACATAAAATGTTGAGATTGCTGGGAAATAAATAAGGAAGTGAATTATTATTGAGTGTGTGATATAGGAATAAGAGTGCAAGGACTTACTATACTCATCATATTATCATTGTTATATTGTACTACTTAATTATTAGATGAGTGCAAAAGTAATTGCAGTTTTTGCATTGTTGGAATTTGCCATTTGATATTGGAATACACTTTTAAATAAATGTGGTTATGTTATACATCATTTTAATTGGCATTTCTTGCTTTACGTTTTTTTGCTAGTGACTTATTACTTGCTGTTTATGTTTATTTTAGACTGTGGAAATGATGTTAGACTAAAAGCAAATTCAAGCAGTTTTCTTATTTGAGTTCAAAGTGGGTCATAAAGCAGCAGAGACAACTCAGAATATCAACAATGCATTTGGCCTAGGAACTGCTAAGGAACGTATGTGGTGGTTCAAGAACTTTTGCAAAGGGGACGAGAGTCTTGCAGATGAGGAGTGTAGTGGCGGGCCATTGGAAGCTGACTACACCGGTTGAGAGCAATCACCAAAGCTGATCCTCTTACAACTACACGAGAAGTTGCCAAAGAACTCAGCGTCAACTATTCTATGGTTGTTGGGCATTTGAAGCAAATTGGAAAGGTGAAAAAGCTCGGAAAGTGGGTGCCTCATGAGCTGACCGAAAATCAAAAAAATCGTCATTTTGAGGTGTCATCTTCTCTTATTCTATGCAACAACAACGAAGCATTTCTGGATCGGATTGTGACGTGCAACGAAAAGTGGATTTCATATGACAACCAGCAATGACCAGCTCGATGGTTGGACTGAGAAGAAGCTCCAACGCACTTCCCAAAGCCGAACTCGCACCAAAAAAGTGTAACGGTCACTATTCGGTGGTCTGCTGCCAGTCTGATCCACTACTATTCAGCTGTCTGAGTCCCAGCGAAACCATTACATCTGAGAAATATGCTCAGCAAATCTTTTTGCAGGGAAAGCGCTTCCATAACCAGCGGGATGCGGAAAATGCTTTCCAAGAGTTTGTCGAATCCCGAAGCACGGATTTTTACGCTACAGGAATAAACAAACGTATTTCTCATTGGCAAAAATGTGTTGATTGTAATGGTTCCTACTTTGATTAATAAAGATGTGTTTGAGCCTAATTATAATGATTTAAAATTCATGGTCCAAAACCGCAATTACTTTTGCACCAACCTGACAATTGATTTGTAACATTGACAAAATATTATTTTTAAAAATTCAAGCAGTACAGAAATGTATAAAGAAAAAAATCTCATCCAGAAATGGCTAATTGGATGAATTTCATCTCTGCATATGTAAAGTGGAAGGATAGATGAATGGAAAAATTAACCTTTAGTAACTGAGATCAAACTATATGTTCATAGCATTATAGAATATGTCAGGGCTTAAAATCTTGTATCTGCCACTTTCTAGTGAATAGACATGACTTAGCTACATATGCCTCATTCCTCATTCAGTAATGAAGATACTACTTACAGTATTTTTGTGGGGATTAATGGAAGTAATCCACATACAGCACTTAGAAAAGTACCTAGAACATAATAAATACTCCATAAATATTAGCTCTTATTATTGTCTGATTATTAGCACCCTAATGACATTGATTCAAACCTAAATTATGTTTCTTATCTCCGCTGTCTCCCTTTCCTTCTCATTCTGTTGTTTTGTTATCATTTTTGAGAGATTTATTTTCTCATTAGGGTGTTCTAAAGGGAGAAACACTCATGATGGATTGTTTTTAGTTCCTTGACAGAATGCATTTAAAAATCATCTCTTCGCCTCCCCTGCCCTGGGACCCTTGCCTGCTTGCCTCGCTATTCCTTTTCACTTTGCTCATGCTTAACTGCTCATTTCTGTTTTCTGCTTTCTCTGATATGGCATGGATGACTTCCCTTTCACATGTCTTCTGCACATATCGGCATTCCATTCCTTTTCCTCACACCAATGTTTTAATGCTGAGTACTTACTGTTGTGTGCACCCTTTCATGGCCTGAGGGTGGCCACCTGTGAGAAGAGGGGGACAGCTCAGCCGAGCCTCTGTGCAGTCCTGGCTGGAGTACTTGCTCTATGCTCTGCCATCCTAGGCTTAGAGAAATGATCTGCCATACTTGTGTTCACTCTACTTAGTGGGCGAAAGAGATTCTCATTCCTGCCGGAATGCTCCTTTGCTTTAGATCACTTCTCTGTTCAGCATGGTGCCTGGAGTTCTTCATCACCATCTGACTGCGCTCCCATTTTCCACTCCCTTGTTTTTTGTTTCTCTTAATGCCTCCCCACCAGTCAGAAGCGAGAAAAGGAAGAAATGAGGACTCCTTTGCCTCCCTTTAGATTTTCAGCTATTAGTGAAAAATCTCAGGCCCTGGTCAACTCACCAGTCTGATTTTGTATGACACAGGGGCTGGGGGGAGGTGCTTAGGTATTGCATAATACCAGAATCTTCCTTTTCTTGGCTTGTTCTCTCCTTTTTAAAATCAATAGCACTTAGTTATGATCTTTTCTTTGTTCAGTTACTTTTTAATTCTGTCTTATTTGGGGGGCAGTTTTGTTAGGCTTTGGAGGAGGGAGAGTCTATGGTCTGGTTTTATTCTTCCAACTTTCCCTGGAACTCTCTACTAATGATATTTTTATTAACATGCTAGCACTTGGCAGAATTAGTTATTACTAAGAAGACACAGGGTTTGTGTCTTAACCAAATTTTGCCTGTGTGATACACACTAGCAACTGAATGAGTGAATGAATGATTCAACTAACAAAAATTCTCTATTTTAACTCCTTGTCTTCATAACACTTGAGCCCTAACCAAATATTCAGGTAGGTCTAGAATAAACATTAACCCAGATTATTTTTTATTTAAAATCATCAACATGGACTGGATAACCATAAAGCCAGAGGAGCTCAGCTCAATTAGCACTGTTCCTTCAAGATTCTAAATTTTACCTTAACTAGTCAAAGTGACCTTCACTTGCTTTTCCAGCACACAGTGCTATCTTCTGCAAAAAGTAGGAAAAAGGAAAATTTGCATTACTTGTCACTGGGTGGAAAACAAATTTAGAAAGAAATAAAACGCCAATTCAGGTATTAGGAAGTAGTTAACAAAGAAGGGAACATCCTCTCACTAGTATACATGGAACTATTAAGAATTATATTTATAGCATAATAATATGGTGTCAACTATGTAAAGTTATGTATATACATCTATTCATAGTATAGAAAAATAAAGCAAAATATTTTAATATTATCTTTATATTAAATAATTATGGGGATTATGGGGATTTTTGTTTTCTAAGTTTGCTACATTTTTTGAAATTTCTATATTATATTAGCTATTCAATCAGTAAACAGAATCCATAAAGTATTATTTAAAGAAAAAGTAATTTTGTCCAGTGCAGCATTTTCAAATGCAAAATGAGACAGAAAGATATAATTTAAAAAGAACAACCCTCTCAACATCCTAAGACTAAATCTTATTTTTTTCTGACATATAGATTCAGCCATTTATTCCCTACTAAAGTAGTCATTATAATGCACCAAATATGAGTAAGAAAAACCTTTTGTGTGACAAAGCCAATTCTGTGAAATTGTCTGATGATGACTTTGGTGAGAACTAACAGGTCTGCCAATATACCCTCCTCTCCATTTGTCATTCAGCTAGATATTTAGGTTTTTCAGAGGGCTGTTTTTACCCTAAGGGCCAATTTCATTAAAAAAAAAAAAGGAAGAAAATATGCAGATGAATTTTATGATTTTCCTGTCCTTCTTCCACCTCTTAAAAATCAAGCCAAGCAATGCCAATGTTCTACCTTTTGGGGGTTCGTGCAGATTGCCCCCACACAAATGAAAATCCTGGACTCTGCCTGGTCTTGAAGAAAGCTCCTGCTTGTCCAAAGAAAGGCATGAAATTAGAAGTTGACAGAGATTCTCATTCAGGAAAGAATTGTCACCATTTTTGCTGTGCTCCGGCCAGAACAACATATGGCAGCCCAGATGACAAATATAATCTTTTCCTCTTTTTTCCCATTTCACATGCACATTTCATCTGTGGAATATTAAAACTTCACACAAAGTGCCTGTTAACCCCTTGGCACCATAGCATCCCTCGTCTGGGATGTGCTATTTACCAGAACCCTGGCATCCAGCTGTGAGAGGGTTAAGACCAACAGAAAGAGACCCGGGTGGTCAGAGGCCATCTGACTCTTCCCTGCCTCCATTAGGAAGGGCCGAGTCTCAGCATGTTGGGGCGGAGTTGTCTTCGTGTTAGAAAATTCATAGCTTCCTGGCTTCAGTGTAAACCACCTTGGTACCCTGCATCCCAGAGCCTTTCAGTTTCCCAATCAGAGGTGTTTTCAGAAGCAGCTGTCCTTACATTCTGCTGTCCACGGGGACCCCAAATCCAGCATGCTCTCCACCCGAGAAGCACGCTGCTGGCCCCAGTCTTGATGGAAGAAAGCTTGCACATGTGATTTAAATAGAAAAGGCAACTTTGTTAAAGTTCTCAACCTCCCTCCCTAGACATAAGCATTGGGTTGAGGCTTAGGTATCTTTGTTGACAGAGACAAGGTAGGAGTCCTGCACAAACCCTGCTATATTACACTGCCAAACCCCCCAGTAAACCCAAGCATCCCAAACCACTCCTGATGAGCTGTTTCTAAGTATGTGTCAATGTGTGATTTTCTGACTCCTACCTATTGTCTCCTTTATATTTGGAGTTTTTAATTTAGGAAAATTGCCTGGCATAAAATAAGGCACTAATATATATTAGTTGAATATATTCCAAATGTACAAAAACTGCAGAAAATGATATATGACAAAATCCATGGATTCACCACTGAGATTAAGTAGCTGGTACCATTTTGCCATATATGCATCAAATGACTCTCTCTTTTTAAAAAAATAAGATGATCACAGTTTCAGGAATATCTGACCACATTCCGCACTCCTCCTCCACCAAGTAACCACTATTCTGAAATTTGCATGCATCATTGCCTTGCAAGTGTTCATAACACACATGAAGGTATTCATAAGAAATGTATACACTAGTGTTTTGTCTCTTTAAAATTTTCCATGGGTAGTATCATGCTATATATTACAGAATATTTACATATTTTTTGTACTTAACAGTGTCAAGTACATATTTTGTACTTAACAGTGTTTCTTTTTGCAATTTATTCAGTTGATAGATACTTACAAACGTAGGTCACAAATTTAAATTGCTGTATACTTTCTCATCATTTCAATAAACAAAACTTTACACATTCCCTTATTAAGGGACAGTTGGGTAATTTCACGTTTGTGCTATTACAAACAAATCCTTCTTTGAACATCTCTGATCATGCATCCCATGTATCTACGCCAGATAGATGCCTTATGTATCTATGTCAGATATCCTCCAGGGTGGACACTAGGAACTAAAACTGCTTGGTCCCAAACCCTGAGGATTTCAGTTTTATTAGATTGACAAATTGGTTATTCCAATTCTTGTTTTCATTATCGATTATAAAAATGTCTGTTTCCACATTCTCACCAACATTTGCAAACAAACATTAATTTTTGCGAAATTGGTATGTAGCATGTAGCTGGTAGTTTATTGTTGGTTTAGCTTTCAGCTCCCTAATTATTAGTAGGATACAGCAGCTCTTCTTATGGTTATTAGATATTTGTTTCATCTTCTTTGTAAATTACCTTTGCCATTTTTATTTTAAATTGTTTGCCTTTTTCTTATCAATTCATAGAAGTTCTTTATAAATGAAAGTATTAAAATCATCTTTTCCAAATCAGTCAATAGCTTATCTTTTTACTTTGTTTTGGCTATCCATAAATAGATAGATAGATAGATAGATAGATAGATAGATAGATAGATAGATATAGATAGATACCCAAATATATATAATATATATTCAGATAACATATATAGATATATGTTATTATTATTATTATTTAATGTCATCAAATTTATGCCTGTTTCATGGTTTGTACTTCTTGAGTCTAATTTAGGAAGTTTTTTCCCATACCTCAATGATAAACAATATACACACCTATGTTTTTTTATACAGTCAGTTCTGCTGTTGTACTGGTTTTGAAAACAAGTAAATTTGTTCCAAGACTATTGATATAATAAAAAATATGAGCATAACACAAATTTCCAATTTGGTTCTGTGCTATTTTGTTAGTGAGAAGCACTTAGTGAATGCAGAGAACTACACACAGCTTAACCAAGCCATACTGGAATTCACAAAATGCACATACACGTGTCTCCATATCTACCAGTTACCTCAGTAGCTTATAACACCATATATGGATAGATGTGTTATGAGCCACATCTAGCCATATCTGGTGTGCTATGAGACACATCTAGCCATATCTGGTGTTATAACCTTTCATCAGACTTCATATAATCCTCCCTTTACTGCTTCACAATATATCACCAGCTGAAACTCTCTGATGTCCGGTCTCACAATCAACTTTTTAGCTTGTTTCAAGAAGTGCCATGTTTATTGTAGTATTTTTGTATGTTATCATCATTTAAAATGTGAAAAACTGTGCTTTTAGTTATCTTTTTCTATCTTTCTTTTTTTATGTAACTGCTGACGTTTTTGAGTGTTGAGAAGTTTTAAGTTTGAGTATTATCCCACTGACCTCATTTCTCCCCTAAGCCCTGTACTTTTACTGTGAGATTTTACATGGTGGAGTAATTTTTAGGAATGCATATGTGGTGGGCTAGCAAACAGACCATATGAAGCTTGTAGTCTTGCACTTTATGTTTAGATCTTTAATCCATCTGCAATTTACTTTTATGAGTATTGTATGATTGACATTATTTTTTTCCAGGAATAAAAAGCTACTTAGCCTCCATTTTAATTATTAAATGTTTCTTTTACTTTTCTTGCCTTATTTCACCAGCTAGGACCTCCAGTAGAAAGTTATATTAAAGTAGAAATCAATGATATCATTTACTTGTTCATTAATTTGAATGCTTCTCAAGTTGTATGATTTAAAATGTTGTTTATCCTAGGTTTTTGTTAGATGTATTTTCTGAGGATAAGGAAACTCTTTTTTATGCATAGTTTACTAAACAAGATTATTGTAAATCATTGTTGAATTTTATCGGTTACTTTTTCCTATATCTATCAAGATGCCAATATTCTTTAATCTCTCAATGCAATGATTTATAATATTGAATTTGTTTAGTGTTAAATTATCTTTGTTTTCTTGGGATAAATCAAAATCGACTATAAAATAGATATATGTGATATGTGTGTGATATTATGCATATGGTATATTTTTCTACAGTTTTATTTCAGTATACTTTAGATAAAATAAAATTTATTCTTTTTAACTCTACAGTTTGATGATTTGGGAAGCTATAAGCTATATATAGTCATGTGACCACCACCATAATAAAAAAATTTCATAACGTCACCAAATTTTTGTCTTCCTGCAGTTTTACTATGAGGTGTCTTGCTGTGGTTTTATTACAGTTTATCATACATGGATTTCATTGAGCTTCTGGGAGCTATAAGTTAATGTTCTTAACCAAATTTGGGATATTTTCATCCTTTATATCATCAAATAATTTTTTTGCACAACTCTCTCTTCTCGTTCTCAACTCCAATAACATGTATGTTAGAATTATTGATATTGCCTAAAAACCTCTAAAACTGTTTATTTTTCTTTAATTTTTTTCTTTTTATTTTTTGGATTATGCAATTTCTATTAAACTATCTTCAGGTTCACTTATTTTCAGTGATAATCAATTTATCCTGTGTATTTTTTATTTTAGTTATTATAGTTTTCAGCTATAATATCCATTTGGTTTTTTTCATAGTGTCCATTTTGCTGTTGTGATTCCCTATTGATTCTATCATTTTTACTACATTTTGCTTTAATTATTTGAACATATTTTAATATACTTCTTTAAATATATTTATAAATCAGCTTTAACACTTTTGTCTGCTAAATCCAATATCTGGGCCCACTCAGAGTAAGTTTCTATAGATTGTGTGTTTTTTCCCCTGAGTGAAGGTCACAATTTTCTATTTCTTTCAATGTCTAGTAAGTTTAGTCAGAACTTAAAGTTGCAAATAATAAATTGGAGATTTGTTCTTCTGACAACTGGCAATTCACTTCCTGGATTCCAACTGAAGTATCTGTTCCTCCCATGGTATACAGTCACTGAGGTCTCTGCTCAGATTTTTTCTTCCAGCTTTGATTTTTAGCCTGGTCCCTTAGTGATCTTTCCTACTCCCGAGTGACTTAATGATCAGCCACGGATTTGGGAGGAGATATACTCAGTCTGAGCTTCATGCTGGTTAAGGAATGCAATCTTTCAATGTCTCAGCAAACTCCCACTCTCATCTGAAGCACTCTTGCCTTTCAAGGATACACTTCTATGTTAGATTGCTTTTTGTCTGGGCTCCTGGGGAATCTCTCATGTACATGAATATCTTAGCAGACACCTGGAGATTCGGGCAGAATTTTCTCTTAGGTTGTCAATCTCAGTTTCACTAAAATACCTTTATTTTGCCTACAATCTTGATTTATAATTCAGATATGTGTTAAATTCTAAGTTGACAGGATTTTTTTCCCAGCATTTTGAAGATGATATTCCATTGTTGTCTACATTCTACTGTTACTGATTAGAAATCTGTCATCAGTTTAACTTTTTTTCATTTTCTGAAAATCTGTCTACTCCCTCTGGCTACTTTTATGATCTTCTCTTTGTCTTTGGAGTTCTGTAGATTCAATATGATATATTCATGTGGATTTCTTTTATTTATCTTGCTTGGAATATAATGTGTTTCTTGAATTGGTGGCCTCATATATGTATTTCAGTTCTGGAAAATTCTCATTGCCTTTTTAAAATATTGCCTCTTCTCTTTTAACCTCCTTTTCTGGAATTCCTGTTAAATATATATTGATCTTTCTAATTCTGTTCTCCACATTTTCAAAACATAATTTTATATGTGTATCTATTTATATCTCCAGATCATATTTTAGATAATTGAATTATATTTCTTCTTTCTATTTCAGACATGTCTTTTAGTTTGCTAATTGTTTCTTCAACTTTAGTTATTCAAATAACTTATGAAAGGATTAATTGAATCCTTTTGTTTTCTGATCATTTGAATCATACCAATCTCCCCCAAAAGATGATAGGTACCATGATATAGGATCTCACAATTATGTCTCCACTACACAGCACAGACCTACTCATTTATAGATGCAAATCAACAGATTTGCCAACACTTAAGTTTTTAATTGAACAGACTGATTTTATTTCTTCTAATTTCTTCTTATCTGTTTATTTCTCATGGTATTTTTTTCTTTTTTGGATCTTTTTTACATCTTTAATACCAATAAATATGTAGTCTCCAACAGATTGCTCAACTAAGGAGCTAATAATCTTCCTGTTTATGTGTGTATGTGTGCATGTGTGTTGGATGACTCTTGTTCATTATGGATTATTTTCTTTCATGTTTTATAATTTTGGATTATGAGCTCATCTATACTGAGGTTTTCTT
This sequence comes from Homo sapiens, assembly GCF_000001405.40. NCBI lineage: Eukaryota > Metazoa > Chordata > Mammalia > Primates > Hominidae > Homo > Homo sapiens. The sequence goes on from NC_000008.11 coordinate 65,254,117, forward strand.
CATGGCAATTCTATGTGATATGAGTTGAGAAAATATCCCCCAGAGTTTAATATTTGCTGCATTCTGATACCAAATTTCGTGTTGATTTATTGGCTTAAGAGTACATAAATAATGCCAAGAGTATAACTGTGAATTCCAACCCTTCATGAAGTTTAGTCTTGGGGTTTTACATTCTTATAGATAAATTATTATTATTTCAAACAAAGCCCAAGAATGTTCAATCAACTTCTTCTTATTCTTTTTTTCTTTTTTGTCTCTTGGTAATAATAGGTAGATTTTTTTTCTAGTTATCAGTTTCATTGATAATGTAGTCTGAACTTTATGCAGATACCTTAGTTCCAACTCCTCACCTCACACAGTCTTAAGTTCCCATCTTCTGTTTCTGCATGGTTATTAAAACTGGCCACTAGATGACTGAGTTGGATAACCCCTCCAAAGATAGCCACATCATTTGTTCACACACTTACTGCTTTATTTTAATTTTCATAAGAATTTCCAGCCCTTGAGAATAGTAATTTTATTTACTGAAAGCTCAGTTATGCATATAAATATGTGTTGTTGTAGTTTATCCAGCATATACAAATGTTTTTAGCAGATAAATTTTTTGGTCATTTGTCTTATTAGAACCAGAATTCCCATTCACTTTTCTACTCACTCCAATTTGGTTTTCAACCATATCATACCACTGAAACTATTCTTGTTGAGGGTTACTAATTATATTCATGTTGCTAAATCCAGTGGACAGTTTTTTCCCTTACTAATTTTTTTTATTATTACTTAAACTTAACACTTCTTCATTTTAAATGTTCTTGTCTTGGTTCCCATGACAACAAAATCCTCTGGTTTTGTCATTTTTATTAGCTGTCCTCTTCTGCCTTTTCCCATCTTCTTTCTCTCCCTGGCTCAGTCCTAGGTGCTTTTCTTGTATATTTACCTATTTTCTTCCTAGGTGATATCATCCATTCCCATGGCTTTAAACACAGTGTTTATGTCAATGGTGCCCAAATATTAACCTCTAGCTTAAACCTCTTCTTTGAACTCCATACCCATATGGATAAAATCCTCTTTTTTTAGGAGTAAATTTAGATGTCTCACAAGCATCTCAAACATGTTCATAAATGAAATCTTGGTCCTCACGCTAACCAAATCAATTCTTCTCCTAAACTTTTCCTTTTTAGTAAATGCTCTTTCTCTCCACCTTATCAAAGAGACATAAAGAATCATCCTTCATTCCTAACTCTCCCTTACCATCTGCTTACATAAATATATCATCAACTCCTGGCAATTTATAATTCCATACACCTCTTTTTCTCCAGTCCCACAGCCATTTATTCTCTGAATTCCTGTAATAGCCTTCAAATGTGTCTTCTGCTTCCACTCTTTACCCCCCAATTAATTCTCTACTCAACAACAACAGTACTCATTAAAAATTTAAATTATGGGGGCCGGGTGCGGCGGTTCACGCCTGTAATCCCAGCACTTTGGGAGGCCAAGGCGGGCAGATCACAAAGTCAGGAGATCGAGACCATCCTGGCTAACATGGTGAAACCCTGCCTCTACTAAAAAAAAAAAAAAAAAAAAAAATTAGCCTGGCGTGGTGGCGGGCGCCTGTAGTCCCAGCTACTCGGGAGGCTGAGGCAGGAGAATGGCGTGAACCCAGGAGGCAGAGCTTGCAGTGGGCTGAGATCGTGCCACTGCTCTCCAGCCTGGCCAACAGAGTGAGACTCTGTCTCAAAAATAAATAAATAAATAAATAAATAAATAAATAAATAAATAAATAAAAATAAATTTAAATTATGTTACTCCTCTGGTGAAAACTCTTCAGTGGCTTTCCACTGTATTTTAGATAACACATTAATGCCTTTCTCAGCACCTACCCTGTGCAACCTGCTCCCCGATGCCCTCCTCGGTGCCTTTCATATCATTCTCTGCCTTGCTTACTCACTATGCTGCAGCACACCAGCCAGCATGGAGCTCCTTGAATCGCCACGTTATTTTCCAAATTTAAACATAGTGTTGCTATATCCAAAATGTTCTTATTACCCCTCTACTCATGACTCTCGTTTTCGTTGTTTAGCTCTCAAACGAAATATCACTTCTTTCACAGTTGAAATGTGACCTTCAGGGGGAGGTTTCCTCTGTCATCCTACGTAACATAACGTAAAACCGAGGGTTTTCTTTATTATTACCTATTATTGTACCTTGTTCGCTTTCTTTATAGTAATTTCCACACTTTTTAAATTATACGTATTTCTGTTTCCTCATTCCATTTTTGCTTCCCCACTTAATTCTTACTTCCATGAAGATAGGGGCCATACTATTTTGTTCGCTCAATAACCGATTGACATTTAATCATCCTCGATAAATATTTGCGGAATAATAAAGACATTGAAGAAGAAAGTATTGTAGTAGTGGTATTTTCTCAGAGCCAGAGAACTGAAAAACTCCCTGAGATCGTGAGCTCTCAATGTTTGTTTGCAAAAGGACTTGATGAGTGAGGGAAAACAGCATTTTTCCTGAGTGTCCATAATGTACCAGGTTCTTTCACACATTCTATCTCATTTAATCCTCACACAGTTGTTTGAGGTGGATGTTATTTTACTTAATTCATAGAAGTTAGTAATTTGAACAAGAAGCATAAAGATTAAAAGGGGAAGATCCAGACTTGGAACAAATTCTCTTCAGTCTCCTTATTACAAGTAGGGAACTCTTTCCAACAAAGCAATGCTCCCTTCTAAAAAATGGTTAAATTGGAAGAAGTGCTTTATGGCATCTAGATATTGGAAACACATGACACTTTTTCTGATCTTCTTTTTCATGGGCACCCACAGTTTCTAGTAAAATTCAGCAGCATAACATGTTAGCCTATGCCTAGACATGAGATGCAGCATTGAAACATACTTGTGAAAGATGCATTTTCTAATACCTCAACATTTCTTGGCTAAACCTAATTCATAATTAACTTGTTAATGTTTTCTATGTTCTTAATATTGTTCATCTTATAGATGCTTAGACTGTTGAAATAAAATAATTTACAAGATTTTGGATAAGGGAGCTCAGAGAATTTTGACACCATGTGAAGCAAAGCCTTTGAGATAGAGTGAAGAGATGTAAAACAATAAAGCATATGATGTCTTGTTCAAGTCCAGCCATATCCTGATAGAAAACTAATACAAAGAATACAAGCTGAGGTTGAGTTTAGAACTAAGTCTATTTTCAGCAATTGGAAAATTTATATATTTGAACATATTTGACCTTTATTGCTTATTGCTTTTTTGTATGGAAGGAAAAAAAAAGCCTTCATTTAAAACTAATGGTTATGATGATCACAAATCTGTTCAAACTCCTTATAGCCAAGTTACTATCTCCCTTAGGTAAATTGGTTCTCGGGATTCTGAATTAACAAAATAACCTTTGTAGGCTTTTTTCGCATTAAACAGGTTGGAACTGTTTGAATCCTGAAGTGTTTTGGACCCATTGCCCCTGGGGAGGCTGTGAAGAAGCTAATCCTGCGTTGCCCTCAACACACACCTCTCACCACTCAGGGAAGTTGCAGGTTTGCACGCAAAAGGTCACTATACATCTTTGTCTGCCTCCAACAGCCTTGGTTTAGGCCTATTTTCCCAGTGTAATTACTAAGTGGTGTTCCCTACATTCAAAATTATCCCAGTCTGGACAATAATGTGTATAGAAATCCACCCATACCATCCTAGAAACCATGTTCTGGCAAAACACCTGGAGAGAAAAACTAAACATTTTCTGAGAAAGAAGCTATCAATCAAATCTAGCCCTTCATGGAAGCAGAAAGTCAGCTTGCAGCTGATGATCCTTTTCATCTTATCTGCATAGATGAACGGCCTCTCTCTGTTGAACACAAATAAAATGTAAAGCTACACATATCCCTGGAGGAAAGGTACAATGGCATTCTTCATAGCTTGTCAAAGATTGACCCTCATGCTCCTTACTAGACAAACTGACTACTAAGAAAGCAGACAAATTTATATAAAGGTCAAGGGGCCTTCTAGGGGGGAAGAGATTAAAATTCTGTCCTCTTCTTTTTTGGGAGTTCAATCACACTATACTTCTCTGATGGGTTAAAGTGCTTCTAGGTGAAGTTTGCTGGCAGGAAAAAAAAAACCCTAAGGGCCTTAAAGGTAAGTGTTTCATAAAGGAACAAGGATTATAAATTGGGGATCTAAAATCAAAGTCAAGCCCTTGAAGTTCAAGAGTGAGGAGGAAGTTTCCAAACAGTAGCATGATGCTTGTACCTCAGAAATGGCAGCGCATGTAAAATATAGATTAAGGCCTTTAACCTGATAGGGTGAAAACCTTATAGGGCAGTGGATGAGGATAGAATAAACTAGACAGCATGAGCTTTCAGCAGCCTGAAATCAAGATATCTAGAACTGAGACCTCTTGGTAGACTGATGAGAAATTCTAGTTCTTTCCTTGCCTAGGACAGTCATACATCACCTAACCATAGGGACACATTCTGAGAAATGTGTTGTTAGGTGATTTCAATATTGTGCAAACATCATAGAGGGTGTTTATACAAACCTAGATGGCATAGCCTACTACACATACACATCTAGGTTGTTTGGTATAGCCTATTTCTGCTAGGCTATAAACCTGTATAGCATGTTACTGTACTGAATACAGTAGGCAATTGTAACACAATGATAAGTATTTGTGCACTAAACACAGAAAATGTGTAGTCAAAATATATTTAACCTCATAAATCATCATTTACACCATCCGTTGTTGACCAAATGTTACTATGTGGTTCATGACTCTATTTGGAAGCACAAGTTACCTTTTGAGACTGAGTAATGCCTAGGGTTCTTCGATAATTCAGGTACCAAAAAAAAAATCACTAGAGGCAAAAATGTCCTTTCCGATAAAATGAGTAGAGAAAGGAGATTTCATGATTAATTGGGAAAAGTAAATGAGATATGACTATATTGTTCCCCAGAGAAAAGGATACAACTCCAAACCATCATTACTCACATGTGAGACAGTCAGGGCATTTTCAAATGTTTAAAGAATAAACAATTGTTTATGAGGAATGGAAGAAGCCTTTCATACATGGTATCTGAAGCAAAAAGGCCATTGCTCTAACCAGCGTCCTTCACAGTCAAATCTCCCCCATCGAAGTCCTATGGACTTCAATTTCTGACATAGAGGCAGCCATATGGAGAGAGAAAACCAGTTATAGAGACATTTTCAACTCTGACAAGAAATCTGCTTCATGGAAGAATATAAGCAGGGAAGGCCTAATTAGTAAGTGTAACACTGGCTCCTTAATTAAAATCTCCCTTTAGATTCAATCTATTCCATGGAATGACATGTAATAATATTGAGTTACAGTTATGAATGACTCTGTCCAAATGTTTTCATCTTTGATTAAGATAAGCATTGCCCATAGAGAAACAATCTTCCCAAGTTAAGTCATCTATGAATGAAGTCTTAGCAAATCGTTTTATTTGGGAGCTCCTGTGAGTATTGCCTACCAGAGGATATCTTGAGTGCACACTTTTCAAAAAGCTACCAAGTGAGATGAGGTGTTCAGCGCTATTACCACCCACACTTCAACAAAAGGAAAATATATGCACAGGTATACCTACACATATAGAGTAAAAGATATCCCTCCTTTTATTTATTTTTTTAAGCTTGTATTTTTTTATTTTTGTGAGTACATAGTAGGTATATATATTTACAGGGTACATGAGATGCTTTGATACAGGCATGCAATATGAAATAAGAACATCATGAAGAATGGGGTAGCCATCCCCTCAAGCATTCATCCTTTGAGTTACAAACAATCCAATTATACTCTCTAAGTTATTTTAAAATGTACAATTATTATTGACTATAGTCACCCTACTGTACTATCAAATAGTAGGTCTTATCCATTCTTTCTATTTTTTTGTATCCATTAACAATCCTTACCTCCCCCCCGCCAACTCCCCACTACCCTTCTCAGCCTCTGGCAACTGTCCTTCTAATCTCTATGTCCATGAGTTCAATTGTTTTGATTTTTAGATCTTACAAATAAATGAGAACACGTAACATTTGTTTTTCTGTGCCTGGCTCATTTCACTTTACATAATGATCTCCAGTTCCATCCATGTTGTTGAGAATGACTGGCTCTCATTCATTTTTATGGCTCAATTGTACTCCATTGTGTATATGTACCACATTTTCTTTATCCATTCATCTGTTGATGGACACTTAGGTTGCTTCCAAGTCTTAGCTATTATAAACAGTGCTGCAACAAACATAGGCATGAAGACAGCTCTTCAACATGCTAATTTCCTTTCTTTTGGATATATACCCAGTAGTGGGATTGCTGGATCATATGGTAGCTCAATTTTTAGTTTTGGGGGAACCCTCAAACTGTTCTCCATAGTGGTTGTACTAGTTTGCATTCCCACCAACAGTGTATGAGAGTTCCCTTTTCTCCACATCCTCACCAGCATTTGTTATTGCCTGACTTTTGGATAAAAGCCACTTTAACTTGGGTGAGATGGTACCTCATTGTAGTTTTGATTTGAATTTCTCTCATGATCAGTGATGTTGAGCATCTTTTCATATGCCTGTTTGCCATGTGTATGTCTTCTTTTGAGAAATGTCTATTCAAATATTTTGCCCACTTTTGATTAGATTATTAGATTTTTTTCCTATACAGTTGTTTGAACTCTATATTCCTCCTTTTAGAGAACTACAAGAGAATGAGAAACAATAAGTCCTTATTGTATCCTGGCATTTAATTAGATAAGTAACAATAACACACAATAACACTGCCACTTCCCTGTGACATCCTCTGAAACCATGAGGACCACATTGCCCTTGCATCTGCTGAAGACATTTTGTTGAGGGTGGGCAAAAGATAAAAGGGGGAAAGAAGTGGTAACAAAGCTTTTATCAATAATCAGTTGCTTTTGACAAATAATATTAATGCCCAGATCTTTGTAGCTATACCTCTATTCCACTTCACTTCCACAGTTATTTATGGTGGGCCACCTGCCAGAGGAACTGCAGAACCCCTGGGACAACAGGGACAACTGCTATGTCTTATTTGCAGCATAGGATCCAATGGTGTTCTGTCAGAAACATCAGAATGTTGTCTGATTATCTGACACATTCAAGGCTGCTCAGGCTTTGTTCATTTGGGCTAAAATCTGGCATCAAGGATGATTTTCTTTTGATGGGATTATAGTTAGTTGTGAATGTGTCTTGTTAATGAGATGTTTAGGATCAGGAACCATGTTCGATTAATTGTTATATTCCAAAATAAACATCTGTGGAACTGAAACTGGACTACTGCAATGATCTTCTAAATAGTCTTCAGTTATTAATGACCAAAAACTAACCTAGAAATTTTAGGTTCATAAAATTGGTAAGTCCAATAGTAGGATCAGCTTCAGGCATAGCTGAATACAGGAGTTCAAAGGCTGTCATCAGAATTTGATCTCTTGGCTTAGTTCTCTTTTCCTCTGTGTGTTGGGCAAGATTCTCACCAAGTTCTATCTTTTTTACCACAGATTGACTCTACCTTTAGTTTCCTGTCCTCCCATATTCACGTACAGCCTGTTTTCTAGTGTCCCATGAAAATCTCTGAAATTTACTCTAATTGGATAAGTTGAGACTAATTTTCATCCCTGAATTACTCACTGTAGCCAGAGAGGAGCATGTTCACCATTGGAGCCATGGCAATGCCCTACTCAGAGGTGTTTGATTATCTGTCAGCAATTTAACAACATTTTCCTTCTTTTATGCTCTCCCCTTATGGAAGGTTTGGAAGCCTGGGAGCTACATTGTCTGCAAGGTTCCAGGTTAGATTCTGCCAATGAGAGAACTAACCTGAGATTTGAAAGTCAGAGGAAATGCTGAAGCTATTGTTGCTCCTGGGGCAATAGCAGGCAGGTGGGTGAACTTTGGCAGAGGGCAGATGTAAGATTTCGATGGCAGCTTCCAGGCATCCTTCTGCCAATCATTAAATGTGGGGGCTGCAAGTAGCCAAGATCATTGCCAGATGTTCTGTGATTGCAGCATTTCTTGATTTCTTGTCTACTAGAGACAGTTTTCTTGACATCCACTCACCCTAGCCTTCCAATAGTTTCACAAACCTCTAATGCTTGTCTTTTATTATTATTATTATTATTATTATTATTATTATTATTGTAGTAGTTTTGGGGTAACAGGTGGTGTTTGGTTACACGGATAAATTCTTTAGTGGTAATTTCTAAGGTTTTGGTGCACCCATCACCCGAGCAATGTACACTGTACCCCATATGTAGTCTTTTATCCCTCACCCTGCTTTCCACCCTTCCCCCCGAGTCCCCAAAGTACATTGTATCATTCTTCTGCCTTTGCATCCTCATAGCTTAGCTCCCATTTATAAGTGAGAACATACGATGTTTGGTTTTCCATTCCTGAGTTACTTTACTTAGAATAAAGGTCTCCAACTCAATCAAGGTTGCTTCAAATGCTATATTTTCATTCCTTTTTATGGCTGAGTGGTATTCCATGGTGTGTATGCATGTATGTATATATACATATTTTTGCTGTTGCAAATTGTGCTGCTGTAAACATGTGTGTGCAAGTGCCTTTTTCATATAATGACTTCTTTTCTTCGGGGTAGACACCCAATAGTGGGATTGCTGGATCAAATTGTAGATCTACTATTATTTCTTTGAGGAATCTCTATACTGTTTTTCCATAGTGGTTGTACTAGTTTACACTCCCACCAGCAGTGTAAAAGTGTTCCCTTTTCACCACATTCATGCCAAGATGGAGTTGGTTAGATCATCAGATGTCTCTCACTGTCATAATTTTCTCTGTTATGATTTTTGCAAATGTGATTTCACCTGCATTTCCAAGGCATCTGTTTTCTTCCACTCTGTCTCTCCTTCCATATCTGTCATTCTGACATTTGATAATGCTTTCTTTAAATAAAAAATTTTCTGGAAAATTTATGGAAAAGCAGTTTGTTACTCTTTAACAGACAACATATCTGAACTAAACATGGCCAGGTAAATTCACTGTTTTGATGCTTAACCAAAAACTTACATTCAATATAATCATGTCAGGTGCTTGGCAGAGTCTTATTTGGATTTAAAAATCCAAAATAAGTGTTAAGGATGGGTTAGCACTACATGATTAAGGTTTTCACTATCACTGTTGTGTTGTTATTAATGCAGGCATACCTCGGAGACATTGCAGGTTTGGTTCCAAACCACTGCAGTAAAGTGAGTCACACAAAATTTTTGGTTTCCCAGTGTATATAGAAGCTTTATTTACACTATACTGTAGTCTATTAAGTTTGCAACAGCATTATGTTTAAATAATTATACATACCTTAGTTAGAAAACACTTGGGCTACAAAATGCTAATGATCATCTGAGCCTTCAGTGAGTCATAATTTTTTGCCTTGCTTGCTTCAATGTTGATCACTGCAAAGACAGTGTTAGGCTTTGGAGAAGGCAACACTAGTAAGACCAGGGTGGCTGAAGGTTGGGGTGCCCATGGCACTTTCTTAAGACAACAATGAAATTTGCCTCATAGATTGACTTGTTCTTTCATGAAAGATTGTGTGTAGCATGTGATGGCTGTTGATAGCATTTTACTGACAGAACTTCTTTCAAAATTAGAGTTAATCCTCTCACAGCCTGCCACTTCTTTGATGTAATATTCTAAATCCTTTGTTGTCATTTCAGCAATGTTTATAGCACCTTCACCAGGAGTATATTTCATCTCAAGAAACCACTTTATTTGCTTATCCATAAGAAGCAATTCCTCATCCATTCAAGTGTTATGAAATTGCAGCAAATTAGTCATATCTTCAGGCTCTACTTCTATTTCTGCTTCTCTTGCTATTTCCACCACATCTGCAATTACTTCCTTTACTGAAGTCTCAAACCCCTCAAAGTCATTCAAGAGTGTTGGAATCAACTTCTTCCAAACTCCTGTTAATGTTGATATTTTGACCTCCTCTAAGTCACATATGTTCTTAAAGCCATCTAGAATGGTGAATCATTTCCATAAGATTTTCAATGTACTTTGCCCAGATGTGTCTGAGGCATTGCTATCTATAGCAGCTATAGGTTTATGAAACGTATTTCTTAAATAATAAGACTTGAAAGTGGAAATTACCCCTTGATCCATGGGCTGCAGAATGGATGTTGTTTTAGCAGGCATGAAAATAGCACTCACCTCCTTCTACATCTCCATCAGAGCTCTTGGGTGGCCAGGTCCATTGTCCTGAACAGTATTCTTTTGAAAAGAATCTTTGTTTCTGAGCAGTAGATCTCAGTAGTAGGCCTAAAATATTCAGTAAACCATGCTGTAAACAAATGTGCTGTCATCCAGGCTTTGTTGTTCTATTTATAATGAAAGGCAGAGTAGATTAAATACAGAATTCTTAAGGGCCCTAGGACTTTCAGAATGGTAAATGAGCATTGGCTTCAACTTAAAGTCACCAGCTACATTAGCCTCTAACAAGAGTCAGCCTGTCATTTGAAGCTTTGAAAGCCAGGCATTGACTTCTCCTCTCTAGCTATGAAAAGCCTAGATGGCATCTTCTCCCAATAGAAGGCAGTTTTATCTACATAGAAAGTCTGTTGTTTAGTGTAGCCACCTTCATCAATGATCTTAGCTAGATCTTCTGGATAACTTGCTACAGCTTCTTCATCAGCACTTGCTGCTTCACCTTGCACTTTTATGTTATAGAGATGGCTTCTTTCCTTAAGCCTCACAAACCAACCTCTGCTAGCTTCCAACTCTTCTTCTGCAGCTTCCTCATTTCTCTCAGCCTTCATAGAATTGAAGAATTAGGGCCTTGCTCTGGATTAAGCTTTGGCTTAAGGGAATGTGGCTGGTTGGATCTTCTATTCAAGCCACTAAAGTCTTCACCATATCAGCACTAAGGCTGTTTTGCTTTCTTATTCTTCATGTGTTTAGTGAAGTAACACTTAATTTCCTTCAATAACTTTTTCTTTGCATTCACAACTTGGCTAACTGTTTGGTACAAGAGGCCTAGCTTTCAGCCTATCTTGGTTTTCAACATGCCGTCCTCAATAAGCTTAATTATTTCTAACTTTTGATTTAAACTGAGAGACATGCAACTCTTCCTTTCACTTGAACACTTAAAGGTATTATCGTAGGGTCATTAATTGGCCTAATTTCAGTTATGTTGTCTCAGGGAATAAGAAGCCCCAAACAGAGGGAGACAGACAGGGAATGGCTGGTCAGTGGAGCAGTCAGAACACACACAATATTTATCAATTAAGTTTGCTATCTTTTTTTTTTTAGATAGGGTCTCACTCTATCACCCAGGCTGAAGTGCAGTGGTGCAATCACAGCTCACTGCAGCCTCAACCTCCCAGGCTCCAGCAATCCTCCCACCTCAGCCTCCTGAGTAACTGAAACTACAGGCATGCATCACCGAACTCGACTAATTTTTGTATTTTTAATTTTTTTGTAGAGACAGGGCTGTACTGTGTTACCCAGGCTGGTCTCAAACTCCTAGACTCAAGCTATCTGCCCACCTCAGCCTCCCAAAGAGCTGGGATTACAGGTGTGAGCCACCACACCCAGCCTGCTATCTTATATTGGCGCAATTCATGATGTCACAAACCAGTTACAATAGTAACATCAGAGATCACTGATCACAGATCACCATAACAGGTGTAATAATAATAATAATAAACATTTGAAATATCTTGAGAATTACCAAAATGTGCCCCAGAAACAAAGTGAGCACATGCTATTGAAAAAAAAAAAATGGTACTGGTAGACTTGCTCAAAGCAGGGTTGCCACAAACCTCAGTTTGTAAAAACTCAGTGAAGCTCAACAAAGCAAAGCACGACAGAATGAGTATACCTGTGTTGCTGTTGTTATCACTACCTCATGGCTTTAAAATGAATAACATTATTAGGTAAAGCTAATGTAATACGGTATTATTCCTAGACAGTTATGTGACTACCAAAGTCCATTTGACACCTATGCTTGGACTCATGACTTCTCCATGAAAAATACATTTCCTAGCCAGCTCATTGATCAATTAGAATGTGAGTGGAAGTAATGTGTTCAACATCCATATCACTATATTAAAAAGGGATCCTTTGTCCTGGACTTATTTTCTTGGTCCTTCCTGTGAGCTGGAACACAGAAGTGCCTGCAATCCAGGGATTGCAGCACTGCTATTTGCCAACAAGGACAGCTCACTTTAGGCATTTATATAATTTTTACAAGAAAGGGAGGAAAGCCCTGCATTTTTTAAATCTACTTTAATTTAGATTCCTTTTTGTTACAAGAGATTAGGCATCTTAACTAATAATACACACTGACTTCAAACAATAAAGCAATGAATCACGTTCCCATAAACTAAAACCCAGTATAATCTCATATTTTAAAAAGTCGAACCTCACTGTTCAGTTTCCACATTTGTGATTTTACCTATTTGCTAAAATTTATTTGTAACCCCGAAATCAGTACTCGTGGCTCTTTCACAGTCATTCCTGGATACGTACAGAGGCAGAGGAACAATCTGAGGTGCCAGACACGCATGTTCCCAGCTGAGGTCAAACAAGACAATGCTGCGTCTTCTTGTTTCAGCTCTCATACTGTAAGCAAGTGCTCTTTTCATGCTGTATTTAGTGCCACACTTCACATTTTTGTGCTTTTTTTTAATTGGTAAGTCACTTGATTGTAGAATATTCTGTAGTTTTTTGTTGTTTTTTTAACTTCTGAAGTACAGTTATTTAGCATATGGATTTTTCTCAAATGACTTTCTGTCAGGATGTTTAAGGATACAAATCCCATTGAGAGAAATAAAAATTCATTCCTGAAGATCAAACTGCAGTCTCCCAACAGCATTACCTGTTATGAATGGGTGGCTGGGAAAGTCTTAGAAGGTAAGTTCTTGGAGGACAAGAACCTACACGACAAGTATCAACCACACACAATTAATAGAGTGTGGGGATTTTTAAAAAATATTAGCTTATACTGTGACTTCAGCATGCTGCAACAATGTCTGCACAATGCCAAAAACATCCAGATGGAAGTGGAGAACTCAGCCGCTACCACATGCTTCATCTGCACCGATGTCTTATGGAGACAGCCAGCACAGATCTCTGGGACCTGGAAGAGTTACCAGGCAAGAAGCCAGAGGGGAGAAATATCGCCAATATATGTTTAAATTAAATTAATTAACATTTATATAACTCTCTACACAGTATAAGTAACTTCTATCAAATATAGTGTCTCATTTAATCAGAACTACCACCCTATAAATTAGGTATTATTATTTGCCCAATTTTACAGGTAAAATTTAAGGCTCCAAAAAATTTAGATCACACAACTCATAAAGAATGGAGCCAAGACTTGAACCCTGGTCTTCTTATGTAGTCAACAATGATTGAGAGCTTACCTGTGCCAAGAACTTCTGACTCCAATGAAACCATACCCTTGTACTGTAATTGATGTCCTCTATGTAGATGTGATGTGTTATCATAGAGAGGAAAGGCAAACATAAATGGTTCATATTTCATTATATATCCTGATTTTCATATATATACATGAATATATATGTTCACTTTTCTATCTCCCTACAAAGAACGTGAAAAAGCAAAAAAAAAAAAAAAAAAAAGCAAAACAAAAAAATACCCAATAAAAATACCAGATATAGGTGGAGGGGTAAATTGGATCTATTTAATATTCACTGGATTTTGTTCTGTACAGCCTTAATACTGCAAACATGAGCCCAGACAGGTTTTGCATACCTTCCTGGACTATCCACACCTAACAAGGCATATGCTTCGGTGAAGACAGACAATAATAATCCAATATGTTTCTAAGATTCACAAGTTGACAACGTGGGGCAAGTTGCCAATTTTGCATTCCTGAAAATTATTCTAACTAATGGGCCTAGTTAATGGTATTATGCTCCAGGATGACAGTTCTGGGTTTATTCTTGTTTCTAGAACCATCCAGATCAACATAATTCTGTCTGCACATTTTTCATCAGTACATTTGTATTCACCTTGCAGGTGTTCACTTTGGCCATAAGCATCCACTAAAGTAACTTGGTTTAATGGGCAAAAAGACATGCATAGAAACACAACACTGACCTTGGGATTGTCATTTTCTACAGACTGAAAAGAAAGGAACGAAAGTTACCTTCAGAAAATACAGAAAAGTGGTATCAAATGAGACACATCACAGCCACGTGCAGCAAGTTTCTGAAGTTTCATGGCAACCAGGAGATAAAAATGAGTGGATGTATAAAGGACACAGCCACTTACTCATGTGCTGAGGCAAATGGAACTTCCTGAAGCCTCATGGTTCAAAACCAAATCTCATATCCAGGGCAGGTTGATTTTTCTAGAACGTTAGTCACCTCTCCACAACCACTTATACTTTCACTTGCTATAAAATAATTTTTTATATCAACAGATATTCACATATGCCTATACTCAACCCCTGCCTGAATTTCCAAAATTATTCCCCAAAAAAAAAAAAAACAGTGTCAGTTGTTTCCAATCAGTCTGATTTGGGTGCCTAAACTGCAAGCTATATAACCCAATAAGAACATATAATTCATGCCACACTTACAGAGGCATTATATTTTGAGTACCCAAAGTAACTTGAATTATACATATTAGAATTTCTAATCATGCATAATTTCATGTCATAAAATAGACACCCTGTAACCTCAGAATTATATTTATCTACCAAAGATTTCCATGGTAAAAACTATCACCATCTATACATACTTTCGAGACACAATATTTTAAATCAGGAGTCAACAGTATATAACTAATGGGCCAAATACAACCTGCAGCCTTAATTTAATATTCACTGGATTTTGTTCTGTATGGCCTTACAGAGGTAAGAATAATTTTTATAGTTTTAAGTAATTGTTTTTTAAACAAAGAAAGAAACAAAAACAAAGAAGACTATGCATGAGAGGGCATATGTGGTCTGCAAAGCCTAAAATATATACTATCTGGCCCTTTAGATAAAAAGTTTGAAGACTTGTTTTAAATGATGAGTTGCAAATACTTATTTTCATTTGTGGTATGTAATGACAGCATAACATTATGATACCACACACCTGAGTTCAGTGATAGAGGCTTCTATTGCTTGCCATTGACAGTAGCTGCCTAAAGCACCATGGAGGGATCTGAGGCCACACTCAAATGTGCAGGAAAGGATACTATTATCAAATAGTCACGATCCATGGATGTGGGAGGGTGAAATGGGGTTACAAGCCCTATGCGTTGCCCTCCTTGCCTTAGCTCCTACGGGGAGATTTTTTTAAGTGTAGCTATAATTATATATGCAATTAAATATGCAAGCATAAGAAACAAACATGTTAACAATGCAAGACTGCATGAAAAAAAAAGCCAGACCTAGCCTGGAATGTATCATGCCACATGTTCACTGGGTGACTAAAATTAGCTTGTAGAGTTGCACAAATAAAATACTTATACACTCAGAAAATTCAGGTTTTTCAATTGAACAATTTCTCCAAGTGTAAAGGTTGAGCTTAGGTGCTCTGGAATCCCAGAAACTTTGCCTTTGAGTGCTCCAATCAATCATGTAGATCATTTTAGCAAATATTCATAAATAATAAAGGCATGTTATCATACCCAAGGATGGCCTAGCTGGCGGCTTCCTTATAGCAGATTACACATTTCATGTGCCAATTCTCTTCCCCTACCCATGAAGGAAGAGAAACAAATCTCCAAAAAGGAAGGCTCCTTCTTGAGTCTGCAGTTCCTAGGATGAGACCAGTAACTCCATTCCTTCTAACTCTGACAAGGACATAAACCAGACACACAACATCCCCGTTATACTCCAGTCTCAAAAGCACAGCACGGTATATTTCTGTGGCATTGCTTCAAAATGTATTACCTCATCAATTCATTTCTGAAAAAGTCAAAATAGTGGAGGCAGTCTATTTTGCCAACATTTTGAATCAAAGCTGTTTTGAGTTCTTCACGCACCAGAAAGCAGCGTTACTTAATGAGCTGCATCCTCTCCCAGTATTGGTGCAGTTTTGGGTTCAGAACTGAACACAATATATTCATTCACTTGTTCACTTATTCAATAAATACTAATCAAGGGTGGACTGGCTGTCAGATGCTTTAGTTAGATACTCTTGAAGCACAGGAGGGATCAAAACACAGTCCCTGGCTGGGCTTAGTGGCTCATGCTTTAATTCCAGCATTTGGGAGGCTAAGGAGGGAGGATCATTTTAGCCCAGGAGCTCAAGACCAGCCTGGGCAACACAGTGAGACTCTGTCTCTACAAACAATGTAAAATTAGCAGTTTGAGGCTGCAGTGAGCCCTAATTGCACCACTGCACTCCAGCCTGGGCAAGATCAAGACTCTGTCTCTAGAGAAATAAAAAATGGAAAAAATAACAAATAAGCAAAACAGAGTCCCTGGACTCAAAATCTAAGAGAGGCAGATATAGATGCAAACAAACTAGGGCTGGGTGCTAGGTGCAGTGACAGGAAAAGCTGGAGGTGCAGCAAGAGTAACCAGAAGGGGCAGTTTATCAAGACATACGGAGACAGAATCAGGACAGGCTTTCTGGACAGGTCAAAGCCCATGATGACCCATAATGAGAGAAGTTGGACACTATGGCTTGACTTGCACCGGCACCTGTGTACTCAGGACAAAAAGATGGATAGGTAACTCTGGATCTCCAGAGGTCAGTAGAGACCTCAAGGGGGGACCAATGCACACAAAGCGGCTCCAGGTAGGACCACAGGCAGCTGTGGGACTGCAAGGACTGAGCCACACCTCGTTAGTCAGTGCTGATCAACCTCATGGTTCACTTGTATATTCTTTACTCAAGAGACCTATTTTTTTTTTAAGTCCAAGACATAAAAACTATAACATAACAAAAAGACTTATAACAATACTATCCCAAGTTCTGGGGAGGAGGGGTCCTTTTTTCGGTGTATTCCATGGGTTCCCTCCTAGCAGGCAGAGCGAGGGAGACTTCCTGCTTCTCTCCACAAAACAGCAGCAGCAATGACAACCCAACGACGAGTCCAGCCCTCAGAGTTGGGCCCTCATAGTGCCAGGTGACAGGGACAGGGAAACCATGGGAAACAGCTGGGGATCCTGATTTAAATCTCCCCATTTCAGCTTCGATCCCTAAATAATTGTTTTTTCCACCTTGTTATTTTACCCGTCCTAGTCATTGGCCACAAGAGAAAGAATGAGGCTCCCAGGAGGTGCGTAGGTTCTTGATGCACCCCTGCACCCCAGAATATCCGTTAGACCTTCTTAACCTGCAAAGCTGGCTCATTGCTATTGTCAGGTCAGGAGGTACAAAGCGGGACACAGGAAGCAGAACCTCCAGGCTACAGTGAAGATGAAAAAGGAGGACGGGGGAGGAGAGGAGGAGAGGAGGTCACCTACAGTGTCCTGTTTGAGAGGCTGGAGCCCACGGCTGAGTGTTATTTTAGAATTTGGTATGTTTTGCCAGCGCAGCATTGCCTGCCCGCCGTCACCCCCTACCAGGGGGGAATTAGGCTAATTATGTCTCCAGGCAGGTATTCCCCTAGTTAAGGGAACACAGAAATAAGTAGGAAAGTTGGTATAGATGGGAAACTGTGAGCCACAAAAGGACAGCACCTCGAAGGCCTGTGCTCCCCAGAGCCTTTGTGTCCACATTTCAGAATGAACCATGAGAAGCAGGACAGAGAGGACTCTAAATGGGGTCAGTGAGGAGGCTCACACAGTACAGGTGTCAGAGCTGGAAAGAACCTTGGTCAGCTCATCTAGTCCCAATCTCCTTTATTTACACATGAGGAAACTGAGGACTCAAGACATGACAAGGCTTGCCTAACATCTCCCAGTGGGAGAAGAACGGTATATACCCTATTGCCAAACTTTCTGCCCAAAGCTCTTTTTACAACACCATCATGCTCCAATTGCTCGCCACCCTGAATTTGATTGCTAGGGCTGCCATAATGAAGTGCCTCATACTGGGTGGCTTAAACAACAAGAATTTATTTCCTCACAGTTCTGGAGGCTGGAAGTCCATGATGGAGGTGCCAGCAGGGTTGGTTTCTCCTGAGGCCTCTCCCCTTGGCTTGCAGATGGCCGCTGTCCCCCTATCTTTACATGTTCTTCCCTCTGTGCGTGTCTAGGACTACATTTCCCATTGTTATTAAAGTCACCCACCATATTGGATTAGGGTCTGCCTACTAAATTCATTTTAACCAAATCACCTCTTTTAAGGCCCTATCTCCAAACCTGGGCCCATTCTGAAGTACTGGGGGTTAGGACTTCACCATGTGAAGGAGGGGGAAATTCAGCCCCTATTACCCCTACAGCCTTTCCTCAGTTCCTTTTCCGTAACTTACTTTACTGGTGCCACACAACCCTGTCGCTCTGATGAAAGTCAATTAGACAGGGACCACTGAGCATCCGGAGTTTGATCTCCTGCAAGCCCAGATGCCCATAAAGCTGTTGGTTGTGACGTCCCCACCCAGTAGGGGCAATAAGCTGGACCAATCCAGGCTCTTTCTTGGGCAGTTTGAATGGAGACATGCAGAGAACTCTAAGTAGGATCTCAATGAAGCAGAAGCAAAAGAAGAGCCAAGGCCACAGAACGGCAAGCACAGGAGCCGACCCACAGCCCTGCTGCCACTGAAGACAGAGAAAGCCTGGACACCAGACCCGGCTGGACTGCAGATGAGAGTCCAGCGACCAAACTGCTCAGCCTTGGTAAGGCCTGCATACAGCGGGGCCTTGCTTCTGAGGCTGCCAGTGTATGATCTTCCTTATCTCCAGTAGCATCCTGATGTTAAAAACCCAACTGACAAATCAATGAAACCAATACTTGGGGGAACAATGGTAAACCAAATGTTCTGACTCTAGATCACCCTTTAATTTTCTGTCTGGGAAATGCGTGTTTCCTGGGACAAAGAAAAAACTCAGGCATAGGCTTTCTCTTTTCTCTGAGACTGTGAAAGTTCCAAGGGGTTGAAACAGAGCTGAAATCACCCTGCTTCTCCCTGAAACAAGGATAAATAAGAAGCAAGAGACCAGAGAAGCAAAGTCTAAAATGCCCACATCATTGTGGGCTGCTTTCTTTCTAGTTGAATTCTGAATTGTATACAAAATAAGCCTGAGTTTAAATGCACTGGAAAGAAGGAAGAACGGTGATTCCTTCAGCAAACGTTCCGTGAATGCCCTCCCTACCTGTACTCCTCACTTATCTTTTGAGAACATTTCACAACAGAGGAGTTTCAAGAGTCTCACATCATTTATAGATTAAGGCATCAACCAATTGGATGATGCTCACCTGCCAGGCACTGGGCAGATCTTCCCTACTCAGTTCACTGATTCGAATGCTAATCTCTTCCAGAAAACACCCTCACAGGCACACCCAGAAATGGTGTAGCAGCTACCTGGGCATCTCTTAGCCCAGTCAATTATACACATAAAAATAGCCATCACAGCCTTTACATGACAATCACCTATATACAGCCTTTACATGATTGTACATTTAGCTTTTTAAGCAGTTAAAGCTCAACATTTGCCATTTCATTCAAAGGAGTGCTCTTTTTAAACATTTCTTTATAATTTCCCTGTTTAGATTAAACCCTCTGTTTCTTTGCCCATTTCAGTCATTCTACTCTAGACTTACTTCAATTTGTTTTTCTCTTTCTAATAGCCATGACCCCCAAATACACAACAAGGTTTCAGAATCATTCGGTGCAAGCCCCTCTGCAGTAGAAATCAGGTCCCTGGTTTTTGTTTTATTTCCCCCAACACCGAGTACAGTGCCCCTCACACGGAAGGCAGGCACAAATATCTTCTGACTCATTTCTTTATTCAGGCTATTTGTGGCAGAAGGGCCATTTCTCCCCCAGGGCAATGAGACTCTTCACCTATCTCACATGGAAACACTAAGATTCTGGACTTCTCTTACCTTTTAAACAATGGTTAGTTACGTTACTGCCCCTTGCAATAGTGTATGTTGTTGACCTGAAGCCGCATGGAGGCTACCAATTCACATCTCATCCCTGAGTCTTTTCATCAGCTCTGGAAAAAAACCAAATATGTAACATAAATTCCTCTCTGACCCAAAACTCAACTGCCAATGGAGGAAATGGAAGTTCGTCAGAAAAACATTTTAACCTTGGCTCTTCTTCCTCTAGCAACTTAGATAACCCTAGATCAAGCCTTCCTTTTCAGAATTAACAATTTCTTGCCAAGAAATTCCCCAAGAGGCTTCACAGGCAAAACCGGACAATAGCTGATGAGGCTGCTGCAGGGTTACCTGAGCAAATACATACTGCATCTCCTATGGGAGAGGGTTCGGGGAATAGGGAGAAGCCTGTGTGGATGAAAAAAGAAAAAAGGTGACTTTTTCTAATCACTTCTAAGTATTCCTTTTTTGTAAAACAGTTTAGCTGTTAACTTCTATGCTAAGGCACGTATGCACTTTGGAAAGGTAATTTGAGAGCGAGTTGAGCCATGACAAATAGGGACAGCTGGCCTAATTGAATCATTTGATCTAAGACAGCTCAACTTGGTTATCCTCACTGCAGCCCACACTGATATTAGGGAGTGAATCATTAGCCATGAAATCATGTCGACTTTCCCGACTGCAGCGTTCTTGACATGACAGCAATCGCAACCTGCCTTTCATTAGAGCCCCAATAAGTTCTTTACTCTGTCAGGAAAACAAGAGAGCAGCTTGGGAAACTTTTAGGCTCAGCCTCAGAAAGTCATTTGCTCCCACATGCCACGGAGAGCATTTCAAAGCAAGGCAGGGGATGAGTTGGCTGCAGGAACAAGAAAGCTTACCCAGGCGAAGTGCATGCAAGCTTCTTCAGTGCCCACACCTGCTGTTCCAATGTAACAGCAGCCTGATTTTTGTAAGCAACAATTTGTAATCCCTTGGGAAAGTGGGAAAGTGGGGTCATGATAAAATACTTTAACACTTGACCCACAGACATCCCTAATAAGAATCTTCATGTATGTCAGACTTTCCTGTCATCTTTAATTTACTTTTCGCAAAAGGAAGGGGCAAATTCCTCTTTTCACTGGGTTTGTCAAAGGCAGTGAGGCATTTAAGAGAGCTCAAGAGGAGAGGCTTGTCCATTGAAATGCAGAATAAGCCCTTGGGTGCATACAGCACTGAAGGTGCTGCATCCTTAACTTACTCTCCTACAAGTAGAGGCCTTCTTTAGGTCCCCCTCTCAAAACTGCACCTGAGAGACATTAGCCTCCATTCCTTTGCAAGCAGAGCCTGAGTCAAATATTGTGAGGACCAAGAGAAGTGAGGCAGGGAAGCAGAGAAAGCCAATGCAGGGTACATCAGCCTCTGACTTGAGCAACTCTCCTGGATCTTGCTGGAGCCTTCGAGGAGCCCATGAAAGGCAGCTGGAACTGTTGGCTGAGGAAGAAAGGAGGAAGCACTTACTCTCTTGCGCCTGCTCTCCATTGGTTAAAGACGGCCCCACAGAGGTAGACTCCTTGTGCCTCTAGGTTACATGTGTGAGTGATGAGTCACTTCTCTCAGCCTCAGCAACACCCAGGACCCTGCAGTCTCAGGCAAGGCACTGTCCCATTGTTGTGCCCAAGGCTGGCCAAAGCCTCCCTAGAACTGGCCTGGTGGTACAAGAGGTGGGCCAATAAGATTTTGAAGAAATTATAATGATAAAGAGTTAGGAAAAACAGGAAAAAATGTAGCTTGGATGGAGTTCATGGCAGGTAAATTGTAGACAAAGTAGTACATTCAAAGATTTGAAAAAAGTCATAATAATGACATTTGCAGATAACATTTATGCTGAAAATACCAACAAATTTAGGATGGAATATAGCCAAGACCGAGAAACAAGAATTGATAAAGCTCACATTCACAGCCATCTAAACAGTAGGTGAATCTGGAAAGCAATGACAGAAACTCCTTAAAACGAATGTTGAGTTGGTAAGCATGCCAGTGCTGTATGTGTGGGTGTGTGTGGGTGTGTACACGCATGTGTGTGTGGGTACAACAGTCTGAACTGTAAAATTTCAGAGCTGGAAAACAACGTCAAAGTCATCTTCTCCAAATTCTCTGTCATTACATATAGGAAAATCGAGCAACTTCAAATTCCACTGCTTGGTGGTGGCAGAGTTGACTCCTAAAACTAGACCACACTGTGCTTTCAAACCAACTTGAACCAAACAACCAGTTTCACTGTATGACGAGAGCGGTGGCAAACAGTGATTTGACGTTGAGACCTGGTCATTTTGTAACACCCCATGCCTCCACACAACAAAAATATTTCATAGTAATCATGACAGGAAACAAGGATAACAGCCAGAAAAGAATTGCAGACAATGAAAAAATTTTAATGTACTCTATATGTAATTGTGCCAGTAAAAAATTAAAGCTTTAAAATTTAAATAAATATTACTACAGTACAAAAAGAAAAAATGCAGAACTATGTATTCAATTGTTTTTTAATAGAACTAGTCATCTGAATTTGATCCACTGGTCACAGTTTGATATAATAATATTTTATGTAAATCATTGTCCATAACTAATTTGTAAATTTTAATAAAACCAAAATGTCTGCAATAGGTGAAATTTAGGAATTTACTAAACAGTGCCGCTTATGTAGCTTTTTATTTTCCTGATTTTGTAATAGTTTTAAAGCAATGAACTATTTTAAAGGAATAAATTTTAATTTTAAATGTATCTTCAAATTCAGTAAAACATTTCATGCCGAACTAAATTTGCCCTTACCAACAAAAATCTTACACTTGTTATTGGCACTCAGTTTTACTGTTTTAAAATGTAAGTACAAATAAAAACTCCAAGAAACCACATAGATTGTTAGAGTTAAACTCAAGCTCTCTTCCTTCATCTTGGCAATCATAATGCTCTCACTGCTTATTTCTAATCTATGATTGATTAACCCTTTCCCAGGGACCAGCACACAAACTCTACCCAAGGCAAGCCAGAGAACTCAAGTCATTTCTCCTGAAATGAGCATGTTGCAGAGTCTACATGTGTTGGCCTTACTGTATAACCAGGAATTCTTTAACTTCTGTGTAGAATATCATGTTAATAAGAATAAGAACAATATGCCAATTTAGCTGTGTTTTGACTTTGGGTTAGGCAGTTTTACTTAGATATGACAACAAAAGCATATATGACAAAAGATAAGATACACTCCATTTCATTGAAATGGAAACAATTTGTGCCTCAAATGATAACACCAAGAAAGTGAAAAGACAACCCACCAAATGTGAGAAAATACCTGCAAATCATACATACGACAAGGAGCTAATTTCCAGAGTATATCAGGAACACTTACAACTCAACCATAAAAGGACCAATAACCCAATTTAAAAATGGACAAATGATTTGAATGGATACTCCTCCCAAAAAGATATGCAAATGTCCAACAGCCCTATGAAAAGAAGCTCAATGTTATCAGTCAGGGAAATGCCGATCAGAACCACAAATGAGACACCACTTTACACACAACAGGATGTCGAAAACAAAGGAGAGAGAAAATAACTCTGGGTGAGGACGGAGAGAAACTGGAATCCCCATACATTGTTGATGGGTCTGTGCCCACTTTGGATCACAAACTGGCAGTTCTTTAAAATGTTAAACATACAGTTGTCATCCAACCCCACAACTCCACTCCCAGGCATATACAGAGAATATTATAGGCATATATAGAGAAATGAAAACTTTAGCTATTATTTAAACTCAATAATGACTCACAATTATTTAGAACTTAGATCACAAAAGATTTTTTCAGAGAGTATTTTGTCACTAACATGATTTAGAATTGCTGGTCCATGGTGATAATAAAAAGCAGACCGAGCCAGGCGTTGTGGCTCACGCCAGTAATCCCAGCACTTTGGGAGGCCAAGGCAGGTGGATTACCTGCAGTCAGGAGTTGAAGACCAGCCTGACCAATATGGTGAAACCCTGTCTCTACTAAAAACACAAAAATTATCTGGGTGTGGTGGCATGCACCTGTAATCCCAGCTACTAAGGAGGCTGAGGAAGGAGAATCGCTTGAACCCGCGAGGCAGAGGTTGCAGTGAGCCGAGATCATGCCATTGCACTCCAGCCTGGACAACAAGAACAAAACTCCATCTCAAAAAAAAGAAAAGAAAAAAAGAAGACCAGCCTATGGTCCATTTTATAATTGTTTTTGAATTCTCTACAGACAATACACCCCTTCTTGCATGCCCCTGGGTGGACCAGTGACATACTGTCACTGAGTGTCTCTGGTTTAAGGGTGTAGGGTCCAGCCTAACGTATGTCAGGAGTTTGTTGTCAAGACAGACCTTTCCCTGCCATGCAGTCTCCCTTCTCTTTGTTCATGTTCTGAGATAATGGAAGAGCTTTATTTCTCTGCCACCTACTTCCAAGCCTTGGTTTCAGCCATTTTTTCTATCAATAAATTTCTTTTATAAAGTGTTTTGATCCATAAACTTCTGGACAGCACAGAGATGAAGAAGCCAAGAAGGATTTGGAACTCTAGCATTTAAACTATGACTTTTATTTAATCCCATGCATGCACACATGTAGAAACTATTTTCAATGGTCCATTATCCTGCTTATGTTCAAAAACCTAATTCATTGAATAAGGTAAACTCAACCATCTTCACTAAGTATGGACTAGGTGAGGCATGGCAAAACAACACTTTCTGAATAATTAAAGCACCTTCATGTCTATGAAAAATCCAAGAAACACAGAGGTTAAAAGACTTTCCTATGATCACACAGGACTTAGTTGTAGACCCAGTTTCCTTATCCTTTCCTTAGATAGCTTTTCACTTAAAAGCTTACACATAACAGTATCTGGAGTGGGAAGATACCACTGAAATACATGAAACTACTTAGACTTAACAGTGCATAGTCAAATGCTATGAGACCCCTGGAGATGTAGGGAGGTAAAAGCTGAATGGAGATGTCAAGAAAGGGCTGGTAGGTAAGATGAGGCTTGAGGCTGTTCAAAATTAAAGAAAAAGGAGGAGGAATCAATTCCCCCAGTGGGACCATCAGCGAGGACAGGGAAGCCCTGGCAATTCAGTGAACTACGGCAGGCAGGTCACTTTGCCTCTCTGGGACCACTTTATTCTCTCCTAAATGAGGGAGGGGCAAAGCTGTAATGGCAGGAGAAAAATGTATCCACCAGAATCCTCCAAAAGAAAGCTGTGTATATTAGAAAGAAATACCTTGAAAATCAAGAGCGTACTCAAGTACCAAAGATGTATTAGTCTCTAGAGGGTTCTCTAAGGGGGCAGGACTAATAGGATAGATGTATATATGAAGGGGAGTTTTTTAAGGAGTACTGACTCACATGATCACAAGGTGAAGCCCCACAATAGGCTGTCTGCAAGCTGAGGGGCCAGGAAGCCAGTTTGAGTCCCAAAACCTCAAAAGTAGGAAAGCCGACAATGCAGCCTTCAATCTGGACCAAAGGCCTGAGAACTCCTGGCAAACCACTGATTTAAGTCCAAGTGTCCAAAAGCTGAAGAACTTGGAGTCTGATGTTCGAGGGCAGGAAGCATCCAGCATGGGAGAAAGATGAAGGCTGGAAGACTCAGCCAGTCTAGTCCTTCCATGTTTCTCTGCCTGCTTTTATCCTAGCCTCGCTGGCAGCTGATTAGATGGGGCCCATCCAGATTGAGGGTAGGTCTGCCTCTCCCAGTCCCCTGACTCAAATATTAATCTCCTGTGGCAGCACCCTCACAGACACACCTAGAACAATACTTTGCATCCTTCAATCCAATCAAGTTGACACTTAATATTAACCATCACCACCAGGGATTCCATTACTGCATAAAAGAAGAATTTGGCCAGGTGCAGTGGCTCATGCCTGTAATCCTAGCACTTTGGGAGACCGAGGTGGGCGGATCACCTGAGGTCAGGAGTTCAAGACCAGCCTTGCCAACATGGAGAAACCCCGTCTCTACTAAAAGTACAAAATTAGCTGGGTATGATGGTGCATGCCTGTAATCCCAGCTACTTGGGAGGCTGAGGCAGGAGAATCACTGAATCCGGGAGGCAGAGGTTGCAGTGAGCCAAGATCGTGCCATTGCACTCCAGCCTCGGCAATAAGAACAGAACTCCGTCTCAAGAAAAAAAAAGAAAAGAAAAAGAATTTACTTTTTTTCTGAGAGAAGGTGGGTAGGAGAGTGAGAGGAGGGAGATGGAGGGAGAGAGAGTCAAAGGAAATGATAGAATTTGGTGTAGGATACCATGTGACCTCCTTTTGACGCCCTCCCCAATGTTCATGAAAGCAATGTGCTCAGTGTGGTGGGACTGCTTATGGAAACTGGCAAGGGATGAAGTCCTGTATCCCAGGTGGTCCTCCTGGGTAGAATCAGGTGTGGCACCAAGGATGTAGGAACCAACTGACTTCTGCATTACACTGTATGAAGGCCCTGGATTAGTCTCCTGTGGCTGCCATAACAAACTCAGTGGCCTAAGGCAACAGAAATTTATTATTAAAGTCCTGGGGTCCAGAAGTCCAAAATCAAGGTGTCAACAGGGCCATGCTCCATCTGAAGTTTCTAGGGAAGAACCTCTCCTTGCCTCCTCTAGCTTCTGGAGGTGGCCAGCAATCCTGGGCATTCTTTACCTTGTAGCTGCCTCGCTCCAATCTCTGCCTCCATGGTCACATAGCCTGCTTCCCTGTGTGTCTCCAAATCTTTACGTCCTTATGAGGGCCTCAGTCATCAGATTTGGGGCCCACTCTAATCCAGTATGACCTCATCTTTACTTGATTATTTCTGCAAAGACATGTCTTTTTGGTTGTTAGCAGGGGCAAGGGTTGCATTTTTTTAAATTTTATAATTTCAACTTTTATTTTAGATCCAGGGGTACATGCGCAGGTTTGTTACATGGTTATATCATGTGACACTGAGATTTTGGGATATAAATGATCCCATCACCCAGGTGGTGAGCATAGCACCCAATTGGTAGTTTTTCAGCCCTTACCCCCCTCCCTTTCTCCCCCTTCTAGTAGTTACCATTGTCTGTTGTTCCCATCTTAAAATATATCTTTTTGAAAGGCAAAATTCAACTCACAGGAAGCCCTGACTTGTCCTTGAATACTTTGTATGTGCTTTGCTATGAGAAGCCCAAAGTAGCTGTATAATAATTGGGTCATTAATTGATATGATCAACGAAGGGCAATCCACTTTAACCTATTTCCATCTGCAAGCCTTTGGCTCCTCTTTGCTTCCTGGAGGAATGGTTTTATCAGGGTGGAAGGACAGGGTTAAGGGATCCTTACAACTTCCCCCTTTTTGCACCCTTTCAGAGAAGCATTGGGTTCAGGCAATGGTTTTCAGGAAAGATTCATCTTGTTAATAAGCACACAATGAATAGGTCAATAGAGCCTGCTTGACCCCAAGACTTCCCAGATATCTCTTTGGGCATGTAGTGTACACAAAGGCCTGCTCCCTCCAATTCACTACTTGCCCGTTCTCTCTCTCATGCCAACATGGTTTGAGTATGTGGACCTCAAGTACAGTTGATCCGTTCTTTTTATACTAAAAAAAAATCACTCACCCCAATATTAGACAATCCTAGTGTTCACCAAAGTTGATTGTACTTTTACTTCTCAATTGTAATTGTTATAAATCCTAATCAAACGTTTTCATAAATCCCCAAATGTAATATATTGTCTGATGGCTTTAGGTCATATGCCTTTCTCCTTGATCTTAAAAACTCATCCAATTTCTCTCTTCTGGCATTGGGAGAGTCTGATGAGTCTTAAGTGGTCTTAGCCGGAGCGTCTCTTTTCTCACACCCCCTTCCACGCCTGTCACTAATACTTTTTGCAGCTCCACTCCTCTTGCCCTTTCTATTTAAGCCATCCTGGAGCATTCTCAATACTCCCCTTATTGAGTATTTGCATTGTACACCTCTAACTTGCTGCTTCAGCCTATGCTATTACCCTTCTGTCTCTTGGTCTCTCTCTGTCTGTCTGTCTCTCTCTCTCTCTCTCTCCCTCTCACAAACACACACACACACACACACACACACACACACAGAGAGAGATGGTTTGGTTCTGTGTTCCCACCCAAATCTCATCACGAATTGTAATCCCCATGTGTTGAGGGAGGTTGCTGGTGGAAGGTGATTGGATCATGGGGGGTGTTTCCCACATGCTGTTCTGGTGATACTGAGTGAGTTCTCACGAGATCTGATGGTTTAAAAGTGTGTGTCAGTTCCCCCCACCCCCTACTCTCCTGTTGCCATGGTAAGACGTGCTTGCTTCCCCTTCATCTTTCACCATAATTGTAAGTTTTCTGAGGCCTCTCAGTCGTGCTTGCTGTGAAGCCTGTGGAACTGTGAGTCAATTAAACCTCTTTTCTTATAAATTACCCAGTCTCAGGTAGTTTGTTATAGCAGTGTGAAAATGGACTGATACACGCACATGCACACACACACACTCAAGTGGCATTATCCCAACTGGACTGTCAAACCCTGGAGGGCAGGAATCATGCCTTGTTTCTCCCTATATGTCTTATAACATATTGCACTGTGTCTTATATGTGCTAGGTGTTCAAAAAAATACAAGTATCATTAACGTGAACTAGAGAGACTTTTCTTCCACCTTTTCAGGTCCTGGGATCCCATGAATCACAAAATTGCAAAGGCAATGAAGCTCACTAAGAGACATGCATGTATTTCTTGCTTATTCAGATACGCAAGTATATAATGCTATTCATCTCTGAAGAAGAGAGTGTGTTGATTGGGACTGTGTAATTCTTTCAGGAATGGGCCAAAATTGTGCTAAAGATCTGGTGGTAAGAGAGACACAACACTGCATGTCTCTGCCAGGAGGAAACCAGGCGTAACAGAGGAACCCGTTTCAAGGCCCATCTTAAAATGCAGCAACAGAGACTCAGCCCCACCTACAGGGAGACCCAAAGCTGTTGCTGTTGAAAAAAAAGTTGAAAAAGTCTTACCCAGGGTGCCTTCCTCTTTTATATTTGAAAGAAGATTAGTATGCTCACACTGACCCTTCTAGGCCCTCTAGTTCGCTTCCTCTTACCTTGTAAGAGGTCAGTCTGAAAAGGCAAACTTTTGAATTAAGAAGTGAATAAGTCCTCCAGACAAGCCCCTTTAAATGCCATGTCACTTGACCAAAAGTTAGGAATAATAGAAACCTTGGCAATGAGATCATCTGTTTCCATGTTTCACAATGCAAATTCCCCTCTGATTTTTCAGGGTTAATTAAACAATTTGAAGAGAATATGCCCACCTTTTCAAAGATGTTCGATGTTTTCCCCAAATATGTCCATTCCTTATTTTTCCCTGATTTGCACATCATTTTCTCCTGAACAGACAGCATCTTGCATGCCAGCTGGATATAGACTAAAGCAGGTTTGTTTCCAAAGTAGGTTCATGTCCAGAGCATTGATAAAAAGACCAAGGAAAATTGACCAAAAGAAGGCGTTCTAGAGATATTCAGAGTAAAACAATCCATATCTAAATTGTTATTGACATATAGTGAGGTGGAAAAAATTTTAAAGCAATGTATTAAGTGCAAATGTCCTGTGTCCAGAGAATTTTATTTTCCAGTCCAGTATTCCAACACCCCCATACCTCCATTAGGAGATGGAAATATGGGAATACTAGACTATCCCCTACCAAAATGAAGAAAGAAAGGAAGGAAAGGGAAAAGAAAGGGAGGGAAGGGCAGGAAAGGGGAAGTAGGGGAGGGGAGAAGAGGAAAAGGGGAGGAAGGGAGAGGGGAAGGAGGGGAGGTGGAGGAGAAGGGAGGGGAGTGACAGAGAGAGGGAGGAACGAAGGAAGGAAAGAAGAAAGGGAGGGAGGGAGGGAGATGAGTTAATTGGCAATAATTTAGTAAAACCAAGTAGTTATAGTTAGATCCCCCAATCTTTCACAGCATGTTGTGAACATCACTAACTGCTTTATGATTAATAATGTAAGAATTTACCCTCAATCAACAACACAAAATACTCCAAACATTGTCAATGAGTCACTTTTATGTTATCTGCTACCCAGTTCGTATCAAAAATCCTGCTGTTTAAAGTTATGTAAGCAAGCAAACAAAAAGACCATCTGAAGCTTCTGCAGCAGCTGTCATCCTTGTCTACTCTTTGGCCCCTGTGCACTCTGTTACTGAAGTCCCCCTTGGACTTGCTCTCCTGAGCTGCAGTTTCACAATAAGGCAAGCCCAGCATCACTGCATCTGTTATTAAAATCGAGGCGAGGTGAGGAACATTGTCCACTGTGGTATGCGAGCTCCCTGCCTAGTCTTATGTAAGCAATTTGTTTTGGAATTCAAGGCAAAGAAAAGGTTTGCGCATCTGGGGCAGTAGATGGGCCACTGTAATGAGGCATCTGACTCCATTGTTTATCTTTGGCTTCTGACAGCTTTTAAGCCACCCCTCCCTCTTCCCTTTGTGCATTTGAACACGCTGATTAAAAAAGGACCGTCCTTCAGTGCCTGCAGAACATTGAAACCACACAAGCCCCTACCAGGCTCAGGAAGCTCCACCTGGCCCCACCCCCAACCATGATGGAACCCCAGGCCAGTCTCCTTTACTGATTCTCTCTCAAGCCACTCCAGACCTGCTTGAGAGCCTTGCCCTGCTCTCTCCCAAGCCCTTCTTTGTGTAAGGAAGATATTTTCACTCCCTCTTTCTTGGTGTGTGTATGTGTGGCATCATCCGTCTTGACATCCTGACAAAATTGGGGTAGTCCCAAAGGGGAGGTCCCTCCTTCCCTCCTGCTTTGGCAGAGTGACCATAACAGCTACTTTCATTCTGAAAGTCAGATAAAGTCCATCTTCTTGTTGATCTTGACCAATCTAAGCACCAAGTAATTATGAAGGGCTATGTGGTTTGTGTATTTGTGGGAACCTCCGAGTCAAGCAGATGGGCCCTCATGGTTACAGAAATTAACTCCCAGATCCAGGCGGGGGCCCCCTCCTCTGCACACTCCTAGCACCCTGTACTCTCTGGTCACAGGGGTGGTGACCAGTCTGATGCTCCAGGAGGGCAGGTATCTGGCTGTATTGTTCACCATAGCATCCCAGCTCCCAGCACAGTGTGGGAACTCAGCAAATGATTGATCCATGAAGGATTGAAAGCATGAAATTTAGGTAGAGAGGTGATTTACATAAAAGCAGGGCAAAGATTAATAAATGTCACCGGAAAAAAAAAAGACTTCTGCTCTAGCTTAGAAAGTGAGAAATATCAAAAAGAAATCCTAACCAAGGGCATTCTAATACAGTGAAGCTGCCAGTGAGGTGTCTGATTGCCCAGACCCTACACTACTGCAGCCACCTACTTTAAAATACTGGAGCAAATCACAATTTACTTCCCAAAAGTTAAACTTATTAAATATTAGTTTAATTTAGTGTTTTCCAGATTAATTTAAGATTAATTTATATCCAGGCATTTGCACAGCCCAAGCAGTATCTCTCCTTTCTGTCATTTCTATCATCCCACAGACAGCAGAAAAAGGGAAAATGTATGGTTAAGAAGCACCATGATAGAGTAAGTAGGGGGAGATTTAATTAAACTATTACATATCTTTTCCTTGGATGTGAAAAAAAACCATAAATTTGCCAGCGAGTAGAGTTGTATGCATATCAGGAAGCTTGATAAACAAAAACTTTGCAGATATAAAAAGTGATGCTTATAAAACGACTTGAAATAAAAATCTGATATTGTACTTAACCCTACATTTTCTTCCTAAATCTAACGTGTATTTGTAACAAAGGAACCTTTTATCCCTTAATTTGTTTTCAAAGAGAATAAAAAGAGATTGTTTATTAATATTCAATACAACTCTTTTTGCGCATGGCTGTTCTTTTCAGAATTACAGGACTTTAGAGCTCAAAAGAACCCTGGAGAGTGTCTACTCCCATGGAATTCACACCCTTTTAACACAGTGCCCTTCACTCAAATGAGATCTTATATGGAAATCAATGCTTAAAACAGGTCAAAGCACAACTGCTTTCGTGGGATTGGGAGTGGAAAATCTGAGCTCTCCCTTAAGACCCCCTCATTTTCAGGAGCTGCCTCCCCAAGTACTTCACCATCAGTCTCAGAGCTCTGCAAACAGTTTGAAATTCACCAATTTAATCCAACCTCTCTATTTTACAGATGAAAGAATTGAGGCAGCAGAGCCAAAAGACTAGTAAGTTGCACTGTTAAACATTTTTTTTTTTTTTGAGACGGAGTTTCACTCTTGTTGCCCAGGCTGGATGGAGTGCCAAGGCCCCGTCTCAGCTCACTGCAACCTCCGCCTCCCGGGTTCAAGTGATTCTCCTTCCTCAGCCTCCCGAGTAGCTGGGATTACAGGCCACGCCCGGCTAATTTTTGTTATTTTTAGTAGAGACAAGGTATCACGATGTTGGTCAGGCTGGTCTCAAACTCCTGACCTCAGGCAATCTGCTCGCCTCGGCCTCCCAAAGTGCTGGGATTACAGGCGTGAGCCACTGCGCCTGAACTGTTAAACTATTAATAACAAACCGAGTGAGTTAGCGCCCCAATTTTTCCCTCTTGACTCACTGCTCTTCCAAATACCATGCACTTCCACAAGGGAAGTAAGCAAAGCACCCCAAGTTCCTAGTCCACAAGGACATGAGGCCAACCTGACCGTTCAGGCCTGGGAGAGGCTCTAACCAGGGCACATGGCCACAAAACATGACTGAGCAGAAGGGCTGAACCTCTGTGTAAGGAGACTGCCTCCTGGTGATTCTTTTTGAATCATTAATATCTGCAAATGGTTAAAAAAAAAACTATTACCCAACTCTAAAAAGAAAAGGAAAAGTTCTCCCCTATCTCACGAATTCTGCTTCTCTGAGATAGTCACTTTTATCTTCACTGAACACATGTAAAATCCTATTTCGTCAATATTAGATTGAAAGATGAGGAATTTAAAACTTGAACTACATTCCACTTCTTTTCCCTTAAAAGATTAAGTTTTACATTGTCAAGGTTTTCAACATTCATTTCTGTAATTGTACTTATATCTTCCGTGCTCTATTGATTCTCATGCATTTTCAAGGAACATGCTTTTGTTTGTCTGATCGGTTGTTTGGTTGGATGGATGGATGGTTGGTTGGTTGGTTGGTTGGTTGGTTGGTTGGTTTCATTTGTTTTCTCTCCCTCCTTTCTGGAAGCAGTCAGGATGTTTTCTACCCCTTTAGTGTTCTCGATTTTCACAAGTTGTATTTGGTGATAGGACTTTTATTTATTTATTTATTTATTTATTTATTTATTTATTTATTTATTTTCATTTATCCTTCTCAGAACTCAGTGTCACTTTTTATCAGCATACTTAAGTTTTTCTTTGGTTTAGTGAAATTGACTTCAAGATTTGTATTACCGTTATCATTATTATCCCATCCCCAGTAGAAACTCTATAGGGAGGGATGCTGAACCTCTTCAGTCTTTTACATCTCATGCCTTTTTTAATATACTTTTTTTAACAGCCCTTTTTCTCTACATCCTGGGAGAGTTCCTTGATTTTGTCAAGATCATCAGCTTGACTTTTACTCTAATTTTTCTAATATTTAGTCATTTTTTCAGTCATTTATTGAAATTAATTGAATATTAATTTATTCAGTCATGTATTGAAATTCTTATTTCCACAACTACTTTTTTTCCTAAATAATCATTTATTATAATAGATTGTTCTCATTTATGTATGTGCGACTGATATGGTTTGGCTCTGTATCCCCACTCAAATTTCATGTGGAATTGTAATCCCCATGTGTTGGGGGTAGCCTGCTGGGAGGTAATTGAATCAATGGGGCTGCACTTCCCCCTTGCTGTTCTCCTGATAGAATTCTCATGTGACCTTGTTGTTTAATAAGCGTGTGGCTCTTCCCCTTTGCTCTCGCTCTCTCTCATCACCATGTAAGACATGCCTTGTTTCTCCTTGGCCTTCCACCAAGACTGTAAGTCTCCTGAGGCCTCCCCAGTAGTGTGGAACTATAAGTCAATTAAACATCTTTTCTTCATAAATGACCCAGTCTCAGGTAGTTCGTTATAGCAGTGTGAAAATAGACTAATACAGCATCTTCTTGTATCTCTAAGAATCTTCAGTTTTTAAAATTCTTTTCTCTACTTTGAGTTATCTCTTTTTCCAGGATCATGATTTTTCTATTTATACATCACGATCTTCTTTGATTATTGTAACTTTCTATTTATGCATTATGATCTTCTCTGATGATTGTAATTAAAAGCATAGCGATCCTCCATTGCCAGTTTACATCTGTGGTGTCATATCCTAGATGGACAAGTTAAGGGGGTTGTCAATACTTCTGACAGGCCCCTTTTCTCAAGGCAGGGTGACCATAGACACTGCAAGTGGGTGTCTGTGTCCACAGGAAAGCTTCTCCAAGGAGTGCCCTACAGGAAACCAAATAAGGAAGGTTTGACTCATGGCTGGAGACCATAGTGTATTTCATTTTTAGGTAGAGTTGCCCTTTCTTTTTAACTTTTCTATTGTCTGGCGTGGCTGTCCTGACTTGTCTCAACTTTACTTCCTTCTCAAGCCCCACACCCACTCCTACATCCTTCTCAGGCAGATCACCCAAGTCAGTCTATTTATGGTATGTTAGTCTGGCACTAAAGGCACCACCAATATGCTTGGTAAGTTCACAAACTTAGAGGAGTGGCCCTGTAGGCTCAGCTGTTTGGACTACAATCTTTTCAATAAATACCCTGGCCGCTGCCCCATGCACCCTCCTGGTCTTACTTCTCAGCTTCACTCTCCCCCAGAATGTTCTTGTCAACTCTGGCTCTGATCTCCAGGAGGCAAATTTTCCCTGTTATTCGCTCTCCATCTGATCCCATTCATTTTTTATGTTCCAGTATTTCCTCAAATGATCTAGTCTGTTATGGATTCATTTTCCTTGTTTCCAGTACTGTTATGGCATTATTTGTTTTTATTCATTATTTTCAGTCACTTCAACTGGACTTAGGGAGGGAAAGAGAAATGATGTCTGTGTTCAACGGTCCATGTTGAATTCTGTCCCAGAATTTTGAAATTCTCAGTTGGAACACTACATTCTCCCACAATTTAGTGTAAATATTACAAGTGTGTCCACATACGTGAAGTCATGTACCTAGTGACTTACCAGCTCTGGGAACAGGTGAGGAAGATCACATGGATGCTATCTTCAGCAGTTCCGCTCTGCCCTCTCAGCAATTCCTCCACCTCCATACACTTAACATCTCAAACATCCACCTCCACAAATAACGAACTCTGACAAAATGAGAAAGAAGACCTAGAGGCTGCAGGTCTGACCAAGGCTCATGGAGATAAATATACAATAACAAGAGCAGTTTTACAAGAGGGTGGAAATGTGATCATCTTATGTTGGCTGCATGAGACTGAGAGTTGAAGTTATTTCCTCAAGGCTACGCTGTAATTAGCAATGCACTCAGGAATTTAGGACTCCAATCCAGATCTTTTTATACTCAGATTATGGCTTTTCTACACTTTATGTTGTTTCTTTTTCCTTTTTTTTTTTTTCAGTGAATCAATAGAGCAAAATATTTCCTCTCTCTTTACCCTCACCAATAAGTTACTGTCTTTTTATTAACCCCTTTTGCCACATAACTGCCTCTCCACATAACATTCAAACATGTACAGTTCAATTGGTTTTGGAATTCTGAGCTATCAGTTTTACTTTTTGCAATCAGAAGCACTGACACTATCCACTAGCAACAATTCAAGTGAGTTCTACAAATATTATGCACCTAAGAAACAGAAAGCATTGTACTAAATACAACAGGAAATACTAGAACGAGTAGAGTCAATCAAGAGAATTGAGGGAGAGATAAAGAAGATTAGCTAATTGCAGCCAGTTATTTGAGTCATTTAGAGGACCAGGGGAGGAGGAAAAGTATGGCAGATGACCACTGTCCATGAGCACCTGGGTCTGCTCCCACTTCAGGCATTTCTCAGCTCCTTTGCATTTAGGTAGATGCAGGTGAATAGTTCCCGCTAATAGACTATGAATACAAATGGCACATGTCACCTTCAGGCTGAGAAGAACAGCACAAATGATTCTCCAGATATTCTTTCCTGCTGTGGCAACTGAAGTGACCATGTGTTTCAGTCATTCAACCACAAGGTGAGGGAGTCTCTCTGAGCTTGGGACCCCAGTGACTGTGTGTCACACAGTCTCCTGTCAACCCACATGGCACTGGTAGTGTGAGCTGGAAATAAATATCTGTTCTGTTAAGCCACTGACATTTTTGTGACCAGGGCACAATGTAGTCTATCCCAACTAACAAGAGGAGCCACTTAAAGAAACTGAGGAGGAGTCATAGAGAAATGAGAAGATAGAGAGGAAAAGGGCATCGTGATTCCAGATAATCATTTCATCAACAACTTGTCCTTAATACAGCTTCACTCTACTTCAACTATTTCCCTGAATCCAGAAAGCATGTACAAAAGCACTACATCACAAAAGTATAAACCTGAAATATGAAAACTAAATGCATATAAGCAGACCAAAATATTTACAAGATGTAAAACATTAAATAAATAAACCATTAGAATAGTCCTATTGAATTGAGCAAATGAAATCCAATAGAACAGCTGTTAATATTGCCTTCCCTCATAAAGAGAAACCTTGATGACTCATTTAGAGCTTATAAATTGTAGCATTTTCCCTGCTTGTTATAAATAGAGTTTTTCCATCCAGTCTGTTGTTTAGTATATATTGCTAGACTTCATATACATATTGTTAACAGCGCAAGATCCTACTTGCCCATTCTGTCTCCTAGATCTGGAAATCTGCTGTCCCCCAAAGTATCATACATCTCATCCAAGCAAATCCACTAAAATCTGACTGAAAAATGCAGGCATATTAGTGGCAACCAATCTAATTCCTCCTATTTATTTCTTCATAGTCCTCAATCCAGGATAGTATGCTTTTTAAGAATACGTGTATTTATTGTTCATTACAGAAGAATCATAAGAAGGTTATTTTTAAGAAATAAAATGTTACCAAGACAGTTGAAAGCTTTTGTGTATTCTTCTGCAATTGCATCCCTCTTCCTTCCTTTGCCTGACATAATCGCATTTTTATATTGACGCTATCTGCCTAACCTCATTGTCTTAGTGACAATTCAGAAGAAACACCTCTGGCCTTGTTCTCTAGCACCCTGAAGGGTTCACTGGACAGCTTCCTCCTTTGGTTTGAGCTTCCCAAGGAGTCTTAAGTGAGAGAGCTTTTGTTCTAGTGCCAGCCCTCTGATACCTCTATCAACCAAGTAAGCACCTTGTCAAGGAGGGGAGGATTTGTACATAGTCCTTCTCTTTACAATATAGGTAATATGACAAAGGTTGAAGATTAATAACATATCACCTACATTTCCTATATTGGAAATGGTGACAACTAATAATATTTCTGAGTGTTTTAGTCTGAAATTAGGCAGAAAGAAATGAGAAAAGAAAAACATTTGTGGCAGGTCTACCATATCCTCTTCAATAAAAGCACTAATAATGCTCAATTTTCAAGGGGCATATTATTCAGTGTAGAGCTTGAGGATGGACTCCATTAAGATTTACAGTGTTTTCAGGAATTCAGAGCGGAGAAATCCAAGCCACTGCCACAAGGTTGCCACAAGGTTGCCATAAGCAACCTTTGCTTTTTACTAATTTTCTATAAAAATGAATTTTCACCCATGAACAGAGGAGCTGAAGACCAGAATAATACACGTAAAGTAAGATGTTAAAGATCTCAAGCAGAAGCTTCTGTATTCTAGATCTTTAAATGTTTGAGTTCTTCCCTCTGACCATGTACAGTGAAGGCAGTAACAGGATTCTTTGAGAAAACATTGACAAGATGAATGCAAACAGAAGCATGCCACCCTGTCTCCCATGTTTTCTTGAAAATGTGTGTAGTAGTAATCTAGTTAGAATCCATAAAATCAACAGTATTTCTTATATTTTTATAATTGATACAAGCACATTGAAGGAACATTGGCATCATCTAGTGATTTGAACTTGCCTATATTACACAGTAATTCTACACCTAGGTTAGATACCCTGGTATGTATTCTAAGTATATACCCATAAATTTTCCACAACTAGGATATATATATTTATATGTATATATAAGAATATTCATGGCAGCATTGTTTGTGAGAGCAAAAACTTAAAACTACCAAAGTCCATAAATAGAAAACTGGATAAATTTTGGAATATTCATGCCTGGATTATAATACACATAAAAACGAATAAACCATAGTTATACATTTCAACATGGATGAATCTCATAAGCCTAAAAAAAGATATGTAACAAAATAGTGTTCAGAGTGTAATTTCACTTATTTAAAGGTCAAACTCAGGCTAAACCAAGCAATAAACTGTTTAAGGTTAACATACAATCATATAGGGGAAAAGAGTAAAGAAAAGCAGAAGAATAATTCACACAAAATTTATTACAGTGGCTCCTTAAGGAATGAGGAAAGAGGAGGATGGAATTTCTGGAGGGACATACAGAAGGCCTCAAAGGAACTGTCAATTTTCTATTTCTGGGTAGCAGGCATATGGTCTATTAGACCTTAACCATACATATGTTACATATTCCTTTATAAGTAAAATGAATTTCATATAAAATTATTTAATGTGCATAAGAATACTTTTTTAAAATGTGTATTCATAAGCCCAACTCTCAGGGAATCTGTTTCAGTAGGTCTTGAGGGCAAGGGTGCACCTCAGTTTCAGCTTTTTGAAATGAACATCCATATGAACCTGCAAGTGTCCCACGCAGATACATGGACCATCCTTTGAGAAATACTGCATGATTCGTCCTGAGTTATAAAGTTTTATATCAGAGGTTTACAGATTTTCTTTTTCAAATAAAATCCTACATGATACCCCATTATATAAAAAGGATCAAAACAGGAGTTTTGGTTAAAGATTGGGAGAAGTCCCCAAGACTTGCTTATTGGGACTTCCTCTCTCTCTGCAATAGCAGGTTTCGAAGCAACTCTAGAAGTCACAACTTTATGACCAATGGCAGCAAAACCGCCAGTGTCAATCCCATTCAATATATTTCAAAATAAAAATAAATATCTTTGTAGGATTGACTGTAAGGCAAAGGCAAGCCGGGAAATAAACCTTGGATACATTTTAACTAGAGTTTATAAATGTGTGTGCTAGTGTGACTTGATTATGCACACAAAATTTGCATATATGAAAATAAAATGTCTAGCACATAGTAGGTATGTGATATAGTTTAAGTGAATCAGTACCTGATTCATTCAGAACTCTGCATAAAGTTTGGATAAAATAGGATTTAAGACCAGACACTTGCTACTCTGTGATTCTAAGTTTTGGGTGCAATTCACAACATAGTAATAGCCATAGCCACAATTTCTTCTACTGGAATGCTTCCAGGCAACAAAAGTAATGGATTTGTTAAGTTACCCGTGGCAAACCACAGCACCCTGAACACCTGCTGAAAGAAAAAAATTTCTAGTTGCAAATGTAGTTTGAACATGCTGTCTAGAGCAGATCTACTCTGCATGAAGCATGTAGCCAAAGTGAGAAAGGAATGGAATGGAATATTCAAATAGGAAAAAATAGGTGGGTGGCTACATATTGGTGTAAATGGAACATTATGTAGAGAAATGTGTTCCTTCTTCTTGAATTTACATTTTATACACAAATCCTATAATTAATACTTGGCCATAAGCAGAATTTCACAAAATGGCTTTGGGGACAATTTGCTAAATGGTTGCCACATACAGAGCCCCTCCCCATCAAATACCGACCAAGACTTATAGTATCTACATAGCAAAAAGAACACAAAAGTTGGTATTCTGGGTGAAAACTCTTCCCTCATATGCCCATTGGTTTCTGTTGATTCTCTTGGCCTTCATTCAAGAGAAGCTGGCATGGGCCGTTGCCTAGCAACAGCACGCAGTGCACTTTTCTACTAGCCCATAGAAACACTGTCTCTCTGGACCTCATGCCATTCAGCATCATGGTTTTGTAAAAGGATGTCAATCTCTTAAGAACTTTCCTTCCTTGCTCCAAATAAATGCTGCTTGAAGGAAGAAGTTATTTCAATTTTCAGCCCTTCATCGCAAACATTGCACTTGACTTAACAAAGACCAGAGAAATAAGAAGGGAGAGCCATCATCAACCCCCGGCTTATCTGACCACTGGCAGAAGAAACAATATAATCATACAGCCTATGCAATATATTTTCATTGAATGAACTATGGCTGTTTAATGCCATTTATATATTCAACAGATATTTAATGAATGCCTTCCAATATGCTGACATAATACTAAGTGTTTAGGATATGGTAACTTAACAAGACAGACACTGTTCCTATCCTCATGGAACTTACTTGTCTGTTCTTTAATCTCCCTAGAGACTAAATGTTCACCCATAAAAACACATTCTAAGCCCTAGTGTATTTCAGCTGAAAACTAGGTGCTATATTCGTAAGTGTTTTCAAGCATGATAGAAATAACTAAAGCAATCTAGTTGGTCAGGGCCAGTGGAATCCAAGTTAAGAAGTCCAGAAAATCTACGTTAGGAAGTCAGATGACCAGCAATCCTATCTGTGTTATTATGCCCCACAAAAATGGTAACAGGATCTTTGATACTTATGATCATGTCACAGGATTAAGACTGTCGATCCAAAATTATGGATGAATGTTTTCAAAGAAGGTATCTCTAAAAGACCAGAAACTAACTTGTCCACAGGTAGAAGAGAGTTAAGGACCTGTGCCCATTGGAGGATGCAGGTTCAAGGATACCTAGAGAATGCAAGAGGAGCTTCATTCAAACATCCTCTAACCCATCTGGTGAGAAATATGTTCTCAAATCCTCGACAGAGGTAGGACCAAGAGATCATGACAAAGGTATAAAAACCCAAAAGAACTCTAGCTACTTAAGTCTTCCCAAAGAGCCACATCACATAGGAGAAAATTCCTGCTACTTGAGAAAGAACAAAACAAAGCAACTCGCATGCATCTGGGATTATAAAATAATGACAATATTAACCACAATTACTGAATAAAAGCGTAAGTTACTAAAACCCATTGTAAAGTGACCAGGGTCACTGGGGCAGGGAGTAGAGAATTAGAGCCAAACACCTAGTGATTTTTTTCAACTTATATGATATGAGTTTCATTGGAAATGTATAGATCTTGAGAGAGTAGTATATCCCCCAAGTTAATCTAAATATAAACAGCCACTATTCAGATTTTTCACAAGGTAAACCTGAATCCAAAGAACCTACCTGCTCATGAAAGTCTGGAAGGTATCTTTAGGGCTCTTTGACTGGATCTGACTAGAAACAGATGAGATGGATGAGATAACTTCTACGTGTTTCAGGCGAAAGAGAGAGAGAGAGAAGACAAAATTTTACCAGAAGGTTGCATTATGAAGAGATTTATTTGGAAACATTCTAGCCTGGTTTTTATCTTGTTTAACCCAAGCTGGGTACTTTCTCCCTGATATGGGTTTGCTGCATCCCCACCCAAATCTCATCTTGAGGTGTAGCTCCCATAATCCCCATGTATTGTGGGAGGGACCCAATGGGAAGGAATTGAATCATGGGGGCGGGTCTTTCCTGTGTTGTTCTCATGATAGTAAATAAGCCTCACAAGATCTGATGGTTTTATAAAGGGGAACTCTCCTGCACATGCCCTGTCTTGCCTGCTGCCATGTAAGACATGTCTTGCTTCCCCTTCACCTTCCGCCATGATTGTGAGGCCTCCCAAGCCATGTGGAATTGTGAGTCCATTAAATCTCTTTCCTTTATAAATTACCCAGTCTTGGGTATGTCTTTATTAGCAGCATGAGAACAGACTAATACACTCCCCAAAATTGTTTAACTAAAAAATAAGAGGCAATACAAAGTCCTGTGAAACTTTTTTCCACTTCAGGAAAGAAACATAGTAACAAAGGAAAGCAATCTAATCTTTGTGCTTACATGATGAACAATTTCTTAAAAAGAGGGAAAGATATTGAAAGAAAGAGAAAGATGCAAAGGAGAACACTCGTTTCCATGGCCTGCATGTATCCAGCTTTATTCTCTCTCATGGCTTTCTTTGCTTAAGGCACTTCAGGTTGAAAGTAAAACCAAGACAACACAAATATTTATTATCTTTTGTGGTGACTTACTTCAAATAAACTCTGAAGACTATCACATGTCCCTATGCCAGACTGGTGAATCACTTCAAATAGAACTTGCTAAATTCAACGGGCCACCATTAGACCGAGTACACTGAATTTTTCTCTAAATCCTATATTAAAATCTCACCTTTAGACAAAATTCCACATTAACCTTATCATAGAAGTACATGGTCCAGGACACAGAGCAGATGTCAGTGCAGTCATGATCAGAGCCTCTGGCCAAGGCATTACAACCCCTCTCCCAGTCTTCTCCCAGACAACCTTGCACTAATTACTTTTCCTTGGATTGCAAGCAACAGAAACCAATTTGGGCTAAAATATGCTGCAATAAAAAAGGAAATGGAATGTACTAGAAGGATATTGGGGTATCTCACAGAATTGAAGGAAGAGTTAAACAACCAAGTCACAGGAAAGGAGGGATCCAGATTAGCTCCCAGGCCCTGGGTTGTAGAAGTCTGGGATGCTTGTCTCTAAAGAGCTGCCAGAATGAGACGACACTTTGCAATCTTCACTTCTGTCCCTGCAGCCAGCATAGGTCAGTTGCCCATTGTTTATATCCCTGGCTACCACCACAAACATTTCAGAATCCTCATCCCCAGCAAACCCCACATCTCCTGTCATTTTCAAATTGCAAAACAAGTCATCAGAGATTTTCTTATTTTTAAGACCCCTGTGCAATTTTATCTCCTTCATCCACTGAACTGATAGAGCAGTCATCTGTATGCTGGAGTGCCTGAAACCACATAGCTTCTGGAGGTGAGGCAGCCAAATAGCTCTTATTGGCAAAGAGTAAAAAGTCTCTTCCAGTGGTTGTGGGGCGGGGGGCAACTGAGTGACCCTCCTAAGCCACATGAGCTTTGAACACCCCTGCCGGGCTATGCCTTATCATATAGCCAAACTTGCAGGTGCTCTTTATTCGCTATGGAATTATGTGGGTTCACTAACATACCCATAATAACGTATTGTATTGTATTGTATTGTATTGTATTGTATTGTATTGTATTGTATTGTATTGTATTGTTTGTTTTTGAGACAGGGTCTCACTCTGTTATCCAGGCTGGCATGCAGTCATATGATCAGAGCTCACTACAGACTTGAACTCCTGGGCTTAAGCGATCCTCCCACCTCAGCCTCCTGGGTAGCTAGGACTACAGGTGCACACCACCATACCCAGATAATTCATTTTTCGTAGAGATGGGGTCTTTCTATGTTGCATCAGGCAGGTCTTGATTTCCCAGGCTCAAGTGATCTTCCCACCTTGGCCTCCCAAAGTGCTAGGACTATAACTATGAGCCGCTGGTGCCCGGCCACTATTGTATTGTTAAAAAATATTTCCCCACTGATGTGACCTTATTGGCGCGGCCTTTTTTTGTTCCACACGGCAAGGCCTTTTTTTGTTCCACATCCCAGCCCTCCATGAGGCTGGGGTTGAGAAGACGGCTATGGCTCAGAGGACTCAACTCCAGATAGAAGAACAGGTGAAAAGAAACTCCACTTTTTCCAGCCCAGGAGGGTGTTGGTGGGAGGGAGAGACAGGAAAAGGAGCCTAGAGGAGGGGCAATTCAAACGTGACCTGTCTCACCCCCGATGGCACCCTGGTTAGTAAAGGCAAAAAGCAGAAGCAGAGAAGATTTCCTGCTTGTTTCCTGTTTAAGACTTCAAGAGGAAGCTGCCCCATGGGGTAACAACATGGGGAAAGGCCTGCTTTAGTTCTCATGGCTGCCCTCAGCTGCTGTGCCCTGTGGAGTTAGCCAGAAGTTAGCAGATGGTGCTGTCTGATAAGCTTTTGGAGAGGAGTGCTAGGAAGATGAGCAGGCCAGGGACTGAAGGGGAGGGAAGGCAAACCTCAGGAGAAGAGCGAGTGGGGCAGTGGGCCTGCATCAGCAGCGGGGAGCCCCAGGCCCTGACCAGCCAAGGGAACAGACTGTGAGTTCAGCTGACGGTGCCAGAGGGCACCATTGCTGCAGAGGCAGGCACAGGGGTGCATGCTTGGGCACACACACACACACACACACACACACACACACACCCTTCTGATTGGATCCTGCCTAACTTTACAGCCTGGTCCCC
Organism: Homo sapiens; assembly: GCF_000001405.40. Taxonomy (NCBI): domain Eukaryota; kingdom Metazoa; phylum Chordata; class Mammalia; order Primates; family Hominidae; genus Homo; species Homo sapiens. The sequence goes on from NC_000008.11 coordinate 65,298,385, forward strand.
AGCCCACTGACCACCAGAGGCTAATGGTACAATATGCTTCGGCCACAACAGAACGCTTGGCCACTTGCAGTTTCCCAAGCGTGACAATCTGGTCTGTACTCCCATGCCCCTGCACTGCAGTGGTGCCTTGTGTATCCTTTATTCTCTTGTCCTCATGATAAACTCAATTTAACAAGACCTAACCTACTATTGACCGAATATATGTGAGGAGACAAGGAGAAGACAGCCATCTGCAAGCCAGAAGGTGGGCCCCCAGCAGACAATGGATCTGTTGGTGCCTTGATCCTGGACTTTCCAGCATCCAGAACTGTGAGAAATAAATGTTTACTGGTTAAGCCACCCAGTCTATAGTAATTTGGTGTAGCAGCTCGAATGAATCACGACCTAACCTTGGCCTGTGCATCTGTGAAGACTCCTGGTCCTGCAGGCACTGAGGTATTGATTTCTCACATCTCTGTATTTTCACTGTAGCTTGTATGTCTCTACAGTAGAACTCATCAGGTTTGGATTTGGGTCTTTACTCCCCACCAGGCTGAAAACCTCATATTATTCATCTCTGCATTTCCAGCTCTGAGCACAGCACCTAGTAAAGAGTAGGCACTCATTAGGTGTTTACTAAGTGAATTTATAAAATGTGACACGATAGAATCAGTTTAACTTCTGTTAAAAAAAAAAAAAGTCCAAAAACTGCTTTTGTTAAGACTCACTTTATGCCAGGCACTGCACTATGTAGTTTTATATAAATGATCTCATTTCATCCTCACCCAACCCTGCAGAGTAAATGTTATCATTGTCCGTGCACAAATGTGTAATGCAAGGTTCAAGGAAGATGAGGAACTCACCCAAGATCAAATAACTAGAAAGTGAGGGGCCAAACTGAGAATCCATGTCTTCCAACTCAGACAGGACTCTTTTCACAATGCCAGAGTTTCTAAGGAACTTTCTTACAATGTATTCTATTCCTTGTAGAGAGGTTCATATGCAGTAAAAAATGACATCGTTTAAACCATGGTTTATGCCTTATCATTAACAGCTCTTCCTATGTTGTAATTTAACAGTATCAATTCACATTAATCACTTAAATCTTCTACCTGATGGGGTAAAGGCCAGACTGGAAGACATGGTGCTAATATCCCCACTTCATCACAGGCAGCTGATACAATGTAACAGTTGTTGTGTCAACGTGTGACTATGTTCAAAAGAGGAATAAATATGTTCAAAAGCCAACAGGGAGGCAGCAGTTACATGGAATAAGGATGGGAGTGTGACTTTAGCAAAACCAAGTGAAGTGTTTTAATGATGGATACATTTTTAAATGAGATGAGCTTCTCCCAGGCCCTACTGGGTGTTTCCTGGAACTATCATGGTGAGTTATAGGTTTGACAAAGCTTTTCCCCACAACTTTGAGGCATTAGGAGGTTGTCAGAAAATTCACGCTTGCAGTGGAGATCCGTTTTTGAAGTTGTACAGGATTCCCAATTAATGAGTTTTCACATTATTCTTTTATGGCTGGATGCATCTGGATGAGGCTCAAGCACAAAGGGACCCTGGCTTGCGTATCATTAATTCTGACTTCCAGAGACATTTCTGGTCTCACAGTCACCTACTCCTTTTGCCTTTGTATTTGGAGACTTCATAAATTCAATTAATAAGCTGATTAGCAAAATCTTTAATTCTTCTCAAGTAGCTTTCTTCATTACCGCACATGCGTCAAATTCTCTAAGCAGAGATATAAAGCATTTGGGTTGTCTGTCCGTAATAAGCTCTGCTGGACAAATGTCCATGTGCCAAGCCGTGGGCAGACATGGAATTGTAGAATAGATCATAAGTTCTGAAAATAATTTTCTTGGTAGTAAAAAACCCTCAAAAGAGAAAGACAATTGGTTAATATATAATACTCAAAGGATCAGCTTAGTATATGACATATAGTGGATGCTTTAAAAATATTCTTCAAATAAATAGTGCTGTTAATACACTCTCTACCATGACATCAATTGCAGTATTCTATTTGCTATCAAGTCCCTATAGGAGGTAGATAATAGAGAATAGTTTTACTTTTGCTCAGAATAATGTTTAAAATTGCCTAAAAGTACCAAGCATAATATAACAAATACTCATATTCCAACTACTCACAATTAATCAGTGTTAATAGTTTGTCACATTTAATATTTTTAATAAAAGAAATAATGATAACTAACATTTATTGAGGATTAACCATGTACTGGCAGTATTCCAATTGCTTTACATACATTAATTTGATTAAATCTTACAAAACCCTATGAGACAGGTTGTTATTATCTCAATTTTACAGAAAGGAATCTGAGGTATAGAATTTTAGGCATGTGCCAAGTCACACAGCTTTAAGAGGCTATATTAGTCAGCTAGGGCTGCCATAACAAAATACCACAGACTTTGTTACACAACAGAATTTATCTTCTCACAATCTGGAGGCTAGAAGTTTGAGATCAAGGTGTCAGCTGGGTTGGCTAGTTCCAAGGCCTCTCTCTTTGGTGAATAGACGGCCATCTTCTCCCCATGACTTCATATCTCCTTCTCTCTGTGCGTGTCCGCTTCCCAACCTTCCCTTCTTGTAAGGACTCCAGCCATATTGAAGTAAGGCCCAACTTAATGACTTCATTCTAACTTAAGTAGAGCTTATTTGCAATAGCCAAGATATGGAAACAATCTAAATACCCATTGACTGATGAAAAAGAAATTATGAGATATGTATGTAATGGAATATGATTCCACCTTGTAAAAAAAAAAAAAAAAAAAGGAGATTCCATCATTTGCCACAACATGGATGAACCTGGAAGGCATTATGCTTAGTGAAACAAGCCAGACACAGAAAGAAAAATAATGACTTCACTTCTATGTGGAATCTGAAAAAGTCAAATACGTAGAAACAGAGAATAGAACAATGATACCAGGTGGAGAAGGTAGGGAAATGAGGAGTTGTTGATTAAAGGGTAGAAAGCTGCATTTATATAGGATGATTAAGGCTTGACATCTAATGTACAGCATGAGGACTATTGTTAGGCAATACCATATTGTATACTTGAAATTTGCTGAGAAGGTATATTTCACGTGATCTCACCACCCCCACCCCCACTCCATGCACACACAGACAGGCAGTTACTATGTGAGGAGATGGATATGTTAGTTTGCTTGCCTGTAGTAATCACTTCACTATGAATATGTATATCAAAACACCATATTGTAAACCTTAGATTTATACAATTTTTTAAAGGTTTTTGAAAATGTATCTCCATACACAGTCATATTCTGAGGCGCTGGGGACTTCAACATACGAATTTTGAAGGACACAATTCAACCCATAACAAGAGTAGAGCTGGCATTCAGGCCAGGAAGCTGAGACCCAAAGCCATGCCCCCGTCCATGACATGTGCCTCTGATAACAGTAACATCCTCACAACCCACTTTCTCAAACCCAAGTTCCCTACCTGCTCTTCACAGAGGCAATCTCTTCCTAAGGAGGCAACACCATCACAAAGTTGGTGTTTCTTTTTAAAGTTACCCTACATAAACCTACATAACATGCATGTTTAATGTTATTTTTTCAACAAAGTATTAAGTTTAAAACATCTCCACCCTGCTCCCAAACAAACATGCATCTTAAAATGTCTCTACTTCTGTCCAAATAACATTATATGCTCAAACCTTTCATGTTACTGGTATCTAGTATCTTAACCATCATTTTAATATTTTAACACCCCCCTCCAAACTAGCGAATAGTGCCACTATTTATTAGCCAATATACATTTAGGATTGCCAGTATGTTTGATTGGTTTCTTTGCTCACAATCTCTTACTGCATTTGGGTTCATTTTCTCTCTTTCTGAAGTATCTAACCACAAAACC